>NC_000023.11:93087542-93712542 GCF_000001405.40 Homo sapiens | reverse complement strand
TTTTATTTCCTAGGCAGCATTTCTGATAAGCATGAAATAGGGTAGACCACTCTCTCCCTCAATCATTACATAAAAACCAGTGCAAATACAATGAGTATTTCCTTCTGCTATGGCATAATGATCACTTCTGAGTCAATCTGTAGACTACAGAAGAATGTGATAGAAGAAGGTGAGTTATTTTATGTAAATAATGAAATAGATGTTCTAGAGTTCTATGTTATTGGTCAGATTAGGTTAGGTGATTCCGCAGTAATAAAAAGACCCCAAATCACAGTGGTTTAACACATAACAGTTTATTTCTTACACTTAAAAAGTTTACTGCAAGTCCATCAGCACTCCAGTCAGGTCCCTTCTAAACAGCGACCTAAGGACCCAGGTTGCATCCGTCTTGTAAGTATGCCATTTGGAACATCTTGCTTTCAGGTCACCATGACAGGCAAAAGAAAACTGGAGGGTCATGCAGAACTTTTTACAGTCCAACATGGAAATAGAAAATCACTTCTGTTTACAATCCCTCTGCTTGAAGTAGTCAAATGGCATTGCCTAACTACAAGAGGTTTGGAAGTGAACAGGAGCAGATAGATACATGATGAGCTGTAAATGCTTTTGCCATATTCTACAAATAATATAAGCTTATAAAAAGCATTTTAATGAACAATTCTGAAAAACTCTATATGGATACAAAATATCCCATAAATGTAATAGTTTTTATCAGCATAAACATATATTTTTAGGAAAAAGCTAAAGTTATGAAGCTCCAAGGTAATCTAACATGGCATCACTATAATGTTCCAAGAACTTTAATGAGAGATTCCAGTATTTCCAATGCAAAAAATTTGGCAGCCAACATGTTTATGTAGATGTTTTTTATCTTTATAATTTTACTTGTGATTGAAGGTAGCCGAGATAAAATCTGCTATTGAAAAACAATAGCTATTGAGCTTTTCATCATGCCAAAATACTTTGTACCTATGACATTACAATTAGCACATCCTCCATCACAGGTGGTTTTGAGACACAAATTTATAATTTATGTTACTCTGATATATAAAAATGTAAAGTAAAAATATTTTTTCACTTATTTTTACACTAGTGGTAAAAGTGAATCAGCAACAGATACAAGGCACCAAATTGTAGGAAAATACGGACACAGGAAGATCAATGATGTCATTATCATCTACATTTAACTTCTATATAAATTCAATATTAATGCTTAAGACAACAATCTTTTCAACAACAATCTTACTAAGATTTTGGCAGTAGTTTCATGTAACATACGGCGTACTAGAGGTCTGGCACTCAACTTGCGTACAGTAACCAGCTTCAATATGAAGGCATTACATATTTTTTAAAAAAAACCTTTTCACATGCTAAATATTTTGGCAAGGGTGCAATTAAACACAGTAATGAAATTAATATAGCAAGGCTAAGAAACTAAAAACTTGAAACTTATATCCTAAGCATAAATCATATCTTAAAAAAGGATCATCAGTTATATAGAATATGGTCAGATAATTAAAACTTAACAGTATAAAACATGCAAAAAAAATTTCAGAATATTTCTTAATCAAACAACATCAGGGTCTGTTTAGAATGGTTCCCATACAAAATGGGTATAAAGTTATTTCAAATCATGTAATATTGTAATACTAAATATTATTCAGTACTGTATAGTAAACAGTGCTGAAGAAGAGGTAAATTTCATAGATATGGGGGCTTACTTATGCTGTAAACTCCTGTCCTTCTTGTTCACTTGAAGCAGCATACAACACCCCAGAATTTCATAAAGTAAGAAAAGGACGGCTGCTGCTCTGGCAAAAATAGGATGTGTAAGAGTCAAAGGCACACTATTCAGCTAGCCACAGTGATTAGCAAACACTTGCCCTTCCCACCCCACATGCTCTTTCCCCATGTAAACAAAGATTCATTAAAGAAAAAAGGAAAATGAACTAAACTTATTTACAAAAGCAAGGAATTTGAGACATCAATATTAAGTCCTTGCATCAAAAATACCAACTACAATTGTCTGGAAATTACATTTATGTTTCATTGATGGTGATATTTCAAAGATGTATTCGAATTAGATACATTTAACCTTAGATACACTTTTTTTTGTCAAAGTTATTCATTATCTAACACATTTTACTTTAATTTCAAACATTTTATTCACTGGTATGACAACAGAATTTTAGCTCTCAGAGGAATTAACCATTAGAAGGAAGGACAAGCAAACAAACAAAAATGTATATTGAAGTTGCCAGCAGCCACTATGCCCCTTACTGGCACAGTGGGATTTGATAGGCAACTCAAAGTCCAGAAATAATTCTACTAACACAGGGGAACTCGGCAAACTCATTCTTGCTTTTTTTCTTGATGTTACCTTGACTTGTGACTTGATCCAGACTTCTTTTTCTTCTTCTTACTATGTTTCTTGTGCTGTTTCTTCTTCTTCTTCTTTACTTTTTCCTTTGCTTGTTCTCGCTCTTCACACCTTCTCTTCTTTTTTGCTTGCACATCCTCTTCATAATCTGATTCAGATGAGGACTCAGATGATAAAGGTTTATCATCAGGGTAACTTTTCTTTCTTTTTTTGCTGAGGCTTCTTACATCCTTTTCTTTCTCTGTTTCATCCTTTGACTTCTTTTTCTTTTTTACAGACTCCTTGCTCTCTGATTCTGATTCATGCGTAGAGCTTTGGGATGATTTGTATGAACGGTTCTTCTTTTTCTTTCTCCTTTTTCCTTGTTTCTTTTCCTCATCCTCAGAATCTGAAGAACTGCTTGAAGAATCAGAGCTTGATGAAGAAGATGAAGACCGACAAGATTTCTTCTTTCTCTTTTTCTTTCTTTCTCTTTTTTTAGATGAGCTCTCATTTCCACTTAATAATTTCTCTCTGCTTTTTTCAAGTTCTTTCTTCCAATTTTCATTCATTTTTTCTTCAAATTCAGCTAATGCTTTTGAACCTGTTTTTTTATTTTCTAATTGTTTCTTTACTTCTTCCCAGGTGGGTCTTGGTCGATTTAGATAATCTTGGATTGTTGGGCCCACAGATTGAGTTGGGCCTCTCCATCTGGCCATTGCTATAGGATTCATATAGGCTACCCGATTATCCCGCTTCCCCATGGTGCCTGATGTTTCCAAGGGCAGACTCTCAGTTGCCAAGGAGAACAAAGATAGATACTCGCCTTAAATTCTTTATCTAGTGAAATATCAAGCAAGCTCCATTCTGTAAGAGAAGCAGATGGAATGATTACAAATCACCTTTAATATAAAGACAAACAAACATATAAGCTTAATTGTTAACACTGCCTATCACACAGTACAGTAGAAATTTCCAAAATCTTATACCATGGGAACAAACAATATACACATTTTAAAATTTTACATATTATAGACACTGTGGTATAAACATAATATAAACTAAAAGTGTTTTATATACCTCATGTAAGATTCTGACAGATACCTAAAATATTTAATAGCCATTTTCTCTTACATTGTATGATACTTAACTTTTTCCTTTCTTTCATTCCTGCTTTATATAGTATATAGAGAGAAATTTATAAAACTAAAATCTGTACCAGACAGACCTTCGCCAACTCAAGAAAGTGCAACACAACCCTCTCCATTCCTTTTGACAGAAGCCCAGGAGTCATAACTGAGAAATCCTTCTCCCTCAACGGTCAAATCCAATACATTACTAAATCCTGATATTTAAACCTCCACAATAGGCCTCATATCCATTCACTTGTCTCCAAATATACTGTCATCAACTTAGCCCAGGCCACTATCATCTCTCGCTTGGGCTATTAATCTCTAGTACCTAGTAAGTGTTTATTCTCTGTCAAGGACTGCTTAGTGTTTGCAATGGATTATCTCATTCAATCTCAAGGCCAGACCTATGAAGTTGATCCTATCATTGTCTCTATTTCACAGATAGATAAACTGAGGCTTAGAGAATTAGAGTAAAACTCAAAATTTGAACATGAAGTAACATGGCTAATAAATGGCATATCCAGGATTTAAACAAAGGCAGCCTGATTCCAAGCTGCACAAATAAGGCAACACCAAATTGTCTCCTTACATCAACCTCTTAATAGGTAGCATTTTTCCAACCTTACTCCCTTTTATTCTAGTCCCACACTGTAAACAGAGGGATCTTAAAAAACTCCAGTGGTTTTATATTTTAATGAAAAACAAATCCAATCTCCTATAAGGTCCTATATGATCTGCCCTACTTCTGTCTCTTACTTTTGTTTTGTTTCACTCACCTTTTTTCTCAATTCTTTTCATTTGGTTCCTGGAACATGCCGAATTATAGGCTTAGCCAGCATGGCCAATTCCACCTCATCCTTCAGGTTTCAGCTTAAATGTCAATTCCTCAGAAAGTCAACCATTAGGTTAAACTATGTAAAACTATTTTATGGGACACAAACAGTTTAAAGATCAACAACTTTTTATGGCTCAACCTTATACTAAAGTGGTTTGCCTCTCTGTCTACCCCTCATCCTCATTTTTCTGTATGATAGTTCATCGTTTATTTTATTTGTAGCATTTATGAAATTGGTAATTATTTTATTTGTGATTATTGCGTTATACATGTGTATCCACTGCTAAATGTAAGACCAAGAAGGGTAAAGGTCATGTGTGGCCTATCTTATTCACCACGGTGTTCCCATTACCTGACATAGAATCTGATCCATATTAAGCACTCAATAAATATTTTCTCAATAATAAACAAATAAATAAATGCATGGATGGATGGATGGGTAACTCTGAGAGAAAGGAGGATTCAGAGGGAGTGTCCTGGAGATGGTGATGTCTGTATAGGGTCTTAAGGAATGAACAGGCATTTACCCAGAAAATGAGGAAATTAAGGACAATCTTGGCAGAGGAAACATGAGAAAAGAGCAGCAGGTATTTAGAGTTGATGGAACCTAAAGATCAAGAGGGCAGGGGGAAGGAGGTAAGTTTGCAGAGATAAAAAGAAGCCTAAATATGGAGGCCCTCTTAGGTCATTTGAAAATCTTGAATTTTGTCCTATAGTTGATACAAGAGCCAATAAAGTCTTTTATATAGAAGAGAAAGACGATCAGACATATAATAGATTTTTCTATCAATCTCCATCTTAAATCTGATCCTTTAAGTCAACCTAACATACCTACCCATCATAAGCTCAATGCTATAGACATTTCAGTGACTCTTGGTGATAGTTTCCAACATCTTATTTTCTGTGTTCTTGATCTTATTCTCCTTCCTCTTTATTTATAGGCAGCCCTTTTAGGTCTTTCTGTAATTTTCATTCTTACTCTTACCCTAACCACGTCTCAAATATCATTGTGTCTCTGATTTGACCATTCAAAACTCTTAAATACTTCAGTTCATATTCAACTTGCAGCTTCTTTCTGTTACTTGACACTTACAATAGAATAATCCATTCTAATTTCAGTCCCTTGAGACCTAGTCCTGACATCAGCTAGAAAGATAGGCGAAGGCCAGTTAACAAAGGCTTTGGGTGGTATGCTAAGGTGGTTGGAATCTCTCCTGTGGGATTTACAGTGAAGCTAACGGGGAGACACTATTTTAAGCAGAAAAATGATATGGTCATATTTGAGTGTTTAAGGACAATTATTTGCCCAGTGACAGACGGATTGAAGTCAGGTTAAGACAGAAGGCAATGGGACCACTTAAAAATTCATGTAGACAAGAAATGAAAGAGTCTGAACTCAAACAGCAACACTGTGAATGAAAAGAATGAGAAATATATGAGACATGTTGAGAAGATTCTATTGAAATTAGTGACAAATTGGATACAAAGGATGAAAAAGAGAAAGAAATCTGGGGTAAGGCTCTGGCTCGACACATTAGACCAAAGGCAATGACAATGACTAGGTAATAGAGAAAATGGCACAGACTTCGAGAAAAGGTTCTAGTTTCCATTTTGGACTCCTGAAGTTTGAAGTGCCTATGAGATTTATGGACAATTATCCATGTAAGAAAGAGGATGTATGGGATTTGGCACTTTGGAAAGTGATCTGAGTTAGAAATACTGAACTGGCAGTCGCTGAGTGATAGCTAGGGTCATGAGAGAAAACTAAATTATTTTGCAGGGAAATTTCAAGTGGAAAAAAGTTTGAGACTGGATCCAACTGAACACCAACATGCAAGGGGTTGGCAGTGAATGAAAAACCTACAAAGTATGCATTAAGAAATTAGCCAGAGTAGTAAGAGCTGGACCAGTATCAGAAAAGAAAGAGTCAAGAAACACAGGGTGAATAAAGTTTCAAGGTGAGCATAAGAATCCTTATGACTCTGTAATGTTTAAATTTTCTACAAAAAACAAGTATTATCCTTACCTTTGAAAAATTCATAAAAATAG
Organism: Homo sapiens; assembly: GCF_000001405.40. NCBI lineage: Eukaryota > Metazoa > Chordata > Mammalia > Primates > Hominidae > Homo > Homo sapiens. Next base: position 93,706,166 of record NC_000023.11, on the reverse strand, counting down.
AAAAGATTTGTTACAGACAACAGTATTAAATGCAGAAGATCAGTCAAGTTCAGATCTGAAAATGTCCATTATACTTAGCTATCAAGAAGTCATTAGTAACCTTTGCTAATGCAATCTCAGCTAAGTGGTGAAGGCACAAGCCAGGTGACAGTGGGTTAAAAGACTGAATTGAAGGTGAGAATGTAGAGACCTAGAGTACATAGTCACAGTCAATACGGAAAGTAAAGAGATAAGAAGGCAACCATGAAAGATGCAGAGTTAAAATTCTTTTGTGTTTTTTTTTACATGAAAGAAACTTGAGCATATTCATAGGGCATCTAGAAGGATAAAGTACAAAGAAAACATGTTTTAAAAACCTAGGTAAGAGAAGAAATAACTAATGTGGCAATATCACAGAGAAAACAGAAAGGAATGAAATTAAATTCAGAGATAGAAAGAATTTCTTCCCCCAAGAGCAGAGGCAAAGAATAAAGACAGGGAATGGATGCAGGATTTTTTGTAGGGTGGTAGGAGGTAAAAGGGAGAAAGATGAAGTATTTCTCACATAATAGCCTTCATTTTCATTCAGTGGTAAGTGCCAAGGTTGTCTGCTAAGATTAAGACAGGAGTTTTGAGACCAGTAATTAAAATTTGGAGTAACAACAGAGAATGGGAGAGGGTGTTGTCACCATGTAAGTGTTGCTGGAGTTCTTCTGAACTGAAGAATCTGTATGATCCTTTCCTAGAAGATAAATCAAATTGAGAAAAGAGAAAAAGTAACACCAACAAAGTCTCTTGCTCAAATACTCTGTTTTAAAAGCACTGTGGCTTATCTTCTCTGTTTCTATTATAGAACAAAGAGTAACTTGATTTTCTGTACATCTACTTATTTTCATGAAATATGCTAAAATCCTGTAAAGGTTAGATATAAATTGTGACAATCATGCTAGTAATCTGGATATTATAATAATATTTGTTCATTGATTCTTACAATTCCCTTTTGATAATCTATTATGTGCCAAGATACTATGCAATGGATATTACAGTTTAGTAAAGGTAATAGTTATTACACAAATATGAAACAAATGAGTATATAATCATAATCATGACTGGGGAGATGAAGGAAAAGTACAGGATGCTATGAAAGAAACAGAGACCTAATTCAGAAGGGAAGGTCAAGTCTGAGATACTGACATATCATCTGAGACACTGACATATCATCTGAGACCTGTGGTATAAACCAGAGCTAGCCAGAAAAAGCAGTTAAACAGGATGGGAGTAATAAAAGAGCCAAAATTGTTTGAATGCCCCAATCAGAAGGAATATCAGATGCTAAGGCCTTGAGGTACAAAGGAAAAGCTGAATACAGTACAAAATATTCATATTACTTTTATAAACTAGTAATCATCTCAATTTCTCCTTTTTGAAAGTGATTATACCATCTGTTATGAAACATACTTAGGTAAATGTCAATATAAATGTAAGATCACTGAAAAGATATTTAAATGTTTCACAATGTAGTTTCTACCACAAATATCACTAAAACTAGTTATTTTAAAGGCTACCTCTAAATCATTTAAAGATTACAAATGATTCCAATGAATTTTCACTGAGATGTATAATTGTAGATAAATTCTCACAGATACATAAATTTGAGTTGAAACATCTTTTTCAAAGTAGCTGGAAATTCCTCTAAGCCTTAATCTGAAGCATTCAACTCTTCTGCAAATATCTGGACATTTGGATGAGGCTCCTATTTAAAAAAAAACCTTAATGTTCTTTGTTCACACTAGCTTATGTAAATTACCATGCTGCTGAAACAAATGTATCTTAGAAAGTTTCTTAAAGGATTTAAGATAGGAATGGGCCTGTCAAATTATAAAATGACAATAATCTTCACATATAACAATATCTTTAATTACCACAATATGTTTGGCCATTTCACATTGGATGATAATATAGAAAATAACAATAGTGCAATCTAAGTCACAGGACAAATGAAAAATAAAGAGGTTTTTTTGGAAAATTTAATCATATATATTAATTTCCAGGAAATACATAGCTCCAGCAAGGGTGTGTAATATAATATCCTTTTTTTCCTAAATAAAAGCCAAGCATGAACACATCCTATTCTAGTTGTCAACATGACTGTTCTGAAGCAGAAATTATCACTCTTATCCTGACTGGAATCAACATGGTAGAAAACTGTGCAGTGTGGAAACAGTTCTTCTCATGTATATTCCCTCCAGCATAGTTCTGTCATGGAGCATTTGTCATTCTAAGGAAAATGTGAGAATTTAAAATATCTCTTCCTCTTTCTTCCCTCTACAGAACTGTCAAGTGACAAACAGTCAATCTCCGCCATCTTAAGGATGATATCTGAAAGCTTATAGAAGCAACAAAATATTGTAGATGCAAGTGATAAGATAGAAAAGAATGACGTGACAGGGTAGAAGCTCCAAGTATAAATGTTTGTCAAATGTTTGTTTTAAAGAAATGAGCACTTCACTCTCTCATTTACCTTAATATAGTAAGACATTTTGAATTTTGTATTCAGAAAAACAAATCATCACTATTGTTTAGCTTTTATGCCAATCAAGTGATATGTATTTTTAAACACGCTTTTTATTTAAAATATTTTAGATTTACAGAAAATTTGCAAATACTGTACAGAGAATTCCTGTATCCCCTGCATCTAGTTTCTCTTACCGTTAATATCTTACATTGATATGGAACATCTACCACAACTAATGAACCAGTACTGACACACTATTGTTAACTAATGTCCATTCTTTATTCAAAGTTCCTTAGTTTTCAGCTAAGTCCTTTTACTGTCCCAGGAATCCATCTAAGATACCACATTACAAGTAGGCATCATGTCTCCTAGGCTCCTCTGAACTGTGGCAGAGGAATTTGTTTTTGATGACCGTGACTGTCTTGAGGAGTAATCATCAGTTATTTATTTTATAGAAGGTTTATTTTATATTTATTTTATTTTTGAGACAGGATCTCACTCTGTTGCCCAGGCTGGAGTGCAGTGGCATCATTTCGGCTCACTGCAACCTCTGCCTCCTGGGCTCAAGCGATTCTGTTGCCTCAGCCTCCTGAGTAGCTGAGACTATAGGCATGTGCAACCACATCTGGCTAATTTTTGTATTTTTTCGTAGAGACAGGGTTTCGCCATGTCACCACGGCTGATCACGAACTCCTGGACTCAAGTGATCCACCTGCCTTGGCCTTCCAAAATGCTGGGATTACAGGCGTGAGCCACAGTGCCTAGCCTAGAATGCTTTTCAATTTGGGTTTGTCTAGTGTTGTTTTTTTTTTTTTTTTTTTTTTTTTTTTTTTTTATCATAGCTATAATTAGATTGTAAGTTTTTGGGAGAAATAACACAAAGGCAAAGTACCATTCTCATCACATCATATCAAGGGTATGTACTACTAACTTATTGCTAAGGTTACTAACCTTGATCACCTGACCAAAGTAGTATTTATCAGTTTTCTCCACTCTAAGATTATTCTCCTCCCATTTCCGTACTGTACTCTTTGGGAAAAAAGTCACTATGTGCAGCCCACACTTAAAGAACGGGAAGTTACATTTCAACTTCTTGATGGTGGTATGCCTACATAAATTTTCTGGAACTCATCTGTACAGGAGATTTTTCCATTTATCCCCATGTATTAAGTCACTTATTTATACCAGTATCGATTCATGAGTATTAATTTTATACTTTGGGTAATATTCCAACACAATTTTATTTTGTTGATTAAACTATTCCAGCTTTGGCCACTGAAAGCTCTTTTAGTTAGCTCCTGTGTCCCTCTGACATTAACTCCCTCATTTTGATTCTTAAGTACTCCCTTACTTGCTGGCTCTTACAAGATGTTCCAGTACCATTTTGTATAACCCCTGCATTAGCCCTAGAATCAGCTATTTCTACAGAGCCCGGGTTCCTTTTACTGCAGAACGATAATAGAAAACAAGACCTTGGCACTGGGTGTGCTTATTGCTATTGGGATATTGTTTCTTCCAGGCCTTCTCAATGGACAGAGCTACAAAATATGTAAAATGTTTTTAATTCATTCGATCACATATTAAGTTTAAATTAAGCACTTTGCACGCGACAGGAATTATTTAAAGATGATATATAGAATACTGTGTTTACTATAATGGACATCTAGGTGATATGACTGAGTCATCATCGACAAAGTCCATTTATTTCTCAAGTAGTAGGAATGGATCTGTCCTGCATATACTTCTGAAATTCTTTGAAAGTCTAAGAGTATAGTCTAATAAAAAGCGTAAAGGCCCTCAGAGAAACTAAATTTGCAAGCTTTGACCCTTTAGCACTTTACCCTAGCCAAGAAGCCATGAACTAAATAACAATAGTTTCTATAGTTCCAGTGTCAATGCTTTAGGAAATCCTCTGTAGAAAACCATTATATACATAAATACCAACTTCAAATACGCATTTTCCAAGAAGGTACTTGTTTTGAAAATGCATTTGATATGTTTTGGATACTCACTAGTAACTTTCTTGATTCTTTCTTGACAACAGATTTTGCTCTAGAGCCCTATGTTCAGATGTAGTGGGACATGACTACATATGAAGTAACCAAAATGTCCTAGAGCCCTGAAAATTCCAGCCCCTCTATTTTCACGGGTCACCTTACATGAAACAAATCTAATTAAATACTAGTTTATTTCCATCTATGTGATATGACTACTTATATAAAAATACACCCCAAACAAATAAGGTTTGCCCTATGTTCTCTGCCCATTGTCCTAGTTCCTATTTAACAAATGTCTTGTAAGTTTTGTAGAAATCCTTGACAAGGTTCCTCAAATTACAAATCTTATTAAGCCAGTGTTGTTCAGCACTGAACACCTAAAATCAATTTTATTTGGATTTGACCAGTATGCAAATGAAAAATTATTTCAAACTTTCAGATTGAGATCAAACTGGACTTCCCATTTATTTCTTATAATTTCATCTACATTTTAGCTTTAAACTAAAGCAATATATTTTATAGTAGAGGACCATAATATGCACTTTGAGGCAATGCACTGTGCATACAAACCGATTTGCAATCTAAAATATGTCAACATTTCCCTAGCATCTAGTTGTGCCAAGATACACATGTCATCTCGTCTAACAACTTATCAAAGATAAGGCCTTAAGCATAGGAAGCAAAATACCAGGGGAGTTCTTTACTATTTTTCCCAGTGAACATAATTCAAAACATATCTATTTGTGCATGGCTTTAAATAGCATTACTTGGTTTTACATGTATCAGTGCCTTCTGCAAACTGCCACCCCCACATAAATTTTTTTAATGTATTTCTGAAAAGAGAACAGAGAATTTGATGTAAATATACTGGCTGAGAAACAGCCAAAAGTACTACGTTATTTATTGAAGCTGGATACACTTATATGAGTTTTAGATTTTCTCACATTAGAAATGTCTATGTATATGTACATTTCCTTAAAATCCAAAGGCCAGAGTATATTTGTTAACGTAACTAAATTATAGATGACTACTGAAAATAATAGCACGTAATGGTCAGAAGCATCAAAAACTGTGCAAATTTATATTATAATTATCATACTGGAATCAAAAAGGACTATATTTCCATAACTGGCATGATTTGAAAAAACATGTGGAGGGATCACTCAGTATTCATCGTCAGAGGGAGAAAATTTAAAATGGAAAAATGTCTTAAGCTGAGATTGAAACTGGATGGCAAAAATATATAACCTGAATGTAGGTGATTCATTCATTCACTCAACAAATTTTTATTGAGATCCTACTGTGAACCACACACTGGTATTAGAGAAGGCTTTATGGGGCTTACATTTTAGAGAAGAAAAATAATTAGCAAATTTGGTTTTTATTCCAAATATATCAGAATGAGTCTAACCAGGACTTTAATAGAAAATATTGGGAGTGGCGGTTGGGGGATGGATAGAGGAAAAAGTTAAATGACATAATGAAAAAACAGGCAGATAAATCTAGAATGTGGAAGATTCCATAAAACAGCTGATTTCCTCTAAAAATCAATTTCATGGACTAAAAGAAAAATTATTTTAGGAAAAAACTTTAAAGAGACATAACCTTGATTTAATCCTAGTTCAATTAAAAAAAAAACATGTATCAGAGGCTTCTTTCTAGAAATGTTCTCAAATTAGATTAAGATGATGGCTGTACAACTTTTGTAAATTTGCAGTAAATCATCAAACTGTACACCTAAAATAAATAATTCTCATGGTATAAAAACTCCAATAAAACTGCTAAAAACTGGGGGGAGGCTCTAAGATATCTAATACTGATTAGGCATTAGATGATAGGAAAATACTTTAAGTAGCTTAAATATGGTAATACTGAGATTACAGAGAATGCCCTTATTTTTAGGCAATATATGCTGCAGTATGTGCATATGAAGCGTCATGAGGTCTGTAACTTACTTTCAAATTATGCAGCAAAACAGAGAAAGAAAATAGAACGAAATGATAAAAGTTCTTGGCTCTAGATTGCGGGTATATAGGTGTTAGTCTTCAGGTTTTCCAAGTGCTTAAAAATTTCATAAGAAAAAGTTGGAAAATATATTATTTTTAAGAGATTAAAAGAAAGCCGCTGGAGGATATTAGGTAGGGAATGACAATCTGTTGTTACTGAACATATTAACAAACAAATTGGACCTGCTTACTATATGATTTGATCAGTTAGACAGAAATATCTCAATGCTGTGAATACTGAATAAATTTAGTATTTATGAGAAAAAATAATTGATGATGAAGCTGCAGATAGACTTGGCCTAATGTCATGTGTGTGGCAGTATGAATAGTGGTAATGCAATTCACCTTTCCTTTCTGCTTTCTATCTGTCCCATCTTTTACCTTTCAGTTTTGGCTAGTCTACTTTTGTTATGCCAAACACACGAAGTCAAGAATCCCTAAGGTACATGGCATAATAACCAAAGACCTTAACTAAATCTATGAACTCCAACCTAAATAATTTAGCCACTGATTAACTCTTCCTCTTTATCTTCTGCCAAATTCATTCTCCCCTCTGTCTGTACTTCAAGCTCAGTAGCTTCTTTCTTTCAGTATCCCTGATATGCCATATTCCCTCTGCCCAAGACCTTTTCAAGTAGTATTCCCTCCCTAAGTGCAACCTTAGTATCATTTACATAGGGAAGCCTTTCTTGATGTCCTTGAAAAAGTTAGGTGTGGTAATCATACTCTAATTATTTGTGTAATCATTTGTTTAATACCATTTTCCCCCACTAGATCGTGGATTCTATAAGGAAAGGATTCATGTCTTCAGAGTTCACCACTGAAGCTCTCAAAAAAATAAGCAAATATACATGCTATTATTTATCTCATTTACAAACCAAAAGAAACCACCTGTATTAACCTCATTTCCTCTAAAATCTATTGCTCCATTTCTCTGCTTACTGTTTCAGCAAAACTGGAAATAGCTACTTATACAAAGTTTTCAACTCCTTTCCTCTCAGTCTCTCTTGAACTCATAACAATGGAACTTTCACTTCAAACACTCCATGGGAACTTTTCCTCTCTAGGTTATGAATGACCTCCATGTCACTAAATCTCATGATCAATGATTATTCTTCATTTTAACCTCATGGATCAGCATAATTTGACAGAGTGGATCACTCCCTCTTCCTTGAAACACTTACCTCAATTGGCTTGCAGGATAACACACACTCTAGGTTTTCCTCTCACCTTTTCCAGCTGCTTCTTTCCAGGTTCCTTTTCAGGTTCTCCACTTTTACCACAGATAAATGAGAAATAAGATAATGTTTGTCAAAGTTATTGCACTAACATGGCAGTAAGTTTTAGGTTACAGAACTAAAACTTAGAGTAACAAAAAATGTAAGAAAATTTGAGGAGGTATGTGACCACAAGAAAATACTGTTTTATCAGGCAAATTAATCACCCCTTTTAGAAAGTTACGATTAGCACTTTCTTAACATTATTGTTATTTATTCAATTGTAAACAACTATCTACTATAAATAACTATAGATTGCTCCCTGCTCTCCCACTTTTTCTACCTATAATTGTTTACCTAACGTATTCCTTCCTCACTGCCTATTGAAACCACTCTATCCTCAATCTAATCATTGTTCTAAAACCCAATTTCTTTAAACAAAATTCTTCCCCATCACCTACACTTCTATTTTATATTTCAATAGTGCTTTAAACCTAATAAAGTAAATTAATGAAAGAGCGACTGGGGTAATATTTATAAAATAATTTTCCCCACCCTAAGTAATCTAAGAAATAAATTCATTTTTAATGTTCCTCAGTGTCCCTGAACTTTGATTGCCAACAAAAACTGATGAATATAGAACTCTGACAGTAAAAACAGCTATTCCTAAAAAACAGGAACTCAAAGTATGGTCCCATGACCATGGGCATCTTCAAGATCCTTTCAGGGAGTCTCCAAGGTTCTCCTTTTCCTAACTATGTATTTGTGTAAGGTCTGATTTTCTTCATATACTTCAACTAAAATATCATATCACAACAGACTGAATGTAGAAACAGATAAGAAAATTATTAAGCTAGGCATTAAGGAGATTTTAAAAAATATGCAGTAGTATATCTTGTTTTCACTAAATGTTTTTAATTTGGAAAATACAGTTATATTTTATAAAGTGTTACCTGGTTAACAGGTAATGGATTTATTCTTGGTATTTTCAAACGGGTTAAATATTGTAAACATTTCTCAGTTTTACTTTTAATACCACAAATATCAATAGCTACTATATATCAGATATTATTTACCACATAAATAAATGCTTTTTAAGGTTCTTGGTAATTTGTAACAGTGCAAAGGAATCCTGAGATTAAAAAGTTGGAGAAACTTCTCTCTGAAAAAGTGTTTCTCAAATAATACCCACTGACCACCTGTCTTATTTTTATTAAAAACATATTTTTATTTTTAATATATTAACCTGCCTATGATATATTATATATATATATATATATATATAACTTGCCTATATTTATTAAAAATACAGATTTTTGATTTTGCAGAATGCCTACTAAATCATAATTTTGGGGGAACTTGTCATGAGTTTACATTTTCAACATGGTCTCCGGTTGATTCTTATACACATTAAAATTAGAAAAATCAAGGGAAGGGGTATATAGACTTTGAAGTCTGATTAATTCAAACTCTAGTTCGTACACTTCCTGGTTGTAACCCTAGCCTACACTACCTTTTTTTTTTTTTCTTTTTGAGACGGAGTCTCACTCTATCGCCCAGGCTGGAGTGCAGTGGCGCGATCTCGGCTCACTGCCAGCTCCGCTTCCCGGGTTCACGCCATTCTCCTGACTCAGCCTCCCGAGTAGCTGGGACTACAGGCACCCGCCACCATGCTCGGCTAATTTTTTGTATTTTTAGTAGAGACGGGGTGTCACTGTGTTAGCCAGAATGGTCTCGATCTCCTGACCTCGAGATCCCCCCGCCTCGGCCTCCCAAATTGCTGGGATTACAGGCGTGAGCCACTGCGCCCGGCCGCCTATACTACTCTTAAGCAATTTCCAGCTCTTAGTTTCCCCTCCCCCTATGTCCCGAATCCTATTCTAACTGCATATACTCAATTAAATAATTGCTCATTTCTTGAAGAAGCTCCAAGCTTTTGTATCAGAGAAGTTTTAGAGGCAGTAATCTGGGTCTGAGAGAAAGAACACTGGAAAGGAAACTTGCACTTCCATAAGAGACACGTTGTTTTTACTTAAATTGTTTTGAGGTGGCTATGAGAAGATGATGGCGATTTTAATGGGATTCTGTCTCCCAAGCTACTCCTTGGCATCGACACTTACCTGTTTGCTTCTGCTATTGAACAGAGAGGGCCCCCTCAGAGGATTTTATTTTCTGTTCTTCACCTCCAAGCATACGGCGGGTGAAGATGGCAGCCATTTTGTCTTGCCCTAGCCCCAACCCAAATCAGTTATTTTTATCGAGCTGCCTGGTAACTCCTCAACGCTCGTTGTAGTTTGAATACACAGTTCTGACCAATCACAGGCTTAGAACTGGTTAGACTGTTACCAATTCAGTCAGTTAACAGAAACCTAACAGAAACCCATGAAATTTTGCCCAGCAGTGAACTATCCTTTTAAGAAAGTTTTCCTCTGTATAAAAGTGCTGCTCATAGTTCATTAACCCTCAGGATGAGAATTATACAGAGTGAAGTTTAAAAATGCAGATTCCTGGCCAGGCGCAGTGGCTCACGCCTGTAATCCCAGCACTTTGGGAGGCTAAGGTGGGTGGATCACAAGGTCAGGAGATCGAGACCATCCTGGCTAACATGGTGAAACCCCGTCTCTACTAAAAATACAATAAAAAATTAGCCAGGCGTGGTGGCGGGCGCCTATAGTCCCAGCTACTCGGGAGGCTGAGGCAGGAGAATGGCATGAACCCGGGAGGCGGAGCTTGCAGTGAGCAGAGATCGCGCCACTGCACTCCAGCCTGGGCGAAAGAGCGAGACTCTGTCTCAAAAAAAAAAAAAAAAAAAAAAAAAGCAGATTCCTGTGTTTCATCCCAGACCAAGTGTGTCAGAATTTCTGGGAATAAGACCTAGGAATTTAAAAAATGTCTTCAGGGGCCTGGCATGGTGGCTCACGCCTGTAATCCCAGCACTTTGGGAGGCCTAGGCGGGCAGATCACCTGAGGCCAGGAGTTCGAGACCAGCCTGGCCAACGTGGTGAAACCCATCTCTACTAAAACTAGAAAAATTAGCCAGGCGTGGTGGCACGCGCCTGTAATCCCAGCTACTCGGGAAGCTGAGGCAGGAGAATCGCTTGAATCCAGGAGGCGGAGGTTGCAGTGAGCCTAGATTGCGCCATTGAACTCCTGCCTAGGCGACAAGAGTGAGACTCCATCTCAGAAAAAAAAAACAAAAACAAAATGTCTTCAGGTTATTATGATAGAAACTAAAGTCTGAAAACCATTGCCATAGGAAAAATTTCACATAAAAACAATACAGAGAATAGGAAAAATATGCATATTCTCTATCATCACCTAGTTCTTTTACCAACTGCAAACAGATGGATGTTGTCACCAACATGCCCTTCTATATAGACATATTTATTTCCTTCCAATTAGACACTATTATTCTGCAGTGTCCCAGTAGCACCAAGAGTAGTGAGGCTAATTCTCCCTGTCTAAAGTCATAAGATATTTAAGTATAAATTAGAATGCCCATGCAATAGCTTATACTGGGAAATATTATAAACACAGGAATGTTTAGTTTGATAACCAGCATATTACATCTCTATTAAAGGATATACATACTTTTGTATGTATATCATACATTAAAATCATAATCAGAGTTTTCCTTGGTGAGCCTGGAATCACTAAAAAGAGAGTCAGTAGATTTTTTTAATGATCACTGCCTCAAGGTTTAATTTGATGTACTTACCCATCTCCATCATTGAGATAGGGACTAGAATATTCCAATCTACTAATCAGGACACCCTCTTTCCCAGACAGTGCTGGAAACCTGCAACTAGCTCTCTGATTTTCCCTAATAGAGCTGTTTTCCTTCTGATAATTCATTCTCCTGTTAAATGATTAGATTTTACTTTTTCAATTTATAATCACGGTCTATTTGTGTCTCCTTCAGACTCAACCAAAACTCTGGGTGTTTCCAAATTGAATTATCTACTCACCAGTCATCTCTTGGGTTAATTTTGCAGGTGTTTTATCTTACTGGGGATTTAAATTTTTCCTAATTTCACCTTGAATTTCTGACCCCTTTGTATTGATTTCACACGCTACATCGAATTTTAAAAGTACAAGCAATCAACTTTTAAAGAGATCTCAAGAATGTTTAGTATAAAGTCTATTAATTGTAAAAATCCCATGGCAGAAGTTTTTCATTGTGTTATATTAACTGGAGAATATTTTCAAAGTGGTTTACTGCAAAAAAAAAGATATTCCATATGAAAATATTATAAACAAGCATGTAATATCATCTTTCTCAAAAGATGCTCAGTAATATTGACATTTTTCATCTGCATTTTGCATTTCTACCTCTGCTTCTCTTGATCTTACTCTCACTTTCTAAACATACAAGATGATCCCTGTGCTGCCAACCAAATGTTATTTTTTCTCTGTGCTCACTTGTTCTTTCCCTTTAAAAAAAATATACCTTGGGTTTTGTAAAAGGTCTAAAATACAGGTGTTTTATTGTACTAGATAATAACATTTTAATTTTAACAAATATTATATTCATAATCTATTATCTAGGTAATTCTTTATTCAACCTTTTACACTGTGGAAATACTTCAAAAGAGCAATTTGAAAGAAGCAAATGCTAACCTTGTTGTTACTTCAAAGTTAAAACTTTCTTATAAAACTTCTATAAGAAACATTAGTTACAAAAAGCAAAAGCAATAAAATTAGTACTAAAATGCATGGATGAATGCTACCTTTAGAAGGGGTTTGGACTTCAAAAAGGGTTCTAATGTTGCATCTCAACTTGTAATGGTTATGAAACCATAGGCTGATCTTTTAGTCTTTATTAGGATAGTCTTCACATTGGTAAAATGAAAAATGCTGTCTCTACCTTGTGGGTTTTTGTGAAAATCAAATATAGTACTAATAGGGGCACACTTCAAAAAGGCAAATGTGTCATACTGATGTAATTTCATATTGTTAGAATTGTTAATATTAAGAATTATCATGCTGTCACAAGGATATAAAGGGAGGACCATGTGGCTCTATTTAACAAAAATTCCAAAGCAAATTTTGAAATTAAAGAATATATATCTCAGTGACATTACACTCTCTCTCTCTCTCTCAAGCTTTTAGGAGGCTCCTATACATAATACAGATGGCTATACAAATATTGTACACTGGGTTTGCCCAGCTTGCATACATATTATTTATTCTTTTCTCTGTCCAGTCCATCTTCCATACTGCCAACTCTAGTTACCTACTTTAAAATAAAACCCTGACTTTTTAAAATGTCATTAGTTTGTCAGAAAGACCCTGGCTTCCACTTGCTTCTCCAAACTCATCTCCCCTTAACTTTCTTCCTCTTATTCTCTTTTCTTTTTGACTCATCACTATAACTCCTATGCTACAGCCCTAGAAAATACCTTACAGTTCCTCAAATATTTCTGGGTCTTTTCTAACTCTTTGAGTTTAAACAATCATATTCTTTCCTTTGGCTGGAAACCTTTCCTTTAATCCCTGACTTTTCTGATCCTCTTAGTAGGAATTAATTTCCTTCTGCCCTATATTTCCATGACATGTTGTTCACTCATTCATTCAAACAATATTTATGGAGTGTCTATTATGTTCCAAACACTGTGCTAGGAAATGCTGACAACATGGAAGTAAACAATACAATCATGGTTCCTAACCTCATAGATTTTATGGATGTTCATATTAAATAAATCACAAGTAACTACATAATTAAAAATATGACAGTGCCATAATGGTTCAATAGCAGCACATAACTACTACCTAGTCTGCAGGATCCTTAGGGAAGCAATGATGATTTATTCACCCATTATTTCCTGTGGTATTGAATATATAAGAAGTGCTGGAATATATCTGTTTGTTTATTTAAATTACAAAGCCAATCTCAGTAACTGTTTCATCACCATGCTAAACATAGTCTATTCAATGCAAAAAAAGGAAACTATTCAGTAACCTAAATGTTTTGTCTTTATAAGACAAGTGTTAGTTTAACATGTTTTTTGACTGAATTGGCATCTCAATACATACTATGTTACTGAGCATTTGGAGCTAGAAGCACTTGGAACATAAATTCTCATAAAAATACACAGATGACAGAACTTCCAGTTATGACCAGATGAGAAGATCAGGAAATCCTTTCCCACAGAAGAATTACAGGTTGAGTATACCTAATGTGAACATCAGAAATCCAAAGTGCTTCAAAATCCAAAAGATTCTGAGTGGCAACACGACATTCCCAGGAAATATTCATTGGAGCATTTTGGATTTTGAATTTTTGATTAGGGCTATAGAATCGGTAAGTATAATGCAAATACTTCAAAATCCAAAAAAATCCAAAATCTGAAACATTTCTGGTCCCAAGTCTTTTGGATAAGGAATATTCAACCTGTATAAGCCTGGACAAAATTAACAAAAGCAACCATTTTGGTACTCTGGAAATTAACCAAAAACATACCTCCATCTAAGAAGCATTTATGCTTGAAAAATCTCTGCCTTTTGGATAAGAATAGTAGGTAACTGTGGCCTACAGCTGCTCCCATAACTCCCCACCCTTAGCTCATTTAGCTCAGAGGTTCTATCAGGACTCATACACCGAAAAACAAAACATTACTGAAAGAAATTAAAGAATATCTAACTAAATGAAGAGACATTTCATACTCTTGGGTTGGAAGGATCAACACTGTCAACATGGCAATTCTCCCTAGTTTGAATAATAGATTAAATCCAACCCCTATAAAAATACCAGCTGGCTTCTTCACAGAAATTGACAAGTTGATCTAAAACTGACACATTGATTGGAAGATTCGTATAAGAGTACAAGGGATCCAGAATAGCTGAAACAATCTTGAAAACGTAGAGTAAAATTGGATGACTCATACTTTCTGATTTCAAAACTTACTATAAAGCCACAGTTAAGACAATGTGGTGTTGACATATAATATAAATAAGTGGAGCAGAATTGACAGTTTAAAAACAAATGCATACATTTATGGTCAATTGATTTTTTACAAAAGGACAAAGACATTTCAGTGGTGAAAACGATAGTCTTTTCAACAAATGGACATTTGTGTATCCATCTTTTTTGAAAAGAAAGAAATTAGACACTTCACACCATATATAAAAAGTTAACTCAAAATAGATCACAGACCTAAATGTAAGATCTAAAGGTAAGAGCTAAAATTATAAAATTCTAGAAGAGAATATAGGAGAATATTTTGATGAGTTGGGGTTGGGCAAAGAGTTCTTAGGTAAAATATTGAAAGCATGTTTCAAAGAAGAGAAAAATTATAAATTGGACTTCATCAACTTGTGTTACTCAAAAGTCATCATTAAAAGAACATAAGAGAAAATATTGCAAATCATATATCTGATCATATCCAGAATATTTGAAAAACTCTTACAAGTCAATAATTTTTAAGACCAAAAAATTAAAAATTGGCAAATAACTTGAATAAATATTTCTTCAAAGAAAACACATTAGGGAAATGCAAATCAGAAGTCCAACAAGAAACTACTACACATACACTAGAATGGCCATAATAAAAAAGGCAAATTATACCAAGTGTTGATGAGGACGCACAGAAAGTGGCCCACAGTGCATTTGCAGATGGTAATGTCATATAGTACAGCCACATTGGAAAATATTTTGGTAGTTTCTTAACAAATTAATCACAAATATACCATACAACACAGCAATTCTACTCCTAGAAATATATCCATGAGAAACAAAAACATTTGTCTACACAAATACATGTATGTAAACATGTATAATAGCATTACACATAATAACAAAAATAACTGGAAACAGTCCAAATATCCACCACCTAGTAAATGGATGAATAAAATGTGATACAGTCATACAATGGAATAGTATTCATCAATTAAAAAGAAAAATTATTGATCCATGCTATAACATGGACGGACCTCAAAAACATAAGTGAAAGAAGCTGGGCACAATGAGGAATATACTGTATGATTCTATTTAGATAAAATGTACAGAAAAGGCAAATTTATATAGACAGAAAACAGAAGAGTGTTTGCTTAAGCCTGGTTGTAAAAACAAGGATTGACTGCTAACAGGCCCTAGATAACTTTCTGGGGAGACAGGAAAATTCTAACAATTATGGTGATGGTCCCATAACTCTCTATAAATTTGCTAAAATTATTGAATTATACACATATAATGAGTGAAATTTATGGTATGTAATTATATTTCAATAAAGGTTTTTAAAAAACACACAGGGATGCAGTAAATAAAAACAATTTAGTGGATTTTCTTAAGTCCTTACTTAGCTTTTTTAGGCTCACCGTATGCACCCATTTTCATAATTTCTACTTCTATACTAACACTCTTTACACCCAAGTCTATATCTCCAGCCCTGACTTCTAAGTCTTTTTTTTTTTCCAGTTTTCATCTCATATAGTTGGTTACCTCTTATACTACTCCTGGCAAAAGTTAACTCCTCCACCTCTTGCTTTCCTTCTCAATTTTCCCATACCTATTAGTGGCACCTATATTTTCCTATGTTTCTCACAACTTCAGTGTTGTTTTCAGTCTCCTTATCTTAATCCCACATTAAATTAGAAACCTAGTAAAACTGATTTTCTCCAAAGCATCTCTTAAATGTGCCCTTTCCATTGTCTCATCAAATAAGTCTTGCTCGTTTGATATCCTTATGCATAGGTGCTAAAGCAATCTACCTCACGTTCTATCTTCATATCACTACAGTCCTTGAAAACTTGTAGTGTCTTTAAATTTACATATGCATTTTTTCAACCAAAAATATCTGCTGAAAAAAAAACACAAATAAAAAATAACCATGGAGTACACTACTTATATGTAAACATACCTTGTTGATTATACTTCCAGATATTTTAATGCATATTTATACCCTTTATTTAAAAAAACAAATTTATATACATAATATTTTGTAACCTGTTTGCATGACTAAATACTATATCATGATCATCTTTCTAAGTCAATAAATACTTATCACTATTGATAGCGGATTAGTATTCCTTTGGATAGATGAACTTTATTTTATTTAATCAACTATTACTTTTACCAAAAATTTTTAAAATTAATTAAAAAATGATTGCTGTGGCCAGGTGCAGTGGCTCATGCCTGTAATCCCAGCACTTTGGGAGGCCGAGGTGGGAGGATCACCTGAGGTCAGGAGTTTGAGACAAGACTGGCCAACATGGTGAAACCTCGTCTCTACTAAAAATACAAAAATTAGCCGGGCATGGTGGCAGATGCCTGTAATCCCAGCTACTTGGGAGGCTGAGGCAGGAGAATTGCTTGAACCTGGGAGGCGGAGGTTGCAGTGAGCCGAGATCACGCCATCGCACTCCAGCCGCGGAGACTTTGTCTCATAAAAAAAAAAAAAAAAATTGCTGTTACCTATTATATTAAATCTAAATTTATAACCCTTGTATTCTCCAATACCATCTCTATATGTTCCAACATAATCCCTTTATGCCAGACAAAGCAATCTGCTTGTACCACATATATATATAGTTAAGTCATGCTTTTACATTTTCTTATATCCTTAGCACTGATATTTAAAATTTTTAGAGTATTTATTTTACTTATTTATATAATTGTTCTGGGGGTGTCTCATACTTGTATTTTTTTCTCTCCTAAATTAGATTGTGAGCTACTCCTAAAGCAATTTTCAAGTTTGTTTTTTCTATCCCCACAAAGCAATCAATATAGTGCTACATATACAGTAGGTAATTAAATTAATATTGATTTAAATTAATGACTCACATTCTTGCATTCATTCATCATAAGTTCATTTGGCAAAAATGATTTTGAGAAAGTGAAATGAAATGAAAAACATTTATTATAAGTTAATGAACATCTACTACATACATAACACTGGGTTCTCAAGAAAACAAATAAATAAATGATACATGATCTCTCCTCTCAAGGGGTTTATAATCTATATGGGGAAAGTAAGGCACATAAATAGTTAGACAAATATACAAGACTACCATTCAAAAAAGATACTAACAAGCAATACATGATTAAAAGAAAATGAGGAAACAGAAAATCAGTGATTCGGGGACCAGTGAAAGGAGAGCTAAGTCTTAGAAAAGATAAGTTGAATATTAAAACATGAGAGATTTGGAGAAAAGGCAATCCTTACACACTACTGATGGGAATGTAAATTAGTATAGTCATTTTGAAAAAACAGTTTGGTGGTGCCTTAAAAAACTAAAAATTGAACTACCATATGATCCAGCAATCCCACTGCCTGGTGTATATCCCTCCGCCAAAAAAAAAAAAAGAAAGAAAAATCAGTATATCAAAGATGTATCTATATTCCCATGTTTATTGAAGCAATTTTCATAATAGCCATGATATAGAATCAACCTAAATGTCCATCAACAGATGAATGGACAAAGAAAATGTGATATACAGGCATAATGGAATGCTATTCAGCCATAAAAAGAGTGAAATCATGTCATTTGCAGCAACATGGATGAATCTGAAGAAGATTATGTTAAGTGAAATAATCCAGAGACAGAAAGATTCCACATGGTCTCACTAATACGTAGAATTTAAAAAGTTGTTCTTATGGAAGTAGAAAGTAGATTAGTGGTTACCAGAGGATGAGGAAGGTAGTGAGTTAGTCGGGGGATGGGAAGAGATTGGTCATTGCTACAAAGTTACAGTTAGGAAGAATAGATTCTGGTGTTCTATTGCATAGTAAGATGACTAGAGTTATCGACAATGCATTGTATATTTCAAAATCGCTAGAAGAAAGGTTACTGAATGTTCATCACAAAGAAATGATGTTTAAGGTGATGCATATGTCAATTGCCCTAGTTGATCATTATATAATATATATACATGTACCAAAACACCATGTTGTAACCCGTAAATATGTATAACCATTATGTGTCAATCACACATCTTTTTAAATTTTTAAAATATTTTAAATTTTATTTCAATAGTTTTTGGGGCACAGGTGGTCTTTGGTTACATGGATAAATTTTTTAGTGGTGATTTCTGAGATTTTAGTGCACTAATCACCTGAGCAGTGTACACTGTATCCAATATGTAGTTGTTTATCCCTCACCTCTTCCCACCCCTCCATCCGAGTCCTCAAAGTCCATTATATCATTCTTATGCCTTTGCATCTTCACACTTAGCTCCCACTTATAAGTGAGAACATACGATATTTCTTTTTCCATTCTTGAGTTACTTCACTTAGAAAAGTAGCCTCCAGCTCTATCCAAGTTGCAGCAAAGGCCATTTTATTCCATTTTATGGCTGTTGTATATATACCACATTTTCTTTATCCACTCATTGGTTGATAGGCATTTAGGTTGGTTCCATATTTTTGCAATTGTGAATTACATTGCTATTAAACATGCATGTGCAGTCATACATCCTTTTACAAAGTAACAGGTCAAAAGCATTGCAGGCAGTGGGAATGAGCTGAGTGAGAAAAGCAGATAGGAAAATTCAGGGCTCATGCAGAGGAAAATTAAGTTTGGAAAAGTAGGCTGAGGCCAGACAGTGAATGGCCATGAATGTCTGATAAATGAGTCTAGACTTGTTAAAATAGCCCTTTACTAAGCACTATTATGTGACTGGTGGGTCACATGCCTAGTGGGCATCTTTTGTACATTAGATATTGGAAATCCATTTCCTTTGTCTCATGGCACTCTTGTTTTCTTTTGAGAGTAGTCAAGTGAGACTATGACCAGCAGCCTCATCCTCCTATAGCCAAGTGGCAAGTAATTGAATTAAAAATGACTGATGTTCCAGTTTATCTCAGCCTCAACATCATGATTAGACTATTCTGGCTATGGGGCCATGTTGTATTCCCTGTTTCCGTGGTCTGCAGGGCTACTTCAGTTTCTGCCTGTTTCCACACCCGACTCACTAGCCTCCCATTGATTCTGTGAGACCCTGGTATTTTTCCAATGAATTAAATATTACATAAGTTAGCCAGAGTCTATTTCTGTTGCTTGTAACTAAAAAGTCCTAATTGACATAGCTATGTATTATTTTCCACATTTCACTGAAAAGAAGACTTTGTATTTGTGAAATTTAGTAAATTCCCAAGGCCACACAGCTAGCAAGTGGTAAATGTGGGTATGTTTGACTCTGGAATCTAAGTTGTATAAAATTACCTACTAGAGGCTATGTGTCAGGCCAAGGTTTAAACTCTAATTTAAATCTTCAAAACTGATGTTCTTATCCCTATGTCATTCTGGCTTTAAATGAGAAGTGACTGCAGATTTTAGAGAAGGGTATGATATAAAGAAAATTACATTTTAAAAGGGTTAATTTTTTTTTTTTTTTTTTTTTTTTTTGAGATGGAGTCTCACTCTGTCACCCTGGCTGGAGTGCAGTGGCGCCATCTAGGCTCACTGCAGCCTCCGCCTCCCAGGTTCAAGTGATTCTCTGCCTCAGTCTCCCGAATAACTGGGATTACAGGTGCCTGCCACCACGCCCAGCTAATTTTTGTATTTTCAGTAGAGACCAGGTTTCACCATGTTGGCCAGGCTGGTCTTGAACCCCTGACCTCAAGTGATCTGTCCGCCTTGGCCTCCCAAAGTGCTGGGATTACAGGCATGAGCTAGCATTCCTGGCAAAAGGGTTAATTTCAGAGTATGTAGGCTGGAAGGGAAGCAAGAGAGCTTGAGGTTGGAAGATAAATGAAGAAGGTGAGGTGAATAATCCATGTGGGAAATGACAGAAGTCTAAACAGTGAAATGATGGTTGGAACGTAAGACAGTGTAGAAGGGAACAATTATTAGAATATTCTATCGGTTTTCATGGCTATCTCTCTGAAATTTGCATCCTATTAATTTTTCTTTTTACTATTTTATAATAACTTTGGTCCAATGACTTCAAATTTCAGTCCAGTAAGCATAAGTCTTACTGAATTAAACAGAATCTCTTGGTAAGCATATTATAAACTTATAAGCATGCATAGATCATTTGCAGCTAAATTAGGTACACATCATTTGCAGAAAAAGTGCAATCTCCCTAGTGATTTTATGATCGAGCAATATTTTATAGGTTGAAATTTCTTCAAATCATCACAAAACTACAGGAAAAAAGGATATCATAAAATTAAGATAGACATTTGTAGAAATTGGCTCAAGTTTTTTCCTACAAGAGTAAAAATAAACTTTTCAGAAGAATGGTTAGCCAACTCACGATCTTCATTTTTCAGGTAAGAAAGGTCTCTAGAAGCAAGAGTCATTTTTCTCCATTAAAAACAGCTGTACGAGTCAATAAGAAAAAGAATAGAAGTTTTGAAATAAGAAGAAACAATTAAAAGTAATTTCACAGAACTTAGACTGTGAACATAATGGAGAGCAGGACAGTACTGCCTCTGATAACTTTATTGTCATCCCAAGAAAATACCATGCTTTTTGGAAAGAACAACGATGCATAAAAGCTTCAAATACCAATCAGAATAAAGCATAAGCTCTTTAAAAATTGTACAATTTACATGGCACCCATATATGATAATACCTCAGAGCAGCCAGTATGAGTGCTATTCAAGTGAAAGATAGTTCCTCTTTTGCAAAAGTAGTAATTGAAACACTATTTCAGCTTTCTGTATAAACTTTGACCAAATAATGACCCAATTTAAACAAACAATGTTATTCATTATTGTGTTAAATGTTTGTTTTTTTAATTATAAAAATAATATATGCTTGTTTTAAAAATTCAAAACGTGATTCAGAATAGAAAATACAAAGTTAAAGCTTTTCCTTCAATCTGATTTCACTGGTTCGGTGTATATATTGTCAGACATTTTTCTATGTGAATGAAAACAAACACACATGCACAGAACATATATGCATCTATACTTTTTTATATAGATGGGAGCAAATAATAGATATTGTCTCACAACTTGCTTTTTTCATTTGAAACTCTATTATGGACATCTTTTTTACATATTGAGAACCAGCTCTTTTGTTCTAAGTTACCAAGGCAGATATGCCCTTAAGCTCTGGTTTCTGGCATTTTCCCAACCATCTAAATGTTTCAATAACTGATTTTTGTATTAAAAAAATTGACTTCTGGCATAAAAAGAGGCACGTAGTTCAATAGAACAGAACAGAAAATCAAAACATTAATCCACATATCTACAGCCAACTGATTTTTGACAAAGGCTCCAAGAACACTCATTGGGAAAGGGCAGACTCTTCAATAAATAGTGCTGGGAAAATTGGATAACCATAGGCAGAAAACTGAAACTAGACTCCCCCACCTCTCTGCCTATACAACAATACACTCAAAATGGATCAGACTTACATGTAAGACACAAGACTATAAATCTATTAGAAGAAAACATAGAGTAAATGCTTCAGGACACTGGTTTGGGAAAAGGCTTTATGAATAAGACCTCAAAAACACAGGCAACAAAAGCAAAAGTAAACAAATGGGACTATATCAAACTAAACAGCTTATGCACAGCAAAGGAAACAATCAACAATGTGAAAAGTCTACCTAGAGAATGGGAGAAAATATTTGCAAAGTATTCATACAACAGGGAATTAATATCCAGAATATACAAAGAACTCAAAACAGCCAAAAAAAAACCCATTTCAAAAATTGGCAAATTAGCTGAATAGACATTTCAAAAGAAGACATGCAAACGGCCAACAAATATATGAAAACATATTCAACATCATTAATCATCAGGGATATGCAAATCAAAACCACGAAGAGATATCATTTCACCCCAGTTAGGATGGCTATTATAAAAAAGATAAAAATTAACAAATGCAGGTGATGATGCATAGAAAAGGGAACTCTTATACACTTTAAGTAGTGAACTAGTACAGCCACTATGGAGAACAGTATGGAGGTTCCTCAAAAAACAAGCATGCATAATTTTTATGATTATAATAGAAATATGATTTGACTTTCCAAAGAAAAGTATTTTTCAAACAATAAAGAAATTGGAGGGAAGTTGTTTTCCATAATTTATGAGACAGGAAAAGGCAATGTGGCAAGTTTGATTATGCTTAATTCAAGCAACAGATTCTGATAAGAATAAAAGTAACTGGGTTATTAGGGTAGCCATTTTATGAGATAGAGTACTGTTTATTAAAATAAGCTCTGGTACTCTGATCTATATTTTCCTTTAAATGCTCATTATATGTAAAGCAATTTTGCAATACTTATCTAAAATACTGTCCTTTAGAAAGAAAATACTAATGAAATGAAAGGGTTAAATAAACAGACATTTTAATTTAATATTAAATGTGGATCATCATTAGATTTCAAAATTTTTCTTCTGAAGACTCTGTGTGTCCTCCTAACTATTAATAGTTTGTGAGGTGTTACTATTTAGAAGTTGGTTGGTAAAACACCAATTCTTTAAAACCTGAAAATTTAGTAAACTAATGTAATTTGTTGCATGACAATTACACATTAGTAAATCAGGCACAATTAAGAGACAACTGTTAAATAAAATTAGAGTGCAATTAAAGGCTAAAAATGAATTTTATTTGAACAGCAAGTAAAAATGGTACTGCTGGCTGAACGCGGTGGCTCACTCCTGTAATCCCAGCACTTTGGGAGGCCGAGGCAGGTGGATCACTTGAAGTCAGGAGTTCGAGGCCAACTGACCAACATGGTTAAACCCCGTCTCTATCAAAAATACAAAAATTAGCTGGGCATGGTGGTGAACGCCTGTAATCCCAGCTATTTGGGAGGCTGAGGCAGGAGAATGGCTTGAACCCGGGAGATGGAGGTTGCAGTGAGCCGAGATCACACCATTGCACTCCAGCATGGGCAACAAGAGCAAAACTTTGTCTCAAAAAAAGAAAAAATGGTACTGCTGTAAGGAAGCCAGTTCATTTGTTTAAGAAGTTAATTAGTACAGTACTAAATGTATTCTTGTGCAGAGCAATACTCTGAGCAAGGACAGAGGATTATAAATAAGAAAATATCTTGGTCCTTTTCCTAGGTAAATTTAAAATATACATAGGAAAAGAACATGTGTGTGTACACACAATAAATGACCTATGTGGTTCTGTTATAATGTTTATCATAAAGCTCACAAAAATGTAATACACTCCAAGCAAATAAGCTCTGAAGGAAAGAAAGAGTTAAAGAACTATGTTCCACTGGGTAACTATTCCTGGAGAAGATAAGTTTAGTAAAAACTGTTTGGACATGCACTATGTTATCAGAATTTTACATGTATTATGTCATTTCAAGCTCACCATTGCTCTGTGAGATGGGTACTATTATTATCCCCATTCTACAGATGAGGAAATTGAGGCATAGAGAGTTAAGAAATGTGCCCAAGGTCACTGGAGGGTAAAGGACACAGCTTGTACTTATACACTGGTTTGATTCAAGACAGTGAAGTATCACTAAAAATTTGGGATTAGGGCAAGGATATAAGTGTTTTCAGAAAGACCTTTCAAAGAACTATGTATAGCATATCTGAGAGGCTAAGGGGCAGTTTGGGGGCTGCTACAAGCAGATTGGTCAGATAGTCTAATCATTTATGTAATTCTCTTGTCATGTCATATTTAATCTTTCTTACAAAGAAGGCTAAACACATTCTCATGATGTAGATAATGAAACAGTTTTAATTAAGGTATCCAGTTACCTCTAAACAAACAAAAAAATGCTTATTCTTTTAGATAGACAAATGCTGCTTATAAGAGAAGACAGACAAAAGTGGTCAATATTATAATTTTAAAATTTTGTTTACACCTGTTTTAAGACAGTTGCTAAATCAAAGTAATGAATCTAGAGAATGTAGGCCTCTATTTCTTCTTTCTCTGACAAGCAGATTTTTTAACCAAAAGCAACAATTAGTTCATTGACATCTTGTTTGTTTACTCACTTCTTAGAGAATTGTGAAGTGTTAGCTATCATCACCTTGAAAGTATCAATACTAGATTTGCTGAAGCATTAGTCTATACTACTTACTAAACATATACTTTCATAGAAACATCTGCCAGAATGGAGAACAACTACTTTTTTTCTGAGAGGAGGTACCTAATGAAATTAATTAAATATATTTGGATAGTCTGGAAAAAAATCAGCAGAAAATGTCACTTTGGGCTTCCTCCATTTTGTCCAAATAAATTGCAAAATGGGGAAATAGCCATTGCAAAGATAGATAGATAGATAGATAGATAGACAGAATATATCTAAGATATCATATAAGATATATACATATATATCATATGCACATAAGATATATCTATATATATTGTAAACATTGTCCATTTTTCAAAGTCTTTGGATTTTTTCTTCCTTTATAGTAAAATTAAATAAAATACTTTCAAACTTGCAATAAAAAGGCTTGCTTTATTTGAATTGTAGGATGGAAATTCTTCAGATGAGTACTACAGGCAAAAAATTCCTGATTACCCTTGTAAAAGTATTCTTCCGTGATGTGGTTTTACATTTTTGAAAAATGTACGCTGTTTGTACATTCAAAACTAGCATTAGCAACAAAAGCAAAAATAGACAAAAGGCATCACATCAAACTAAAAAGTTTTTGCACAATAAAGGAAGTAAATGAGTAAAGAGGCAACGTATGGAATGGCAGAATATATTTGCAAACCAAACATATGATAAGGAGTTAAATATTCAAAATATATAAGGAACTCAAACAACTCAGTAATTTTAAAAAACATAATTTTTTAAAATGAGTAAAAGATCTGAAGAGATGTTTTTCAAAAGGCATACAAATCGCCAATAGGTATATGAAAAAATACTTGACATCACTAATCATCAGGTAAATGCAAATTAAAAACATAATGAGATATCATCTCATGCCTGTTAGGACAGCTATTATCAAAAAGACGAAAGGTAAGTGTTGGTGAGGATATGGAGAAAAGTTAACCCTTGTAAACTGTTGCTGGTAATGTGGATTAGTATAGCCATTATGGAAAACAGTATGGACATTCCTCAAAACTACTGTAAGAATGGAACTACCATATGATCTAGTAATCCCAGTACTGAGGATATATCCAAAGGATATGAAATGAATACATTGAAGAGATATCTGTACTCCCATTTTCATTGCAGCATTAGGTACAATAGCCAAGATATGGAATAAACCTAAGTGTCCATCAGTTGATGAATGGATAAAGAAAATATGGTATGTATACACAGTAAAGTATTGATCAGACTTTAAAAAGGGAAATCTTGTCATTTGTGGAAACATAGACAAATCTGGAGAACAATATGCTAAGTGAAATAAGCCAGGAACAGACAAATACCATGTGATCTCACATGTGGAGCATAAAAATGTCACATTCATAGAAACAAAGAGTAAAATGGGTGGTTACTAGACAATTGGGAGTTGGGGGTTTGAGGAGATACTGTCAAAAGAAACAACACGGCCTGGTGCAGTGGCTCATGCCTGTAATCCCAGCAATTTGGGAGACCAATGTGGGCGGATCACGAGATCAGGAGATGGAGACCATCCTGGCTAATATGGTGAAACCCTGTCTCTACTAAAAAAAAAAAAAAAAAAAAAAAAAAAAAAAAAAAAAAAAAAATTTGCCAGGAGTGGTGGTACACACCTGAAGCCCCAGCTACACGGGAGACTGAGGCAGGAGAATCACTTGAACCTGAGAGGTGGAGGTTGCAGTGAGCCGAGATCACAAACTGCACTCCAGCCTGGGCAACAAAGCGAGACTCCGTCTCAAAAAAAAAAAAAAAAAAAAGACACATTTCAGTTAGACAGGAATGAGGTAAGAGAGATTTTGAGTGTTCTCACCAGAAAAAAATAAGTATTTACGGTAATATATATGTTAAAATGCTTGATTTAGTCATTCAACAATGTATACATATACCAAAACTTCATGTTATATGGCAAAATATATGTAATTTTTACATGACAATTAAAATTTCTTTAAAAAATAGCGCTATGTTAAATATCCAAATTGGGAAACAATTTTCCTTATCTTATGTTGCATTAAACTTCCCTTTTAAACTCCATGCAGTTAAGGGTATATTGCTAGAAACGCAATTCAGAAATGTTTCCTTAAAAAATAAAAATCTATAACAACATACCATATTCTGTTAATTTGAGTATATCTGTATTATAGGAATAAGTATAAAATGAAATATTTTTGTTTGAAAACCACTGCTATGGTTTGAAATGTTATAAAACAACCAATGTTTTATTTATTACTATTAATAATAGTAACATCATAACAACCAATGTTTTATTACTATTCTTTTTTTAACTATAATTTATTAACAGCTTAAAGATACTTTCTATTCAATATTTCCATTTTTGCAAGCAGGTCTCTCTTTATCAGGAGTGAGAAAAACAAGGGCATTATTTGTGCTCCTGAATAATGCTAACTACCATTCTTGTGGCTGGGCTATGGACATCTACACACTGGCAACTCCACAAAATAGAAGAACATTTATGTTTCTTTTTGTTATTTCTTTTCTAGGTTTTTACTGCTGTTATCTGACCCTTTATCTCACATAGTTGGGAGCAGAAGTGAAAGGTCAAGGATGAAGATCCAGCTCCTGTGACTGTCTCCATTGTAATGAAATTCTGTTATCACACAATTTTGTTCTCATTCTTTCCCAAATGCATCTAACAAATGGATAACTACCGATTGTGTCATTAAAATCAGTACACAAAGGAACAGATTAGAGCTTCCAACATAGACCCACACATACAAGGACAGCTAATTTTGACAAATGTGCAAAGGCAAATCAGTGGTGAAAAGACAGTCTATTCAACAAATAGTGCTGGAACAACTGCATATCTATATCAAAAGAAATAAACCTTCAATCCATACCTTGTACTTTTTGCAAAAATGTATCAGACCTAAATGCAAAACCTAAAAGTATAAAACTTAAAAAAAATGGAAGAAAATAATTGTGACTTTGGGTTAAGCAAAGATTTCTAAGAGATGACACACAAAGTATGCTCCATAGAAGAAAAACAAGATAAACTGGACTTCATCGAAATTGCAAACTTCTTATCCCAATTACCCTGATTTGACCATTACACATTGTATTCATGTATTGAAATCACATGTGCCCCCAAAATATGATGTATCAATATAAAAATTACTAACATTTCCTCTTTAAAAACAGTAAAAGGCACCCTTAAGAGAATGCAAAGAAAATATGCAGTCTGAGAGAAAATATTTGCAGAAGCTATAACTGATAAAGAACTTGCATCCAGAGTATATAAAGAACTATCAAAACTTAATGATAAAACAACAATCCTATTTTTTTAAATGGACAAAATACAAATGGTCACTTCACCAAAAAAGATATGTGGATGGCAAATCAGCACATGAAAAGGTATTCAACATCATTAGTCATCAAAGAAATATAAATTAAGATCACAATGAAATACTACTGAATACTTATTAGAATGGCTAACTTTTAAAACACTGCCCATATCAAATGTGAGCACTATTGGTGGAAATGCAAAACAACCACTTTGGAAAACAGGTAATTTCTTAAAAAGTGAAACATACACCTACCATGTGATCCAGTCATTCCACTCCTATGTATTTTTCTAAAAGAAATTAAAACATATGTCCATACAAAACTTATATACCAATGATCATAGCAGCCTTATTTGTAGTAGCCCAGAACTCAAAACAACAAAAATGCCCATCAACAAATTGTAGTATTGCCAGGTAATGAATAATTACTCAGCAGTAAACAGGAAAAATAAACTCCTGATACACACAACAACATGGGTAAATTTCAAAATAAGTCTGCAAAGACAGGCAAAAAGAGGAACATACTACATTATTCCACTTATATAAAATTTTAGAAAATGCAAATTCATCTATAGGAACAGAAAACAGATCAGTGAATATCTAGGGACAAGAGGAGGGATTCAAAGGCATATGAGGAAACTTTCAGGGATGACACAATTTTCATTATTTTGTCTGTGGTGATACTTTCACAGATACACACATTTATTGTGTGCCTATTATCCATCAATAAAATGGTTTTTAAAAAAGAATTCACTTGTGTATTCAGATACAACTTGTCCAAGAAGAACAGGAGGAAGTCATTCAAAAATAAATGAACTTGCAATGCTTTGCTTCTTAGATACCTACAAAAAAAGATAATGCTGCTACACTTGTCATTATATACCTTGCGTGTTTGTGTGGTAGGAGTGGGTGGTGGAAGGGATTGTGTGTATGTTCATATTAAGGGAGGTATCAACAGATGTTAATGTACTATGTTCAGTCTGAGTATACTATCAGATTCTGTGTTATGTATCATCTCATGTAGAAGCATGAACATTTAGCCCCCCCGCCAAAAAATCATGTTAATTGAACAAAAAAACATATCACTATGCAAATAATTTATATCTAACCTTATTAAGAAAAACAAGCATATGATATGATAAAACTAATACTTATATTTCACAGTAGAACAAATAGGATATAATGCATCAATTAAATTGATTATGAAGAAAAAGCTTATTTTCTTTTAGATACCTACTACATAAAATTAAAGAAACTAATTGACCAAAAAAAAAAAAAAGGCTACAAAAATAAGTGTGTTACAAGATCCCTATGTATACACAATTAAAGTAGAGAATTGTGATTAGAAAAAGTCATCTACTTTCAACCATTTTCATTGCCTATATCTGGAAAAAATAATTCCAAATTGAAAATAACAATTGTTGATTAGTACATTATTTTTGTATGATGTTTTTGTAAGCTTTTTTCTATTTTTCATCTCCATGTTCCATTCCAAACTTTTCCAGGATCAGTGTGAGTGGTTAAGTAGTAATCTGTAATCCTTGAAAAGCATCCAAAAAACCCCACAAGTATCCAAAAAAAAAAAAACAACCAATTTTAATATGAAAGTAACTGAAAGTAATTTAGTCACATTTGCCCAATATCATGCGTTATTTCCTGAAGAAATCATAGTTGTCTTAAGTCAAGGCCAAAATCATTTTACCTTTAGGATTTCACCATTGATTAATTTCTTGCTTAATTCAGTGGCAAAAAAATATGAATAGACAATTCTCAAAAAAACATAAACATATGAAAAGACAATCTTACCACTAATCTAAGAAATATGAATACATAATATTGATAAATTAATTTGGAGATGTTGATTACAAATGTAAGTAGTGATTACTTCTCAGTGGTATTTTGAGTTACTTTTAATTTCTTCTTTGTATTTCAATGTATTGCCTGACTTTATCAATGAACACATATCATCTTCACAAAATGTAAAGTTATCTTAAAACCGACTCATTAGTTGTTTGCAGCAAACGTCTGACCAATGGATCAGAAAAGAATTTAGAGACAGACCCAAGCAATTTATTTAATGTGATCAAAATAGCATTTCAAGTAAGCAGGAGATAGAAAGATTACCAAATAAATGGTACTAGAAGAATTAGCTAGCTAATAAAAATAAATATTTTAAAAATCTGGATCCCTAACTCATGACTGACTCTAAAATACTAATTCCTAATGCTACAAAGTTTAAAACATAAGAGCATACATTTTTTTAAATCTCCATAATTTAAAATAAAAATAGTAAGTTTCAGAACAATATTTATGGTATAACATCAATGACGTAAATCATTGTTTCTATAACATATGTTTTGATTAAAATTATTCAACGAAAGGATATGCACTTAGTAAATTTCATTCACCATTATACTACAATCCTCTACCACATTTGCCCGGCATATGACAAGCACAAAAATATATTAGTTGAATAACAAAAAAATGAACTTTATGCACTGTTGGAACTGTAAATTGTGATAATAATTCTGCAGAGAGTTTGGCAATATGTATACAATAATAATTTCATAATATGAAATGATCATCCCCAAGCCATCCATTTCTAGGAATTTATCTTATGACCAATTTTCACAAGTGCATAGAAATACATGCTTTAGGTATCCAGGGACACTTTGATTATAGCAGGAAAATAGTATGTATTTAAGGGGAGAGATGGTATAGAAATGGCCACCCTATAACAGGAATCTGGTCAAATAAATTAAGGCAATTATTTCCATGGAATATGCACTTACTTAAAAATAAGATGTCGATCATTTGCCATGAAAATATAGCCATTAGTAATTGATAAATTAAATGAAAAGATTACAAAACATAATATGGTGTCACATAGATAAAGCAGTATACATAAATAGGCAGGTATGTATATGCACAAGGAAATTTCTGGAAGGAAGTGCATCAAAATGCTAGTAATTCTTATCATTTGGTGGTTAAGATTTTGTGTTTTTACTACTGTTGGAATTTTCTATATTGTTTTATCTTTGCAATGTTCACAGACTTTGACAATTAGAGATAAACAATAAAAGTAAATGCATTTATGAAACAGAAAAGCGTTTCCTAACTTTTAAAAAACGTGATTACATGACAAAGCACAAATTCTATAAAGATTAATCTAACTTTAATACATTTCCTCATTTGAAATGAATAATTTATCATATTTCATATTTTAATTTACCACTTGTATTCTATGACCAGGTTTAGATAGTTAATGCGGTTAAGTATGTAATTGTCTACATTAGTATGCCAAATTACCTCTGTGGATTTTCCTGTTTCCATAGAATTATCAAGATAATTCTCTAAAATAAATCTTTAAATGACTGTATCCTGTAAACTTTTATTCAGATGGAGATGAGTAATTTTTGTCATTCTTTAAAATGTGCTAAATATGATCCTTACCTTTCAATGAAAAGTAAATACTCGTCTTTTTTATTGTACCAAGGGAGTTGTTCTGTAGCAGAAAAAAAAATCCTGTAAATAAAAATAACAAATACTCGTTTTTAAACTTCATTTTGCAAAAGTTTATTCACATATTACTGGACTTGTAAATCATACTATAGTATGGCTAGAATTTTACAACATTAGAAGGAAATTGGTGGCAGATGACATCGCATACACTGACAGAAGATGCACATTCATTAGCACAAATTCCCCCTCCCATCCCACTGTTCTTGGAATTGAAACCTGCTGCACAAAAGTATAACGCAAATCATTTGCTTTTTAACAATACTACCTAACATTTAATACCTCTTTGTTTTATCTACAAGGTTGTTACAAGCATTGAGAAGGGCTACGTGGCAAGTTAGCAGCAAGGTTGGGGTATATAATATGCCAGCCTAAAAAGAGAAATATAATAAAAATGGTGTAACTGACTCACGGCAACATGGGTTCGCAAACCTTGTAGATGGATATAAACCAGGCTTGCCAAACATCACAGACAGCACTTATTAAATCAGCTTCGTGGAATGCAATACGCCTGCTGTCTAGTCCCTCCCTCCTCTGCCAATAACCGACTCTCCCCTTTTTTATCCAGTGTAAAAATGCATGCTCATAGAATATTTAGAGAAAATCGTTTTGTTTTTAAATCGTCCATAGTCACACTACCCAATGACGCCATTTGGACCATTTTCATTCAATTTTTTTTTTTTTTTTTTTTTTTTTTTACAGCTTTTTGTCAAGAGACCCGTGACAAACTAAACGGGAATTCAGGGTGGGCGGATGGGAGAAGGAAGACACGCCTCTTTTGCCCTTGTTAGGAACTATGGCTGGTATTTTTACCTCATGTCTACGCTTTTTTTTCTTTTTTAATTATAAAACTATAAATATAGACTTTTTGGGGGGCAGGGGGACACCTTCCAAGGGGTCGCACCTCAGCCAGCGAGCGGCGTCTGGGAAGGTGGGCGGAGCCAGGAGTAGTGGCGTTTGGCCGTTCGTTGGGCGTACAGTTTGTCAATTAAGGTGGACCAGCAAATGAGGAGCGAACTAAAGGCACACTGGGAACGAAATTAACGGGAGGTCTGACTGCAAGGGGAGGGGGCTCGCGATCTAAAACGAGAAGAGATCTCGGGGTCTCATACTGCGCCATTCGGCTGCGGTACATCTCGGCACTCTAGCTGCAGCCGGGAGAGGCCTTGCCGCCACCGCTGTCGCCCAAGCCTCCACTGCCGCTGCCACCTCAGCGCCGGCCTCTGCATCCCCAGCTCCAGCTCCGCTCTGCGCCGCTGCTGCCATCGCCGCTGCCACCTCCGCAGCCCGGGCCTCCGCCGCCGCCACTCAAGCATCCGTGAGTCATTTTCTGCCCATCTCTGGTCGCGCGGTCTCCCTGGTAGAGTTTGTAGGCTTGCAAGATGGCAGAAGCAGATTTTAAAATGGTCTCGGAACCTGTCGCCCATGGGGTTGCCGAAGAGGAGATGGCTAGCTCGACTAGTGATTCTGGGGAAGAATCTGACAGCAGTAGCTCTAGCAGCAGCACTAGTGACAGCAGCAGCAGCAGCAGCACTAGTGGCAGCAGCAGCGGCAGCGGCAGCAGCAGCAGCAGCAGCGGCAGCACTAGCAGCCGCAGCCGCTTGTATAGAAAGAAGAGGGTACCTGAGCCTTCCAGAAGGGCGCGGCGGGCCCCGTTGGGAACAAATTTCGTGGATAGGCTGCCTCAGGCAGTTAGAAATCGTGTGCAAGCGCTTAGAAACATTCAAGATGAATGTGACAAGGTAGATACCCTGTTCTTAAAAGCAATTCATGATCTTGAAAGAAAATATGCTGAACTCAACAAGCCTCTGTATGATAGGCGGTTTCAAATCATCAATGCAGAATACGAGCCTACAGAAGAAGAATGTGAATGGAATTCAGAGGATGAGGAGTTCAGCAGTGATGAGGAGGTGCAGGATAACACCCCTAGTGAAATGCCTCCCTTAGAGGGTGAGGAAGAAGAAAACCCTAAAGAAAACCCAGAGGTGAAAGCTGAAGAGAAGGAAGTTCCTAAAGAAATTCCTGAGGTGAAGGATGAAGAAAAGGAAGTTCCTAAAGAAATTCCTGAGGTAAAGGCTGAAGAAAAAGCAGATTCTAAAGACTGTATGGAGGCAACCCCTGAAGTAAAAGAAGATCCTAAAGAAGTCCCCCAGGTAAAGGCAGATGATAAAGAACAGCCTAAAGCAACAGAGGCTAAGGCAAGGGCTGCAGTAAGAGAGACTCATAAAAGAGTTCCTGAGGAAAGGCTTCAGGACAGTGTAGATCTTAAAAGAGCTAGGAAGGGAAAGCCTAAAAGAGAAGACCCTAAAGGCATTCCTGACTATTGGCTGATTGTTTTAAAGAATGTTGACAAGCTCGGGCCTATGATTCAGAAGTATGATGAGCCCATTCTGAAGTTCTTGTCGGATGTTAGCCTGAAGTTCTCAAAACCTGGCCAGCCTGTAAGTTACACCTTTGAATTTCATTTTCTACCCAACCCATACTTCAGAAATGAGGTGCTGGTGAAGACATATATAATAAAGGCAAAACCAGATCACAATGATCCCTTCTTTTCTTGGGGATGGGAAATTGAAGATTGCAAAGGCTGCAAGATAGACTGGAGAAGAGGAAAAGATGTTACTGTGACAACTACCCAGAGTCGCACAACTGCTACTGGAGAAATTGAAATCCAGCCAAGAGTGGTTCCTAATGCATCATTCTTCAACTTCTTTAGTCCTCCTGAGATTCCTATGATTGGGAAGCTGGAACCACGAGAAGATGCTATCCTGGATGAGGACTTTGAAATTGGGCAGATTTTACATGATAATGTCATCCTGAAATCAATCTATTACTATACTGGAGAAGTCAATGGTACCTACTATCAATTTGGCAAACATTATGGAAACAAGAAATACAGAAAATAAGTCAATCTGAAAGATTTTTCAAGAATCTTAAAATCTCAAGAAGTGAAGCAGATTCATACAGCCTTGAAAAAAGTAAAACCCTGACCTGTAACCTGAACACTATTATTCCTTATAGTCAAGTTTTTGTGGTTTCTTGGTAGTCTATATTTTAAAAATAGTCCTAAAAAGTGTCTAAGTGCCAGTTTATTCTATCTAGGCTGTTGTAGTATAATATTCTTCAAAATATGTAAGCTGTTGTCAATTATCTAAAGCATGTTAGTTTGGTGCTACACAGTGTTGATTTTTGTGATGTCCTTTGGTCATGTTTCTGTTAGACTGTAGCTGTGAAACTGTCAGAATTGTTAACTGAAACAAATATTTGCTTGAAAAAAAAAGTTCATGAAGTACCAATGCAAGTGTTTTATTTTTTTCTTTTTTCCAGCCCATAAGACTAAGGGTTTAAATCTGCTTGCACTAGCTGTGCCTTCATTAGTTTGCTATAGAAATCCAGTACTTATAGTAAATAAAACAGTGTATTTTGAAGTTTGACTGCTTGAAAAAGATTAGCATACATCTAATGTGAAAAGACCACATTTGATTCAACTGAGACCTTGTGTATGTGACATATAGTGGCCTATAAATTTAATCATAATGATGTTATTGTTTACCACTGAGGTGTTAATATAACATAGTATTTTTGAAAAAGTTTCTTCATCTTATATTGTGTAATTGTAAACTAAAGATACCGTGTTTTCTTTGTATTGTGTTCTACCTTCCCTTTCACTGAAAATGATCACTTCATTTGATACTGTTTTTCATGTTCTTGTATTGCAACCTAAAATAAATAAATATTAAAGTGTGTTATACTATAAAAATCTAGCCTTTTCTCCTGACTATAAAAGAGGGATGCTTATCATAGAAGAAAGTAGAGGATCACAAGGAAAAGGACAATTTAATAAAAAGATAACTATTATTAACATTCTGATGTATTTCCCACATCTTAGCTTTTCTGTTGGAGGACACTCATTCAAGATTTTGGAGAGCAATGGAACAAGGAAAAGGAACATGGCATGGAGGGAAAGGAAGGGAAAGGTAGAAGGGGATGGGGATGGGTAAGGGAGGAGGGAGAAAGGAGGGGTGGAGAAGAAAGAAGAGAGGTGAAAAAGGGAAAGGGAGGAAGGTGGGTAGCAGAAGGAATGTGGGGGGGGGGCGGTGGCAAAGGGAACTGGAGAGAAGAGGGGAAGGAGAGCAGGAGTGCCTCACTCACAACACCAGTTATGTAGAAGACAAGCTATGGACCCACCCTTCACCTTGACTTGGAAGGAGGTCACACTACCTTGACTCATTTTTTCTTACAGTGATACCAGGCTCTCATCTCTTCACCATGCAGCTGGTCACAAAGAGATCCTAAGATTTTGGTTTGAGATAAGTGTGAGGAGGTTCTCTCACACTTAAACTCAGTTTACCAGGGAGCTTTGCACTGGACATAAAGGAAGAAGCACAGCATATAATAAAGTGGTACCTTATTTCACATTTGCCATTTCCCAGTCCACAAATGTTTCCCTTGAAAATCTCATAGGAAACTGTAGCCGAAGTAAGAGAGGATTTTAGAATTTCTGACTCTCTAGGCCTAAAATGATCTATAATAGTCTTCCGTACCCTACCATATATAGTTTAGCATCTCACTTTTATTCTGCTTAACAATAGTCACTCCCCAATTTCTATAATGTAAAAATATTAAAACCAATGTCATATTTAACCCACCACATGTGTTCAGATAGTTAGGTTTGCTTTATGATTTTCCACAACATCAGGAAGCAAATTATTGTTTTTAGCAATACCACAGCGTTTTTTGTTTTTTTTTTTTTTGTTTTGTTTTGTTTTGTTTTGTTTTGTTTTAGACAGTTTCACTTTTATTGCCCAGGCTGGAGTGCAACCTCCGCCTCCTGGGTTCAAGTGATTCTCCTACCTCAGCCTCCCAAGTAGCTGGGATTACAGGCATGTGCCACCACACCCAGCTAATTTTGTATTTTTAGTAGAGACAGAGTTCCTCCACATTGGTCAGGCTGGTCTCGAACTCCCAACTTCAGGTGATCCGCCCACCTCGGCCTCCCAAAGTGCTGGGATTACAGGCATGAGCCACTGCGTCTGGCCCATAACATTGTTTTTACAGTGCCTATTTTATTTCTGAGATTTTTGCATCCACGAAGAATGGATATGGCAGATTTACTTATATGCCAAAACCAAAATGAAGAATGTAACAAATATAGTGTACCTGGCTCCTGATGCATAGGTGTCCAAATAGGATATATACTGTACTTGCCAGACATCACAAAGAGCAGAGCCCTTAAAACTTCTACATAGGATGCAATATCCTTTTTGCATCTTAGAACTCTTAGCAAAAGTATTTAGCACCTTCCCTTTCTGTGTTCTCCATATTAAAGGAATACATGTTATTATAGAATGTTTGCAAAATAGAAGCAGAAATGCAGAAGATGAAAATCACTCAGAAGCACACTATACTAAGATATGCTCTTTTGTGGTTTGGTGTATTTTTTCCCAGTTTATCTCTCGGTAAGGTTTTATTACTGTTCTTTTTAACTTTAAAGTTAGATCTAGGGATGGGGCAGGCTTGCAGAGAGCCGAAGATTTATGCATCAGTAAAGTTGGGATACTGGAAATGCAATCAGCCGGTAGTGGATGCTTCAACCACCTCTGCATGTTAAGAAAGATGGGCAGAGCCAGAAAACTCATTGGACTGGCACATGTATTGGGCTTCATGTTTGCCCATCACACTTGCTCAGACAATGAATGATGTTAGAAGGAGAAGCCCGCTGGGAACTAAGCTAAAGGGAAGCTGAGATAGTGAGAAGTGTTCAGTGGGTCATCTTCTGCACCTTCCTTATGGTTTGATGTTTCTTGTTGCTGTGACTCAAAGTCTAGGCCAGCTGCCCCCGGCCCAAGGAAAAGGTCACCTCCTCCTCCAGACTGCTCCTCCACCCGCTCTTTATCTTCCTTTGCAGTCCAGACCACCTCCTTGTTAATGAGCTCATTTCCCTCCTGAGTTGGGCTCTGAGCATCCACCTAGTCATTCTAAATATTAGGTCTTTTTTGTTTAATGTTGCAGACTCAGATAACAAGAGACATCTCTAAGCAGCAGCAGCAGAGACTACTGAAATGGTAATGGAAGGTACCCGAGCTGAGCGAAGAAAGTGACAACACAGTCAAAGGATGCAAATGTCCTATTCTGCAGCCTGGAGTGCTCCAAGCCTGGAGGTGCCATACTATCTGGCAATGCCAGTTCATTTGCCCTTAAAAAGCTTCAGGGTGATTCGATAAGATAGAAGCTGATTTTTTATCAGGAATTGCAGGCTCTGGGGAAAGGTATATATCTTCACTTTATAAGGTGTTTGAGCCCACCAGCCCATGTGTGAAGATGTGGGATTATACCTACAGATTGCAAAGTGAATGTCCTGAAAGTGATGAGGTTTTGAATAAGGAGAATCTGGATTCTGAGCTAACTAGTAAAGCTGAGAAACAAAAGGAGGGGCAAAGATGGGAAAGGAGAAAAATGATTTAGGAAAAAACTCCTTAAAGTACTGAGCATGTGCTGACTTTTTGAAGTTATAATTTATATTTTATTTGAACAAAATATTTCAAAATTAAGGTGTTGAAGAAGATAGGAGCTGATGTTAAAATGAGATTTCCTGATCCCTTCCTTTTTGAATATTCAGAAAATAAGGTCTGTAAAGAATGTCACGTAGACCAGAGGAAAATAAAAAACATCCCTCTAAAAGTAAGATAATTACATTTTAAATCTGACACTCCAACCCAAACTGAAGAAGTTCCCAAAGACTATTTATTTCCTTCAGTGCTTTATTTCCTTTAGTTCTCTTGAAATACAGTGCTTGAAAGTGGAACCCATGAAGAAAAAAAGTCAGGTTCATTTATAACTGTGTGATTGCTGGATTTAAGTTACATGCTTTTCTAATTCAGAAATGAGATTTACACTAAACAGAAGAGTCTGTTGGAGCCTAGGATGACAGCAAACTGAAAGGCTGACAGATCTTGGCCCAACAATTTATAAGATGGAAAAGCTGAGTTTTCAATATCTGGAAAATACTTTGAATATCTGAACTCAGAAAACAACATGATTTGAAGAAGCAGAGTGTATAACCTACAGTATAATATTTCAACACAATTAAGCATTACTTAAAATTTTACATTTTGTGTTTTTTGTAGATTATATTTTCAAAATGTCAAAAGTGGAATGTTTTAGTATTAAAAGACATAGTACTTAGAAGTATACCTTTCTTTGAGATGAAGAACACAACAAATTCTCTAAAAAATCTTTATTTATTGCTATGTAGTTTAGTTCTTATGATGTATTTTTATCATACAGCTATTAGAGAGCAACAGTAAAAATTATCAGAAATTTTCAGTGAAGCTAATATTCACTTGAGGAAAAATACACTTGAAGAATGAATCCAAGTGTATGTTTGCCTCCAGCTCAGAAGTAGGAAGGGTTTAAGTCACCTTGTACCAGGTATACCTGCATTAATTTGCTGTAAAAATAGACTTATTTATTATGCAATGGTACATTCCAAAATTTTACCTCTTGAATAAAGCAACATAGAGCTAAGAATTTTCAGAAATCCATTAATATAAATTATCCTAGATTATTTATAGTTTTGAATTTTGCATAACACAAATTTATAAAGAAAAATATAATAATAATTAGGCTGTTACTTCCCATAGTAGTGTTATTAAAAGTTACTGTTTGCAAGTGGCTTTCTCATTCATCTTTTACTCTTCAATTATATTTGTAATTTTTAAATTATTATGCTTAATTACCTGAGTTTGAAGATGATCAAGCATATTTTCTTTGCATTGTGCTTTACTAAAAGTTATATTGTTTTATTAAATCTTCTGATTATGAAATGTGTTCACTGTAGAAAATTTGGAAGATATATTGAAAAGTACAAAATAATTTAAAACTTTATTTGAAATTTGACACTTTATATGAGAAAGTATGTATATGTCTTTAAACATGATAATTACTATTTTATACCTTTCATATTTCATTTATTATATTTTGAAGTACTATCTATATCAGTGCATGTAAATCTTCACTCTTTAGTTGTATTGGATTTATAATTGATGTGGAATAATTGTACATTTTTTATATTTGTATTTTTTTTTAATTATACTTTAAGTTCTGGGATACATGTGCAGAATGTGCAGGTTTGTTACATAGGTATATACGTGCCATGGTGGTTTGTTGCACCCATCAACCCATCATCTACATTAGGTATTTCTCCCAATGCTATCTCTCCCCTAGCCCCCCACCTCCTGACATGTCCTGGTGTGTGATGTTCCCCTCCCTGTGTCCACGTGTTCTCATTGTTCAGCTCCCACTTATGAGTGAGAACATGTGGTGCTTGGTTTTCTGTTCCTGTGTTAGTTTGCTGAGAATGGTGGTTTCCAGCTTCATCCATGTCCCTGCAAATGACATGAACTCATCCTTTTTTATGGCTGCATAGTATTCAGTGGTGTTTATGTGCCACATTTTCTTTATCCACTCTATCATTGGTGGGCATTTGGGTTGGTTCCAAGTCTTTGCTATTGTGAACAGTGCTGCAATAAACATACGTGTGCATGTGTCTTTATAGTAGAATGATTTATAATCCTTTGGGTATATACCCAGTAATAGGATTGCTGGGTCAAATGGTATTTCTGGTTCCAGATCCTTGAGGAATCACCACACTGTCTTCCACAATGCTTGAACTAATTTACACTCCCACCAACAGCATAAAGTTGTTCCTATTTCTCCACATCCTCTCCAGCATCTGTTGTTTCCTGACTTTTTAATGATCACCATTCTAACTGGCATCAGATGGTATCTCATTGTGGTTTTGATTTGCATTTCTCTAATGACCAGTGATGATGCCCTTTTTTTTCATATGTTTTTTGGCCGCATAAATGTCTTATTTTGATAAGTGTCTGTTCATATACTTTGCCCACTTTTTGAAGGTTTTTTTTTTCTTGTAATTTTGTTTAAGTTCTTTGTAGATTCTGGATATTAGCCCTTTGTCAGATGGATAGATTGCAAAAATTTTCTCCCATTCTGTAGGTTGCTTGTTCCCGCTGATGACAGTTTCTTTTGCTATACAGAAACTCTTTAGCTTGATTAGATCCCATTTGTCTGTTTTGGCTTTTGTTGCCATTGCTTTTGGTGTTTTAGTCATAAAGTCTTTGTCCATGCCTAGGTCCTGAATGATATTGCCTAGGTGTTCTTATAGGGTTTTTAAGGTTTAAGTCTTATGTTTAAGTCTTTAATCTATCTTGAATTCATTTTTGTATAAAGTGTAAGGAAGGGGTCCAGTTACAGTTTTCTGTATATGGCTAGCCAGTTTTCCCAACACCATTTATTAAATAGGGAATCCTTTCCCCATTGCTTGTTTTTTGTCAAGCTTGTCAAAGATCACGTGGTTTTAGATGTGTGGCATTATTTCTGAAGCCTCTATTCTGTTCCATTGGTCTATATATCTGTGTAGGTACCAGTACCAAGCTCTTTTGGTTACTGTAGCCTTGCAGAATAGTTTGAAGTCAGGTAGCGTGATGCCTCCAGCTTTGTTCTTTTTGCTTAGGATTGTCTTGGCTATACAGGCTCTTTTTTGGTTCCATATGAAATTTAAAGTAGATTTTTCTAATTCTATGAAGAAAGTCAATGGTATCTTGATGGGAATAGCATTGAATCTATAAATTAGTTTGGGCAGCATGGCCATTTTCATGATATTGATTCTTCCTATGCATTAGCATCGAATGTTTTTCCATTTGTTTGTGTCCTCTCTTATTTCCTTGAGCAGTGGTTTGTAGTTCTCCTTGAAGAGGTCCTTCACATCCCTTGTAAGTTGGATTCCTAGATATTTTATTCTTTTTGTAGCAATTGTAAATGGGAGTTCACTCATGATTTAGCCCTCTGTTTGTCTATTATTGGTGTCTGGGAATGCTTGTGATGTTTGCACATTGATTTTGTATCCTGAGACTTTGCTGAAGTGGCTTATCAGCTTAAGGAGACTTAGGCTCAGACAATGTGGTTTTCTAAATATATGATCATGTCATCTGCAAACAGAGACAACATGACTTCCTCTCTTTCTATTTGAATACCTTTATTTCTTTCTCTTGCCTTACTGCCCTGGCCAGAACTTCCAATACTATGTTGAATAGGAGTGGTGACAGAGGGCATCCTTGTCTTGTGCCGGTTTTCAAAGGGAATGCTTCCAGCTTTTGCCCATTCAGTATTATGTTGGCTGTGGGTTTCTCATAAATAGCTCTTATTATTTTGAGACACGTTCCATCAATACCTACATAATTGAGTTTTTAGCGTGAAGTGGTGTTGAATTTTATCGAAGCCTTTTTCTGCATCTATTAAGATGATCATGTGGTTTTTGTCATTGGTTCTGTTTATGTGATGGATTACATTTATTGATTTGTGTATGTTGAACTAGCCTTGCATCCCAGGGATGAAGCTGACTTGATGGTGGTGCATAAGCTTTTTGATGTACTGCTGGATTCAGTTTGCCAGTATTTTATTGAGGATTTTCGCATTGGTGTTCATCAGGGATATTGGCCTGAAATTTTCTTTTTTTGTTGTGTCTCTGCCAGGTTTTGGTATCAGGATGATGTTGGCCTCATAAATTTAGTTAGGGAGGAGTCCTTGTTTTTCTATTGTTTGGGATAGTTTCAGAAGGAATGATACCAGCTCCTTTTTTGTACATCTGGCAGAATTTGACTATGAATCTGTCTGGTCCTGGGCTTTTTTTGGTTGGTAGGCTATTAATTACTGCCTCAATTTCAGAACTTG
Source organism: Homo sapiens (assembly GCF_000001405.40). Classification (NCBI taxonomy): domain Eukaryota; kingdom Metazoa; phylum Chordata; class Mammalia; order Primates; family Hominidae; genus Homo; species Homo sapiens. The sequence continues at coordinate 93,663,937 of NC_000023.11, read as the reverse complement.
TTTTTGATCTATTCAGGAATTCAACTTCTTCCTGGTTTAGTCTGGGAGGGTGTATGTGTCCAAGAATTTATCCATTTCTTCTAGATTTTCTAGTTTATTTGCATAGAGCTGTTTACAGTATTCTCTGATGGTAGTTTCTATTTCTGTGGTATCAGTGGTGATATCCCCCTTTTTCATTTTTTGTGGGTCCGCATGATTCTTCTCTTTTTTCTTCTTTATTAGTCTGGCTAGCGGTCTATCTATTTTATTAATCTTTTCAAAAAACAAGCTCCTGGATTCATTGATATTTTGAAGGGTTTTTCATGTCTCTATCTCCTTCAGTTCTGCTTTGATCTTAGTTATTTCTTGTCTTCTGCTAGCTTTTGAATTTGTTTGCTCTTGCTTCTCTAGTTCTTTTAATAGTGATGTTAGCGTGTCGATTTTAGATCTTTCTTGCTTTCTCCTGTGGGCATTTAGTGCTATAAATTTCCCTCTAAACAGTGCTGTAGCTGTGCCCCTGAGATTCTGGTACATTGTGTCTTTGTTCTCATTGGTTTCAAAGAACATCTTTATTTCTGCCTTAATTTCATTATTTACCCAGTAGTCATTCAGGAGCAGGTTGTTCAGTTTCCGTGTAGTCGTGCGGTTTTGAGTGAGTTTCTTAATCCTGAGTTCTAATTCGATTGCACTGTGGTCTGAGGATGATTTCCGTTGTTTTGCATTTGTTGAGGAGTGTTTTACTTCCAATTATGTGGTCAATTTTAGAATAAGTGTGATATGGTGCTGAGAAGAATGTATATTCTATTGATTTGGGGTGGAGAGTTCTGTAGATGTCTATTAGGTCTGTTTGGTCCAGAGGTGATTTCAAGTCCTGAATAACCTTGTTAATTTTCTGTCTCATTGATCTGTCTAATATTGACAGTGGGTTGTTAAAGTCTCCCACTATTATTGTGTGGTAGTCTAAGCGTCTTTGTAGGTCTCTAAGAACTTGCTTTATGAATCTGGGTGCTCCTGTATTGGGTTCATATATCTTTAGGATAGTTAGCTTTTCTTGTTGCATTGATCCCTTTACCATTATGTAATGCCCTACTTTGTCTTGTTTGATCTTTGTTGGTTTAAAGCCTGTCTTATCAGAGACTAGGATTGCAATCCCTGCTTTTTTTTTTTTTTTTTTTTTTTTTTTGCTTTCCATTTGCTTGGTAAATATTCCTCCATCCCTTTATTTTCGGCCTATGTTTGTCTTTGCACGTGAGATGGGTCTCCAGAATACAACACACCGATGGGTCTTGGCTCTTTATCCAATTTGACAAAAATCTCTCAGCATTTGCTTGTCCGTAAAGGATGTTATTTCTCCCTTGCTTATGAAGCTTATTTTGGCTGGATATGAAATTCTGGGCTGAAAATTATTTTCTTTAAGAATGTTGAATATCAGCCCCCATTCTCTTCTGGCTTGTAGGGTTTCTGCAGAGAGATCTGCTGTTAGTCTGATGGGTTTCCCTTTGTGGGTAACCCGACCTTATTCTCCAGCTGCCCTTAATATTTTTTCCTTCATTTCAACCTTGGTGAATCTGATGATTATATGTCTTGGGGTTGTTCTTCTTGAGGAGTATCTTTGTGGTGTTCTCTGTATTTCCTGAATTTGAACGTTGGCCTGTCTTGCTAGGTTGGGGAAGTTCTGCTGGATAATATCTCGAAGAGTATTTTCCAACTTGGTTCTATTCTCCCTGTCAATTTCAGGTACATCAATCAAACGTAGGTTTGGTCTTTCACATAGTCCCATATTTCTTGGAGGCTTTGTTCATTCCTTTTCATTCCTTTTTCTTTGATCTTGTTTTCATGCTTTATTTCATTAAGTTGATCTTCAGTCTCTGATATCCTTTCTTCTGCTTGATCGATTAGGCTATTGATACTTGTGTATGCTTCACGAAGTTCTCGTGCTGTGTTTTTCAGCTCCATCAGGTCATTTATATTCTTCTCTAAACTGACAACTCTAGTTAGCAATTCCTCTAACATTTTTTCAAGGTTCTTAGCTTCCTTACATTGGGTTAGAACATGCTTCTTTAGCTCGGAAGTGTTTGTTATTACCCACCTTCTGAAGCCTACTTCTGTCAATTCGTCATACTCATTCTACATCCAGTTTTGTTCCCTTGCCAGCAAGGAGTGCATTCTGGTTTTTGGAGTTTTCAGCCTTTTTGCACTGGTTTTTCTTCATCTTCGTGGATTTATCTATTTTTGGTCTTTGATGTTGGTGACCTTTGGATGGGGTTTCTCTTTGAATGTCCTTTTTGTTGATGGTGATGCTGTTTCTTTCTCTTTGCTAGTTTTCCTCCTAATAGTTAGGCCCCTCTGCTGCAGGTCTGCTGGATTTTGCTGGAGGTCCACTCCAGACTCTGTTTGCCTGGGTATCACCAGCAGAGGCTGTAGAGCAGCAAAGATTGCTGCCTGTTCCTTCCTCTGGAATCTTTGTCCCAGAGAGGCACCTGCCAGATGCCAGTCAGAGCTCTCCTGTGTGAGGTGTCTCTCGACCCCTGCTGGGAGGTGTCTCCCCATAGGAGGCACTGGGGTCAGGGACCCACTTGAGAAGGCAGTCTGTCCCTTAGCAGAGCTCGATCGCTCAGCTGGGAGATCCACTGCTGCCTTCAGAGCTGGTAGGCAGGAAAGTTTAAGTCTGCTGAAGCTGCACCTACAGCCGCCCCTTCCCCCAGGTGCTCTGTCCCAGGGAGATGGGAGTTTTATCTATAAGCCCCTGAGTGGGGCTACTGCCTTTCTTTCAGAGATGCCCTGGCCAGAGAGGAGGAATTTAAAGAGGCAGTCTGGCTACAGCCGCTTTGCTGAGCTCTGGTGGGCTCCACCAAGTTCGAACTTGCCAGTGGCTTTGTTTACCCTGTGGGGGGAAAACTGCCTACTCAAGCCTTAGTAATGGTGGACCCCCCTCCCTTAACCAAGCTCGAGCTTCCCAGGTAGACTTTAGACTGCTGTGCTGGCAGCAAGAATGTCAAGCCAGTGGATCTTAGTTTGCTGGGCTCCATGGGGGTAGGATCCACTGAACTAGACCACTTGGCTCCCTGGCTTCAGGCCCCTGTCCAGGAGAGTGAACAGTTCTGTCTCGCGGGCATTCCAGGCACCACTGGGGCATGAAAAAAAACTGCAGCTAGCTTGGTGTCTGCCCAAATGGCCGCCCACTTTTGTGCTTGAAACCCAGGGCCCTGGTGGCATGGGCACCGGAGGAAATCTCCTGGTCTGTGGACTGTGAAGACCGCGGGAAAAGCGTAGTGTCTGGGCTGGAATGCACCATTCCTCATGGTCTAGGGGAGGGAGTTCCCTGACCCCTTGTGCTTTCTAGGTGAGGCAATGCCTCACCCTGCTTCTGCTCACCCTCTGTGGGCTGCACCCACTGTGTAACCAGTCCCAGTGAGATGAGCTGAGTACCTCAGTTGGAAATGCAGAAATCACCCGCCTTCTGCGTTGATCTCGCTAGGAGCTGCAGAAGGGAGCTGTTCCTACTCAGCCATCTTCGATCTGGACAGTAATTATACATATTTATGGGGTGCAGTGTGATGTTTCAAAGCACGTATATGTTATATAATGTACATCAAATGGATGTCCTATAATTTATTTCATCAGTTCCTTATAATGTCATTTTGGATATAGGCATCTTTTTATATGTGATTAGTAATTTTAAGCACCAAATTAAGAAAAAATGTTGCATGTGTTACAAACATTACTTTTTTCACTTGTTTTTATATTTTTCCCTACAGAAGTTTTAATGGTCATAGTTATCTTTTTTCACATTATGGAATTGAGGTATTTTGGTTAGAAAAATCTTTCTGCACCAAGATCATTGTTTAAAATTACTTATGTTTCTTCTAATACTCTTATAGTCCTATTTAAAGCCTTAAACTTTTTGGAATAATTTTGACGTAAAGATCAAGATAGCTACACCACTTTTTTTTTCTCTCAACACAACTAACCAGTTTTTTCAACACCATTTATTAAATATTGAATATCCAATATAATTAATTGCTGCCTTTATTATCTAATTTATTATTGTATGCGTTTGGGCCTATTTTTGTACTCCTATTCAGAGGTGTTATTCTTGTGGCAGTATAAATCTTATACTATATATGTTAATCTTATAACATAAATTTGTTTATATACATTTTAATATCTAGTAAGAATAATTTCTTATAAAACTAGTTTTTAAGATTTTCTTGGATATTTTCACCTATTTTTTCCCCACATGATCTGCAGTATCACTTTTTTTCAACTCCCTCTCCCATCAAAACCTACTGATATTTAGATTGGCATGTTTTGAATTTATAGACCAACTTACAGAGAATCAGGAACTTCATATTATTCAGTCTTCTTATCCAAGGTCAAGGTGTGTTTTTCCATTTAATTGTCTTTTTTATATCATTCAATAGAATTTTGAAGTTTATTTGTTAAATAACGTCTGAATCATTTTCAAAAACTTGTTTTTACTTTTTCCTCCAATTGATTGTCTTTTGTCTATGCTGTTTTGCTGGTTACTTTTAAATCATCTATGATTAGGCGTTGTGTCCTTTTTTTCAGCTTTGAATGGAAGTAACTGTTTGCTGAAGTGCAGTATGTGAAGAGGTGGGAGGAAATGAACTTGGGCATCTCAGAAGCTTTAATTCAGGTTTGTCTCACTATCATCTCACTCTAAATTGTCACGTCTTCCGCTGAGGTTATTTTTCCTCTTAATTTAGGAGAGGAAGCTCATTCCACAGCTCATTGCAATCAATCTGTGGAATGAGCTTCAGGTCAGCGTGACTCTGTGAAATGCCTTGAGTTAGAGGTGTTCAATGTGATCTTGTTTAGTTAATTTGTTTTCGACTCACTGGCCAACATCTGTGTAACTGTGTGTTGCCTATTTCCTCTGGAGGATCTCAGAAAATGAAGATGATATTTCGGTATAATTTCCCCTTTCCTCTAGCTCCCCTTCTGTGTTATAGGACTGTTTTCCTAAGGGGTCATTCCTGTTGTTTTCACTGTGTGACACAGCCCTGAATCACATCATCAGGGCTTGAACACTTAAGAGAATCTACACCCTGCCTGAAATCTATGGAAGCAGACATTAACTCAGATTCCTGCATTGCTTTGGTCCAAATTTCACTGCAACAGGAAGATATTATTTTCAATGTGTAGTGTAGGGTTGTGGCTATTTCTTTGATTCATTGAAGATCCTTTATTCTTTTATTTTTTATTCAGATGATTCTGATGCACAGCCAAGATTGACAATCATAGAGCAACATTGAGGGGAATCTCAAGTTGGAAGTATGTAGTATCCTCTAACTGTATTGATCTCAGAAAACTTTCTCTGCAGCACAACTATCAACCACTCTCCTAACTAAGTATTGTTCCAGAAATACTAGCTTGGTGAATACTGACTTTGGCCAAATAGGTAAATTAGCCCAGGTTTACCCACAAGTAAAAGCATTCTTAATCACTAGTTTTTCTTAACTTTTTATTTTGAGACAATTAAATACTTATAAACAGTTGCAAATATAGAACAGAATGGTCCTGTGTACCCTTCACCCAGCTGCCCCTAATGGTAACATTTTACACAACTATAGTGCAATACCCGAACCAGGAAATATTTTAACATCGGTACAATCTACAGACCTTATTCAGATTGCACTAGATTTTACATGCACTCGTGTGTGCGTGTGTGTGTGAGTGTATTTCTAAGCAATTTTATCACATATATGGATTTGTGTAACTACCACTACAACCAAGGTTCAGAACTTTTTCATTACCACAAAGATACACCCTTATACTAAGCTCGTACTTTCTCTGATTCCTGACTACCACTGATTTGTTCTTATTATTTAAATGATAAAATAATATAGATGGTTATATAAATGGAATTATACAGTAAGTAACCTTTTGAAATTGTCCTGTTTTCATTCAGCATAATAATCCTGAGATTCATCCAAGTTGTACCTGTATCAATAGGTTGATGTTGTTTTTTTTAATTGCTAAGTGGTATATCCCATTGTGTTAACCACTAATCTGTGACCACTCAATAGGAAATAAAACTAGGTGGGAAGGGAGTAGTAGCACTGCCAGTGGCCAGAACTGCCCGTAGGGACAAAAAAAAAAAAAAAAAAAAAAAAAAGGAATTACAAGGTCTTCCTTTGTAATGCATGAAAGTTTAATACTATCAAGAACAAATGGTTATATAGTGTTTACAGTACACCAGGTATGTACAGATTAAGTAATTTTCCCAAGCTTACACAACTGGTAAGTGGCAAAGCCAGGCTTTAAACTTGGCAGTCTGGCTAGAGTTCCTGTTCTTAACTGCTATGTAATACCACCTCTTCACCATGCTATACCACTTAGAAAAGTGCCTTCCTTGTCCATACTCAGGACTAGATAGGGCCAAGGAAAGCAGCCAAGAAGAAATAAGTACAAACTGAAGGCAAGGGGTTGAGGTGCTCATCTAAAGAGGAAAATTAAGAATTTCATCTTATCTAGTAGTGGTACTCCACTGAATCTACTTGTAGCTCATGTCTGGGTAACTTTGTCAAGATTTATAGCTTAGGGAGACCATTGGGTAGGGGTTAGCCTGCAGTTCACATCCATCATACCCAGGAATATGATGAAGATGGGCTTAGTAAATTTATATTTCAATTAAATGCAGGGTAATACATTACCCTTGAAGATTTCTTTTAGCTTTCCAACTTGTTATATTTTATTATTACCCATCTGTTTTCTTATAGTTAGCAGCAATAGACAGCCTTTAAATCAATAGATGTAAGAAGGGAAAAGAAGCTGGTAAAGCAATTGGCTCCTTAGCATCCTTGAGGAGAGCCCAAAGGGAAATGTAAGAGAATTGGGCATTGTAGACACTTTGTACTGCTTTTCAATTTTGTCACTTATTGGCTGTGTGACCTTAAGCAAGTCACTTAACTCTCTAATCCTCATTGATCATAATTATAAAATGGAACTGTTAAATGACTATTTCATGGAGTTATTGTAAGACTTAAATGACATACTATTTTTCAAACACTTAGCATAGTGTTTGGCACACAGTAAACATTCAAATAATAATTACTATTATTAGTGCCACAATTACAATAAGTGAGTTTTACTTGGGACTCCAGGCAAAATGTCATGAAACTAAAGATGTTAAAATTGGTATTAATTCACCCAGGCTGGCTTCAAGAGAAAAAGATCCTTTCATGTATACATCTTTCATGAAATGCGTGAAACATACCTTTCATGTATGTCATGTAATTATTCCTGCCCTTTCTTGTTTTTTTCTCCCTGAATCAATAGCTCTCAATTGATTTCTGGTAAACACTTACCTTTTTATATCATCACTACATCTTTACTCTTTCAATGTCACTTTGAATTTTTATCTGTTCCTCCAAAGGGCCAGTACTCTACATAATCTGTTGCCTGTGAAAGTCTAGGATATACACTTTTTTCTTTAGTAATGTTGAATATAATGGGACCCTTTCTAGAACCCTAGACCCCCATTTCTATGTTTATATTTCATTGATAACACCAGTGAAACTATAAGACAGGAATTTAAAAACTATTTCCAGTTTGGAATGCTTTCCTCAAAACCTCTTTTAGTTTTGGCCAGGGTATTAATAGGGGATGCAGAGACCAGTCAGTAATTTATTGAATTGGTTTTGAAAAAATATATTTTTATCAGGAAATCCATTTCTCTGGGGCAAAATCACTGCCTTTTTTTAATTTTTAATTTTTGTTGGAACATAGGAGGTGTATATATTTATGGGATACATGAGATGCTTTGACACAGGCATGCAATGCATAATGATCACCTCAGTGTAAAAGGAGTATTGAACACCTCAAGTATTTATCCTTTGTGCTACAAAGAGTTTAATAATAATCCTTTATTTTTTTAATTTATAATAAATTATTGTTGACTGTAGTCACCCTGTTGTGCTATCAAATACTAGATTTTATTCATTTTATCTATTTTTGTACCCATTAATTATCCTTACTCTCCTGCGCCCCTCCATGACCCTTCCCAGCCACTGGTAATCATCCTTCTATTCTCTATTTCCATGGGTTCAATTGTTTTAATGTTTAGCTTTCACGAATCATTGAGAACTTATGAAGTTCGTCTTTTACTTCACCTTATTAACATAACGACCTGCAGTTCCACCCATGTTGTTGCAAATAACAGGGTCTCATTCTTTTTAACGACTGAATAGTACTTCATTGTATATATGTACCACATTTTATTTTTCCATTCATCTGTTGGTGGACACTTAGGTTGTGTCCAAATCTGGGCTATTGTAAATAGTGCTGCAGTAAGTATGGGCATGCAGATATTTTTTTGATATACTGATTTCCTTTCTTTTGGATATATATGTAGCAGTGGGATTGCTGGATTGTATAGTAGCTTTATTTTTAGTTTTTTGACAAATATCCAACCTGTTCTCCATAGTGGTTGTACTAAGTTACATTCCCACCAACAGTGTCCTAGGGTTCTCTTTTCATTGCTTGTAGAAGTTTAAGAGAATACAAAAGGTGAAAGGCAATGGATGACATACCAAATGGCACCTATTTAAAACATTTGCACTGTACCCGGTGAGAAATGACATTTGAGGAAAGTAGAGGTCTTTCTCAAAATATTTTCCTTAAACTATTACCACTATTTACAACTTCAGGCCAAATATTATAATGTTGACCTCCTGGAATTGGTATTAACTCACACCAGCCTGGCTTGCATTAAAAAAAACAGTTTCTTTAGTCTAATAGAAAACAAGGACTCTGGAAATAGGATGCACTACTTAGAATAAGTTAGGTGTAATTCAAGTTTTAATATAATTCTGCAGTCTTTACATTGAAAGGCAAATGAAAAAAATGGACGAGGAAAAATAAATCACATCTATTTATTATTTTGTTAATTTTTTTTCCTGGGTTCAGGGTACAAAGAAAGCATTTCAACAAATGTAATATAACTGTAAATATTGGAAGAAATGTGTTTTCACAGCGTAATAATTGTGTCAGCAGGTTGCCAATTAATTGAAATTCTTCTGTGTATTTAAGTAGTATTTAAGTAGTCTGAAGTCCTAGAGAAAGAACATGGCTATTTAAAAAAATCTGCCTAGATGATGAAGCTTTAGAAAAATAAAACCTGACTTATTTCAATGTATACTAAAGGAACAATCTCTAAGCAGTACATGGGAAAGCCTTCAGAAAATTTCTCTAGCATAGAGAAATCTCTGGTTGATTTTCTGAACAACAGTTTTAGAAATGAGTCTTTTCAAAGGTTGCAATTAGGTTTGTTGAGATAGTGTAACTATTTCTTCATGTATAATTATTACTGATGAAGTAACTTTACAAGAACCAACAAAACAAATGCGTGTATTAAGGTACAGGTTTGAAGAAGTATTAACCCAGCAGTATGATTTTTATTTCAAGATATTTTTATGAGGAAACGAGATCACAAATGCTATTGGCAAACTTTAATTATAGTAGTATTTATATGCAAAAAGAGAATAGTTATTTTTTGGAGCAGAATCACATATTTGATATTAAATGTAGCTCACACAAAGTGTTTGTGTATTTCTATCCAGCAAAAATATATTAGGCACTTTTTACAAAATATATCAAAATTTCTTGATGTTTAAGTTTCTTTACTTGGCCTGTCTTCTGTATCTTGCAACTTGCTTTGTGATAGTTTTCCTAATGGTAACTTATATCTAAAGAAAGGTAAAAGAGACTGAGTTACATTCCTCATTCAATTTCAGGATCTGTTTTGATATTTGCAAGTAAAGACCATACTAACACCATTTGTAAAACAAAGTATAAATATAAAACTACTTGTAAAAGAAAGGAATAGGCAATTCAGAAAAAATTTTAAAAATTACCTGTCCTAGTAATAAAAAAAAAATTAAAATGATGATGCACTGTCAAATACTGCAAGTGGAAGGGTAAAACAGTACACATAGCTGGAGTACTGTTTGATGATACTTAACGAAAACCTGAAAAATGTGCATACTCTTTGAACCAACAAATGTTCAAGGAATTTGTCCTAAGGAAATAATAGTGAAGAAAAAACGATTTTAATACTGTTCATTTCAGTATTGCTTATAATATTGAAATATTGAAAACAATGTAAATGTCCAGCAATAGAAAACTCAGTTTATAAGTTACGGTTTATTTATAAGGTTGAATAATTTGAAGACCATTTAAAGTAATAATGTAGATCTATAATGACACTGAAAGATACCTAGGATAAATTGTTTAATGAAAAATGTCACAGAATATGGAAATATATGTATGTATGCTTAAAAACAGGGATACTATGTAGTGTTAGATGATTTTGTTGTTCTGTGAACATCATAGAGTATACTTACACAAATCTAGATGGTATAGTCTTCTACACACCTAGGATATATGGTATAGTCCATTGCTACTAGGCTACAAACCTATACAGCATGTTACTGTACTGAATACTGTAGGCAATTGTAATAAAATAACAGGTAGTTATGTATTTACATATGTCAAAACACAAAAAAGGTAGAGGAAAATACAGCATAACAGATTGCAACATGGTACACTTGTGTGGGACACTTAACGTCAATGGAGCTTGCAGAATGGGAAGTCACTCTGGGTGAGTCAGTGAGTGCTTAGTGAGTTAATGTGAGGGCCTAGGACATTACTGTACATTCCTGTAGACTTTATAAATACTGTACAATTAGGCTACACTAAATTTATAAAAAATACTTTTCTTTCTTCAATAGTAGATTAACCTTAGCTTACTGTAACTGTTGACTTTATAAATTTTTAATTTTTAAAAATATTTTCACTCATAATAACACTTAGGTAAAAACACAAATACATTGCACAGTAGACAAAATTATTGTCTTTACATCATTATTCTTTAAGCATTTTCTATTTTTAAATGTTTTATTTTCATTTTTTACTTTTTAAAGTGTTTTTGTTAAAAACTATGATACAAACACATACATTAGCCTCGGCTACACAGGGTCAGGGTCATCAATATCACTGTCGTCCACCTCCACATCTTGTCCCACTGGAAGGTCTTCAGAGACAATACTATACATGGAGCTGTTATCTCCTATGACAATACTTCCTGAAGGACATGCCTGAGGCTGTTTTATAGTTATTTTTAATAAGTGGGAGCAATAAATTCTAAAATAATGATAGGAAGTATAGTAAGTATGCAAACCAGTAGCAGTCATTAATTATTATAGTCAAGTATTATGTACTGTATATAATTGTATGTGCTGTACTTTTCTACAACTGGAAGTGCAGTAGGTTCGTTTACACCAGCAAACAGGTTACAAACAGATGAGTAATGTGTCATGCTACAATGTTGGGATGGCTATGACTTCACTAAGTGATAGGAATTTTTCAGCTCCATTATGATTTTATGGGTCCACCATTTATATGTGTGCCATCATTGACTGAAACATCTTTATGTGTTGCATGACTGTATATATGTTACGTGTAATACACAAAAATGTAGATACTGTTTATCTATATGTCCCAGGGTTTGGAGTAATTTATATTCATAATTTTTGGCATTTCAAATTTGATATCATGATCAGAACTTACAGTTGTGATCAAAAGAAAACAAAGTGGGAGAAAAAGAAACATGTTAGAATTATGGTGGATATATATGGGTCAAGGAGAAAATTATGTGCAGCTAAAGTAAAAGAAACATACAAAATTGTGCAAATGCTATATAGGCACATATTTGAGCTATGCAACATTAGAATTGCATTTTTTAAAAATGTATTAAAGCATACACACAGGAGTTGTTCCTTTCAGAATGGTCATCTTAAGAACAAATATTTATTTTAGCAATGCTGACACTAACAGAATGTTAACGATTACCTATTTCCTCATTGTATAGGTGAGAAATCTTGGGCTCTTTGCATCTAAATCCTATCCAAAGTCACAGAAGAGCTAGTTAGCAGGAGGTTCACAAAACCATGCTTCTTTCTCATTCCATTTTTTGAATAATTAACTGTTACTAAAGAACAAAGATTTTCCAACATCTCTGAACTTCAATGGTTAATTTTCCCTTTAATACCGTAATAACTAGTCTTAGCATTCCTTTCCCCAAGTAACCTAACTATCTGACCAGGTAGCCTAATCACAACCTAGTTTCCTTTTCCAATTATTTCTGAGAAACAGCAGAGAGGGTCTGGTTTTATGGTCGAAAAGTATGTCTGCTTCTCACTTTTCAGTTCTTTTTTTAAGTTTTTGTGCATACATAATAGGTATATTAATATATGAGGTACATAAAATGTTTTGATACAGGCATACAATGCGTAATAATCACATCAGAGTAAATGGGATGTTGATCACCTAAAGCATTTACTCTTTCTTTGTGTTACAAACAATCCGATTATACTCTTTAAATCATTGTTGACTGCAGTCACCCTGTTGTGCTACCAAATGGGGGATCTTATCCATATTTTTGTACCCATTAACCATTCCCACTACCTGCCCCACCTCAAAACCCTTCCCTTTTGTTTTACTCTCTATCATGAGTTCTATTGTTCTAATGTTTACCCCCCACAAGTAAGTGAGAACATGCAAAGTTTGTCTTTCTCTGCCTGGCTTATTTCACTTAACATAATGACCTCTACTTCTCTCTAAGTTGTTGCAAATGACAGGATCTCATTCTTTTTATGGCTGAATAGTACTCCGTTGTGTATATGTACCACACTTTCTTTATCCATTCTTCTGCTGATAGACATTTAGGTTGCTTCCAAATCTGAGCTATTGTAAATAGTGCTGTAATAAACATGAGAGTGCACATATCTTTTGGATATAGTGATTTCCTTCTTTTGCATACATACCTAGCAGTGGGATTGCTGGATAATATGTTAGCTCTATTTTTAGTTTTTTGAGCAAACTAAAACTATTCTCCATAGTTATTGTACTAAAGTACATTCTCACCAACAGTGTATTAGAGTTTCCTTTTCTCCACATCCTTGCCAGCATTTGTTATATCCTGCCTTTTGGATAATAGCCACATTAGCTGAGATGAGATAATATCTCATTGTAGTTTTGATTTGCATGTCTCTGATATTGAGCACCTTTTCATATATCTGTTTGCCATTTGTATGTTCTATTAGTCCATTCTTGAACTGCTATAAGGAATCATCTGAGACTGGGTAATTTATGAAGAAAAGAGGTTTAATTGACCCATAGTTTCACAAGATGTACAGGAAGCATGATGCTGACATCTGCTTGGCTTCTGGGGAGGCCTCAGGAATCTTACAATTGTGGCAGAAGGTGAAGATAGAGCACAGACATCACATGGCCACAGTAGGAGCAAGTTGCGGGGAGGTGCTACACACTTTCAAACAACCAGATCTCATGAGAACTCTATCATGAGAACAGCACCAAGGAAATGGTGCTAAGCCATTCATGAAAGATCCACCCTATGATTCAATCACCTGAGCCAAGGCCCCACCTTCAATATTGGGGATTACATTTGGACATGATATTTGGGTGGGGACACAGATCTAAACCTTATGATTTCTCCCCTGGACCCTAAAATCTCATGTCCTTTTTAAATTGCAAAATATAATTATCCCTTCTTAATAATCCCCTGAAGTCTTAACTCATTTCAACATTAAATCAAAAGTACAAAGTTCAAAGTCTCATCTGAGACAAGACTAGTCCCTGCTGCCTATGAGCCTGGAAAATCAAAAATGTGTTGCAATGGGGGTACAAGCATTGGGTAATTATTCCCATTCCAAAACGGAGAAATAACGCACCCCCCCCCGAAAAAAAAGGAGCAACAGGTCCCATTCAAATCCAAAATCCAGCAGGGCAGTAACTAAATCTTAAAGCTTCAAAATAGTCTTATTTGACTCCATGTCTAACATCCTAGCCACAGTGGTTCGGCCCCTGAAGTGGCTCTCATGGGCTGGTGTTCAGTGGCTTCAGCTTTTCCAGGCACACGTTGCAAGCCAGTGGATGTAACATTCTGGAGGCTGGAGGAGGGTGGCCCTCTTCCTACAGCTACACTAGGGAGTGCCCCAGTAGGGACTTAAGTAGGTGCTCAAACCCCACGTTTTTCCTTCACATTTCCCTAATAGAGTTTCCCCATGAGGGCCCCTTTCCCAAAGCAGGCTCCTGCCTAGACATCCAGGATTTTTCTTACATCCTCTGAAATCTAGGCAAAGACATCCAAGCCTCTATTCTTTCACTCTGCACCCGCTGGCTTAACACCACATGGAAGCCACCAAGGCTTATGGCTTTCACTCTCTGAAGCAGCAGCCTGAGATGTACCTGGGCCCCTTTGAGCCACAGCTAGAGCTAGAGCAACTGGGATATGGGGAACAATGTCCCTAGGCTGCACAGAACAATGGTTCCCTGAGCCTGGCTCCTGAAACCATTCTTTCCTTTCAGGCCTCCTGGTCTCTGATGGGAGGGGCTGCTGCAAAGGTCTCTGAAATACCTTCCAGGCCTTTTCCCCATTGTCTTGGCTATTAGCACTTGCCTCCTTTTTACTTATGCAAATCTCTGCAGCCTTCTTGAATTCCTCCCCTGAAAATTGGTTTTTCCTTTCTATTACATGGCCAGGTTTCAAATATTCTGAATTTTTATGCTCTGCTTCCTTTTTAAATATGTTTCAATTTCAGATCATTTATTTGCTCAAAAATATAGCATAGGCCACTAGAAGCAGCCAGGTTACTTCTTGTGCAGTTTGCAGCTTAGAAATTTCTTCTACCAGATACCCTATATTATCACTTAAAAGTTCAAAATTCCACGGATCCTTAGAGCAGGGACACAGTGCAGTGAATCTCTTTGCTAAGCATTACAAAAGTGACCATTGCTTCAATTCCCAATAGATTCCTCTTTTCGATCTGAGACCTCCTCAGCCTGGCCTTCACTGCCCATATCACCATCACCATTTGGGTCATAATCATTCAACCAGTCTCTAGGAAGTTTCAAACCTTCCCTCATCTTCCTGTCTTTTACTGAGGCCTGCAAACTGTTCTGCCCTCTGCCTGTTACCCACATGTACTGCTTCCACATTTTCCGGTATCTTTATATCAATGCCCTGTTAATTACCTATATTAGTCTGTTCTTCCACTGCTATACAGAAATACCTGAGACTGGGTAATTTATAAAGAAAATGTGTTTAATTGTCTCATGGTTCCACAGAAAGTATAATGCCAGCATCTGCTCAACTTCTGGGGAGGCCTCAGGAAACTTACCATTATGGCAGAAGGGAGAACACAGACATATGACCAGGGTAGGATTAAGGAGGTGGGGGATGTGCTACACACTTTCAAACAGCCAGATCTCATGAGAACTCTATCATAAGAACAGCACCAAGGAAATGGCAGTAAGCCATTCATGAAAGATCCACCCCCAAGATTCAGTCACCTCCCCCTAGGCCCCATCTCAAATATTGAGGATTACCAATTCACATGAGATTTTTTGGGGACACAGATGCAAACCATATCATATGTCTTCTTTTAAGAAATGTCTTCTCAGATCTTTTGCCATTTTAAAAATTAGATTATTAGTTTTTTCTCTATAGTGTTGAGTTCTTCATATATTCTTGATATTAATTCCTTGTCAGATGGATCATTTGCAGATATTTTCACCCATTCTCTTGGTTGTCTCTTCACTTTGTTGTTTTCTTTGCTGTGCAGGAGCTTTTTAACTTTATGTGATACCATTTGTCCATTTTTGCTTCAATTGCTTGTTTGTGCTGTATTACTCAAAAAATATTTGCCCATTCCAATGACCTGGAGAGTTTCCCAATGTTTTCTTTCAGTAGTTTCATATTTTGAGGCCTTGTATTTAAGTCTTTAGTTCATATTGGTTTGATTTTTGTGTGTAGTGATAGATAGGGGTCTAGTTTCATTTTTCTGCATATGAATATCCATTTTTTCCAGCACCATTTATTGAAGACACTGTTTTTTTTTTTCCTCAATATGTCTTCTTGGCATCTTTGTCAAAAATGAGTTCACTGCAGATGTGTGGATTTGTTTTTGGGTTCTCTATTCTTT
The DNA here is from genome assembly GCF_000001405.40 of Homo sapiens. NCBI lineage: Eukaryota > Metazoa > Chordata > Mammalia > Primates > Hominidae > Homo > Homo sapiens. Next base: position 93,647,927 of record NC_000023.11, on the reverse strand, counting down.
TGCATTGGTCTATGTGTCTGTTTTCATGCTGGCACCATACCATTTTGGTTACTATAGCTCTGTAGTACAATTTGAAATAGTGTAATGCAATTCCTCCAGTTTTTTTCTTCTATCAGGATAGCTATGACTATGACTATCCTGGGTCTTTTGTGGTTCTGTGTTAATTTTAGGTCTGTTTTTCTACTTTTGTGAAAAATGTCTTTGGTGTTTTGATAGAGATTGCATTAAATTTGTAGATTCCTTTAGGTAGTATGGACATTTTAACAATATTGATTCTTCCAACCCATGAACTTGGAATATCTTTTCATTGTTTTGTGTCCTTCTCAATTTCTTGCATCAATGTTTTACAGTTTTCTTTGTAGAGATATTTCACTTAATTGAATAAGTTAATTCTTAGGTATGTTATTTTCCTTGTAGCTCTTGTATAAGGGATTACTTTCTTGATTTTTTTTAGATTGTTTGCTGTTGACATATAGAAATGCGACTGATTTTTTATGTTGATCTTGTGTCCTGCAACTATCCTGAATTTACCAATTTTAAGAGCTTTTTTGATGGATTTTTAAGACTTATCCAAATATAAGATCACATTGTCTGCAAATAAAAATGATTTCATTTTTTCTTTCCCATTTGGATGCTATTTATTTCTTTCTCTTGTCTCTAGCTAGAACTTCCAATACAATATTGAATAACAGTGGTGAAAGTGGGCATCCATGTTGTGTTGTGGATTTTAGTATGAAGGCTTTCAGTATTTTTTCCCATTCAGTATGATACTAGCTTTGGGTCTGTTGTATATAGCTTATATGATGTTGAGATATGTTCCTTCTATCTCCAGTTTTTGAAGGATTTTATTACAAAGCGATGTTGAATTTTATCAAATGCTTATGCAACATCAAGCTGAATTCTACCAGAAATACAAAGAGGAGCTGATACGTTTCATTTGAAACTATTCCAAACAATTGAAAAGTAGGGATTTCTCCCTAACTCATTCTATGAGTCCAGCATCATCCTGATACCCAAACCTTGCAGAGATACAACAGCAACAACAAAAAGAAAACTTAAGACCAATATCCCTGATGAATATCAATGCAAAAATTCTCAATAAAATACTGGAAAACCAAACACAACAGCACATGAAAAAGTTTATCCACCAAGATCAACTTGGCTTCATTCCCAGGATGCAAGGCTGGTTCAACATACACAAATCAATAAACGTAATTCATCATATAAACAGATCTAAAGACAAAAACTACATAATTTTCTCAATATAAGCACAAAAGGCCTTTGATAAAATTCAGCATCTCTTTTTGTTAAAATCTCTTAATAAACTAGGTATTAAAGGGACATACATCAAAATAACAGGAGCCATTTATGACAAACCCACAGCCAAAGTCATACTGAATGGGCAAATGCTGTAAGCATTCACCTTGAAACCCAGCACAAGACAAGGATATCCTCTCTCACCACTCCTATTCAGCATAGTATTGGAAGTTCTGGCCAGGGCAATCAGGCAAGAGAAATTTAAAAAGGTATTCAAATAGGAAGAGAGGAAGTCAAATTGTCCCTGTTTTCAGATGACATGATTGTATATTTAGAAAACCCCATTGTCTCAGCCCAAAATCTCCTTAAGCTGATAAGCAACTTCAGCAAAGTCTCAGGATACAAAATCAATGAGCAGAAGTAACAAGCATTCCTATATACTAACACAAGCAAGCAAAGAGCCAAACCATGAATGAACTTCCATTCACAATTGTTACAAAGAGAAAATACCTAGGAATACAGTTAACAAGGGAAGTAAAGGACCTTTTCAAGGAGTACTACAAACCACTGCTCAAGGGAAATAGAGAGGACACAAACAAATGGAAAAATGTTCAATGCTCATGGATAGGAAGAATCAATATTGTTGAAATGGCCATACTCCCTAAAGTAATTTATATATTCGATGCTATTCCCATTAAACTACCATGGCCATTCTTCACAAAATTAGAAAAAAAATTTTAAAATTCATATGGAACCAAAAAAGAGCTCATATAGCCAAGATAATCCTAAGCAAAAAGAACAAAGCTGGAGGCATCATGCTACCAGACTTCGAACTATACTATAAGGCTACAATAACCAAAACAACATGGTACTGGTACCAGAATGGACACAAAAGCAATAGAACAGAACAGAGAACTCAGAAATAAGACTGCATATCTGCAACCATCTGATCTTTGACAAACCTGACAAAAACAAGCAATGGGGAAAGCATTCCCTATTTAACGAATGGTGCTGGGAAAACTGGCTAGCCATATGCAGAAAATTGAAACTGAACCCCTTCCTCACACCTTATGCAAAAATTAACTCAAGATGGATTAAAGATTTAAATGTAAAACCCCAAAGTATAAAAACCCTAGAAGAAAATCTAGGCAACACCGTTCTGGACAAAGTCATGGGCAAAGATTTTATGATGAAATTGCCAAAAGCAATTGCAACGAAAGCAAAAATTGACAAATGGGATCTAATTAAACTAATGAACTTCTGCACAGCAAAATAAACTATCAGAGAAAACAGACAACTCACAGAGTGGGGGAAAATTTTTGCAATCTATCCATCTGACAAAGGCTAATATCCAGAATCCCCAAGGAACTGAAACAAATTTACAAGAACAAACAACCCTATTAAAAAGTGGGCAAAGGACATGAACAGACACTTTTCAAAAGAAGACATTCATCCTGCCAACAAACGTATGAAAAAAGCTCAACATCATTGATCATTAAAGAAATGCAAGTCAAAAACCACAGTGAGATACCATCTCACACCAGTCAGAATGGCAGTTATTAAAAAATCAAGAAACAACAGATGTTGGCGAGCTTGCAGAGAAATAGGAATGCTTTTACACTGTTGGTGAGAATGCAAATTAGTTCAACCATTGTGAAAGACAGTGTGGTGATTCCTCAAAGATCTAGACCCAGAAGTACTATTTGACCTAGCAATCCCATTACTGGGTATATACCCAAAGTAATGTAAATTATTCTATTACAAAGATACATGCATGTGTATGTTCATTGCAGCACTATACACAATAGCAAAGACATGGAATCAACCCAAATGCTGATCAACGATAGACAGGATAAAAAAAAATGTGGTACATACACAGTATGAAATACTATGAAGCCATAAAAGGAGTGAGATCATGTCCTTTTTAGGGACATGAATGAATCTGGAAGCCATTATCCTCAGCAAGCTAATGCAGGAACAGAAAACCAAACACTGCATGTTCTCGCTTATAAGTGAAAGCTGATCAATGAGAACACATGGACTCAGGGAAGGGAACAACACACACTGAGCCCTGTTGGGGGTTGTGGTGAGAGGAGGGAGAACAATAAGAAAAATAGCTAATTCATGTTGGGCTTAATACCCAGGTCATGGGTTGATAGGTACAGCAAATCACCATTGTACACATTTATCTACGTAACAAACCTGCACATCCTGCACATGTTCCCCAGAACTAAAAATAAAAATTAAAATAAAAAAAGGAAAATTGAAAAACAAAAGCCAGCATTTCCTTCAGCAGAAACTTCACCCTTGCCACAGGGTATCTAGCCATGATGTTCCAGATGAAACAATTATACTATGTATTTCTCAGTCTGTATTATTCAGATATACATAGAATAAGTGCATTTCCTTCTGTAAACCAAAAAAAGGATTTTGAAATACAGGGCCTAGACTATCTTTACAGTTGCCTCTTTTTATGTCTCTTCCTGTCTCCTTGTTTCAGTGTGTATCTCTCACTTTCTCTAGTGTTCTACTTTCTCCTTGTTTTGTCTACCATCACTCTTCTCTATCTTAATTTTTTTTCACGTTCTTTCTTGCTTTTGACTTTTTGGACAAATTGTGAAGTCAACTTTTGCTTGCTATTGCTTTTCTACAGCGTGTTTTGCATAGTTAAGTGTACTGTAATCTGTAAAATTTAATTGGAAGTCTCAGGCAAGGGGATTGTTTTTACTTCTAAATTGGATAAAATAAGTTTATTAATAAAATTAATCTGGTTTTTAAAATCCAAGCTGAGGAATTGACCATCCAAAAGAGACTGCTATGTCTTTTTAAAGATTCAAAATAAATTAGCAGCAGTACACTCACTACAAAGCCCGAAACAATGCAAACATCCCAAGCATAGATATCAAAGTAGAATAAATTTTGATGTTGAACATAGTTCATAACTTTTTATACATTCTTCACTCTAAGACATCAAGTTCTTTTGTCAGTAATTGGATATATTTTTTATACTTGGTAAATCCCTGAGACAAGGCTATGACTTTATATTTTAAATAATACTAAAGTAAAAGGAATCACCCTTCTCCTCTCTATTTCTCCCTTATTCCTTTCCACAATATCATATATAAAAGAAATCAAGAACTTCTCACCCTTCTCCAACCTCCAAAAGTAATTATTTAATTATTTTGCAATTTGATCCTTCTGAAAATGGTGACTTCTTTGAGAGATAATTAATAAACATTACAGTTTACTTTTAAGTATACATTAAATAATTTTTAGTATATTTGCAGAGTGGTTCAATGATCACAATCAAAATTTTCATTACCCTGTTTAGAAATCCTTTATCCATTAGCAGTCACACCCCATTTTCTCCAAATTCCTTCTCCTTGGCCCCAAACCCTAGACAACCACTTATCTTCCTTCTGTTTCTATAGATTTGCCTATTCTGGACATTTCATAGAAATTGAGTCATATAACATATGACCTTTTGTGACTGGCTTCTTTCATTTAGTATGTTTCCAAGGTTTATCTGTATCATAGCATGTATCAATTCTTTACACCTTTAAATGGCTAAATTATATTCCATTTCATTTATATACCATGATTTGTTTATCCATTCACCAACTAATGATATTTGGGTTGTTTCAATTTTTGGGGTCTTATGAATAATGCTATTATGAACATTCATTCAGACATATGTTTTTATTTTTCTTGAATATAAATACACCCAGGAATGGGATTGCTGGGTCACATGATAACTTTATGTTTGCCCTTTTGAGGAAGTGTCAGACTGTTTTCCAAAGCAGCAGCACCATTTTACATTTCCACTAGCAACGTATGAAGATTCTAATTTCATGACATTCTTAGTAACACCTGTTATTTTTTGTCTTTTTACAAAGTGTTATTTTATTTTTAATTGACAGGTAATTGTACATATTTTTGAGGTACAGGGTGATGTTTTGATACATGTATACAATATGTAATGAGTTAGAGAGGATTTTGAATGTTCAAAGAACATTCATCTATCACTAGGAAATGATAAATGTTTGAGGTAATGGATACGCTAATTACAGTAATTTGACTATTTTCTGTCCTTTTTATTACCGTCATCCTAGTGAATGTAAAGTGGTATCTCATTGTGGTTTTGATTTGTATGTCCCTGATGACTAATAATATTAAGCATCTTTTCACATGCTTATAGATAATTTTAATATCTTTGATGAAATGTCTATTCAGATTTGTTGCCAACTATTTATTTGTCTTTTTACTGGTGAGTTGTAAGACTTTGTATATTCTGCATACAAGTCCCTTTATTAGGTATATTATTTGCAAAAATTTTCTGTTTTGTTGACTGTTTTTTACTTTCTTTTTTTTCTAAATTTTATTTATTATTTATATACTTATCTTTCTTTTTAAATTTTTATTTATTTATTTTTTAATTTTTTGGGTACAGAGTAGGGGTATGTATTTCTGGGATAAATGAGGTGTTTTGACACGGGCATGTCATGTGAAATAAGCACATTATACGTAATGAGGTATCCATCCTCTCAAGCATTTATCCTTTGAGTTACAATCCAATTATACTTTTAAAGTTATTTTAAATTAAGTACAATTAAGTCACAATTGACTGTAATCATCTTACTATGCTATCAAATAGTAGGTTTTATTTGTTCTGTCTATATTTTTGTACCCACTAACCATCCCCACCTCCCCTTGTAGCCCCCCCACCACTAACCTTCAAAGCCTCTGATAACCATCTTTCTACTATCTATGTCCATGAGTTTAATTGTTTTGATTTTAAGATCTCACAAACAAGTGAGAACATCTGATGTTTGTTTTTCTGTGTCTGCATTATTTCACTTAATATAATGATCTCCAATATTCTGCATGTTGTTGCAAGTTACTGGGTCTCATTTTTTTTATACATATCTGAATAGTACTACATTGAGTATATGTACCACATTTTCTTTATCCGTTCATCAGTTGATGGACATTGAGTTTGCTTCCAAATTTTGGCTATTGTAAATAGTACTGCAACAAACATAGGAGTGCAGATATCCCTTTAATATACTGATTTCCTTTCCTTTGGGTATATACCCAGCAGTAGGATTGTGGAGTCATGTGGTAGCTCAATGTTTAGTTTTTTTTTTTTTTTTTTTTTTTTTTTTTTCCAGAACCTCCATTGTACTAACTTACATTACATTCTCACCAACAGCATATATGGGTTTCTTTTTCTCCACATCCTCACCAGCATTTGTTATTCTCTGTCTTTTGGATATAAGTCATTTTAATTGGCGTGAGGTGATATCACATTGTAGTTTTGATTTGCATTTGTCTAATAATCAGTAATGTTGAGCACCTTTTTATATGCCTGTTGCCATTTGTATGTCTTTTTTTGAGAAATGTCCATTAAAACCTTTTGCTCATTTTTTATTGGATTATTAGACTGTTTTCTACAGAGTTGCTTGAGCTTCTTATTAATATATATTTTGGTTATTAATCTCTTGCCAGATGGGTAGTTTTCCATTTTTTTTTACTCTTGTTATCTCTTCATTTTGTTATTTACTCTTGTTATCTCTTCATTTTGTTGATTGTATTCTTTGCTGTGCAGAAGCTTTTTAACTTGATGTGATCCCATTTGTCTATTTTTATTATAGTTGCCTGCGCTTGTGGGGTAAAGCTCAAGAAATTTCTGCCTAGACCAATGTCCTAGGAATTTTCCCTAATGTTTTTGTCTAGTAATTTTGTAGTTTGATGTCTTAGATTTAAGTTTTTAATCTATCTTTATTTTACTTTTGTATATGGTGATAGGTGGGATCTAGTTTCTTTCTTCTGCATAGGGATATTCACTTTTCCCAGCATCATTTATTTAAGAGACCATCTTATCCCCAGTGTATGTTCTTGGCATCTTTGTCAAAAATGAGTTTACTGTAGGTGTGTGGATTTATTTCTGGGTTTTCTATTCTGTTTCATTGGTCTATGTGTCTGTTTTCATGTCAGTACCATGATATTTTGATTACTACAGCTCTGTAGTATAATTTGAAGTCAGGTAATATAATTCCTCCACTTTTGTTCTTTGTGCATAGCATAGCTTTGGCTATTTATTTTGTAGTTCCATAAAAGTTTTAGGATTTTTTTTTCTATTTCTGTGAAAACTGTTGGTATTTTGATAGGGATTGCTTTGAAACTGTAAATTGCTTTGGGTATTATTGACATTTTAACCATGTTGATACTTTCAATCCAGGAGCATTGTATATCTTCCCATTTTTTGTGTTATCTGCAATTTATTTTATAACTATTTTATGATTTTTGTTATGGAGACTTTTCACTTTTTTGGTTAAGGTAACCCCTTAGAGTTTAATTTTATGTGTGACTACTGTAAATGGGATTTATTTCCTTTTCCAGAGTGTTCACTGTCAGCATATAGAAATGATGCTGAGAGGTTCACTGTAGCCCAAACAGCAAAGATGGCATCCCGCTCATCTCCCTGAGAGCTTTGCTCCAGGGAGTACTGAAACCTCTGTCAGCTGGAGAACATGGGATACAAAGAGCTACCCTTTGTAGATAACCTGGCCTTTCTCTCTAGCTGCCTTTAACATTTTTTTCTTTTATTTAGACTAGACTCTCAATTTCCTTCCATTGATTCATATGTCCTTCTTCATGCTAGTACCACACAGTTTTGATTACTGTAGCTTTGTAGTAAGTTTTGAAGTAATAACTTGTGAGTGCTCCAACTTTCGTTCTTATGTTGGCTATTCTGGTTTTCTTTAATTTCACTGTGAATTTTAGGATCTGCATGTCAATTTCTGTTAAAAAAAAAAAAAAAAAAAAAAGAGCAAAAAGCAACCTGGAAATTTGACAGGAATTTCATTGACTTTCCATATCAATATGGGGAGTATTGCCATATTAACAATACTAATTTGTCTATTCCATAAATGTGGAAGGCTTTTACATTTATCTAGGATTTCTATAATTTTTTAGGAATGTTTTGCAGTTCGCCATACATGTATCATACCTCCTTGGTTAAATTTATTCCTAAGTATTTTATTCTTCTTGATAGTATTATAAATTGAATTATTTTCTAATTTTCATTTACAGCTTGCAATTCTATTTTAAAAATGAATTGTTTATTTACTTTATTGATGTTTTGGGTCTCTATAGACTTTTTCTCTTTGTATAAAGCTAATTAACTTTTAAAACTAATTGTTCCAGTAACAAACTTACACTAAATTACTATTTATATAATGCTGGTTTTCCTTTGTGCATTGGTGTAGCACAGATAAAGATTTACTTGTTCAACCTTTTCCAACACACACACACACACAGACATATATATATGTATAACGTGAAAATGTATAATTCTGTGAATAAAGCATTCCTTAAATAAAGAAATGGCAAGTTTGCTGTTTCATTCTTACTCTCTTTTAATAGTTGAATTGCAAAATAATGATAAATGAATGGCTCTTGGCCATATGTTTAACTTATAATTTGACTGCCTTTCACTTTTCTTGAACTCGGTTTTTCTTTTCGTAAAATCTATATTAGTCTGTTTTTGCACTGCTCTAAAGAAATACCTGAAACTGGGTAGTTTATTTAAAAAAAAAAAAGGTTTCACTACCTCACATTTCCATAGGTTGTACAGGAAGCATGATGGCTTCTGGAGAGGCCTCAGGAAACTTTCAATCATGGTGGAATCCAAACGGGATGCAAGCAAATCTTACGTGGCCACAGCAAAATGAAGAGAGAGAGGAGGGAGGTGCTATACACTTTTAAACAATCAGCTCTTATGAGAAACGACTCACCATCACAAGAACAACACCCAAAAGAATGATGTTAAACCATTCATGAGAAACCACCACCATGATTCAATCAACTCCCACCAGGTTCCACCTCCAACAGTGGGGTTTACAATTCAACATGAGATTTGAGTGGGGACACAGAGCCAATCATTCTGTCCCTGGCCCCTTCCAAACCTCACGTCCTTCTCACATTTCAAAATACAATTTTGCCTTCCCAACAGTTCCCCAAAGTCTAAAATCGTTGCAGTATTAACTTAAAAGTGCGAAATCCAAAGTTTCATCTGAGAAAAGTCTAGTCCCTTCTACCTATGAGCCTGCAAAATAAAAAATGAGTTAGTTACTTCCAAGATACAATAGAGGTATAGGGCATTGGGTAAATACTCCCATTCCAAAAGGCAGAAATCAGGCAAAAGAAAGGGGCTACAGGCCCTACACAAATCTAAAACCCAGCAGAGTAATCATTAAACCATAAAGCTGCCAAATAATCTCCTTTGACTCCATGTCCCAAATCTGGAACACATTGGTGCAAGAGGTGAGCTCCCAAAGTCTCGAGCAGCTCCTCCCCTGTGAATTTGCAGGGTTCAGCCCCCACAACTGCTTTCATGGGCTAGTGTGGAGAGCCTGCAGCTTTTCCAGGTGCACGGTGTAACTGCTGGTGGATCTACTATTCTGGGGTCTGGAGAATAATGGCACTGTTCTCACTGCTCCACTAAACAGTGCCCCAGTGGGGACTCTGTGTAGGGGCCCCAACCCCACATATTTATTCTGCACTACCCTAGTAGAGGTTCTTCATGAGGGCTCTGCTCCTGCAACAGGCTTCTGCTTGGAAATCCAGGCTTCTCCTTGCATCCTCTGAAATCTAGGTAGAGGCTCCTAAGCCTCAGCACTCTGTTCACCTTCAGGCTTACCACCACATGGAAGCCACCAAGGCTTGCAGCTTGCACCCCCTGGGGCAGCGGCCCAAGCTATACCTGAGCCTGTTTGAGCCACAGCTCAAACTGGAGCAGCTGGGATGTGAGGAGCAGTGTCCCACATCTGTGAAACTATTTTTCTTGCCTAGGCCTCTAGGTTTATAATGGGAAGGGCTACCATGATTGTCTCTGAAATGCCTTTGATGCCTCCCCATTGTCCTGGCTAATGACCTTTGGCTCCCCTTTACTTATGCAAATTTCTGCAGCTGGCTTGAATTCCTCACCAGGAAATGGGTTTTTCTTTTCTACCACATATCCAGCTGCAAATTTTCCAAACATCAATGCTCGGCTTCCCTTTTAAATATAATTTCCAGTTTCAGGTCATTTCTTTGCCCACGTATATGAGCATACGTTGTTAGAAGCAGCCATGGCACATCTTGAATGCTTTGCTGCTTAGAAATTTCTCCTGCCAGATACCCTAAATCATCACTCTTAAGTTCAAAGTTTCACAGATTCCTACGGCAGGGGCATAATACAGCCAACCTCTTTGCCAGTGCATAACACTAGTGACCTCTGCTCCAATTGCCAATATGTTTCTCATTTCCATCTGAGACCTCCTCAGCCTGGTCTTCATTGTCCGTATCACTATCAGCATTTTGATCACAACATTTTTTTTTTTTGAGATAGAGTCTCGCTTTGTCACCCAGGTTTGGAGTGTAGTGGCGCAGTGGTGCAATCTCGGCTCACTGCAACCTCCGCCTCCTGGGTTCAAGCGATTCTTATGCCTCAGCCTCCCGAGCAGTTGGGATTACAGGCATGCACCACTGCACCTGGCTAACTTTTGTATTTTTAGCAGAGACCAGGTTTCACAATGTTGGCCAGGCTGGTCTTGAACTCCTGACCTAAAGTGATCCACCTGCCTCAGCCTCCCAAAGTGCTGGGATTACAGGTGTGAGCCACCATGCCTGGCCTGGTCACAACAATTTAACAAGTCTCTAGGAAGTTCCAAACCTTCCCTCATCTTCCTGTCTTCTTGTAAGCTCTCCACACTCTTCCAACCTCTGCTTGTTGTCCAGTTCCAAAGCTGCTTCCACATTTTCAGGTATCTTTATAGCAAAGACCCTCTCCTTGGTACCAACTTTCTGCATTAGTTCATTCTCACATTGCTATAAAGAACTACCTGAGACTGGGTAATTTATAAAGAAAAGGGGTTTAATTAGCTCATGGTTCCGCCAGCCTTACAGCAGCATGATGCTGGCCATCTGTTCAGCTTCTGAGGAAGCCTCAAGAAACTTACAATCATGATGGAAGGCAAAGGATGAGCCAGAACTTCACATGGCCATAGCAGGAAGAAGAGGTTAGGGGAGGTGCTACACATTTTTAAACAACCAGGTCTTATGAGAACTCACTCACCTTCAGGAGAACAGTACCCAGTGTGATGGTGTTAAACCATTCATTAGAAACCGCACACGTGATTCAATCACCTCCCACCAGGCTCCACCTCCAAAATTGGGGATTACAATTCAATGTGAGATTTGGTCAGGGACACAGATCCAAAACATATCAAAGTCCTTATTTTATTCTATCTTTTATTTTTTCCACCAATCTCCTATTATTCTTAGCCTTTGTTCATTTTATCAGTCTTGTGTGAGGATCTGTGTTTCTTCCTAAAAAAAGTTATTATTTGCATTTTTACTTTATCTTAGAGACCACTAAACAGGAAATTGGGCTAAACATGTAACACTGTAGCTGGTAATACTTCTTTTAATGAGACTTCTCATTTCCTTATAGGCCTTCCCTTCAGAATCATCACAGAAATTTCTAACTTCTGTGATATTTTAGGTAATTTTTTTTCCTGTCAATTGCTTAAGTAGTACTGGAGTGAAGGAGATGGAGGTGGGAGAAAGGCTTTTTCCTGGAAGCAAAACTTAAGGAGTATGCTACCTATACTACTCTAGTACACCTACCACTCAGTTGTTATTATACATAGCTCTGTTGCAGTAATTCTTTGGGGGAGATATTTAATGTCACGGCCTTAACATCGTGCCATGCTTGAGCCCATTATGTTAAAGTCTATCAGCCAACTGTTTCAAATTTCCCACATAACTATGTCCTTCCTGAAACTGTTGTTTTAAGAGGATTATTTCTAAAAACCATCATTTTAATGAACTGTAATCAGTATAGCCAGTGTGTTCATTAATTTTATGTGTCATCTTGACTGACTTATGGGGCACCCAGACATTCATTCAAATATTACTTTGGGTTTGTCCGTGAGTGTGTTTGGAGGTGCAATTAACATTTGAATCAGTAGACTAAGTAAAGCTGATTGCCCTTCTTAATGTGGGTAGGACTCATCCAATCACCCTAACACCTGAATAGAACAAGAAGATTGACCCTCCTTCTAATAAGAGGAAACTCTTCCTACCTGACAGCCTTCCAGGTGGAACATTGGGTTTTTTCTGCCTTCAGACTCAAACCCAGTCATTAGCTATTCTGGGATCTTGAGCCTGCCAGACTCAAATTACATTATGTGCTCTTCTAGGTCTCCAGCTTGCTGACTGCAGATCTTGGGACTTTTCAGCCTCCATAATCATGTGAGCCAATTCCTTATAATAAATCTCTCCCTCTTCCTTTCCCTCTCTAATATATCTCCAATGGGTTCTGTTTCTCTGGAGAACCCTGACAAACCAGTATCCTACCTTTTCTTCACAGTAACTCTTCCCACCACCCCATCCCCATCTTTAGAAAACATTTTCTCTCTCATAACTTTTATGCAGTCTGCCACCTACAACTACCCTTCTGAGAGGCTACCCTCAATGACTCTTGAAGGTCTAATATCCCCTACCCTTATAAAGATTTCTCTCTGTCTCTCTCTCTATATATAGATACACACACACACACACACACACACACATACACACACACATGCACACACACACACACACACATATATACACACATATGTATATATGTGTGTGTGTTGTGTATGTGTGTGTGTTGTGTATGTGTGTGTGTTGTGTATGTGTGTGTGTGTGTGTTGAGGCTCTATTCTGTCTACCACTAGATAAGGAATAGCCCTCTATTCACTGGTTATTTTGTATTTTCCAGGAATTTCCATTTCTTTATCAATATTTGTCCCATCCCCTGGCATCCTACTTGCAAATTAACTCTGACTTACCTGGCAATCTTGCTCACAAAAAAAAGATAAACAAATTGCATCATTGTTGTGTTTTCTTCTCTGATAATGCCTCCACTACACATATATATGAGAAAACTGGTTTAGGAGTCAGACAAACCTAAATTTAATGTCAAGGTATGCAGAGCAACTTAATTTATTTTCTGTAAAGTCAGATTCTCATCAGTAAATGGGAATAATAATGCCATCTGTTTCATAGAGCTGCATGGAATAACTGAGATAATGTACAAAATACTTAGCACTGGTTTTCTGCTATATAGTGAATGATTAATAAGCTGGTATTATTACTAGTATTAGTATTATTATTCAGTAGACTAAGGGGATTAATGAAATACTAGCTCTATTCTTTCCAGCTTGCTGCCTAGCCTCTAAAATATATTTTCTTAGTCCTATATATAAAGTGATTCTATGGAAAATCTAGCTCATTTTGTTTACCTCTATCTACAGAGAATATACACACAGATCAGTAATATTTATGGTGGGTTTTCAGTAAAGAAATTAACCTCTTACAGCCTGTGATGAATCTAGGTTGACATCAGGAAGAGTCATTTATGGTGATAGATGAAACAATGAAATTAATTATTGTAAAGTGCATACCTAAGACACTTTACAAGAATATTCAAATATGAGAGAATTACAAATGTAACTTTCCAAAGTAAACAACTTTATCATTACCTACCATAAACAGTCCCTGTCCTTAAGTTTCTAAGCAAAGAGAAAGTTACTAATAATTTTATATTCCAGCTGCTCAAGTAGATAATAGCTTGTATTTTTTAGGAAAATCAAAATTCATGCATGAATAAGATTAATACTTTTTGCTATACATAGGCACAAGTATATTCTTAGCAAAATGTTAATAGAATTGAAGTATAGACGTTTAAGAATATTTATCCTATTTGAAAAATTTATCTTGTTACCTTGTTTTATTTGATTTTGATTACTTTCAATTTTTCATCTTCAAAAGTGACAGGCTTAGGTATTCAAATACAGAGATCACATTTCTTCTAGGAAAAGGAAGAATTCAAATGATCATTAGATTCTCAAGTTGTTCAGGTAGAAAAGTGAAACTGTCAAGTTACATATTGGCAAAAGTGTGTGATAACCAGCCCATGCTCTGAATAAAGTAAACAAGGAAGAATACTTTGTTTTTAATTATCAAAAGGGTTTAGAGCATTGATGTTGTGTTTTTCCCCCAAATTAATTTTGACTAAGGAAAGAAGTTCTATGTTCAATCCTTGGCCCATTAAAAATGTCCTTTATCTCTCTCTCTCTCTTTTTTTATTTTATTTTATTATTATTATACTTTAAGTTTTAGGGTACATGTGCCCAATGTGCAGGTTAGTTACATATGTATACATGTGCCATGCTGGTGTGCTGCACCCATTAACTCGTCATTTAGCATTAGGTGTATCTCCTAATGCTATCCCTCCCCCCTCCCCCCACCCCACAACAGTCCCCAGAGTGTGATGGTCCCCTTCCTGTATCCATGTGTTCTCATTGTTCAATTCCCACCTAGGAGTGAGAGTATGCGGTGTTTGGTTTTTTGTTCTTGTGATAGTTTGCTGAGAATGATGATTTCCAATTTCATCCATGTCCCTACAAAGGACATGAACTCATCATTTTTTATGGCTGCATAGTATTCCATGGTGTATATGTGCCACATTTTCTTAATCCAGTCTATTATTGTTGGACATTTGGCTTGGTTCCAAGTCTTTGCTATTGTGAATAGTGCCGCAATAAACATACGTGTGCATGTGTCTTTATAGCAGCATGATTTATAGTCCTTTGGGTATATACCCAGTAATGGGATGGCTGGGTCAAATGGTATTTCTAGTTCTAGATCCCTGAGGAATCGCCACACTGAC
Source organism: Homo sapiens (assembly GCF_000001405.40). Lineage (NCBI taxonomy): Eukaryota > Metazoa > Chordata > Mammalia > Primates > Hominidae > Homo > Homo sapiens. The sequence goes on along the minus strand of NC_000023.11, from coordinate 93,632,902 downwards.
TTCCACAATGGTTGAACTAGTTTACAGTCCCACCAACAGTGTAAAAGTGTTCCTATTTCTCCACATCCTCTCCAGCACCTGTTGTTTCCTGACTTTTTAATGATCACCATTCTAACTGGTGTGAGATGGTATCTCATTGTGGTTTTGATTTGCATTTCTCTAATGGCCAGTGATGGTGAGCATTTTTTCATGTGTTTTTTGGCTGCATAAATGTCTTCTTTTGAGGAGTGTCTGTTCATGTCCTTTGCCCACTTTTTGATGGGGTTGTTTGTTTTCTTCTTGTAAATTTTGTTGAGTTCATTGTAGATTCTGGATATTAGCCCTTTGTCAGATGAGTAGGTTGTGAAAATTTCCTCCCATTCTGTAGGTTGCCTATTCACTCTGATGGTAGTTTCTTTGGCTGTGCAGAAGCTCTTTAGTTTAATTAGATCCCATTTGTCAATTTTGGCTTTTGTTGCCATTGCTTTTGGTGTTTTAGACATGAAGTCCTTGCCCATGCCTATGTCCTGAATGGTAATGCCTAGGTTTTCTTCTAGGGTTTTTATGGTTTTAGGTCTAACGTTTAAGACTTTAATCCATCTTGAATTAATTTTTGTATAAGGTGTAAGGAACGGATCCAGTTTCAGCTTTCTACATATGGCTAGCCAGTTTTCCCAGCACCATTTATTAAATAGGGAATCCTTTCCCCATTGCTTGTTTTTCTCAGGTTTGTCAAGGATCAGATAGTTGTAGATATGTGGCATTATTTCTGAGGGCTCTGTTCTGTTCCATTGATCTATATCTCTGTTTTGGTACCAGTACCATACTGTTTTGGTTACTGTAGCCTTGTAGTATAGTTTGAAGTCAGGTAGTGTGATGCCTCCAGCTTTGTTCTTTTGGCTTAGGATTGACTTGGCGATGTGGGCTCATTTTTGGTTCCATATGAACTTTAAAGTAGTTTTTTCCAATTCTGTGAAGAAAGGCATTGGTAGCTTGATGGGGATGGCATTGAATCTATAAATTACCTTGAGCAGTATGGCCATTTTCATGATATTGATTCTTCCTACCCATGAGCATGGAATGTTCTTCCATTTGTTTGTATCCTCTTTTATTTCATTGAGCAGTGGTTTGTAGTTCTCCTTGAAGAGGTCCTTCACGTCCCTTGAAAGTTGGATTCCTAGGTATTTTATTCTCTTTGAAGCAATTGTGAATGGGAGTTCACTCATGATTTGGCTCTCTGTTTGTCTGCTATTGGTGTATAAGAATGCTTGTGATTTTTGTACATTGATTTTCTATCCTGAGACTTTGCTGAAGTTGCTTGTCAGCTTGAGGAGATTTTGGGCTGAGACAATGGGGTTTTCTAGATATACAATCATGTCATCTGCAAACAGGGACAATTTGACTTCCTCTTTTCCTAATTGAATACCCTTTATTTCCTTCTCCTGCCTAATTGCCCTGGCCAGAACTTCCAACAGTATGTTGAATAGGAGTGGGGAGAGAGGGCATCCCTGTCTTGTGCCAGTTTTCAAAGGGAATGCTTCCAGTTTTTGCCCATTCAGTATGATATTGGCTGTGGGTTTGTCATAGATAGCTCTTATTATTTTGAGATACGTCCCATCAATACCTAATTTGTTGAGAGCTTTTAGCATGAAGGGTTGTTGAATTTTGTCAAAGGCCTTTTCTGCTTCTATTGAGATAATCATGTGGTTTTTGTCTTTGGTTCTGTTTATATGCTGGATTACATTTATTGATTTGCATATATTGAACCAGCCTTGCATCCTAGGGATGAAGCCCACTTGATCATGGTGGATACGCTTTTTGATGTGCTGCTGGATTCAGTTTGCCAGTATTTTATTAAGGATTTTTGCATCAATGTTCATCAAGGATATTGGTCTAAAATTCTCTTTTTTCGTTGTGTCTCTACCCGGCTTTGGTATCAGGATGATGCTGGCCTCATAAAATGAGTTCGGAGGATTCCCTTTTTCTATTGATTGGAATAGTTTCAGAAGGAATGGTACCAGCTCCTCTTTGTACCTCTGGTAGAATTCGGCTGTGAATCCATCTGGTCCTGGACTCTTTTTGGTTGGTAAGCTATTGATTATTGCCACAATTTCAGCTCCTGTTATTGGTCTATTCAGAGATTCAACTTCTTCCTGGTTTAGTCTTGGGAGGGTGTATGTGTCGAGGAATTTATCCATTTCTTCTAGCTTTTCTAGTTTATTTGCATAGAGGTGTTTATAGTATTCTCTGATGGTAGTTTGTATTTCTGTGGGATCAGTGGTGATATCCTCTTTATCATTTTTTATTGTGGCTATTTGATTCTTCTCTCTCTTCTTCTTTATTAGTCTTGCTAGCAGTCTATCAATTTTATTGATCCTTTCAAAAAACCAGCTCCTGGATTCATTAATTTTTTGAAGGGTTTTTTGTGTCTCTATTTCCTTCAGTTCTGCTCTGATTTTAGTTATTTCTTGCCTTCTGCTAGCTTTCGAATGTGTTTGCTCTTGTTTTTCTAGTTATTTTAATTGTGATGTTAGGGTGTCAATTTTGGATCTTTCCTGCTTTCTCTTGTGGGCATTTAGTGCTATAAATTTCCCTCTACACACTGCTTTGAATGTGTCCCAGAGATTCTGGTATGTTGTGTCTTTGTTCTCGGTGGTTTCAAAGAACATCTTTATTTCTGCCTTCATTTCGTTATGTACCCAGTAGTCATTCAGGAGCAGGTTGTTCAGTTTCCATGTAGTTGAGTGGTTTTGAGTGAGTTTCTTATTCCTGAGTTCTAGTTTGATTGCACTGTGGTCTGAGAGACAGTTTGTTATGATTTTTGATCTTTTACATTTGCTGAGGAGAGCCTTACTTCCCAGTATGTGGTCAATTTTGGAATAGGTGTGGTGTGGTGCTGAAAAAAATGTATATTCTGTTGATTTAGGGTGGAGAGTTCTATAGATGTCTATTAGGTCCGCTTGGTGCAGAGCTGAGTTCAATTCCTGGATATCCTTGTTAACTTTCTGTCTCGTTGATCTGTCTAATGTTGACAGTGGAGTGTTAAAGTCTCCCATTGTTATTGTGTGGGAGTCTAAGTCTCTTTGTAGGTCACTCAGGACTTTCTTTATGAATCTTGGTGCTCCTGTATTGGGTGCATATATATTTAGGATAGTTAGCTCTTCTTGTTGAATTGATCCCTTTACCATTATGTAATGGCCTTCTTTGTCTCTTTTGATCTTTGTTGGTTTAAAGTCTGTTTTATCCGAGACTAGGATTGCAACCCCTGCCCTTTTTTGTTTTCAATTTGCTTGGTAGATCTTCCTCCATCCTTTTATTTTGAGCCTATGTGTGTCTCTGCTCGTGAGATGGGTTTCCTGAATACAGCACACTGATGGGTCTTGACTCTTTATCCAACTTGCCAGTCTGTGTCTTTTAATTGGAGCGTTTAGTCCATTTACATTTAAAGTTAATATTGTTATGTGTGAATTTGATCCTGTCATTATGATTTTAGCTGGTTATTTTGCTTGTTAGTTGATGCAGTTTCTTCCTAGCCTTGATGGTCTTTACAATTTGGCATGATTTTGCAGTGGCTGGTACTGGTTGTTCCTTTCCATGTTTAGTGCTTCCTTCAGGAGCTCTTGTAGGGCAGGCCTGGTGGTGACAAAATCTCTCAGCATTTGCTTGTCTGTGAAGTATTTTATTTCTCCTTCACTTATGAAGCTTAGTTTGGCTGGATATGAAATTCTGGGTTGAAAATTCTTTTCTTTAAGAATGTTGAGTATTGGCCCCCACTCTCTTCTGGCTTGTAGATTTTCTGCTGAGAGATCCGCTGTTAGTCTGATGGGCTTCCCTTTGTGGGTAACCCGACCTTTCTCTCTGGCTGCCCTTAACATTTTTTCCTTCATTTCAACTTTGGTGAATCTGACAATTATGTGTCTTGGAGTTGCTCTTCTCGAGGAGTATCTTTGTGGCGTTCTCTGTATTTCCTGAATCTGAATGTTGGCCTGCCTTGCTAGATTGGGGAAGTTCTCCTGGATAATATCCTGCAGAGTATTTTCCAACTTGGTTCCATTCTCCCCGTCATTTTCAGGTACACCAATCAGACGTAGATTTGGTCTTTTCACATAGTCCCATATTTCTTGGATGCTTTGTTCGTTTCTTTTTATTCTTTTTTCTGTAAACTTCCCTTCTCGCTTCATTTCATTCATTTCATCTTCCATCACTGATACCCTTTCTTCCAGTTGATTGCATCGGCTCCTGAGGCTTCTGCATTCTTCACGTAGTTCTTGAGCCTTGGCTTTCAGCTCCATCAGCTCCTTTAAGCACTTCTCTGTATTGGTTATTCTAGTTATACATTCTTCTAAATTTTTTTCAAAGTTTTCAACTTCTTTACCTTTGGTTTGAATGTCCTCCCATAGCTCAGAGTAATTTGATCGTCTGAAGCCTTCTTCTCTCAGCTCGTCAAAGTCATTCTCCTTCCAGCTTTGTTCTGTTACTGGTGAGAAACTGCATTCCTTTGGAGGAGGAGAGGCACTCTGCTTTTTAGAGTATCCAGTTTTTCTGCTCTATTTTTTCCCCATCTTTGTGGTTTTATCTACTTTTGGTCTTTGATGATGGTGATGTACAGATGGGTTTTTGGTGTGGATGTCCTTTCTGTTTGTTAGTTTTCCTTCTAACAGACAGGACCCTCAGCTGCAGGTCTGTTGGAGTTTGCTAGAGGTCCACTCCAGACCCTGTTTCCCTGGGTACCAGCAGCAGTGGCTGCAGAACATAGGATTATTGTGAACTGCGAATGCTGCTGTCTGATCGTTCCTCTGGAAGTTTTGTCTCAGAGGAGTACCCGGCCGTGTGAGATGTCAGTCTGCCCCTACTGGGGGGGTGCCTCCCAGTTAGGCTGCTCGGGGGTCAGGGGTCAGGGACCCACTTGAGGAGGCAGTCTGCCCGTTCTCAGATCTCCAGCTGCGTGCTAGGAGAACCACTGCTCTCTTCAAAGCTGTCAGACAGGGACATTCAAGTCTGCAGAGGTTACTGCTGTCTTTTTGTTTGTCTGTGCCCTGCCCCCAGAGGTGGAGCCTACAGAGGCAGGCAGGCCTCCTTGAGCTGTGGTGGGCTCCACCCAGTTCAAGCTTCCCAACTGCTTTGTTTACCTAAGCAAGCCTGGGCAATAGCGGGCATCCCTCCCCCAGCCTCGCTGCCACCTTGCAGTTTGATCTCAGACTGCTGTGCTAGCAATCAGCGAGACTCCGTGGGCGTAGGACCCTCCAAGCCAGGTGCAGGATATAATCTCCTGGTGCGCTGTTTTTTAAGCCCGTTGGAAAAGTGCAGTATTCAGGTGGGAGTCACCCGATTTTCCAGGTGCCATCTGTCACCCCTTTCTTTGACTAGGAAAGGGAACTCCCTGACCCCTTGTGCTTCCTGAGTGAGGCAATGCCTCACCCTGCTTTGGCTCACGCATGGTGTGCTGCACCCACTGTCCTGAGCCCACTGTCTGGCACTCTCTAGTGAGATGAACCTGGTACCTCAGATGGAAATGCAGAAGTCACCCGTCTTCTGCGTTGCTCATGCTGGGAACTGTAGACCGGAGCTGTTCCTATTCAGCCATCTTGGCTCCCAACCAATACTATGGCCTTTTCTTCTTAATCTCTGGAAGACAACTTGGTGTTCCAGGACGCCCATTGGCCTTGGAGTGATGACACGTAGATTCAAATACTGCTTCTCCAGTTATTAGTTATGGCATCTTGAGCAAGATAATCACTTTTAAAACTAGGGTATACATAGAGTTAGGATCATGACTCTGTGTCCATAATCTTTATACTATTAATTTTGCTTTTGGAGTTAAATTCTGAATACATACATTGAGGAAAATAATTCTTGTCATTAAACTGAGTTTAATGACAGTAGGATGCTTTTTAGAAGGCTGGGAATTTACATGTTAACAAAAAGAGCAGGGTATTAAGAATTAGTAGTTTGCATATTTCTAGACACATTTTGGTTCAAGTATATTTCCATTTTTTTAATTGTTTGACAAGCCTAAAACATGATTTTGATCACTTACATGAAAATACAGACATGCTGTGATAAGAGATCTTCCCTAGGCAAGTAGCATACCTGTTGAATGAAACATTTTCATGAAATATGTCGTGATAAATATGTTCTTTTCAAAATATATTTTTCTCCTACCTACTATTAACACTGAATAAAGAATGTGGCCAGTGGGTCTTATTTGCTGTGATCCATTAAGACAATTGGGTGTGGGATAGGTGGCACTGTGTTTTTTATCTGTGGATCCTTGCCCTCCTCTGCGTCAGGTTAGGCCATGACAATTCAAGACAACTGAATATTTTACTTCTATCCTATTATGTGCTGTATATCACTGTGTAGATATAAGTTAATAATTAGTAACAATAACATATCTCCTCTAAATTCTTGAATGCTTCCATGATGCATATATTCTATTTCACAGAAGTATTCCTTTTTATGAGATATACTGGAAGGAAATGAATCTTCTTCTAGAAGCTGATACTGAAAATCTTTTTCAAAGTCTCCACGTACAAATATGCATAGAGACTTGCATGCAAGTTGAAGATTTTCAGATTAGAAGCATGCCAGTAAAACAAGTCTCATCAAATATCACTTTGGCTGTTTTTTGCATTTTTGCCTCTCTGCAAGTGACTGGCTTTCAGGAAGAAGACCAACACTTAAAGTGACAGGCTTTCAGAAAAAAGACAACTATCATATTTAGAGAGAAACACTCATGGAGATACCTACTATTCAGAGGAAGAATGTTCTAGGAAGTAATTATTATCCAACTGAGTGAGACAGTCCTGGCTTCTTTCATAGGACGGAGATAACTAAATACTTTTATAAGACTAAACCAGGCATTCTGGCATGGTGCTGCATATGTCAGCCTCTATGAAAGTCACAATATTCTTGTAATTTCTCTGTAGTAACATTTCTTCAATCTTATTGGACCTTGGTTCTGTATATGTAATTTTTGGAAGAATCACTAGATAATCTTTAATAAGAAAACGTAAAGGCACCCTAAAAATCAAGAAGAAATAAAGAACGTCTACCCTGATCAAGAAAGTATATTTGTACAAAAAGATTATTCTCCCTACTCCTGCTATGGTTTTCTACTGTTTTTATCTATTTCAGCAGCTATCATGAACTTGAATACCTGGTATCCACAGGAAAGAATACTTGATAGGCAGACACTTGATCTTGCTGTGATTGAGCTTGGCATGATTTTAACCTCCAAGTGCAAGAAATCATCTTTATTAATCTGCTTCTCGTGAGTCTGTTGGGGAGATGAACTTTAGCCAAGAATATTACAGTCATCTAGTACTGTTGATACAAAAAGTCCCAGTATATTTGTGTGAGTAGTAGCATCACATAGGGAAAATAAAGTAATATTATTTAGAGTCTGACTGTCCGAATTTGAATTCCAGCTATGCTACCTTCTAATTGTATAAACTTGGTCAAACACTAAACCTCTCTAAATCTTAGTTTCTTCATCTATGAAATGGAGATAATAATAATGCTTGCTTCAAAAGTGGCTGTGCATCTGTATACCCCACAGAATACAGTCACGTACTTTCTCTGCACAAATATATTAATGTTGACTGCATGCCAAAAATTTAATAAATGCATAACTTTAGTGCTGTGACCCTGAGATTACTCAACCAATGTCATTAAAGATTTCACATTTTTATTCAGTCTTAAATGTTGCCCTCGTTTTGTATAATATTCTACGTGGATTGCAATGGCTTGCAATTCATCTTTTCTTAATTAACCGAGTCAACAGAATAATCACAAGTACAGTTATTTTTATTGTGTACTTACTAAGTGTCCAGCACAGAGTTAATCAGTATATGGAATATGAAAGAAATAGACGCTGCAGTCCCTGAACTTAATGAGTTCAGCATCTAACTAGGGAGGTAGAAAGCAAATGATATATGCATAAAAAGTTAAATAGAAATACAAAAATATCTGAAAGGATCCAGAAGAAACTGTTAGCAGTAATTTCTTGAGTGAGAAGGTAGGGTTTGCTGTTAGTAGTCACTTTTCATTTTACACTTTTCTTTGGTAATATTACATTTCTGTACTATTTGTTGTAATTATTTTAATAAAAACTGATGTAAACATCTAATTCAATATTAAACTAGGAAACATAAAATATTCTTTGTGGTTTAAATTCTGTTTTTTATTACAGAATATAAGTGTGTTTCCAAAGAGGGAATTAGCTTCTTTCACTCAGTATGTATACAGAAAACATTGCTGGAGCCCTTCCTCAATGCCATGAATGTGTCTGAGCCTAGCAGATAAAAAGTAGAAAAAGACTCTGTCTTTAGAAAATCCTTTAGTGGAATAAGAAGATAAGCAAACAAATAGTAAAATCTGACAGGCTATAATTAGGGTGTGCACATGCTGTGCAAGAAAACACACATGAGCAGAGATAGAATTTGAGAGTCCTGTTTATTAAATCACTTAGGATTCTGTGCTGGGCTCTGTACTGATAAAAGGGGAGTCTCCAGGAGTCCGTGTAAGAAGAGCAGTGCAGGATGCTTTGATGTAACTTGGAAAGCCTGCATAAGCAAACGTGATGTAGTTCATCCTGCCTTAGGTAGTCTACAGTATTATTTGTCTTAAAAAATAATGCTTCAATTTCTAGTGTGCCCAGAATGTTTTGTGTTGATCCAGTTGCTTCTCTCTCTCATTGGCCAGCTCCTCTGATCACCAGAGCACCTTTCATCTAAGTCCTGCAGCTGAATCTCCCCAGAGTCCCCACTGTCAGCTCATTTGCCTGTGGGGAAAATGAAATACATAGATTGATATTACAAATTTTACAGGAGAAATCAGGCTTGTCTCATTTCCTAGATAATTCTGTTGACAGTTGTCACTGTTAAAGGTTAACTCTTATTCCAGGACATCTCTTTCAACAACAACAAAAAATGTCCATATGATTTTAAAAAATTAAGTCTTAGCCAAGGGCTCATTTATTTTAATCAATATTCAGTACAACAAAATTCTGTTGCAGTCTGTTGACACAAAATTTAAGTTAGATGAATTTCAAGAATTTTTCCATATATTTTCTCTAAATATCTAGACACAGATACTGAAAAAAGTCTGTTTTATCTTAGCTTTATTATTGTATTCATAAACTAGCTTGGGTTAGCCTACTTATTCTAAAAATAAAGAATAACTGAATATTATGGAATAAATACCTGTGAATAAATAATATTCTGAGATTTTCATAACCTAAGCATAATTTCCCTCTGAAAGTATTCATTGCACATAATTGCCAGAATATTAAAATTTGAAACAGTGGCACATATACAAGATAATTCAATTACATGTTTCAATACTGAATATGAAGGTTCTAGTGGTTATATGGTTAAAAAAGCTATCACAGAGGATGAAAGTTAAAACTTGAAAGAAATTGATTCAGTTTAATCATCAGCTACCGTAAGGCTGTTGGTGGTGGTTTTCAGCCCTCATTTCTATTTGAGTAAAACCAGCCTGTGAAGGTTTAGTTTGGTAAATAAAGTAGGTAAGAATTTATCCAAACTGGTTTATGTGTACAATAAATTGCAAATAGAGCATAACATAAATCTGGCAATTTTCTCTGTACACATAAATTACAGGAACAAGATTTGTTATTCTGTATATTTTGTGTCCACATTTATAGTTTGTTAAACCTTCATGAGTGTTGTTACCTATGAAAGAGACTAAAAGTTCTAGAGATAAATTCCAACCTGGGAAGCAAAAACCTTGCTGTAATATAGTAGATCCATGGTACCTACTCTTAAGGATGGGAGAATGTCACATATAAACAGATAGAGAAGAGCAAGTTTATACAAATTCCATTATAGCACTTTTCCATTTACTCAAATTAATCCTTTCAAACATTTTATTTAAAAAATATATGTATTTTCTTTTATATCACAATATATTGGGCATTTCCTCTGTTGTTGCATATTGCTAATATTCATTGTTTTAAAACTCTAACCAGCTTCTTTTTGACTTAAAAAGGACCTAATAATGGACCAGAAAGTTTAGAAATCTTTCTGGCAAGAAAGAAAAGAAGTACTGTAACCCAACTATTATGTTCAAGTTATCTTAAAATTCTGAAACACAAATATATAGGAAAGAAGAATATGCATACAATAACATCTGTCATCATAGTTTCTAAGAGATGAACACCTCTACAGCTCATATAACACACTAGTCTAAAATAATGTGGACACAGCATAACAGCACAAACATACGTAGTTGCCCCATAATTATTTTTATGTTGCCAGAATGTAAGTCTGCTGCACACTATATGACATTAAGCTGTTAGCTTTCTTTTACATTTTCTATTAATAGGGAACTCTTAGCAATGAAATTTGGATTCATTTACATGTCTATTTTTTAAACTTGCTAAATTCGACTCGGTCAACTTAAAATGCATATATATATGCATTTTACATATATACATACATATATATGCATACATACATATATACATACATATATACATACATATATATGCATACATACATATACATACATACATATATATATACATACATACATACATATATATACATACATATATATGCATTTTAGGTTGACCAAGTCGAATTTAGCATGTTTAAAAACTAGACATGTAAATGAATCCAAATTTCATTGCTAAGAGTTTCCTATTAATAAAAATCTTTATAATAAGAAATTACGTATTCATACTAGATGTGACATCAAATTTGTGAATTTGGGAAAGAAAAACCAGTTTTGAAATTATAATGAAAAGTTGTCCATTGCTTTAAAATTCTGCCTTTAAAATATACAGAATTGTAATATTACACTGAAATAATTTATTTAATTTAAATAATGTCATTTGAATTATATAATGGATATACTAAACAGCTCGTATGAACCATACATTTAGTTCAAAATGAAAGGTATTTTCTATACATCTAATATGCACTCACCTAACATTTATGGAGCACTTCTTATGTGCCAAGCTCTGTGCTAAGTGCTGCTAAGTGCTTCACATAGAGTGTTGTTAACTGAGGATAGACTGTGACATCAAGTGCAGGAAGAAGTGTAGAAGGCATGGATGGACTCAAGTGTGCTGGAAATATCACTTCATTTTCTATAATAGTATAATTTCTGCTTCTTAGTCTCCATTTTAGAGGAATGATTGAAATTTAAACTCTCGTTTTCAGTGTTCTCTACCCTATAGAATCCATGCTACACTTTTAGGATCTCACACTACACTAATATTTTAGGGGAGAGATTTTTGTCTTCAGTTATCTGACCATGCAGTTACCACAGAGATGACTGTTATCTCAGCCTGAATGAATCTGTCAGGTATAGGGATACACAGTTGATTTTTGTGCCAAACCTAGATATAGGAATCTTTGCTGAGGCTTAACTTCTTGTGTCAAGCATCTAACTCACACTCCACAGCCATTCCCCTCCAGGACTTGTTACCTCTTTGACAGTGCTTACAGAAAGTAGAGCTCAGAGAACATCAGGCATTTTCCTCTCTCTTCCACCACACCTTGGAAGTTTTTGTTTGTATGTTCTTGTTTCTGCATTTGAATGTGTATGGTCAGACTTCAGAGGAACCCAGGAATCTCATTTATTCAGTACAATATGGTGGCCAGGTGCTCAGGCCCTATTATCAGAGAGATCTCAGTTTAACTTTCCAATTCCACCATTTACTGACCATATGACTTGGGGAACATTATCTCACCTATCTGAGTCTGTATCCCCATCTTTAAATTGTAAATTTTAAGGACACCTATCATAGTAATATTGTGAGGATAAAATGAAATAATGCACACATACAAAAAAGCCTGTTAAAGTTAATGTTAAATAAATGGTAGCTGTTTTAAGAAATATGAAGTAACTCACCTCAAAAGATTGGGAGCCTCAAAAATACACTATGTATGATTTTACTAATGACTTTGAAGGACTCTAACAAGTGGAGGTACTATTGAAAATAAGTTGAAGTCCTGAGTCCTTTTTGCATTACTTTAAAATTAGTCTTATTAAAATGGTACAAATGAGTTGATGCTCTTCCTTAGGTGATATATTCTGCCTTCTGATTGGTCTAGATCTGCCTGGCTGATGAAAAAATCTTTAACAAGATTGAAACCCTTCTAGTCTTTTAGAAGGGTTCCAATAGATAAATCAGGTTCCTACAATTTTTTCCCCATAAACATGCTTGACACGAAAGACCTGCTTATTAATGGAATTATTTTGAATAGACTATGGAGACCTGTAACAAAAAAATAGAACAAAAGAAAATTTCAACAAAGTGGAATGAATATGAAAAACCTCTTTCTGTTATATATTTTAAAAGGGGAGAAATAGACTCTATGCATTATGGAAAGATGCACTTGTGTGATTGTGTGCAAGGGCTAAGGATAGCAGATGGAGTAGGGGCAGGACAAGAAGTTGCTTTTCTTACTACTGAACAAAAACCAGACCAAGGACTATTTTCTTTTCTGAGAGTTACACATAAAATTATGTTTCATCCCTCTTTGAACACACATGTTTCTTAATGCATATTCAAAGAAGCCATACGCCTGGAGACGTGTCAATAAGGCAATTAGCCCACCTGTATGTTCTAAATCTAAAACAATTGAATCTCACTAATACAATATTTACATACGAATAGAACACCAGAGTAGAATGCCATCCTATTCTACTAGAATTAGAATACCATATCTAAAGGAGAACAAAATATACAAATATTTTAATATAAATATATGCAATGTATTTACTCATTTTGTCCTATTTTCACTTCATCCCTCTTCTCTTTGCCATTCTCCTCAAAATCATGTTAGAGCAGTGTTGGGATTCTGAAGGGTTAATGAAAGCCTCTGAAAACACATGAGTGACAAAGAAGCGATAAGAATCCTCATGCTCTAAAGATCCCTTAATTAACAACAGTTTACCCTATTTTCTCCTCCTTCCCTCACTTTCAGCAGCCAAAACTCAAGACTATATTAGAATGGGAAGTAATAAATAAATATGGCTATATTTATGACCATATATTTAAAAATGAGTAAATATATTTTATGTATTTATATTTACATATTTGTATATTTTGTTCTTCCTTAGGTATGGTATTCTAATTCTAGTAGAATAGGATGGTATTCTACTCTGACGTTCTATTCATATGTAAATATTGTATTAGCGAGATTTAACTGTTTTAGGTTTAGAATGTACATGTTTAGAATGTTTTAGGTTTAGAATGTACCTTATTGACATGGCTCCAGGCATATGGCTTCTTTGAATATGCATTAAGAAACATGTGCATTCAAAGAAGGATGAAACAGTTTTATGTGTAATTCTCAGACAAGAAAATAATGCCTGGCCTGGTTTTTGTTCAGTACTAAGTAAGGCAACTGCCTCTTTTAGAATTATGAGAGACTTAAACATTAGGTCATACCGATAATGTGCTTTCCAAAGCCTCCTCTATGCTTTTTAATTAACCACCTCTCATTTATAAGTATTTGTCTGTATCTTTCCAATTAAGAATCCAGGAAGGCTGAGGTATGTCTTCCTTATTCACTGTGACATACTCAGGTCTTAGACTAGGGTCTAGGGTATAGTAGGTGGTCATAAATGAAACTGAACTTTGGACAAACTAATTAGGAAAGTTTATGGATTAATCACAAAGTCACTCCTCAATTATTGTGTATTAATTCTCCTGATTTTGGAGTTTATAACTAATCCCAGATCAAGCTAGTTCATCAACATAGCATCATAGAAGTCTCTCTCCAGGAATTTTAAAAATAAAAATGGAGAAGGAAATAAAGGGCATTCAATTAGGAAAAGAGGAAGTCAAATTGTCCCTGTTTGCAGATGACATGATTGTATATCTAGAAAACCCCATTATCTCAGCCCAAAATCTCCTTAAGCTGATAAGCAACTTCAACAAAGTCTCAGGATACAAAATCAGTGTGCAAAAATCACAAGCATTCTTATACACCAATAACAGACAAACAGAGAGCCAAATCATGAGTGTACTCCCATTCACAATTGCTTCAAAGAGAATAAAATACCTAGGAATCCAACTTACAAGGGATGTGAAGGACCTCTTCAAGGAGAACTACAAACCACTGCTCAATGAAATAAAAGAGGATACAAACAAATGGAAGAACATTCCATGTTCATGGGTAGGAAGAATCAATATCGTGAAAATGGCCATACTGCTCAAGGTAATTTATAGATTCAATGCCATCCCCATCAAGCTACCAATGACTTTCTTCACAGTATTGGAAAAAACTACTTTAAAGTTCATATGGAACCAAAAAAGAGCCCACATCGCCAAGTCAATCCTAAGCCAAAAGAACAAAGCTGGAGGCATCATGCTACCTGACTTCAAACTATACTACAAGGCTACAGTAACCAAAACAGCATGGTACTGGTACCAAAACAGAGATATAGACCAATGGAACAGAACAGAGCCCTCAGAAATAATGCCGCATATCTACAACTATCTGATCTTTGACAACCCTGAGAAAAACAAGCAATGGGGAAAGGATTCCCTATTTAATAAATGGTGCTGGGAAAACTGGCTAGCCATATGCAGAAAGCTCAAACTGGATCCCTTCCTTACACCTTATACAAAAATTAATTCAAGATGGATTAAAGACTTAAATGTTAGACCTAAAGCCATAAAAACCCTACAAGAAAACCTAGGCAATACCATTCAGGACATAGGCATGGGCAAGGACTTCATGTCTAACACACCAAAAGCAATGGCAACAAAAGCCAAAGTTGACAAATGGGATCTAATTAAACTAAAGAGCCTCTGCACAGCAAAAGAAACTACCATCAGAGTGAACAGGCAACCTACAGAATGGGAGAAAATTTTTGCAACCTACTCATCTGACACAGGGCTAATATCCAGAATCTACAATGAACTCAAACAAATTTACAAGAAAGAAACAAACAACCCCATCAAAAAGTTGGCGAAGGATATGAACAGACACTTCTCAAAAGAAGACATTTATGCACCCAAAAAACATATGAAAAACTGCTCATCATCACTGGCCATCAGAGAAATGCAAATCAAAACCACAATGAGATACCATCTCACACCAGTTAGAATGGCGATCATTGAAAAGTCAGGAAACAACAGGTGCTGGAGAGGATGTGGAGAAATAGGAACACTTTTACACTGTTGGTGGGACTGTAAACTAGTTCAACCATTGTGGAAGTCAGTGTGGCGATTCCTCAGGGATCTAGAACTAGAAATACTATTTGACCCAGCCATCCCATTACTGGGTATATACCCAAAGGATTATAAATCATGCTGCTATAAAGACACATGCACACGTATGTTTATTGCGGCACTATTCGCAATAGCAAGGACTTGGAACCAACCCATATGTCCAGCAATGATAGACTGGATTAAGAACACGTGGCACATATACACCATGGAATACTATGCAGCCATAAAAAATGATGAGTTCATGTCCTTTGTAGGGACATGGATGAAGCTGGAAACCATCATTCTCAGCAAACTATCGCAAGGACAAAAAACCAAACACCGCATGTTCTCACTCATAGGTGGGAATTGAACAATGAGAACACATGGACACAGGAAGGGGAACATCACACACCAGGGCCTGTTGTGGGGTCAGGGGAGGGGGGAGGGATAGCATTAGTAGATATACCTAATGCTAAATGATGAGTTAACGGGTGCAGCACACCAACATGGCACATGTATACATATGTAACAAACCTGCACGTTGTGCACATGTATCCTAAAACTTAAAGTATAATAATAATTTAAAAAAATACCTAAAAAAAAATGGTGAAGCACTTCATATGCATTATCTAATTTGATGCTCATAGAAACTATGGGACAGATGTACTTTTAACCCAACTTGACAGATGAGAAAACTAAGATTTGGAGAAGGTAAGCCCCTACAGTTAGATAACAGGGCTACAGAGACTGAGCATTGAATAAGCACATCGCCCTGATTCACTTTCTTCCTGTGACAGCTCATCTTGTGTTTGAAGACCAATGTCCCGGTTTTCCTAACCCCCAAGTCTATATTTCTCTCTCACACATGTTTTCTAAGTATGTTTGCATTTTCTCTTTCTAGACCATGAGCCTTGCTAAGTAACATGTTTTGAATACCACTGAAATACTTGCACAATTTTAAAGCAGCTTTGTTTTTGATGGCCAAAATATGAAAACAGCCCAGGTTCAACAATAAGACAATGGATAAACAAACCATGACATATTCACACAATGAAATACTACTCAGCAGTAAAATGGCATGAACTACTGATAGACACAACATGGATAAATCATAGAAACATTATGTTGCATTAAAAAAAAACCTTACATGAAAGTACTTACTGCATGAATCCATTAATATGAAGTCATAGAAAAGGCAAAAGTAATCGGTTGTGAAAACAAACCAGGACAATGGTTTCCTCTGTGGGTTGGAGGTGGGGTTTTATTGGGAACAGACATGAGGAAGCCTTCTTGGGTGATGGTAATGTTTTGTATCTTTATGGGGATTTGGGTGGCACAGGTGTGTGTTTTGACTTATGGAGGAAGTTGTGGAATAGTACACTTAAGTTTTATGCATTTCATTGTATGTAAATTTTAACTGAATAGAAAAAATCTATAAGCAAATATTAAGCTCTAGTTAATGATATCCATTCTGAAGTATTTGGGGAATATGTACTAATATCTGCAACTTACTTTGAAATGCATAAAAATGAGAAGAAGTGGCAGACAGATAGGATGGGTAAGTGGACAGATATGGAGTAAGATAAGTATTACAAAATGTTAATTGCAGAACCTAGGTGGTGGCTATATTGGTGTTCACTGTAAAATTCAACTTTTCAGAAAACACTTTCAAGATAAAACTTAAGAACAAAAGAAAACTCCCCAAAGTAATTTTACAACCTGAAACCATAAGCAGTGGTTAAAAATAGGAGCTTGAGGGTCAGCCAGACCGACCTGAATTCAATTCATGCTTCTGTCATTTTTCAAGCTGTATAACCTTGAGGAAGTTACTTGATTTCCCTGAACTTAGGTTTCTTTACTTATAGTACAACGATAATGAGATCAAGGGTCCAATTCTGTTAAATAGTGTAAATAAATCACTTAACAGGGTGCCTGGTATAATCTTACTCTTTAAAGCATGTATTTGACTATGTGAAGTGAAAATATGTACTAATCATTTCTATTGGTAAATGTATAAATATTAAAGGGAGTATACAGGGAACTGTGAATAAACCTGCAATAAATATACCTCTACCAATAATAGACACAGATGGTAACATAAATGAGAGTTCAGCTGTCTTTTTTTTTTTTTTTTTTTGAGCCAGAGTCCCACTCTGTCATCCAGGCTGGAGTGCAGTGGTGTGATCTTGGCTCACTGCAACCTCCGCCTCCCGGGTTCCAGTGATTCTCCTGACTCAGCCTCCCAAGTAGCTGAGATTACAGGTGTGTGCCACCACGCCTGGCTAATTTTTGTATTTTTAGTAGAGATGGGGTTTTGCCATGTTGGCCAGGCTGGTTTTGAACCCCTGACCTCAGGTGATCCATCTGCCTCGGCCTCCCAAAATGCTGGGATTACAGGCGTGAGCCACCATACCTGGCCCAGCTGTATGTCTTAATAAGATTTACTTCTCAAAATTTAAAAAAGAAGAGCTGCCTGAACAGACCTGATCCACTAGGTCTTGGAGATCCTATTATTTCAAGAGACGATTATAAGGAAAAACGAAGTTAATATAAAACTGATGTGGGACCTTAGTGACCAGGACTTAATGATCACAAGAGATGACTAGAAGATAAGAAGGTTAAAAAAAATAACTCTCTGATGTAGTTAAGCCAGACTCCCTGTTATTCCTCTGAGTGTTGGCAATTTGGCAGCTGGTTTGAATGGGTTCTCTGAAAGGCAAAAAAGTGAAACATCAAAATATAAAAGTAACATATTTTTTAAAAAATAGGACAAAACAGAAAAGAAAAGCATTTATCATTTCTTTGACATAACCACTGCTATTGTTTTGATCCATTTCTTTATGAAAACTAACATTGGTTGGGTTTCTCCTGTGTATCAGGCCTCGTGTTAGGCATTTTCATATTTTATTTAATTCATCCTTGTAATTCTTGCTGAGCAAATCTCCATCATGAGCAAACTAGTTCCATTCTAGAAATTAATTGTAAATTTTCAAGGAGAGAGAAGGAAACTTATATTTGTTTTCTATGTAGATAGGCTAAATAGCTGCTAAGTAACAAGTTCTTTCTAGAGAAGGCACAGCCACATTTTCAAAAACAAAACAAACAAACAAACAAACAAACAAAAACTCTCTTCTACTATCCTCATCTTACTTCCCCTTAACTCTTCAATTCACAACAGCCTGGCCTCTTCTACAGTCAGTCTATTAAAGCTGCTCTTGAAAATGTCACTTGTGACCCCAGAAGCACCAAATCTCATAGGCAATTTCCTGTATTTATTATAGTTGACTGCTGCTCTGTAGAGATTGATATCCTCAATCCTTCCCTTCTTGAAAGTCTTGTTTTCCCTTAGTTTAGATGAAAAGAATCACTCCTATTTCTTTTACCACTCTGACAGCTTATTATCAGAATTTGTGTGTGTGTGTGTGTGGTGGGCTTTCTCTTCATCTGGGTTCCTAAACATTAATATTCCTCAAGATTGTTATTAGCTCACTTTTCATCTAATTTACTCTCATATACTATCTCATCCATATACCCAGCTTAATCTGCAACTTAAATGCTAATGACTCCTATGTCTAGATCCTTCTTCAAAAAGAATATATTTTCATGGATGTTATAAAAATATTTGTTCCCTGGAAAAAATTGGAAAGCACACAAAAGGAGAAAGGAGAAAATGCTAATACTCCTATCAGCCAGAGAAATAACTACCATTACTATTCCTCACAAATGTTAACATAAGAAATCTCTATAATGTGTGAAATCTCAGCTTACTGGTGTAAAATCAATGCCTATGAAATTAAAGCACACATTAACTCATTAAATAATAGAAACTGATAACCTACATAGTCAAGTCACAAACACTTAATACAACAAATTTCTGCATTGAAATATATACAAAATAAATCTAGTATGTGCTTCCATGTCTGACATATTAAAAAGTGACAAATAAATGAATAAGTGAATAAATCAGAGTGAATAAGTGAGACAGTGGGAAGTTGAATGAATGAAATAACTCATGCATTTGCATAAAAGCTTTACACAGGAGTCTGTTGGTCTAGTTCCAACCCTGTCACACAGTAAATTATTGTATGTCTCTGAACCCCTAATACCTTATTTGTGAAATGGAAATAGTATGAATATCTTACATACCTTTCAGAATGGTTGTGAGGATAACTAATCATTTAAGTAGAAGTTCCTCCAAACCATGGTAGACTTGCATCTGCATCTACCACCAGAGAAGCTTGCTCAACCAACAGAAGAGTACACAACCAAATCAAGACTCACTGGAGAGATTTGCAAGTGAAACCCTTATTCCCCAGGCCTCATAGTATCATATGGAAAGGGAATAACTTTCCACTCCTTTTCTTCTAAATGGAAACATAGAAAGTACACTCTTTACCTTTTCATTCACTCCTCCCCAGAGGAGGTGGAGTGACTTCCCTGACTGGTGGATTGACAAGTAGAAACAAATACTTGCCTTAATGCTTTCTGGGACCTGGTTTTCCATGGAGGTACTCTCTGGTGTGTGTATGTGTGGAGGCCTTTAGTTATCTACCTGTGACTGTGGCTAGATCAGTTGGTTTATCTTCCTCAAGAATAAAATATTAGAAAGTCCATTATGACTGCTTATATAAGTCAAGTCCTGTCTTCCAGCATTTATCATGAATAGATATGATTGTGATCTCTTTCTCTCACTTGTTCCTGAACTCAGGTGTCAAAGACAGGGCTGTAAGTTATTTATTCCTTCCGTTCTAAAATCCCCAAAAGGTTCATTCTCAGCCATCCCTCACAAAGCCAATTATTTGGGAAAATGTAGCAGTGTTTCCCTATTCAATAAATGATGCTAGGATAACTGGCTAGCCATATGCAGAAAATTGACACTGGGCCTCTTCCTTACACTATATACAAAAACAAACAAACAAACAAAAAACTCAAGATAGGTTAAGGACGTAAAACCTAAAACTATAAAAACCTTGGAAGACAACCTAGGCAATACCATTCTGGACATAGGAATGAGCAAAGATTTACTGATGAAGATACCAAAAATAATTGCAACAATAGCAAAAATTGACAAATAGGATCTTGTTAAACTAAGGAGCATCTGTACACCAAAAGAAACTATCAACAAGGTGAGTAGATAACCTACAGAATGGGAGAAAAATTTTACAAACTATGAATATGACAAATGTCTAATATCCAGCATTCATAAAAAACTTCAACAAATTTACAAGAAAAAAAACAGACAACCCCATAAAAAAACTGGGCAAAGGACATGAACAGACACTTTTCAAAAGAAGATATACATGTGGCCAACAAGCATATGAAAAGAAAAACCTCAACGTCACTGATTATTAGAGAACTGCAAATCAAAACCACAATGAGATACCATTTCACACCATTTAGAATGGCTATTATTAAAAAGTCAAAAAATAATAGATGCTGTCAAGGTTGTGGAGACAAAGTAATACTTATATACTGTTGTTTGGAGTATAAATTAGTTCAGCCGCTGTGGAAGACAGCGTGGCAATTCCTCAAAAACCTAAAGACAGAACTACCATTTGACCCAGCAATCCCATTATTGGGCATATACCAAAGGAATATAAATTGTTCTATTAGAAAGAGACATGCACATATATGTTCATTGCAGCACTATGCACTATAGCAAAGACATGGAATCAACCTAAAAGCCCATCAATGGTAAACTGAATAAATAAATATGGTGCATATACACCATGGAATAGTATGCACCATAAAAAAGAACACAATTATGTTCTTTGCAGGAACATGGATGGAGCTGGAAATCATTACCCTTAGCAAACTAATTCAGGAATAGAAAACCAAATACCACATGTTCTCATGCATGAGTGGGAGTTAAATGATGAGAACACTTGGACACATAAAGGGGAACAACACACACTGTGGCCTGCTTGAGGGTGGAGGGTGGAATGAAGGACAGGATCAGGAAAAATAACTAATGGTTACTAAGCTTAATACCTGGGTGACGAAATAATCTGTACAACAAACCCATGTGAAACAAATTTACCTGTATAACAAACCTGCACATATTCCCCCGAACATAAATAAAAGTTAAGTAAAAACAATGAATGCTGCAGTGAACAACCTTGTAAATGTATCTTTGGACACAGTGCAAACATTTCTTCATAAGATAAAATCTCAAGAGCAGAATTGCTGGGCTTAAGGGTATGCCCACTTTTAACTTTAAAGGATACTATCAAATTGCCCTTCAAAATCATACCCCAACAAGTCCTATGTCGAAATTCCCATTTCTGTACAACCTAGCCAACTGAAATATTGTTACAGTTTTTACAATTAGAAGGAAAAAAACAAACATGCTATCTAATTGTAGTTTGCATTTCCTTTGATTACTAGTAAGATTGAACATATTTTCCTATCTTTAATGGCCAAGTGTATTTTTCTTTAGAATGCTTATTTATGTTGTTTGTTCATTTGTTTTTCCTGATGGTTTGTTTTTTTCTCATCAATTTGTAGGCACTTACTTATTTTTGAGGATATTAAGCTTTGATGTTTAGCTGTAACATATATGTTGAAAATAGTTTTATCTTATTATTTTTCTTTTCTTTCAACATTTTCAATACTTCATTTCACTCTCTTTTTGCTTGCAGGGTTTTAGATTAGAAGCCTACTGTAATTCTTATCTTTGTTCCTCTGTAGTAAAGGTATCTCCCTCTTCTCTTTCCCCTGGTTTCTTCTTTTTTTTTTTTTAGGTTAAATGCATGCTATTTTTATTTGTTTTTAAAACTATTATTGGTTTTAGTGTATTAGCAAATAAAAGAAACCATTCTTTTTCTACTGTGAGCTATATTTCAAATACTTCCATGTTGCACATTTTATGGATTAGTCTTGTCAAAAAAAGAAAATTAGATAGATGTCTTAAACCCCAGAGATTTTTTTTAATTGTTATTTTAGGTTCACAGGTACATGCACATCATTGTTATATAGGTAAACTCGTGTCATTGAGATTTGGTGTAGAGATTATTTCATTACTCAGGTGCTAAACTTAGTACCCAATAGTTAATTTTTCTGATCGTCTTCCTTCCCCCACCCTCCACCCTCAAGTAGGCCCCAGTGTCTGTTGTCTCCCTTTTTGTGTCTATGTTTTCTCATCATTTGGCTCCCACATATAAGTGAAAACATGTGGTATTTGATTTTCTGTTCCTGCATTACTTTGCTAAGGTTAATGGCCTCCAGCTCCATCCATGTTGCTACAAAGAACATGATCTTGTTCTTTTTATGGTCATGTAATATTCCATGGTGTACATGTACATATGTTCTTTATCCAGTCTACCATTGATGGAAATTTAGATTGTTTCCATGTCTTTGCTATAGTGAATAGTGCTGCAGCGAACATGTGCATACATGTATCTTTATGGTAGAAGGATTTATATGCCTTTGGGTATATACCCAGTAACTGGATTGCTGGGTGGAATGGTAGTTCTGTTTTTAGGTTTTGGAGAAATCACCATACTGCTTTCCAGAATGGTTGGACTAAGTTACACTCCCACAAACAGTGTATAATATCATAAATAATCTACCAGTTTTATATATTCAAGTCCTTTATCCCTTTACTTTACAGTTTCTGGGATCTATTGTCTAGTTTAATAAAATCTTCCCCATCTCAGGATTATCCCAGGATTATAAAAAATGTTATCCTATGTTTTATTTTAATGCTTCCTTATATTTGCTTTTTAAAAGTGTGTGTGTGTTTGCATGCACATGTGAGCGTGTGTGCATTGGGGTATCTCTGTGTGAAATACATCTCCATAAGCTAAAGAATATAATGAAAAAAATGGCTATGTACTTGACACTCAGGTTCAGAAATGGAATGTTACCAGTACTCTGGAAGGCCCTTGTGGGCCTATGTCTGATTATATCCTCCTGCTTTCCCCCAAGAGGTAACCACTGCCGTGAATTTGGTTTTAATTAGTCGCTTGTTTTTGTTTATAGTATTGCCACTTGTGTATATATCCCAAAATAATATACTGTTTATTTTTCTTATTTTGGGACTTTGTATAAATGGAATCATACTACATTTTATTTGTCCAGGTTTTGCAGAAAAACAGGACCAATAGGATATGAATTTATATAGAAAGTAATTTATTATAAGAAATTGACTCACACAATTATGGAGGCTGGTAATCCCAAACTCTGCAGGGTGGGCCAGCAACTGGAAATCCCAGAGAGCCAATGCTTCAGTTTCGGTCCAAATATCAGCAGACCGGAGACTCAGGAGCGCTTATGCTCCAGTTTGAGTCTGAATGCCATCTGCTACAGAACCAGAAAGAAGTGATGATGCTGCAGATGAAGTCTGAAGGCAGTCTGCTCTGCTGGAGAATTTTCTCTTACTTGGAAGAGGGCAGCCTTTTTGTTCTATTTATACATTCAACTGATTGGATGAGGCCAATTCACGCTATGGAAAGCATTCTGCTTTACTCAAAATCTACCTATTTAAATGTTAATCATGTCCAAAGGCACCCTCATAGAAACACCCGAATAATGTTTGACCACATATTTGATCACCCTGTGGCCCAGCCAATTTGACACATAATATTAAATATCACATCTATTTATTCCTCTGTGGTTTACTTTTTTGACTATTATGTTATTGCAATTCATCCATATTAATACATACAGAGGTAATTCATTTTCGCTATCATATTCAGTTTTTTTAATATACCACAATTTATGTGTTTCACAGTTGAAGGATATTTGGATTGTCTCATGTATTTATTATCTGAGGAAAGCTATACACATTTTTCTATATCACTCTTGATGTGCAGGTGAAGTACATTTCTTGTAGGCAACAAATCATTGGGTCTTGTTTTTCATCCATTATTCAGTCACTCTATGTCCTTTGATTGTAGAGTTTAATCCATTTACATTCAATGTTGTTATCGATAAGTAGGGACTTACTCTTGTGATTTTATTAATTTGTTTACTGTGTTTTATTATTTGCAGTCTTCTCTTCTTTCCTTTCTTCCTGTTTTAGTGAAGTGATTTTTTATGTTTTAATTTCTTTCTTTTTATTTTTTGTGTATCCAGTTTATGTTTTTTGATGTGGGGTTACCCTGAGGCTTGAAAATATTTCATAACCCATTATTTTAAACTGATGACAACTTAACACTGATTGCACAAATAAACAAGCAAACATACAAAAAGAAAACTAATAAAAACTACACTTTTACTTTGTCCCTTGCTTTTTATTTTTTTTGTTATTTGTGTCTTATTGTACTATGTCTTGAAAAGTTGATGTAGTTATTATTTTTATTGGTTCATCATTTAGTGTTTGTACTTAAGAGTAGTTTACACACCACAATTTCAGCATTATTATATTCCATGTTTTTCTGTGTGCTTACTATTACCAGTGAGTTTTTTATTTTCAAATGATTTCTTCTTTCTCATTAATGTACTTTTCTTTTAGATTACAAAACTGTCTTTAATATTTCTTGTAAGACAGTTCTGGTGCTGACAAAATCTCTGTGACTTGTTTGTCTGTGAATGTCTTAATTGCTCCTTCTTGCTTAAAGGATATTTTTGTATGGATATACAATTCCAGAGTAAAAATGTTTTTTCAGAACTTTAAATATGTTATGCCACTCTCTCCTGGCCTGTAAGGTTTCTACTGAAAAGTCTTCTGCCATACATATTGGAGCTCCATTGTATGCTATTTATTTCTTTTCCCTTGCTGCTTTTAGGGTTTTTTTATTATCGTCAGCTTTTGGAAGTTTGATTATTAAATGCCTTGAGGTAGTCTTCTTTGAGTTAAATCTGCTTGGTGTTGTACAACCTTCTTGCACTTGAATGTTGGTATACTTCTCTAGGTTTGGAATGTTCTCTGAGATTTTCCCATTGAATAAACATTCTGCCTATGCCTGTTTCTCTACTTCCTTTTTAAGACCAATAACTTAGATTTGCTCTTTTGAAGCTATTTTCTAGATCTTGTAGGCTTGCTTCATTGTTCTTTATTCTTTTTTCTTATGTCTCCTCTGACTGTATTTTCAAATAGCTTGCCTTCAAGCTCATTAATTCTTTCTTATGCTTGATCATTTCTGCTATTAAGAGACTCTGATGCATTCTTCAGTATGTCAGTTCAATTGTTCAGCTCCAGCATTTCTGCTTGATTCTTCTTATTTTCTTCTCTGTTAAATATATCTGATAATATTTTGAATTCCTTCTCTGTGTTATCTTAGAGTTGAGTTTCCACAATACAGCTATTTTGAATTTTCTGTCTGAAAGGTCACATATCTCTGTTTCTTCAAGATTGGCTGCTGCTTCTTTGTTTAGTTCATTTGTTGGAGTTATGTTTTCCTATATGGTGTTGATGCCTATAGATGTTCCTTGGTGTCTGGGCATTAAAGGGTTAGGTATTTATTGTAGTCTTTACAGTCTGGGCTTGTTTGTGCCTGTCCTTCTTGGGAAGACTTTTCAGGTATTCACAGGGACTTGGGCCCCAAGCCCAATTCTTGCAGACTCATAGAGGTACCTCCATCTTGATGGCCTTGGATAAGATCTCAAAGAATTCTCTGACTTACCAGACAGAGGATCTTATTCTTTTCCCTTCCTTTCTCCACCCAGAACATAGAGCCTGTTTTTCTGCTGAGCCACTGGACTTGGTGGTATGGTGATGCAAGCATTTCTGTGGCCACCACAACTGGGACTGTGCTGGGTCAGACCTGAAGCCAGCACAGCACTGGGCCTTAGCCAAGACCCTTCTCTTCAGGTTGGTGAGCTCCCCCAGGCCCTGGGGCTGTCCAAAAATATTTCTGAGAACCAGTGATTGGAGTCTAAAATCTTAGTAATTACCACATGTTCATTGTGGCTAAACTGGCACTCAAACCACAGTACAAAGTTTTTCCCATTCTTCCTTCTAGTTTCTGCAGGCCTCTCCCTATGGCCACCACCACCACCTGTCCACAGGGTGTTCTACCAGACCACCACTGACGCTTGATTATAGACCAAGAGTTCTTCCATCAGCTTATGTTGAATGCTTGCAGGACTGGGACTCACGCTTTAGGGCAGTGGACTCCCCTCTGGCCCAAGGCAGGTCCAGAAATGCTGTCCAAGAGCCAAGGCCTGGACTTGGGGACTTCAAGAGCCTAGTTGTTGTCCTACCTCACTGTGCCCGAGGTGGTACCTAAGGTGCAAGACAGAGTCTCCTTTACTTTTCTCTTTGCTTTTCTCAAACAGAAGGAGCTTGCACCATAGCCGCCACAGCCTGGAACATGCCAGGTACCCCCCAAAAGCCAACATGTCTCAGAGCCCAAGGCCCATTGCATACTCCCTGGGGCTGTTGGTTATTCAGGACTCAAAGGCTGTTTACTCAGCAGGTAACCATTCCTGCCAGGAATGGGTTCTTCCCTTCAAGGCAGTGGGTTCCCTTTCTGCTCAGGTTGTGTCTAAAAATGTTTTTCAGGAGTTAGGGCCTAAAATGAGGTCCTCACAACTTTTCCCAATGCCCAATCCTGTTGTGGCTGAGCTGGTATCCAAGATGCAAGTCAAAGTCCTCTTTACTCTTTTCACTCCTCTCCTTAAGCAGAAGAAAGGATTCACTTTTCTTGTTGCGAGCTGTACTTCCTGGGATTGGCAGAGGGGTGGTAAAGCCCTCCCTTAGCCATGCCAGCTGGCATCTCCCTAGATCACATGCCATCCGAGTTCACTGGTTCTAAGCCCAACCTAGTACTAGGAGTTGCATAAGAATTGCAATCCTTGTGTTCTAGACTGCCTTTCAAGTTTACCTAGAACCCCCAGAGCACTTCAGCTTGTGGTGGCAAGACTTTCCTAGAAACTCTAGTTCCTACCACTGGAATTGTGACTCCTCTCTGACTAAGCCTGTTCCAGATGCTCCCTCCATGCCTGGGTGCTAGCTGAGCCCAGCATTGCTTAGCTTATTCTTCACTGTGACGGAGCAGCACTGAGTTCAATGTAAAGTTCCCCATTCACTGTGCTCTGCCTCCCAAAAGTGCACAGATTATCTTTATGTGCTGCATAGCTCCTGACAGGGGTTAGAAAGGGGTGGCATCGTGATAATCCAAGACTGTCTCTCCAGCTCTCCTCAATGCATATGTCCATGATATGAAATGAAAACCAAGTACTGTGATTTCTCACCTGATTTTCAGATCTTGTGACGGTACTTTTCTTTGTGCATATAATTGTTAAAATTTGGTGTACCAGTAAGAGTGACAAATGGTGTAGGCATATATTCCGCCATCTTGCTCCACCCCTCTGATTTTTCAAATAATGTATAGAACTCTTACATGTTGGTCTTAAAAATTTGACTGTTTTATTTTTTATAATTTTCTTTTTATATGTCAAAATAATGAGATAATACTAACAGTAGCTAATGCTAATATAAATTATTCCCAGGCACTCTTCCAAGTACTTTGCATGTAATAACTTATCTAATCCTTACAACCTCATGAAGTAAGTACTATTGTTATTCTCATCGTCAAAATAAGGAAGATAAGGCAGAGATATGTTAAGTCTGCCCAAATTCTTTAAGTTCCAACTCAGAATTGAGGCTGATGTTTTTTGCAGGAGGTTCTTTACAAAATTATTAATTAGAAATGTGAAATTTTTATTGTTCCCAACAAATAAAAAAAAAGTGGGTTTGAAAAAGAGGTATCTTAACCTGCTGAATAAGAATTTTGATTAGATTATTTCAATGTATGGTTTTATGGAGATGATCCCAAAGCAAATTTGCATAGCTATTGTCAGTATTATGCTCCTTATTCCTTTTGCCTTTGAACACTACTGATTCTTATGCTACATGTATGTAAGTATTGGCCAATATAAGTTCACATTTTGAAAACAATGTGGCTAAGAATAAAAAAAAATTAAAATAAAACAATATCCAAAACCATTGCCAAAGCAAGAATTGCTCAAATGTATGATAAACTATTTGATAATCTGGGTTGTGGACATGATGAATATGCTTATCTGTTCTCCTCTAACTGCCACATATGCTTACTCCGTATTGACATGGAGTCTTCAGCTGTTCAATTTTTAAGGGCAATATTTTAATGAAATTTTATTTTTAAAATTAACAATAATTAAATGAACCTCCTCAAATACCACTAGTTATGAAATGTTGCTGTTGTATAATATGTGTGAACCTATAAATGTGTATATATGGAATTGCTGCATTGTTTGGTATGTGAATTTTAAACTTACAAGGTAATATTGATCTTTTTCTACATGTATACTTATTTATACTCTCTTGAGCAATGTATAAGACATGCTTGAGGTTAAAAGACCAAGTTCTTTACTCATATTTTCTGCTAAAAGTTTTAAAATTTTGCTTTTGATAATGACATATGAAATACATTTGGAATTTATTTTTATTTATAGAATGAGGACAGAATGCAATTTCATTTTTTCCACATGGATAAGTCTTTTTCAGATCCATTTATTGAATGGTTTCTTTTTCCCCACTGATCTTCTATGCAACTGTTTAAAAAAATTAATTGGGAGATGACTAGGCTGAGGTGGCTCCAGTACTCTTGGTTTATATGTAAGGAAATAAGTGCTCATCTCAGCGTAGGTGGTCATAGCCTAAGGCAAGAAAACTTAAGCTTAACCAATCATAAACTAACCTCTCACTTGGGATTTTAAGGCTATGGTCTCACTTTAAATAATCAAATATATATATTTTAAAATCTTATTTTGTAGACTACCTTTTGAAAGTTTTTCCCTCGTACCTCTTTGGTGGAGCCCCAACTGCTTGTGGTCTGGTGCTGCCCAATTCATGAATCTCTGTCTGCTCAAATAAACTCTTTAGCATTTAAAAATGCCCAAATTTATCTTTTTGTTTGTTTGTTTTGTTTTGTTTTTGTTTTGAGATGGAGTCTCACTTTGTCACCAGGCTGGAGTACAGTGGCATGACCTTGGCTCATTGCAACCTCTGCCTCCTGGGTTCAAGTGATTCTCCTGCCTCAGCATCCTGAGTAGGTGGGACTACAGGCACACGCCACCATGCCCAGATAATTTTTGGATTTTTAGTAGAGACGGGGTTTCACCACGTTGGCCAGGATGGTCTTGATCTCTTGACCTTGTGATCCGCCCATCTCGGCCTCCCAAAGTGCTGGGATTACAGGCCTGAGCCACCATGCCTGGCCACCTAAATTTATCTTTAAACACTACCTGTGTCATAAATCACCATTCCATGCATGCATGGGTCTGTTTTTGGATCTCTATTATATTCCTTTGGAAAATTTTCTTTTCCAGTGGTAATACCACAGTGTCCTGATTATTATAGCATCATAATTATACCTAACATCTGGTATGGTATTATCTCTATTCTTACTCTTTCTATTTGTATTTAAATTTTAGTAAGCTTATTAAGTTCTAGAGGAAAACCCTGCTAGGGTTTTGAATAGAGTTGCATTAAAATTCAATTATAGATAAATTTGGAGAGAACAGACATACCTACAAGGATGTCTTCTAATTAATGAAGATGTGATATTTCTCCATTTATCTGTCTTATGTAATATATTTCAATGCTTTTTAATACTTTTTTTTATTTAGGCCATGCACATATTTTGTGAGATTTACTGGCAAGTACTTTATAGTTTATGTTGCTATTGTAAGTATTGCCTTTTAAGAAAATTGTACTTTCTAGTTGTTTGTGCATGTATACAAACGTAGAATTAACATTTGTAAATTCACCCTTTTTTCAGTCAGGGTTATGGAGGCATAAATGACACCAATTAAAATCCACCCTTATGAAAAATATATGATTTTATGAGTTTTCAAAAACACTACCAAAATTAAGATATAAGAGAGTTCAATCACCCTCCAAAATTCCCTTATATGCCCCTTTACAATTAACTCTTGCTTCTGGCAACCAGAAGCCTATCATTTTGCATTTTTAAAAATATGATTTAAATGAAATCATATAGTAGCCTTTTAAGTCAGGTTTCTTTCACTTAGCAACATGCATCTGAGGTCTGTTTACATTGTTGTGTGCCTCGGTAGTGTGTTCATTTTTCTTGCTGAGTAGTATTCCATTGTTTGGATGTACCACACATCATACTCATTCATTTACCAATTGTTTCTAGTGTTGGGCTAGAATAAAGCCATTAAAATATTCACATGTAGGTTTTTTTATAAAAATATGTTTTATATCTCTTTGGTAAATACTTAGGAGTAGGATTGCAGGGTTGTATGGTAAGTGTATATTTCACTTTTTTAAAGACAAGGTCTTATTCTGTTGCCCAGGTTGGAGTGCAGTGGCACAATCACAGCTCGCTGCAGCCTAGATCTCTGAGGCTCAAGCTATCCTTCCACCTCAGCCGCTTGAGTAGCTGGGATTACAAGCATGCACCACCATGCCCAACTAACAGTGCATGTTTCAACTTTGTAAAAGAAAGTGTTAAACTGTTTTCCAAAGAGACTGTATTTTGCACTAACTCAGGGCACGTGACTTCATCCAAACTTCTGCACTAAGTGATGACCAGCTTTCTAGCATGTCTTCTAGCAGTGCAAAGTTGTGTCCTTAAGATGACCCCAGCCCCACATTAAAATTCCTGCCTGAGAAAGCTCAGAATGTTCTGGTTTTTTTAGCCAACAGTTGATGATATGCCCTTGACCTCCCTTTCTTAGAACATTTGCTGAAAAGGACTTAAAATTGTGAATCCTTTCTCTGTCCCTTTGAGATGTATATGTATCTTCTAAGACTCTAGAAGGTCTTTATCAAGGATCTGAAAGCCATTCGTTTGAAATGTAATCATCAGGAAAGATGGAGCTTCTCTCTCTCAGTTTCTATGGGAGGATAGAATCCTGACTTCCATAACTGCCAGTTAGCAGACACAGCTGGCCAAATCACATTTACCCAGAACAACCCCTGGTTATTTTTCACATCAACCCTGATCTCCCTCCCATCCCTACTGCCTCATTGTTCCTTTAAAAGGCCAGTCACCTCTGGAAAAATTTAGAGAGGTCAACTCTTTCCCCCAGTCTCCATTACTTGCTGAATAAAACCTAGTTTCAATGCTTTATCTTTGACAGAATTCCAGATGCTCTAAATACTTACTAGCACTTGCTTTTTTTTTTTTTTTTTGAGATGGAGTCTCGCTCTGTCACCCAGGCTGGAGTGCAGTGGCGCTATCTTGGCTCACTGCAAGCTCCGCCTCCCGGGTTCGTGCCATTCTCCTGCCTCAGCCTCCCGAGTAGCTGGGACTACAGGCGCCCACCACCACGCCCAGCTAATTTTTTTGTATTTTTGGTAGAGACGGGGTTTCACCGTGTTAGCCAGGATGGTCCCGATCTCATGATCTTGTGATCTGCGCGCCTCGGCCTCTCAAAGTGCTGGGATTACAGGCGTGAGCCACCACGCCCGGCCTAATTTGCTTCTTTCTAATGACTAAAAATTTTGAACTTTTTTTTTTCGTGTCTGTCTTAGTCCTATTTGTGTTATTATAAAGGAATATCTAAGATTGGGTATTTAAAAAGAAAAAAAATTATTTGGCTCATAGTTCTTTAGACTGTATAAAATCACGGCACCAACATATGCATCTGCTGAGAGCCTCAGGCTGCTTCCACTCATGGCAGAAGAGGAAGAGGAGCCCACATGGGCAGAGATCACATCCAAGAGAAAGCAAGAGAGAGAGGGAAGGGAGATATCAGGCTCTTTTTATCAAGTAGCTCTTGAGGGAACTAGTAGAGTGGAAACTCACTCATTACCTAAAGGACTGAACAAAGCCATTAATGAGAGATCTTCCCCCATGACCGAAACAGCTTCCATTAGTCTCCACCTGCAACATCAGAGATCAAATTATAGCATGAGATTTGGAGAGGTAAAACCAAAGTAAAGCAATGTGCTTATTTGATGTTTATTTATCTTCTTTGCTGAAGTATCTGTTCAAATATTTTGCCCACTTTTCATTCACCTTTATATTTTATACTTTTTTTAATTTTTAAATTCCTTTATCTATTTTAGGTATCAGTCATTTATCAGTTATGCGTTCTTCAAATTTGCTATCTTAGTCTGTATTATCTTTTCATTCTGTTTCAAAGAGTGGAAGTTTTAAAATCTTTTACTTATTTGTTTTTCTGTTTGTTTATTTATTTATTTATTTATTATTTTTACCTCGATACAGGAAAAAAGTTCAAATATTGATGAAATCCAGTGTATCCATTACTTTTATAGATTTTGCTTTTGGTGTCATATCTAAGAAATCTTTGCCTAACTCGAGATCATGAAGAATTTCCCTTATATTTTCAGCTAAATGTTTTATAATTTAGGTTTTATATTTAGGTTTGTTGTCTATTTAGACTTAAATTTTGTATGTAGTGGGATGTATGAATCAAGGGTCATTGTTTGGGATATGGCTTTCCAATAATTCAAACACTATTTGTTGCACCTTGGTCAAAAATTAATTGGATATTTATCTGTGAATCTATTTCTGGAATCTTTATTATGCTCCATTAATCTATATATTTTTCCTTTCATCAACACCATGCTATCTTGATTACTTTAGTTTATGGTAGTCTCGAAATAAGACAGTTAAAGATTTCCAACTTAATGAATTTCAATTTTTTTTTTGGCTATTCTAATTCCTTTGCTATTCAATGTCAATTTTAGAATAAGCTTGTTGATTTCTATAAATATTTTTTCTGACAATTTTATCAGAATCGCATTGCAATTACAGATCATTTTTAGGGAACTTACATCTGGAAAACATTGAATGTTCCAACATATGAACAATTTTAAGGTATTTTTGATTGTTTCATCAGTGTTTTGTGTTTTTTAACATGTAGCTATTGCATGTATTTTGTTAGACGTTTACCTAACTATTGCATATTTTTGTGCTATTGGAAACTACTGTTTATCATCTAATTATTACGTATAATATTATATATTATCTTGTTTGGTCATGGTGTGTTTTCTTTTTCATACACTGTAAGATTTAGTTATCTTTTTGTTTAGGATTATAGCATCTGTAGTCATAATTGAAATCACCTATAATTGTGTTTTCTCTTCCTATCCTTCTTTGAATTTATTGTCATGATTATACCAGCCTCACATAATACGTTGTGTAAAATTTCTTCTTATTCTATTTTTTTGGAAGAGTTTGCATAATATTGAAAAGTTCCTTGAACGTTTTGCTTGTAAATTTTATCTGGGCCTGGTGCTTAATTTGTGTGAAGTTTTTAAGTAACTGCTTTAATTTCTGTCACACTAATTTAAATCTTCACATACTTTTATTTCTTCTTGAGTCAGTTTTGGTAATTTATATATTTCCAGGAAGTTTTTCATTTCATCTAACTTTTCAAGTTTACTGACATAAGGTTTTTGAAAAACCTTTCTAATATCTTCTTTAACTGTGCCCATATTTCATTTTTTATTTATAATTATACCATCTATCTTTTTTTTAAGAAAAATCTTGCTATAGGCTTTTTTATTAATGTTTCTATATCTGAATCCTGTTTTTGTTATTCACAGATCTCAGTGACATGCTTGATACATCCAATATCCGCTAAGCTTTAGTAATAGCTAGAGGCTATCAGATTTCATCCAGAAAAAAAAGTGTTCATTTGTACTGGGGTTAGAACATTTAATATAAGTATTGGAGGTCATAATTTTTAGGCATTTTCTTGAAATCTTATTGAAATTTCTCCTCCCTTGTCTCTTTATCTTTTAGCTATCAAGTGTGAAAAATAATAGGGCATTTCACTTCAGCTACAGTAAAATAAAGAGAACTATTAGTGAAATTAAAAGTGGATGATTAAAACTATTTGTGTACTCTAATCTTGTTGAGCTGCTTAGATTTCAATGTACAGTGTATATAGCAGCATTTTCACTTATGATATTAACACAAAATATATAAACCCCTTTTCTTCCCCTTTCTTAAGCTTGCTATATGCCAACCAAGATACCTAAAATATACAATGTTGATAAGTCGAGAAGCTGGCAGCTATTAGTTGTTCTTGCAAAACAAACCAAAAAACAACCTGTAACTTGGAAACTCACACATGAGCAGAAACGGTGCATTACTATGAGGGCAAAGTAGGAATGAGACAGGTACTGTTTCTTCTTCAGAAAACTTGCATCTAATACGTTATTATTCTTTATAACACATTACAGAATCTTCTTTGAAATTCCACTACAGTGGACTTCACAATACCACTTACTGACTCTTAAAAATTATTTCCTTAGAGACAGGGTCTTGCTATTTTGCCCAGGCTAGCCTGGAACCCTTGGGCTCAAGGGATTCTCCTACCACAGGCTCCTGAGTAGCTGGGACTACAGGTATGCACCACCATGTTCAGTTACCACTTATTGTTTTATATTGCAGATCATATATCATTCATTTGCATACTGTTGTGCAGCTATCTCTTGCACTAAGGCAGAGTTGTTATGCATGTGGGCTCTGAATTCAAGCTATTTTGGTTTAAATTCTGGCTCCACAACTTCCTAGCCATCTGGCTGCTGGCAAGTTGTTTAAACTCTGATTCCTCATCTGTTAAATGAGGATACTACTTACCTTACATGACTGTTGAAAAGATTAAACGAATTAATCTGTGAAAAACTTTGGCATGGTACTTGCTACATAGTAAAATCTAATTAGCTCTTTTAATACATGACAGAGAAGTTTTTAATTTTTTTTACTGATGTTTAAATCAGTTTCAGGTTCTGCCTATATTTGGGTATTGATTTATAAAACCTTAGCCATAGCCAAAGTGTTAGAGTATAAAAGTAAAGGAGATGTGAACTATCTAAAATACAGAAAGTAGAAATTACATCAGAAATTTAGGAGGAGAATATTTTGAAACAATAGTCTTGAAAATAAGAAGCAGTTTTTACATGTTCTCTAATTTATTTATTTAAAATTAATTTTTAATTGACAAATAATACTTTTACATACTTATGGTACATGAATACATTGTGGAAAGATCAAATCAGGCTAATTAACATATTCATCACATCACATACTGATTATTTCTTTGTGGTGAGAATATTTAAAATTCATTAAATTTTGAAATACAGGATACATAATTTTTTTTTTTTTTTTTTTTTTGAGACAGAGTCTTGCTTTGTTGCCCAGGCTGGAGTGCAGTGGCACAGTCTCAGTTCACTGCAACCTCTGCTTCCTGGATTCCAGCGATTCTCCTGCCTCAGCCTCCCGAGTACCTGTGATTACAGGCATAATCCTGGCTACTTTTTGTATTTTTAGTAGAGACGGGGTTTCACCATGTTGGCCAGGCTTGTCTCGATCTCCTGACCTCAGGTGATCCGCCCGTCTTGGCCTCCCAGAGTGTTAGGATTACAGGCGCGAGCCACTGCTCCTGGCCGATACGTTATTTTTAACTGTAGTCACCATGCTGTGCAATAGATCACCAGAACTTATTCCCCTGTTTAAAATGGAAACTTTGTTCCCTATGATCAATGTCTTTCCTTGCCCCAACCACCTCTACATCCCTCAGTCTCTGGTTAACCACCACATTCTATTCCCTACTACTATGAGTTCAGCTTTTTAGTATTCCACATATCTTTTTAAGTAAAGGCCTATAGCCGGGCGTGGAGGTCCATGCCTGTAATCACAGCTACTCAGGAGGCTGAGGCAGGAGAATCACCTGAACCCGGGAGGCGGAGGTTGCGGTGAGCCGTGATTGCGCCATTGCACTCCAGCCTGGGCAACAAGAGCGAAATTCCGTCTCAAAAAAGAAAAAGTAAAGGGCTAAAGTGATGATGTAGTTTTATGAGTACAGTCATGAAAAGATGTCTCAAGTCTGTTGTTAATTTGAAAAAAAAGTTAAAATATGTATATTTATGGAATAAACGCATTCTTTTAAACTCTCTGTGAATGTATTTTTACATGTAAATGTATCTTTAAAAAATATGGAAGGTAAATGATTAAGATGTTAACAGCATTTATCTTTGAGTGTTCTGAGTGGCATATTCTAGGTTATTTACTCTTATTTCTTAAAATGTATGCAATATTTTAAAATTCAGAGTATACAGATAAAACTCTTTATTCTTCTTAAATAAGAAAACCATTGATACTTTGGGAAAAAAAGAAAGCCTAATTCAAGAATCAGAGAAGAGAGTAAATGTTCACCACTTGTCTAAAGTAAACTGGAGTAATCCTTTATGAAAAATTATATCTGCCACTTTTGTTAGTCAAAGCATCACATTCTTATGATATGCTTCTTCAACCAGAATGTCTTTACCAGGGATCAACTTTATAAATAACATAGCAGTGTATGTTGACCTCACAAATACAAGGGTTTATATTTGGATATATTAAATAATAGGCAAATGGTTTGTAAAATATCCAGTGTGCATTTGGGAGTTTAGGGAAGAGGACTTGGAAGTGTTGGCTTTATTTGACTTACAGTTGGTGTTGTTTACCCTGAATTGGAAATGGACAAACATAATCTATACAATAGTGTTTTGGCTATGCTTGGCTTCCAGAGCACAGAAATGAATTTTGTGTTTGATAATTTGTATTGTTTCTTAAATACAGAGCTTATTTTAAAGACATTTTGTTCCTTGAGAATCAGAGTATAAATATAATCAAAATGTCTAGCATAGACATATCTTATTTTCACCTATAAGTCACTCTTCTGTAATAGACTTAATGAAATCAGATTACTATGCCTCTAAAATGGTCAAATTTTAGGAGCTATTTTAGGTTGAAAAAAGCCACTGGTCTTGTGATGCTTAAAGATGATCAAACCAACTGTTTTTAGGTCAGTCACACCAAAGGTGGAGTGTTTAAGGCAGAGGCGAAAGGTAGATTTAATTAAGAAAGAGGAAGGGCCATCTAGACTGTCCTGTTTCAAAGTGTTGTTTCTTAAATTCCAACCTATACTAGTAGTTACAGCTTTTAGAGAACATGCTACGTGCCAGGCATTGTGCTAAAAGTTTTACATGTATTTTCTCTTTTAGTTTTCACAATAATTCTGAGGTAAGGTAACTTATTACCATTAGCCTGTTAAAAATGGGGAAACTGAGGCATAGACATTCCCATGATTAAATATTATTAGGGTTTCAAAAGAAGTTTGCTCGACTCTAGAGCATCACTACATTACAAAATCATGTCTTAGTATCTGTAAGGGATTAATTCTAGGCCCCTGCTTTGGTTACCAAAATCCACAAATGCTCAAGTCCCTTATATACAATAGTGGAGTATTTGCATATAACCTATGTGCATCCTCCCATATACTTTAAATCATCTCTAGATTACGTGTAATACCTAATATAATTCCTACACATCACTTCATTTGCATGAATTCAACATAGTACTTGGTGTGCAGCAAATTCAAGTTTTGCTTTTTGGAACTTTGTGGATTTTTTTTTTTTTAACAGTATTTTCGATCCATGGTTTGTTGAATACAAAGATGCTGAACCCATGGATAAGGAGGATTATCCCTCCCTATAAGCACTGCCAAAGAACAACCTTTATTTTATTTTCTGGCTTACCCAACCAAAGTTTATTTCTTGCTCTCATTACATATCTAGCATGGGTCAGAATAACTTCTAATACTTCAAAAACAGTACATGAATCTAAAGAGGTAGAGAAGTTCAGTGACCTAAGGATAAAATACGCTTAACTGAACAAGAATATTTGCACTTGGCACTGTGCAGCATTCCTTGAAGATGGCCTGTGCCTAATCTAAATACAAGAATGTTAAATGATATCCCAGAGAAAACTGCAGCTTAGGAACTGAGGCCAGTAAACAGCTGTGACCTCAGTCAAGCAGGCAGTGTTTTCATTCTGCAAGCTGTGCCTCATGCTTCTTTGGCTAGAGCTATGTATATTTAATTAGTGTCCTCTCACCTTCACAGTACATGTTTTCCCACTTGACAGTTTTTGATACCAAAAGAATGTCCTTGAGAAAAACGTAGGGCCTATTGGCTACTCAGCATATTATTTTACTTGGTATTCAAGCATTCTAATGAAAGAATTGAGAATAATGAAAGACAGTGGGGCGTAGAGCCACTTTAACTGACACTGTCAGGTCGGTCAAAGCTATTGAACAGTTTCTATTAAATTAGCTTAGCTTCATCTAGGCTAGTTAAAGCTGACATGCTGACAAATTAGTTTCTGT
Organism: Homo sapiens; assembly: GCF_000001405.40. NCBI lineage: Eukaryota > Metazoa > Chordata > Mammalia > Primates > Hominidae > Homo > Homo sapiens. The sequence goes on along the minus strand of NC_000023.11, from coordinate 93,594,630 downwards.
CTGTTCAGAAAAAGAGTAAAGAAGAGCATATTTACATTTGGAGGCTTAGTGACAGTCACATTACAAGGTCAACAAGAATATATCCATCACAGAACTGTTTGTCTCCTGTCAATACTTTGGATGATCAGCTTCAAAGTATTTAGCCCTTCTCTAGGTGAGTGCGTTTCTCCTAATGAATGTTATTTCGTTATTTATTTTAAATAATTTAACAGATGATTATAGTTTTGTTGTTTGTTGGAAATCCAAATGTAAATTTTAATACAGCAGTTCTACTTATAGAGATGTGGCATAAGATAGTGCCACCACCCCAGTAAAAAAGTAGTAAATTAAGATGCTCATTTTCTTACCAATATGAGTTTATTCTTTGGCTTAGAATAAAGTTGAATATATGATTAAAAATGGAGACAAAATTGGTCCTATCCGATTTTTTTTCATCCTATGAATCAGATTGCAAGCCATATGGAGTTTAGAATCTTTACGAACATAAGGGAAAAATAACTGTCATAGAGAGAATCTTAGCCCCTTCTAGGAATTCTTTTGTATGTGAATCAAGAGCTCTTAACTCAAACTAGTTTTAAAAACTGACTCTTACACAAACCAATGTCATGAATGCATAAAATAGCTCACTTCTTTATGTTGCTCATAATCAAAGGAAAACTTATTCTGGAGACATTAGAAAATGGGGTATATCAAAACGACCTTCTGTTGTGCATACGTACAGTGAAAAAAGTGTCTCTACCATCACTTGGTGCTCTCTCCCTTCATCCCCCGTTTAGCTGATTCCCCTTTTGTTGCCCAAACTTTTCAATGATATCATTCATCCAGGCCAAATCTCTTCATGCTTCCAAATTCTCTCCTCCTCTCTCCACTCTATCTTCATACTGAGTCACATTTTAGAGCTCATTTTACTATTTAGTCAGATCACTCCTTCCAGGAGGTTAAATAGATGATAGCTCCCCCAGAGAAACTTTGTATTTTAAAAGAGAGCAAATGAATTAATATCTACTTGTTAGAATTTAAAAACTGTCTCAAAATAAATTATTATTCAAGAAGATTTCAAAGGCAAAGGCTTCTACCTGGCACTTCTAAATTGCCCTACCTACTTTTTTTTCCTGACTACTCCACTCCATTTTTTCTTATTTCCTCAGTCTCCTTCCCACAGTTAAAATCAATAGGTCTTAGTATCCAATTGAAGTTCCTCTATTTACCATTTCCCACAGATTGTGAGAGATGGTCCTCGGGTTTCATACCTGCTCTATTAGTTATAACATTGCAAAACAAGTTGCCTCAAAATTTAGTGGCTGAAAACAATAATAAACATTTTTATTTAAAACTTTGGTAAATGAAGAATTTGGGAGAAGCTTAGCTGAGTGGTTCTGGCACAGGGTCTTTTGCAAGTCTTCAATCAAGGTGTGAACTGGGGCTGCAGTTACCTAAAGGCTTGACAGGGAGATTATCCACTTTCAGGCTCACTCATGTGGCTGTTGGCTGAAGATATCAGTTCCGTTGGGCTGCTCACAAATGGCTCTTTAATTCAGAGAGAGAGAAAAGAAAAGGAAGAGAGAAGAGAGAATGGAAGAACCCAAGCTAGAATTTGTATTTTATTTTTATATAACCTAATCTTGGAAGTGAAATCCCATTATTTCTTTTCCTTAGAAGCATCTCAGTGTAGGCCCACTCCACAGTCAAGGGGACATAATGACACAGGACCAGAATACTAGGAGGTGGAGCATATTGGGGTTCATCATAGAGGCTTTCTACCACATTTGCATACACACAAATGAAGGGATGAGAAGGTTAAAATATCATTCTTAGAATGTTTGTTATTTGAAGTTGTATATAGATTTTAAGCTTGGTTATATCTATAGATGTCCATGTATCCTAAACCAGTTACTCTTAGATGACATACTTTTTGAGAGTGCATGCTTATATGCTGACCATGTGTCAGGCATCATACAATATACTGTTGACATAAATGTGAGTAGAACAATCTCTGCCCTGCAGGTCCTTCTAGTCTAGTGGAGGTGACTAAAAGGTAAACGAAGCCTACTACAAAAAGCACATCTTAGCATAGGAGATTGACTAAATTTTGTGGATAATGAAGTGCATAACTTTGCCTGGGTATCTGGGAAAGGAATTGTAACTTGACCTAAGTCTTGAAGTAAGAGTGGTATGTGTGGAGGGGGCAGAATAGGAGAGTGAATTACATGCAACAGCAAGAACAACATGAACAAAGATGTGGAGTCAAGAAGCATAGGCACATTAAGGAACCCAATGTGTTCAGCAAGAGGAGTTCTGATTGTGTGATATAGGGAGATAAATCAGAGGAGGATTGACATGTAGGCAGGGAATGGGTAATATCCGGCCTTGAGTGCTATGTTAAGGGCTTTGGATTTTACACTGAGGTTAATGATGCACTTCTGGAAACATCTAAGCAAAGAGTTAAGAAGGCTGGTAGTTTAGAAACATCACTCCAGCTACAGTGTGGATTGCAAGGCAAGGTGGAGGGGGAGTTGGGATTATGGGGCTGTAACATAGGGTTAAAGAGCATGTATTTTGGCTTTGGATAATTGCTGCTCCACAGTTTACATAGAGTAACTACATCTCTTTCAAATCTTCAGATTCCTCACTGGTCAAATGCTGATGGGTATAGCATCAATCTCATAGGGTTGTGATGGAGATTATAGAAGCTGATAAATACAAAGCACTTAGTAGAGTTTCTGACTCATAGCAATTGCTCCATAAATGATAGCTCTTCTTATTCAGCCTATTTCAAAAGAGACCAATTAAGAAGTTTTCACAATAATTCTGGTAAAAGAGGAGGGTGACCTGGATTATAGTGTTGGCATTACTGAAGGACAGATGTGGATGCCATAGAGAGATTTCCAGGAGGTAAAATCAATAGGTCTTAATATCCAGTTGGAGTTCCTCTATTTACCATTTCCAAGGAATCTATTAGTAACCACATAAGACTGCAGCTTTTGTTTGACTGGACAAAAGAACTAGTGATAGGCTGAACTATATGACATCAATACAGACCCCTAGTGGCTTGATGCTGATATAAAACTTGCACTTTAATCCTGCTTTGAGAATTAAGGTTGACTGAAACTGTTCCTTTCTCTCACTCTCTTCCTTTATATTAATATTAGAAATTATATAAAGAATACTTGCTTAATTAAGGAAGAAACGGATTTAAAAACCTAGGAAATAAAAATCACTTATATTATTCTTGATAGGTCTTGATAGACAACTGGGCCTTTTGTTTAATTGTTGTCAAAAATGAATGGCTGAATAAGGAGTGCTCCAAAACAAACAAATAAAAGCATTTTCTTTCCTTTTGAAGATGGCCTCTAATAATTAAATGGCTTATATATAAGGTGATAAATTAAATTACTAAGGGTATATTTAGAAGATGCAGTAGGCAGAATAGTGTCCACATTTTTTGGTGGGGTGGGTAGAGGGCACTATTCTGTGAATCCCAGAAATCTGTGAATTTGTTATCCTATGTGGTAAAAGGAACTTTGGATATGGGATCAGGTTAATGATGTTGAGATGGGAGATGATCTAGGATTATCTGGAGGTGGGGGGTGGCTAATGTTAATTCATTCACAAGATGCCTTTAAAAATGTAAGACGGAGGCAAGAGTCACAGAAGGAGATGTGATTATAGAAGTAGAGGTCAAGATGATGAGATTGCTGGCTTTAAAGGTGGAGGAAGACGCCATGAGCAAAGGAATACAGACAGTTTCTGGAAGCTGGAAAAGACAAGGATATTGGTTTTCTCTTGAAGAATCCAAAAGCAACAGAGCCCTGTCGTTAACTTGATTTTAGCCCAGGGATACACATATCTGACTTCTAACATCCAGAAATGCAGGATAATAAATTTGTATTGTATTATGACACTAAATTTGTGGTACAATTTTGGGGCAGCAGCAAAAGGAAACTAATACAGATGTCTTCAAATCAGGACTTACTGTTTTTTTTTTTTAATTTAAATTTGATTTTTAACACATTTATTGAGATACAATTTACATACCATACCATTTACTCATTTAAAGTGTACATTTCAAGTTGGGTTTGGTATATCCACAGATATGTACAGCTATTACCAAAGTGAATTTTAGAACATTTTTATCACCTCACAAAGAAAGCACATACCCTTTTTCTAGCACCCTCCATCTTACTTTTCCTTCGCCAGCCCTAAGCAATTACTAATCTTTCCTGTCTCTATTCATTTCCCTATCATAGATTTTTGTGTGTAAGCAATTACTATAGTTTGCATATTTGGCTCTCCAAACCTGATGTTAGAATTTGATCCCCAGTGTTGGAGAGGGAGCTTAGTGAGAGGTGTTTAGGTCATGGGGGTGGATCCCTCATGAATGGCTTGATGCTATCATCCTTGTACTTGTGATAATAAGCAAGTTCTCATTCTATTAGCTCCCATGAGATCATACTCCTACCCTCCCTACTCCCCACCCATTCTCCCCAGCCCAGAGCGGCTTGAGAAAAAAAGCCTTGCACCTTTCCCCTCTCTTGCTTCTTCTATCACCAAGCGATCTCTGTATGTTAGAAGTCAGATATGTATCTCGCTGCCAGGAGTAGAAGCAACCTGAGGTACTCACCAGAAGCCAAGGAAATCAGGCTGATGTGGATGATCCTTGCACATCAGTCTGAAGGATTATCTCTAGTATTTCCTGTAAGTCTGATATGCTAACAACATCTTAATTTCACCTTCGTTTTTGAACAAGATTTTATAAAGGAGATTTTCTAGGAGGAGATTTTCTATAATTCTGGAGAGATAGTCATTTTCTTTCAATTCTTTGAAGATATCACCCCACAATAGTCTTATGTTGTTCAAGATTTCTAATGAGAAGTCAGCTGCCAATCTTATTGAAAAAACTTGTTTCTGTTAAATTATTGTCCTTTGCTGCATTCAAGATTTTTCTCCCTGTCTTTGACTTTTTCAATTTGACTGTGGTATGTCTTGATGTGGTTCTCTTTCAGTTTATACTATTTTGAATTTCCTGGGCTATTTGGACCAGTAGATTAGTGTTTTTCATCAGACTTAGCAAGATTTCAGCCATTATTTCTTCAAATACTTAATTGGCCCCTTTATTTTCTCCTTCTGTGTGTCCATTATGCATATGTTGGTATTCTTGATGGTGTCCCACTGGTTTCTGATGTGCTGGGTTTTTTTTTTTTTTTTTTGAGACGGAGTCTCGCTGTCGCCCAGGTTGGAGTGCAGTGGCGCGATCTCGGCTCACTGCAGGCTCCGCCTCCCGGGTTCACGCCATTCTCCTGCCTCAGCCTCCCGAGTAGCTGGGACTACAGGTGCCCGCCACCTCGCCCGGCTAATTTTTTGTATTTTTAGTAGAGATGGGGTTTCACCGTGTTAGCCAGGATGGTCTCGATCTCCTGACCTCGTGATCCGCCCACCTCGGCCTCCCAAAGTGCTGGGATTACAGGCGTGAGCCACCGCGCCCAGCCTGGGTTTTTTTTCTTTACTCTTTTTGTTTCTTTTTGTTCATCAGGTAGGTTTGCTGATTCTTTCTTTTGTCATTCAAATATGTTGTTGAGCTCCTCTAGTCCATTTTTAATTTCAGTTATTGTATTTCCCAGCTCCCGAATCTTTATTTGATTGTATTAAAATAATTTCTCTCTATTGATATTCTCTGAGGAGATATTTGTCATACTTTCCTTTAATTCTATAAACGTGATTTCCTGAAGTCTTTGAAGATAGTTGCATTAGCTGATCGAAAGCCTTTGTCTCTAGTTATCTCTTAGTGCTATTTTCTAGTGTCTTTTTATACCCATTAGTATGTGATATATTTTTGTTTCTTTCCCTGTCTTGTAATTTTTCATTCAGAAATGAAAATTTTAAGTATATATTTTGTCAACTCTGGTATCTGATTCCTATATCCCCAAGATTTGTGATTGTTGGCTTTACTCTTGTGGTTGTGCTATTGTTTTTTGTTCACACTTATTTGTTTAGCACTCTCCTGGACTATTTCTCTAAATTATATATTCTCTCTAGTGTATGGCCTCTGGGATTTCTGCCAGATTTTTTATAAGTACTAATTTTTATTTCAAGCCTGGATTCCTAGTGATCACACCTGGGTCATTGTAAATTTAGTGGTCAGCCAGTGATTGGCCAGATTTCCTTAAATGCCTTTCCCAAATGACTTCTACCCTTTGTCAAGAGAATCTGTGTGAGAAAGTATGTCTTCACACTTTAGGGAGCTTTCAAAAAGGCTTTACCTTTCTCTTCCTGCTTTTACAGGGTGGCAAGGTCAGTCAGAGTTGAGTGACTTGTGTTTTGTCCTCTTCTGGGCATGTCCATATTGTCATACATACACGCATCATTTTAAATCCCTTGGAATCTTTTGGAGCTTTTCCTATGGTCATTTAATTCTCCAGGATTAGCTTTTCAATTCTCATTCAGGTACTTATTTGCCTCAATCGATATCACAGCCTTAGATAGCTGAGATGTTGCCAGCAGTTTATGAATTTTTTTTTTTTTTGTAATGTCGTAGGTTAGGCATAGCATTTTTTTTCTCTCTAAGCTGAGCTGTGAGTCAAATACCCACCCTACTCTGAGAACAGAGATTTCTAAGGGAGCTGTAAGTTCAGATAAATTATTGACTGTTCTCTGGGGATTGTGCACTAACAGAACTCCAAAAGTAGTTAGAGCTCTCCATTGTTGGAAATACCATTCAGTTTTGACTCCTGCACCACCGAACTGGAGGGGGAGGGTGGAAATAACCTCAAGTAAAAATGTTACGGCCTCTGTTGTCTTATTGCGGTTCAATAGTTTCTCTTTTATAGACAATTTTTTGGGTTGTTCTGTGGAAATGGTTTATTTTCATTGGTTTTGCAATAAAATAGTTGTTTATTAGGTTGCTTTAGTTGTACAGTCTTGTACTGCATAATGATGTTTTGGTCAACAACAGATCACATATACAACAGTGGTCACATAACATTATAATGAAGCTCAAAAATCCCTATTGCTCAGTGACATTGTAGCCATCCTAATATCATAGTGCAATGCATTACTCAGGTGTTTGTGGTGATGCTAGTGTAAACAAACCTACTGTGCAGCCAGTCATATTAAAATGATAGCACATACTATTATGTGCAGTACATAATACTTGATAATAATAAAAACAATTAGTTACTGGTTTATGTATTTAATATACTTTTACTGTAATTTTAGAGTGTACTTCTTTTACTTATTAAAAAAGTATACTATGCAGGCAGCAACTTCTTACATCTTACGTTTACTGAGTCTCTTAATTGCATCATTTTCTATTGTGCTTGATTTACATCTCTTGTTATTTTGTTCATCATGGCCCTTAAGTGTCGAAAATCCACTGCTAATGTTGCCAGTAAGAGCCACGGTTGACAGCTTGACCTGGAAGCAAAATTAAAAGTGATTAAGGGCCGGGCACAGTGGCTCGCGCCTGTAATCCCAGCACTTCGGGAGGCCAAGGTGGGCAGATCAACTGAGGTCAGGAGTTCAAGACCAGCCTGGTCAACATGGTGAAACCCCATCTTTACTAAAAATACAAAATTAACCAGGCACGGTGACGCACACCGGTAATCCTAGCTACTCAGGAGGCTGAGGCAGGAGAATTGCTTGAACCCAGGAGGCGGAAGTTGCAGTGAGCCAAGTTCGCTCCATTGAACTCCAGCCTGGGTGACAAGAGCGAAACTCCATCTCAAAAATAAATAAACAAATAGAAGTGATTAAAAACTCCAAAGATGAAAACTCAGTGATAGTTATTGCCAGTCACACATATCCCATTCCACCATGATCTATGATCTTGAAGAACAAGAAGAAACTGATGGAAGCTATTAGAGGATCTGCTTCATTGAAAGCAATAATACAAAAATGATGAAGAACCCCCAAGAAAATTGGAGTGAAGGGTTTAGCAGAAGCCTTTGAAGACCTCAGCAAGATTTTTTAAAAGGTTATACGGACCCCCAACAACAAAAGGTTTTCATTAATAGAGAGGAATGCTTATGGTGCATTAAGCACATCTGTGATGTAACAATGAAATAAACCAAACAACTAACCATGGGCATATTTCTGACAATAGTGATATATCCTGAAGAAGAACGCTCAGGCATGTCCTTCACAAGGTATTTCAGAAGAAGGCATTGTTATCATAGGAGATGACAGCTCTATGCATGTTATTGCCCCCTGAAGACCTTCCAGGGGGACAAGATGTAGAGTTGGAAGACAATGACACTGATGAACCTGACCTTGTGTAGGCCTAGCCTCATGTGTGTGTTTGTGGCTTAGTTTTTACACAAAAAGTTTTAAAAGTAAGTAAATAAATAAATTTAAAATTGAAAGCTAAGTATGGTGGCATGCACCTGTAGTCCCAGCTATTTGGGAGGCTGAGGCTGGAAGGTATCTTGAGCCCAGGAGTTTGAGGCCAGCCTAGGCAATATAGTGAAACCCTGTCTCTTAAAATAAACAAACAAACAAATAAATAAAAATAGATGAAAGCTTACAGAATAAGGATACAAAAAAGAAAATATTTTTGTGCAGCCGTGCAATGTGTTTATGTTTTAAGTGTTATTTAAAAACAAAGGTTAACAAATTTAAAAGTTTATAAAGTAAAAACATTAGAGAAAGTTAAATTTAATTGATCATTGAAGAAAGAAAAATATTTTTAAAATAAATTTAATGTAGCCTAAGTGTACAGTGTTTTTACAGTCCACAGTAGTATACAGTAATATCCTGGGCCTTCACATTAACTCATGAGTAATTCACTGACTCACCCTGTGATGATTAATAATGAGTGTCAACTTGATTGGATTGAGAGATACAAAGTATTAATCCTGGGTGTGTCTGTGTGGGTGTTGCCAAAAGAGATTAACATTTGAGTCAGTGGGCTGGGGAAGACAGATCCACCCTTAATCTGGCAGGCAGAATCTAATCAACTGCCATAGAATATAAAGCAGGCAGAAAAATGAGAAAAGGGGAGACTGGCCTAGCCTCCCAGCCTACATCTTTCACCCATGCTGGATGCTTTCTGTCCTCGAACTCCATGTTCTTCAGTTTTGGGACTCGGACTGGCTCTCCTTGCTCCTCAGCTTGCATACAGCCTATTGTGGGATCTTGTGACCCTGCAAGTTAATACTTAATAAATTCCCATATATATGATATATCATATATTACAGATATAGCTATATATCATATCATATATATAATATATCTCTCTATATATCACATCATATATAGATATATATGACATATATATCATATCATATCTATCTATCCTATCCTATTAGTTCTGTCCCTCTAAGAGAGCCCTGACTAATACACACCCCAAGCAACTTTCAGTCCTGCAAACTCCATTGATGGTATGTGCACCATACAGGTGTTACATTTTTTAATTTTTCATGCCACATTTTTACTGCAACTTTTCTGAGTATAGATATATTTAGATACACAAATACTTACTCTTGTTTTACAATTGCCTGCGGTATTCAGGACGGTAACATGTATACAGGTTTTGTAGCCTAGGAGCAATTGGCTATACAATATACCCTAGGTGTGTAGTAGGATATACCACCTAGGTTCCTGTAAGTACACTCTATGATGTATCCCTGTCATTGACTGATGCATGACCGTGTTTACAGTGTTTTAGAGGGAGAGCAAGTTAACCAAGTTTCTCATTCTACCAGGCCTGAGATTTTACCCCTTACCGTTTTATTGTGTTTTATAATATTTCTTGTAATTTAATTTAAGGCCCATCTAGATAATCTAGAATAATCTCTCCACATCAAGATCCTTAACCTAATCACATATGCAAAGACTCTTGCCAACTAAGGTAACAAGTCACAAATTCTCAATATATTTCTTCTGTTCCTCCTTCTGATATTTCTCTTTTCTTAATTGAATACTTTTAAAATTCTATCTTGATTTACTTACAGTACCTTTCTATATATTACTTTGTTTATCTTAGTAGTTGTTCTAAGTGTGACAATATACCTCTATAACTTAGTATGGTCTACTGGTATTGTCTCTACCTCTTATTCTGGAACTTTGATGTTAGATCTTTTGCTATTGCACCACAGGACTCTAAGGCTAATTTCATTTTTTTCCAGTCTACTTTTTATCTCTTGTTCATAATGGATAAATTCTATTATTCTTTCTTCAAGTTTCTTGATTCTTTTCTCTTTTCTTTTTAATCTACTGTTGAGCTAATGTAGTGAATTTTTATCTCAGTTAATGTACTTTTTAATTCTGTAAATTATATTATATTTGGCTCTATTTTATTTCTTTTGCTCCTTTGCCAAGATTATATATTTTTTCCATTAGTTCCAACAATATTTATAATTGATCATTGGAGCATTTTTATAAATTCTGCTTCATAATATTTGCCAGATCATTGCAATATCTAAATAATTTGCATTTTGACCTCTGTTGTTTTTTCAGGTTGTAATTTTCCGTTTTTTGGGGTATGATGAGTAATTTTCTATTATATCCTAGGCATATGAGACTTCAGATTCTATTTAAATCTTCTGTTTTACTAGGAATTCATCTTATTTTAGTGTGCAAGTCTGGCCTCCTCTTTTGAGCTGTGTTTCCAATAACAATTTACTATCCACAGCCCTTGCAGTGCTATTTTGGTTTACTTTGTGTAGCACTTGTGAGGCATTCTGAAACAGTGTGATTTTCTACACTGTAGTTTAGTTCTCAAACCTTTCTGTGTGTTGATACTAGTCACATTAAGGTGTGAGTCATTGCAGGGTCTTTTCAGTACTTCCTATGCAGATATAAAGATTCCCTGTCTCCAACTTCCTTCTCTTTGATATCCTTCCTTTACCCTCTATTTGGGAGGGAGATGGGCACCTTTTGATAGAACTTGGAAATGGTGCAAGTCTAGACTCACTACTTGGTCTTTTGTTATAATGTACCAACATGGAAGTGGAATTTTAGGTCATCTGACATGGCTTGTTGGGGAGTATTAGTAAAGACTTTCACTCGGCCCTCACTGATGCTGCCAGTGGGGGAGACAATTACCTCCCAAGGGTACTCAATGCCATCTTATTTGTCTATTTTATTTATTCTACTGGCTTTTGCTCATAAATTATTTTATTCTATGTAATTTTGCAATTTTTTCACATGGTGTTCATATTTATTGGTGCTTTAAATATAAGAATTATTTGATAATTTTAATTAAGAGTTTTAGAATTTGACTTAAATATTTCTTAATTCCTTCTTGCTCCTTTAATAAATAAAATATATTTTTTAAAGAAATTATCTATCACTTTCTCTTGTTCTCACTGGGAAGGTTGGTTAATGTACTGAGAATGCCATATAGCTGATAATTGAGTCTTGTTTTTATTAAAAATCAGACTAAGTTAGAGTCTGCTCAGGAAATTTACTAGAATTTAACTTTCCTTTTGTTCAGAGAACAAAATCTAGAGTTGGTAAATATCTTGTTTTGCTTCTTAAAATCATTAGTCTCTCAAGATTAATTGAATCCAATAACTCCCCTCTTGATTTATATTGTTTTGTGTAGCTGTTAATTGTCAGATTATATAGAAGGCAGAATAGCAGTCCTCCAAAGATATCAACATCCTAATCCTGAGAATTTGTGAATAGTTACCTTACTTGTCAAAAGAGATTTTGCATATGTGATTAGGTTAAGGATCTTGATGTGGGGAGATTATTCTATATTATCTAGGTGGGCCTTAAATCCAATTACAAGGAGTCTTGAAAGATAAAAGAGGGAGGCAGAAGAGTCAAAGAAGGAGATACTGTGATGGAAATATAGATCAGAATGCAATTGCTAGCTTTGGAGATGGTGGAAGAGAGCATGAGCCAAGGACTACAGGTGGACCCTAGCAGCAGGAAAAGGCAAGAAAGTAGATTATTTCTTTGAGACTGCAGAAAGTGACGCAGCCCTGTTAACACCTTGACTTTAACCCAGGCCTGGTTTCTGACCTCTGGAACTATGTGATAAGAAATTTGTGCTATTTTAAGGTACTAAGTTTATGTTCATTTTTTACTGCAGTCATAGGAAACTAGCATTGAGGAGTAATTATTGCTTGAAATTGTGTTTAAAGCATGATGACTTAGAGAGTTTTCTATAACTCTCTTAAATGACTAAAAATACCTGTTTTGATAAAATGTACAAGTCAAAAGTATTGCATTCTCACTACGATATAAACCTCTTGGGTCTTAATTGCCCTTTTATCTTGGTAATATTTATAAATTAAAAAAACAAAACTAAAAGTAAAACAAACAAAAAACTCAAAACTCTACTCCAATTCACAAGTACCTTTTTCTCAACCCAGTTGCAGAGGTAGGTTAAATCATTCACTCAAACACAGATTTTGGTTAGGGGCCTTAACATTAAGAGAATATCAATTCTAACTTCTAATTATTAAGCAGTAGTTAAGAGCATGGGTTCTGTAGTCAGAGTATCTGATGTTTTCTCAAATACACCTTTGGAATTAAGTGGAAATGTTACAGTAGGTAGTTAGTTAGGCATGAGCAGGGCAGGAGAGGGCCCTCCTTACACCCCCACCAGGAAAGTCAGGTGACCATCTGGTGATGGTCAGGTGGTTTTTAACTGACTCTCTAAAATAATAATTGGTCGCAACCAGCACCAGGGGAAGGCAGCCTCCCTATAGACAGGAAACATCTGTAACTGGTAATTGGCACCTTTCAGGAGTTGGGCGAGTAAGCTCAAGCATGCACACTAAAAGACAAAATGGCAGAGTATGACCTTCTGGGGCCATTCTACCGGAAAAGAAAAGAAAGCCTCAGGTGGGCAGGCATACAACTTCTTAAACACACGCCCCACGTGAGCAACTTGAAGGGTAAGTGTAGTGTTTGACCTTTTGACTTGAGGTTTTATATGTTGGCATACTTTCAGGGTCTTTTGTCCAGGCTTCCACACATGCAGGTTGCCCACCCTAAGGGAAGAACCATAGAAAAAGAGACATGAGACCCCGGAAGTATGCCAACATATAAAATCCCAAGTCAAAAGGTCAAACACCACGATTGTCCTCCAAGTCAACCACTTGGGTCTCTTCCAAATGTACTTTCCTTTCTTGCTTGCTCTGAAGTTTTTAATAAGCTTCTGCTACTGTTCTGAAATTTGCCTTCATCTCTTTTTCTGCCTTATGCCCCCTCAGTTGAATTCTTTCTTCTGAGGAGGCAAGAACTGAGATTGCTACAGACCGGTACAAATTTGCCATTGGTCATGTGGATATTCTCCACCACTAACATATTGATACCATGTGACTTGGATACCTTCTACCCTTAACATATTTGATGCTGTTTGGCTTGGATTGCTCCCTAGTGGTGAGAGATCTCTATGCTTCACCTTCGTCAGCTGGAGGCATTTGACCCCCGTGTGTTGTTTTCTTCTCCCCTTTTTCTCTCTCCTGCTTACTACCCATCCCCCAGAACAATTCCTCTTGGTCATAAGTAACTCTGTTCCCCGCAGCTAATTTCTCAGCTCACCATGATGGGTTGCTTGTGGAGGTGGGAAGGACCTTAGGGTCCATACCAAGTAGATCTGAGGCACTGATGACCCTTCTGGAAGGGAGGCTCAAAAGAGTGGTGAGGCTAAGGTCTAAAACCATGCAGTGTCTTGGGGTTTCCTCTGTTTTTTGACTAAAATTAGCTCTTTTCCAAAACCCTGCATGGCCCAATGGCCCATTCTCCCGTTTTCTCTATGTGTGTTCTGAAATAGCCTTGTGCACCTGCCAGACCATCTGCCTCAGGGGCAAGTGCACCTCTTTGCTTTCACTTTGCATGCCACATGACTTCTTAAACACACACTCCCTATGACTCTCTGCGTTTCTGCGGCAGCAAAGACGTGGGCTCCCTTATAGATATCCCCTGAGATTTTTACTTGTTTTTACCAGCTCAGAGGGCCTCCAACTGTTCTTCTGTCTGCTGGCGTATGGCCTGGACAGACACTAATTGGAACTCTAGCTCTGCCAGCTCCTTATAATTTACCGTACGCTTTTTATTTCTGTTATGCCCTGGGGCCAAGTTTTTGGTGGCCTTTAAAAGCAGTTTGTTCACCTGCATAGGGCTTCACTCTGAACCTTTAAGGATCCCATCTACTTTCTTTTGGTTTTTCTGAGTAAGCACCACTTTGGGAGCAGGGGGAATTTTTCCTTTATTTGCAAGTTCTTATGCCAGGTCCAAGCCTTCCAGAGGTTACTATATTCTGCCCAGAGGGTGAATAAACATTGCCCTTTTGCATCCCAGGGCCGCTATTTTCATGAGCATATGAAGGCTTTCTATGAGTATTCATCTTGTTTCCTTCCACTTCCTCCTATAGCCTCCATTTCTCTAATTACCTCCACACCCTTCTCCAGATGCATCAAGACCTTCAAAGTAATATTCTAAAGGAGGGGGAGAGAAGTCCACCCCCTTGCAGTAATTAGCTGAAAAGCAGAGTTTTAAGAAAAGAGATAATCATTTTATTACTAAATTGCTTTGAGTGAGAGTCACTATAAGGTCATGGAAACAAGGATATAGGCTAGCCCAAGGCAGAAGACACAAGAGATCCATAGGACAGAGATGGAGGGTTGTCCCAGGCTAACAGATTACCATTGAAACACAAGAAAAAAGGTTATGGGGTACAGGGTAATGTTACGGGGTCTTTGGGGTGTTACTTTTCTGGCCAGAAACCTCCGTGGCTGGTGGCACCTTTGCCCAAGTTTTGCTTGTGCCCACTGGGCTCATTCTGCCCACTTGATCTGGCAGGCTGCACTCATCTCATGCTACCAGCCTGGATCCCACATTTTCAAGGGAGACTGCAAATCAGGTGTGGAGCAGCGAGGAGTGTGTGAGCAATTATGGGGTCCAGCCACTGTCCAGTCAGACACTCCGGCTACTGTTGCAGAGTGGGCAACTCCAGGTGCTGACATGAGTGTTGGCTGTCTGCGAGGCTGTGGCTGAACCAGGTGCACCACACGCAGCTTCCTAGGCTGGCACCAGGGAATGCGTTGGTGCCCAGAAACTTGGAGACACCGGCAACTGCAGGGACCCAAAGAGGGAGTCACAGCCCTGGCTTGGGGAGCTCCCAGGTCTGGGCTCCCCAAAGGGCCACAACTTTTCTCTTCTCTTCTCTTGCAATGTGGTGAGCAAGGGCATGTGTCAGCCCTGTTTGTGTTACTGCTCTTTTAGCCTCATCATTCAGTGGGTCCTGAGTTCTTGTCCTGTGACCAGGAAGAATGAGGTATGCAGACAAGTGGAAGGTGAGCAAGAGGAAAAGGGGCTTTATTGAGCGGTAGAACAGCTCAGAGGAGACCTGCAGTAGATATCCCCTTTCTACAGCCAGAGTGTCCCGATGAGTGTTCAACTCCTAGCAGAGAGGAGACCCTAGAGTAGGAAGCTCCTCTCTGCAGACAGGTCATCTCATTGAGTGTTCAACTCCCTGGAGTGGAAAGCTCCTTTCTGCAGGCAGGTCATTCCGCTATCTCCCCATTGTCTTTCCATCTTCTCTTCAAGTGTGGCTGAGTCTGAAGCCTCCCATGGGCAGCCATGGGAGGGCCCAGGGAAAAGCACCACAATTTCCCCCTCTGGTCCATGGGACTGGTGGCCTGGCACCCAGGCTTTAGGTCCTCTTTGGCTTTAAGGTGGGGCTTCAGAAGGGACCCACCCCCTTCTGCCCCAAAGCCTGTCTGCTTCATGCCGCTATTCAATGTGCCCAGGCTGTTCATGCCAAGGGGCACCTGCAGGCCAGCACTGGGCAGTCCTCAGCACCCCCTCAGCCTCCCTCCTATGCCTGTTGACACTCAATGTCTGGAGGGGACCGAGGTGGCAGGGGGTTGGCATGTCAGCGCTTCCTCAAGCATGTGCACACCCAGCGAGGCTGCGACACAGCACTCTGGCTCAGCCCCGAACTTGTTCCAAGACTGGAGCAGATGTTGACAGCAGGGAACAGCCAGGCAGTGGAAGCAGGCATCCTCAATCCTGTTGGGGGGCAGAGGGGCCTTCCCAGGTTTCCCAGAGTACAGAGATGCTTGGATCCACAGCCATGGCAGGGTGGCTGCAGCTGCACTCAGGGAGCTCCTGCCCCACCAACTTGGAATGGGGGGCTCTCACTTGTCCCTAGCTCCTGCTGGTTCTTTGGAGCATGCAGCCCTGATCATGCCCCTTCACAGCCTGGGACAGGGGCTCCAGGTCATTAGTGGGCCCAGGCTGGCATCCGGGGCAGGGGTAATGTCACCATGAGCTCCTACCACGTCCCCAGCATTCAGGAGTAGCTTGGGGCTTCCCCTCATCTGGCTCATGGTTCTGCCCAGGGAGTGCCTCTAGAAGCGAATTGCAGGTCCCGGTCCCAGCAGTCAGGAGTGTCAGGATCGGTGGTCACCCTGATGCAGGGCAGTCCCTGGGGATGCGGCCCTGGGCAGCCCCATGCAGAGCCGCCTCATGAAGCACAGGAACCCAGCGCCCTCAGTGGGGTGAATGTTGTGGCTGTGCCACTGACCAGGTCCCCAAAGTGGGCACTGCTCCCAGTTCCCACCCTGGGCCCCTGAAACATGGCCCCAGCTCCACACCCCAGGCCTGGCCCCCATGCTCCATGTGCAAACGCGTCCCTGCCCCTGGATCAGCTCCATTTTGGGGTCTCTCTCTTCCCGACCGCACTGCTCCCCAGCTATCAGGTGATTCAGCCTGGCCCCATTATGGTGGCCCCCAGGGTGGGGGACTCCAGGAGGTTCCTAAGGGTGGGCTCCAGAGACTGTCTACCTCCTCTCCATGCCCTATCTGCAGCAGCAGTGGGCGAGAGTGGCAACACGGGGACAGGGTCTGGAGTGGTGGAGGCTCTGGGCCTGGGAGTGGGTCCCACCCAGCAACACAAGAATGGGGGTCATGCAGTTGGGTTCCTCAGGGCACAGGAGACATGTGGCACAGGAGTTTCACCACTGCCTTTGCTGCTCCCACAGCCACTCCTGCTACCACTGTTCAAGTCTCCCCACTGCACCCAGCATGATGTCAGTGGCCACTCTAGATGGTCCACCACTGCCATCAGTAAGATGGGCTATTTCAAAACCTCAAGGATGGACAGGGGCCCAGGGTTCAGTGCAGTATTATTTGAAACATAAACTTTAAAAAATTATAATTAGCACTGCTAATTTACAACTATAAGGCAAATACCTTAGACCTCAGTTCATAATGAGCCCAGTATATTCAAATTCATTTGAAACTTATTACTTAGTTTTGTTTAAAAGTTTGGAAGGCTGTTATGGGTTGTGTCTCTCTACAAAATCATATGTTGAAATCCTAGTCCCCAGTACTTTTGAATGTGACTGTATTTGGACATAGCATCTTTAAAGAAATTAGTAGTCATTCTCAATTGTCTGCCATTAAGATTTTGATAAATTTGGGATACTACGTGAAAAGTAGTATAGTAAAATTTCAATGTAACAAAATGTTAGAAAATGAGCATTCTGGTTTACATAGTTTTTGCCTGAGTATTTAAAATGAAACAATTATGTTTCATTCCTCTGCTGAAAATATTTTAAACATGTTTTAGTTGTGTTAGTCCATTTTGCTGCCTCAGTAATGGTAGTCTGGGGAAGGTAATTCATTCTTTGGTGATTGAGAATCTTTCAGGACCTTCGGCCATTATTCTTAAAATAAATCATTTATAAAAATGACTTTCTTTTACTTGTAAATAAAGATATTTTAAGAGACTTGGTCTGAAGATGTAACTTTTAGATCTCATCGTCTACTAGAGAATATTTTATTGTGTTTTATATCTTTATTTTCTAGTTATCAGTATTCCTCTTCCTCCTATAGCACTGTAGAACAAAATTAAAATGTGATTACTAAGAATTACAATTCCTCTGATCTGGCTAATCAGTGTTTTATTATCTTAAGGCAGTTGTTTTCATAGTAATGAAAACAGAACTGTTTTAGGATTCAGAAGACCTGAGTTATAGTCCCAATTTTGTATCATAATAACCGTATGACCTGGACACATAACTTAAATTTTATTAGTCTTACATTACCCATAAAATCTAGATAGGTATATGTGAAAAATAGGCTAAAATAAATGTATTTGTCTTCACTGCCTACCTAAAAGGTTGTTGTGAGGATCAAATAAGATATGTGTCTCAGTCAATTTTTGCTACTATAACAGAATAGCTGAGAGTGGATAACTTAAAAGAACACAGTTTTATTTTCTCACAGTTCTGGAAGCAAGGAAGTCCAAGATCAGGGTGCCAGCATCTTCTGAGGGCCTTCTTGCTGTGTCCTTCAGAGAAGAGGAACACTGTGTCCTCACACAGAGTAAGGTAGACAAGCATAGAGAAAAAAAAGGGGCCAAGTTCACACTTTTCTAAAAGCATTAATCCTACACATATGAGGATAGGATTTGACCTCATGGTCTAATCATCTCTTAAAGATCCCAACTCTTAATACTGTTACAATGGCAATTACATTTCAGCATAAATTTTGGACAGGACAAATATTGAAACCATACGAGCATGTAAAATGTCTGTAAAATTTAGAAAATACTATGTAATTATGAAGTGGTAATGATTAAAGTAACAAGATATAAGTATTTTTAAGTATATATATCAATATATTAACAATATAGTATTTATAATATATAATTATATTATAATATTTGTAATGCAGAATATAATTTAATGTAATATATATTTTATAAGAGACAGGATCTCACTCTCTCACCCAGTGGAGTTGAGTGGTGAAATCATGGCTCACTGCAAACTCAAACTCCTGGGTTCCAGCAATCCTCCTGCCTCAGACTGCTGAGTTGGTGGGATTACAGGTGCCTGCCACCATGTCTGGCTAGTTTTTACTTTTTATAGAGACAGGGTCTCACAATGTTGCTCAGGCTTGTCTTGAACTCCTGGCCTCAAACAACCCTCTTAACTCAGTTTCCCAAAGCACCAGGATTACAGGTGTAAGCCACCACTCCCAGCCAGATTAAGTATTTTAAACACAACAGTTTCAAATAAATTTTGGAGGAATTTGCTAATTTCTTATATAAACTCATGAGAGTCAGCCAACAATATTTATATTCAATGAAATGTTTTGTATTTAATTAAAAGATGACCTATTGAACAATTTTTAAATGAAAAAACTTAATCTTTACCTGCATTATTTTCTGGGAGCAAATATGATGTTTATACATATAAAATTCCAAGTACTGGTTTCTAGTAGGAAGAAAGTTGAGATTTTGACTTAATGTGCTTCACATACCTACAGGCACAAGAAAAAAAAAACTGCTCTCTTGTTACTAATTAGTAGACATACAGTAATACAATATGAAAATCGGAAAGCACTGGGAGTGGGTAAAAATTGAAATCTCTTTCTGGCAATTTCTTAAAAAGCTTTTCCTCTTGGCAATGTATTTTCTTTGCACTTTAAAGTGGTACCTACTTATTAAATAATGTGAGTATCACAGGGATCCTGAGATTAAGTAAAATATCACATGGACCCTAGCTTTTCTATGTAGCCAAGTTGTTTACCACTTAGTGTATTATGACTTTAGATATCATAAGAAGGAGTATAGCATAGTAATTAGGCACATAGGCTCTGGAGACAGAAAGCCTGGTTGAGAAACCAGCTTCATCATTTGCTAACTGTGTGCATTTGGGAAGAGGCCCTTGTATTCATTTCCTATGGCTACTGTAATGAATTTCATGGCTTAAAGCAAAAAAAAAAAAAAAAATTATTATCTCACAATTCTGGAGTTTGGAGGTTTGAAATTAATATCACTGGGCTAAAATTCATATGTTGGCAGAGCTGCTTTTCTTTATGGAAGCTCTAGGGGAGAACCTGCTTTTTTGACTTCCAATTTCTGGTGACTACCAGTATTCATCAGCTTGTGGCTGAACCACTTAAATCTGTGCCCCTGTGGTCACATTGTCTTCTGTTCTATTTGTGATTGAACTTAGAGCCCACCTGGATAATACAAGATAATCTCTCCTTCTCAAGATCTTCGAAATATTTTTTTTCAGTTTGAAAGTAATAACTGTTTATTAACTGACCAGGTTACAAAGATAATCATGGCAGACACTTTAGTTTATCTTTCTAACAAACCTGTTGTTCTGGTGTGCCCTGTTGCCAGCATCTCCACCATCTACAAAATGTGTCTTTTTTTTTTTTTCCCACATCTGGAGAGGATAATTTGAAGGGCCACAGGAAGTTATTTGCTTCTTTGAAGCATTTTCCAAAATTATAGATGCCATGAGTCAAATCCTTCCTGCAGATGATGCCCTATTTACTGAGCCACTGAGCAATCAAAGTGTTATCTGTCACAGCAATTTGCTTCTTATTGATTTTGCCATAACTATGCTTGTAGATTAGTTTATTTACTGATTTCAGGTTTGGGTAACCCTATGGTTCTACAATCCTCAGCATGTTAACTGAAGACTTGCTGAGCTTAACAAAAGTTCCATTGAATATGTGACATAGGCAGAGAAGCTGCAACACCTTTTGGAACTTTGGGCTCACACCATTAATAACTCTAATCCTGACGACAAATGCCAGTTTGGATTCAGCAGGTTCAGGGAAGTTTCCAGCTTTTCTTGTCATCCTAGCCATTCATATTTCATTTCTGTACATCTGCCTATAGTCATTGTGATAGTAATTCACTTTTTCATAGACAAAGCATGCTTTCCTTTGTTCTCCTTGCCTTTCAAAGCATCTTTTGGGCTTTTTTTCTCTGGCGCTTGATCTTCAACTATGTAAAATTCCTTTTACTTATTGTTAAGGGTTTCTGGCACAGAAGAAACCTTTTCTTCCTCTTTTCAACACCCTCCATGGGTCAACACCCTCCATGGTTCCAGCTGGAAAAGAGCAAGATTTTTAAAATCCGAATCCCATCTACAAGTACTCTGTAAAGTAACATTTACAAATTCCAGGGATTAGGAGCAGATATATGTGGTGGGGGTGGGGTGGG
This sequence comes from Homo sapiens, assembly GCF_000001405.40. Lineage (NCBI taxonomy): Eukaryota > Metazoa > Chordata > Mammalia > Primates > Hominidae > Homo > Homo sapiens. Next base: position 93,573,695 of record NC_000023.11, on the reverse strand, counting down.
GGAAGTATGGGACTATTTATCAGACTACCACAGCACTGAAACCTTTCTGAGGCTTCATTCTCTTTATCTCCACAGTGATGATGATAACAGCACCCACCTCCATGGAGGTCCATGGAGAACTTTAAAATAATGCAACAATTTATGTAAGCTTTCTGGCCACATGGGCCAGTTATATATTAAATGCTCTTATGATAGCACAAAACTCCTCTTCCGGATAATTTTTAAAATAGAACATACTCATCATCACGTGCATATTTTTATTATGACTAAACACAAACATAGAAACTAGAAAATCAGAGACAAACCAGTAAAATTGTATTTTTTCAGTATTCCTTAAAACCCTGAACAAAGTTGCCTGTTTTCTTCTAAATCATACTGAATTCACTTGCTAATGTTGAAGAATGATCAGGATTAAATATGAAGAAGTGTTCTTCTCCTGACTACAATTATGACTGACAAAGCATAACTCATGACATGGGGAGCATTGAATCTGCAATGCCTCCTTTTTAAACGAATACATGTTTTTAATTTTAGATTCACAGAAAAATTGCAATGGTAATACAAAGGGACTCCATACGTTTTCTACTCAGTTTTCTCTACTGTTAACATCTTACATTACTAATGTGAAAGAAAAATAAATATCAGGACCCCAAAATCAGTAAGCTAAAGGGAAAAGTCAAGCTGGGATCTGCTTAGGGCAAACCTGCCCCTCATTATATGAAAAGTCACCCCTCTGCTCACTGAGATAAATGCATATCTAATTGACTCTTTTGGAGAGGTTAATCAGGAACTCACAAGAATACAACAGTTTGTCTCTTATCTACCTATGACCTGGAAGCCTCCTCCTGACTTTGAGTCATCCTGCCTTTGCTTTGAGTTGTCCTGCCTTTCCAGACCAAACCAATGTTCATCTTATATATGTTGATTGATGTCTCATGTCTCCCTAAAATGTATAAGACCAAACAGTGTTCTAACCACCTTGGGTCCATGTCATCAGGACCTCCTGAGGCTGTGTCACAGGCACGCATCCTCAACTTTGGCAAAATAAACTTTCTAAATTAACTGAGACCTGTCTCAGATATTCAGGGTTCACATCTTGGTAACCATGAAAAGATTCTGAGTAAAGGCGTCCCTGACCTTTGACAAATCTCCTATTGGTGCTTGGTACCAGTATAAACTAACTTTTTGACTAAAACCAATAGGACAATTTGCTGAGGTCTGGGAGCACGCCCCGCCATATTTTCCAAAACTGGGTTGAGATATAAAGTTTATTTTGCTGTACAACTCCCTTTTTGGAGTTTTACTTACGTCCAACAAGGAAGACAAGATTTTCTCCTTCCATGATGATGAATGGCAGGTAACTCTTTCATGGAGTTTGAGCTCACTCTCAACAGAGAAGGCAAGTTTGACATTGTTTGTTTGTTTGTTTGTTTGTTTCTAGGATGATAGAGAGCAAATTCATCCTGAGACCCATTTTCAGGTAAGTAGCTGAATTGGGGTTTTGTCTTGGCTAAAGTTAACAACCAGCTGGTCTTAATTTCTCCTTACCAATAGAGCACTCAGTGATCATATTGTTGGGGATTCCTGTTGTTATTTATTCCGGTCTTTCTCACATCAGATTTGACCAACTCTACCTGACTTGATCAAATCTGAGTGAGAATTCCAAATTATGGGTAACAAATCCTCTCTAATTTGGCAAAATTCCTCACAGCTGCAAAAGAGGGAACAAAACAAAACAAAATAAAAAACACATGCACTTGGTTTCTGTGTTTTATTCCTCTCTTAAAATAAAAGTTCTTTTGTTTACTTTTCTTCCAACCTATGCCTCCTTCTCTCCCTTTGCCATCTGCAGTACCAAAAAATCTAGAGAAGACTTTCAATGACTTGAACCCCTTTAAAGAATTTAAAACAAAAGTGCCACTCACCCCTTTTGGGGTGTTCTGTTTTCTTTGTGGAGTTTCAAGAGCCTTGGGCAGGTTCTTCTTAGGTCTAAAGCTATATTTTATTTTATTGCATGACCTGACCTCTTTGACTTTGGGGGCACCAGAGATGACCTTGTATTCTGAGAGGATTTGACAGTGGCCTGTGTAATGGCATACAAGAGCTGCGAGGTTAGGGGTGGCTGTGAGCATTTTACAGGAAGTGGTCTTGGCTGTTTTTTATTTTTTATTTTTTCTCCTAGGAAGTTGTTGTTTAAGGATCCTAATTCCAGTGTGGAGATGCATTCTAATGGATCTCCTCTATTGCTTTTTTTCTCAAAATTAATCTTGATTGGGCTTGTCTGTGCACACTTGCATGAGGAACTGAACTATTGTTTTCATAGGTAAATGAGAGACTGAGTTTTCTCGGCTCTGAAGAGAAAGGATATTTTGCTTCTCCCAGCTGAAAGGTGCTGCTGGGTGACCAGCGGCCTTGTGGGAGCATCTGGGGACTTGAACCCCTGTGACATGCAGCAGTCCTACAGGGACATCCCCACAAATTTGATTTTATAAAGGCTCCTCCAAGAAACACATGTAAGGACTGATCACCCAGTGTTTTGAGCCATCTCAGAGGTCATAGACTTCTGGAGAGAGAAACTGAGACATGTAAGAGGGTGGAAACGACTCAGTGGTGACACACTGTGGAGTCCTGTCCACAAGCAGGACACATCAATCCACCACACAAAAACCCTAGGCCACAACTCAGTTCTTCCTTTTAAGAAAAAAAAAAGTGGAAAACAAATAGAATGAAGAGAAGATAAGGATGATACCCCCCCTTTCAAGCACTCTGTACATTTTATTGCACCTCTACTTGCCAGAGTTTATGTAAAATTGAAATAACATGATCTTTATGCACATTTACATTAAGGAAAAAGAGCCCTAAGTTTGACTTGCAAACTATAGAGCTCCTAAGTTCTCTTTTTCTCTATGTTCTTTTCTGCGTGATTTACATGTGCTGTTATTTTTCTACTAAGATAAAAACCACTGTTTGGAACCAACAGGTTTTTTTGCAAGCTGGGGAATTTGTATTTATGTCACCGCTAAAGTTCTGAAGTAAAAGCTATAGGATCTTTGTGTGTGTGTGCGTGTGTGTATGTGTGTGTGTGTGTATTTAAAATGCCTTTATAATTTCTATAATTTTATGTTTCATAGGCAATTAAATCAGTTTTAATATTCCTCTAGCACTCCAGACTTTTTCTCTCCATACTTTATGTTGCAAATTTTGCAATTTGATTTTTACCTGAGTTTTTTTCTTTAATATGCAAATTTAAGGCTATTTAGCTGACAACTGCCTAGGGTAGTGAAACAGGTTATTAAGAACTTGAAAGTTCAGGGCCGGGCGCGGTGGCTCACGCCTGTAATTCCAGCACGCTGGGAGGCCGAGGCGGGTGGATCACGAGGTCAGGAGATCGAGACCATCCGGGCTAACACGGTGAAACCTCATCTCTACTAAAAATACAAAAAATATTGTTTCTCCTCTCTCAAATAATACAGGTTTTTGCCTTTTTCTGAAATCCTTGAGTTATCACTTTGGTCAAATGAATAACTTATTTTACAATGACCTGTAATATCAAATGTTTTAAACCTTTGATATTTGACAAACTTTCCAAAATCAGATCATTCATTATGTCTTTTTCTGACCTAATTAATCCTTTAAGATATTAGGTTTCCTGAAGTCCAAAAATTGATGTAATTTGGCTTATGTGGTATATAAATTATACAGGAAGCATTGTCAAATATGAAGTGGTGTTTGGGTTTTTTGGGGTTGTATTTGTATAAATATGTTATTGGTGATACCACCATCATTCTTCACAAAATTAGAAAACACAATTCTAAAATTTATATGGAACCAAAAAACAGCCCGCATAGCCAAAGCAATACTAAGCAAAAAGAACAAATCTGGAGGCATCACACTACCTGATTTCAAGCTATACCATAAGGCCATAGTCACCAAAACAGCATGGTGCTGGTACAAAAATAAGCACATAGACCAATGGAATAGAATAGAGAACCCGGGAATAAACCCAATACTTACAGCTAACTGATCTTTGACAAAGCAAACAAAACCATAAAGTGAGGTAAGGACACCCTTTCCAACAAATGGTGCTGGGATACTTGGCTAGCCACATGCAGGAAAATGAAACTGGATTTTCATCTCTCACCTTATATAAAAATCAACTCAAGATAAATTAAGGACTTAAGACCTGAAACTATAAAAATTCTAAAAGATAACCTTAGAAAAACTGTTCCAGACATTGGCCTCGGCAAGGATTTTATGACCAAGAACCCAAAAGCATATGCAATAAAAACAAACACAAATAGCTGGGACATAATTAAACTAAAGAGCCTTTGCATGGCAAAAGGAACAGTCAGCAGAGTAAACAGACAACCCACAGAGCGGGAGAAAATCTTCACAATCTATATATCTGACAAAGGACTGATATCCAGCATCTACAACAAACTCAAACAAATCAGTAAGGAAAAACAATCATTCCCATCAAAAAGTGCTCTAAGGACATGGATAGACAATTCTCAAAAGAAGATATACAAATGGCTGACAAACATATGAAAAAATGCTCAACATCACTAGTGATTAGGAAAATGCAAATGAAAACCACAATGTGATACCACCTCACTCCTGCAAGAATGGCCAAAGTAAAAAAATCAGAAAACAGTAGATGCTGATGTGGATGTGGCAAACAGAGAACACGTCTACAATGCTGGTGGGAATGTAAACTAGTACAGCCACTATGAAATACAGTGTGGAGTTTCCTTAAAGAACTGAAAGTAGAACTACCATTTGACCCAGCTATCCCACTACTGGGTATCATTACTTGAAAAAGATCCTTGCACACGAATGTTTATAGCAGCACAACTCACAGTTGCAAAATCATGGAACCAACCCAAATGCCCATCAATCAACAAGTGGATAAAGAAACTCTGGTGTTTATAAATATATATATATCATATTGATATATATATTTACATATATATTACATTTATATATAGATGTATATGTATATATATATCTATATATGTTTTTATATATCATATATAATGATATATATATATACATATAGATATATATATGATGGAATACTACACAGCCATAAAAATGAATGAATTAACAGTATTTGCAGTGACCTGGATGAGATTGGAGAGTACTATTCTTTTTTTTTTTTTTTTTTTTAGATGGAGTTTCACTCTTGTTGCCCAGTCTGGAGTGCAATGGCAGGATCTCGGCTCATCACAACCTCCACCTTCCAGCTTCAAGTGATTCTCCTGCCTCAGCCTCCCTAGTAGCTGGGATTACAGGCATGTGCCACCATGCCCAGCTAATTTTGTATTTTTAGTAGAGATGGGGTTTCTTCATGTTGGTCAGGCTGGTCTCGAACTCCCAACCTCAGGTGATCCGCCCGCTTTGGCCTCCCAAAGTGCTGGGATTACAGGCATGAGCCACTGCACCTGGCCTATTGGAGAGTATTATTCTAAGTGAAGTAACTCAGAACTGAAAAACCAAACATCGTATATTTTCAGTGATATGTGGGAGCTAAGCTATGAGGACACAAAGTCATAAGAATAATGCAATGGGCCAGGTGCAGTGGCTTATGCCTGTAATCCCAGCAATTTGGGAGGCCAAGGCAAGTGGATTACCTGAGGTCAGGAGTTCAAGGCCAGCCTGGCCAACATGGTGATATCCCATCTCTACTAAAAATACAAAAAAATTAACTGGGCATTGTGGCGGACACCTGTAATCCCAGCTACTTGGGATGCTGAGGCAGGAGAATCATTTGAACCTGGGAGGCAGAGGTTGCATTGAGCCAAGATCGCGCCATTGAACTCCAGCCTGGGCAACAAGAGTGAAACTCTGTCTCAAAAAAATAAAAACAAAAATAAAAATAAAATTAAAGGTAAAGAATAATGAAATGGAATTTGGGGGTTTGGGGGGAAGAAGTGGGAGGGGGGCAAGGGATAGAAGACTATAAATATGGTGCAGTGTATACTGCTTGGGTGATGTGTGAACTGAAATCTTGCAAATCACCACCAAAGAACTTACTCATGTAACCAAATACCACCTGTACCCCAATAACTTATGGAAAAATAAAAATAAATAAATAAATAAAAATATGTTATTGGTATGTGCTCTAAAATTATAGGAAACTCCTCTAATTCTCTTATAACTTAGTGTACTTTATCAGTTAATAATTAAAATTGTAATGGTAAATTATTTTGTGCCAAAGTGGTAACAAAATTCCTTGTCAACTTTGTCTTTGACTGTGACTTCCCTGAAACTTTTTGCTGTCCACAGATAATTGTTGTCTTGTTTTGGTCCTCTTTAGATGGTAGTTGTATAATCAGCTATAAAACTGTGACATGTGCTCTTGAATGCAGGTTTCTGATAACTGGAGATTGTGACATCAAAATAGAGGAAAAACTTTGAGGACTCATGGAGAGCTGAAATGTTCATGACTATCAAGCAGAACAGGAATTAACTGTATGAACTGAAATAATAGAAGGCTGAAGTAATTTTTTTGACTTTTTGCTTAAAATGGTGATTATTTGTTTTCTTTTTTTTTCAGTCAAGCAAACTTTTCTTTTGAGCTATTGACAGCTTTAAACTATTTAGTATACTCCCATGAACAAAATTTGGAGAATATTTCTACCTAATTTCTCTAGAATTTGGAAACTATTTGTGAGTATTCTTAACTTATGGCAATACAGTTATTTGCATAAGTGCAATAAGAATATGTTTTTATTTGTAATAGGATACAATTGGAGAAACTGGTAATTTTACCAAGGCTTTGACTGGAATGGTGTGCTTTTCTTTAAGGAATCCAACTTGACTTACAGAGACAATAAAAGCCCCTTGAGAAAAATGGCCTAATACCTTTGTCTACACAGTTCCCATACAGGGTTCCTGACCTGTGGTAAGTAAAAAATGTCACTTTCTGACAGGCTCATGAGCCCCAAGTTTGTCTTGGGACCTTAAGAAGAGAGAAATCCATCCAACACATAGGTATTTGATGGTACAAATCCATGGCTGGTCTTGGCTTTAAAAACATCTTATCTGAGATTTCTTCTATGGAATAAAGTTCCATCAAAGCCAATTTTAAAGCCTGTGTAAAAAATAATTATTCTTGCTACACTGTATACAAATAATCAGGTGTAGTATAATAAAGCAAATCAGTCCTACCATGATTTGCCTTTAGTAAAAATGGGAAACTGGAGAGAGAAAAATTATGTTTCAAAAACTATAGTACACCTGTTGTTAAATTCTAGTCTTGCCTAATGTTTTTCAATTTTTATTATTTTCTACAGTTTGGACCAAATTCTTTTTTGGGGGGTGGCTACAAGTCTTCAAAATAATGTTTTCAGTTTCTTTTCCTTCTTCCTCACCCCTATTTTTTCTAATTTGGAGTCACTGAAAACTAAGCTGTGCTTTCATAAAGCCCTGCAAACTGAAGCTAGAAAACTTAAACTTCAGAAGAAAATAACAGCAACCTATTTACATATATAAGTCATTTTCATACCTGCCTACCCGATACAGAACAGCTGGGCTCCCAGCTAAACTGCCCGCCCAACGCCCACCCCCACCCCCACCCTCAAGCCTGGACCATTGGCCCTAAGTGAAAACAGCTGACCCTGAAGGGCTGGGCTTCCAGCTAAACCCCACCATCACGCCTGGAACCTCGGCCCTAAGTGAAAACATTTGACCCTGTTTTTCCACCCAAATGATTGCCTTTTTGGCCCACCCCACTCCTATCCTGTGCCCATAACATATTTCAGCTGGCAGGGCAACAGAAGTAGCTGATGCAAGTGGTCGGGGATGCAAGCGGCTAAGCCTCGGGTATATAAGCTGCTGAGTATTAGGGATACAAGCTACTGAGCAACAGGGATACAAGCTGTTGGACATCTGGGACACAAGTTGCTTAACATCAGGGATACACGTGGCTGAGCATTGGAGACTACGCATAGACTCGGCTAACTTCAGGTGGTGCAGCTTCAGGGAAAGATCACTTTCTTCCCCTACCATCCCTTTTCCGGTCTCCATCCCACTGAGAGCCACATTTATCACCCAATAAAATCCTCTGCATACACTAGCCTTCAAATAGTTCATGTGACCTGATTCTTCCTGGACAGCAAACAAGAACACGGGTGTCAAAAAGAACTGCAGGTTGAGTAAAATGAGCCATTTCAGTTTCTGCCCACGAAGGGGGTCAAAATCATGGGAACAATCCCATCTCATACTGATGTATGGACTTCAGAGTAATGCGGCCTACGTTGATTTTCCAGGATTATTCTATTGATTGTTGTTTTTCTCCCTTACTCCCCCTATTTTCTCTTCATAGGTCATGAGACTTTACAACCTGCTAAAAATGAGCTTTCCTAATAACTTTGGACCTACCCATCGAGGAATAAATCATTCTAGCCATGAGAGCTCAGACAAAAATCTGAGACCAGAGACTAATTTTCTTCTAAAACGCTTTCTTTTTTGGAAGGAAGACTGCAGAGGTAAAGTACTGTCCTTATCATATCATCACAATGATACATGCATCAAAATGATTTATGACTGATGATATTGTAACTACCCAAAAGGTTCTTTCTGCCCACTGAGCAGACAAAACCAATTTACTGAGACCATGGCATTGTGATAAACACACAATTTAATATGCATCAGGCCAACCATGCCATGTGGGAGATGAAATTATTACTCAAATCAATCTTCCCCCAAATTTGGAGGCTAGGGTTTTTCAAATATAGTTTGGTGGGCCAGGGAGTCTGCTTCTGAGTGAGGCCACAGGACTGGTTGGCTAGGGTTCAGTGGGTCCAGGTGGAGCCACAGATCATCACAAATGCAAAAACTCAAAAAGACATCTCAGAAGGCCAATTCTAGGTTCTACAATGCTGATATCTGCAGGAGAAATTAGAGAAGTTGCAAAACTTGTAACCTCTGGAATAATTGCTGTTAATCAGTTATGTCTACACCTTAATAGAACTCACTCTTCACATATATCCCTAACCTGGTGGTCTTTTATTAGCTTTACATTAGTGGTTTAGTTTGGGGGAAGGACTATTATTATTTAAACTATAAACTAAATGTCTTCCAAAATTAGCTTGCCACAGGCCCAGGAATGATTAAGGGCAGTTCAGAGGTTAAAGGCAAGATGGGGGTTGGTTACATCAGATGTCTTTCACTGTCATCATTTTCTCATTGTTATACTTTTTGCAAAGGTGGTTTCAATTTGACCTTGATTATGTAACCACCCAACAGGTTCACCTTTCCCGCTGCCTAGACAGAGCCAATTTATCAAGAAAAAAGGAATTGCAATAGAGAAAGAGTTATTCACACAGAGCTGGCTGTGCGGGAGACTGGAGCTTTATTAATACTAAAAATCAGTCTCTTATTTGGGGATCAGAGTTTTAAATGATAATTTGGTGGGTGGGGGGCCAGTGAGTCAGGATTGCTGATTGATTGGGTCAGAGATGAAATCATAGGGAGTCAAAGCTGTTCTCCTGTGCTGAGTTGGTTCCTGAGTGGAGGGCACAAGATCAGATGAGTCAATTTATAAATCTGAATGGTGCTAGATGATCCATCAAGTGGAGGATCTGCAAAATATCTGAAGCACTGATCTTAGGTTTTACAATAGTGATGTTATCCCCAGGAGCAATTTGGGCAGGGTCAGAATCTTGTAGCCTCCAGATTCATGATTTCTAAATCATAATTTATAATCTTTTGTCTAATTTGTTAGTCCTACAAAAGCAGTCTAGTCCCCAGGCAAGAAGAGGGTTTGTTTTGGAAAAAGGCTGTTATTGTCTTTCTTTTTAAACTATAAACTAAGTTCCTCACAGTTAGTTTGGCCTATGTTCAGGAATGAACAAGGAGAACTTGGAGGTTAGAAGCAAGATGGAGCTGGTTAGGCCAGATCTCTTTCACTGTCTCAGTTATAATTTTGCAATGGTGGTTTCAACCATCTGGCTCAGGTAATGGTTTTCATATTTATTAGCTGATAAGTTATTTTTCTTTCCTGCCCCCTTTTTATATTTTACTCTTGGGAAGGAAGTCAATGTGTGCCCCCACATTAAAAAAAAAGGATAAAATACAATATTTGTCCTTTTATGACTGACTTATTACACTTAGCACAGTGTCCTCAAGGTTCATCCATGTTATATCATGTGTCAGAATCTCCCTCTTTATTTAAGACTGAATAATAATCATTGTATGTATATACCACATTTTATTTATCCATACATTTGTTGATGGACATATGGGGTGCTTCCACCATGTGGGTATTGTAAATAGAGTTGCTTCTATGAATGTGGGTTGTGCCACTGCATTTAAGATGTGGAGAATTAGGCTATATTATTTTTATGGCAGAGTATTTAAATAAGTGATTTGTAATTCTAACCTATGTGAGATTTGTCAAATCCCTCCATGCCCACTATGTATTTACTTATTTATATCAATATAGATTCATTAATATTTATTTTATACTTTGAGTTACAGTTCAGTGCTTCCTTATTTTGTTGCTAAGATTGTCTGTTTTGGCCATTGAGGCCCTTTCACTTAGCTCCTGTGTTGATTTACATACTCTAATTGTTGTAAATTTTGAACACTTCCTTTGTTTCTGGCACTATCAGATGTTTCAACCTCTTTTTTTTTTTTTTTTTTTTTTTTTTTTTTTTTTTTTTTTTTTTTTTGAGAAAGAGTCTCACTCTGTTGCCCAGGCTGGAGTGCAGTGGTGTGATCTTGGCTCACTGCAACCTCCTCCTCCTCCTGGGTTCGAGTGATTCACCCGGCTAATTTTTTTTTTTTTTTTTTAGTAGGGATGGGGTTTCACCATATTGGCCAGGCTGGTCTCGAACTCCTGACCTCGTGATTTGCCTGCCTCAGCCTCCCAAAGTGCTGGGATTACAGACATGAGCCACTGCTCCTAGCCAAAGCTCATATTTTTTATGGTCATGTTTTTCCTGGCTTCTTTCAATTTTTTCAATTTTTAATTTTTGTGGGTACATAGTAGGTGTATATATTTATGGGGTACATGAGATGTTTTGATTTAAACATGAAATATGAAATAAGCATATCATGGAGAATGGGGCATCTGTTCCCTCAAGCATTTATTATTTTAGTTGCAAATAATCAAATTTTACTCCTTTAGTTATTTTTAAATGTACAATTTAAAATTCTTGACCATAGTCACCCTGTTCTGCTATCAAATAGTAGGTTTTATTCTGTCTTTCTGTATTTTGTACCCATTGATTATTCCCACTTTCCATACCCCCCTATCATACTTCCCAGCCTCTGATAACCATCCTTCCACCCTCTATGTCCATGGGTTCAATTGTTTTATTGAGGAACCTCCAAACTGTTCTCCATAGTAATGGTATTAATTTACATTCCCACCAACAGTGTACATGGGATCCAGTGTACATGTGAGACTGGACCCACATCATGAAAAGAAAGGATTACCTACCTAGAACACATTGAAAAAAAAGTTTGAGATGGTGACAAATCCATTGGACATCTGAGACAGTTTACATATTTGTCTGTGGTTCTCTGATGTGCCTTGTTTGATAAACTCAGGGTGCAGTGTCTTCCCATGGGAGACATCGAGGATAGGACAAGTGGTGTTTCTACTGAACAATGGTTTGCCCTTGCCCAGTAGACATTGTGAATCATGTAACTGTGTATCCTTCTTCATGGTGCGTGCCAGAAGGTTGACAGTCAACATTGTAGACTAGCTTTTCCTATTCTATAAGGTCTTCATGGAATGTTCTTCCTGGCTAATCCCACTTATTTAGTTCTCCTCTACATTATTGCTTTCATTTCTCCTTTGCCTCATATTCTCACTTATTTTCAATTTATGTTCTCTTATTGTATTGCATGCATCTTTATAGACTGCTAAGCTGCCTTATGACACTTTTGGAACAAAGCAAGATAGAGAGAGGGAGTGGGAAAAAGAGGAAGAAGGACAGGGAAGGGAGAGAGGTGGGAGAGGGGGGTGAGAGAGAGAAAGAAAAAGATTGAGTAAAAGCAGCATGGTTGATAAAATTTACATTATCTCCCTGGTGAATTCAAATTGCTGACAAGAACACATGATGATAATTACAGTTAAAAAAAAAAAACAATATACACACACCACACCTGAATCAGGCCCACTACTGTCCAACCTGGCACCACAGTCAGTTGCACGTTCTTCAAATAAAAACTAAATCTTGGACCATATTTCACGTAGTATAGTTATATTTACCCCTTCATCTCCCGTGCTATTTTATTGTTGTTGCTTAAACTTTTAATTATTCAGAGCCTTCAATTAACTGGCATTATTCTTCATTTGACTTTTAGTGAAAATGGCAGATAAGAAGAAAACAAATTAATTTTTATGATTTCTTTCTTAAACCTTGTTTCTACCACAACATGATCTTGTGTTTGTCACCTTCAAACAATTGTTCATGCCATCCCTGAGCTCTGCAGTTGCTATTTACTTTGCTTCTAATGCACTACTGCCTCACCCAGCAGATTAGCAAACTACTAATCTTTCAAGTCTTAGCTCAAATTATCATCATTTAAGAAATCTTTATGAACCACTTCCAAACTGGATTGGATGTCTCCCTATGTATGAACTACCATAAGATCTTGTACCTCCATCTATTGGCACACACTATATTGAATCTATCTATATGTTTTTCATCCTACTAGATTCTAAGGGACTTGGGGAAAGAAGTGTGTATTACTTATTCATTGTTGTGTCCCCAGTTCCTTTGATAGTATCTCTTTGTAAGAGGTAATTGATTGAATTAATGAAAGAATTGTCTGTGTACGTTGTTTAGCAGTCTAAATGGTTAGAGCTTCAGATGATCTAAACAAGTTGAGAAAACGATTATCTCTTTGACCATTTTATGATTTGGCTAATTTTAAAATGGAAAGCATCAGAATTTCACCTCAGTAAATATATCTGTCTATATGTCCCATTTAGTGGTTATGCAGCTGTAAAAATTCTGTGATAGTCCTTTGTTGTTAAGTAAACTTAAAAGGGCATTCTTCTGTGGGTGATAGCTGTCCCACAGAGCACTTGCTTTTGGCCTATCTTCACTAAGCCCCAAATAACTGGGCAATTTTCCCTCCAGTGTCTGCCTACGTCGAAAAACACTCAGTAATTGTTTTCAACCCTGTGGAGGCAGTTAAACTCTTCAGTTGGTGAAGACACAACCCGATGATAGAACTACTGAATCCTCCAGACAAAATCAGTAACACAGAGACAATCACTGCATGCTTGGATTTTGTACCATACTCCAGATGAATTTCTCATTATTCTCAATATAGTGTTGTCAGATCCATTTCTAAAATGCAAATGTCATGAGATGCCCTGATGTGCCAAGTCCTGAAGTATCAATACATTAATGGAAATCTAAAATTCTAAATTTCTCATCCAATTGAACAAAAAGAACCCCCCATTATTTTCAAGCTAGCTCAAATAGGCCAGGTGTCAGAGTTTATCTCCTTGGCGAATTTCAGAAAACATTTGTCCTTTACCATGGTCACAAAATTGTGCAGCTAGAAAATATGTTTTCCCTGAACGTGTGACAGAGAAAATTATTACACAGGAGGAGGTTAATGAAATTGTCTGTCAGTGGAGTAAATAATGAGGAAAGGAGAGCTAGGTATTAGGTTAATTAGAGGCTTGGTTCCCTAAATTATGTCTTGTTAGAGGTAGGGAATATATTCAATGTGTTTAAGTGAAATCAGATGAATTGGATTTAAGCAACGCTGCACACCCAATACTTTGATGACTATGAGATAATTTGTGTGTTTTTCTCTTAAATTTTGTGATTAAAGGTGTAGACTGTAGTAACATTAAAACACATTTTTCTGTTTGTGTCATAATCTACCCACTGTGAAATAAGTAAAAAATTTAACAGCCATTTATAAAAGCATGGCATATATTCTGCTGAAGTTCATATCTTCCAGTTGTATATTGCATAATTTTCAAAATCAGAGTGAAAAAATTATGTAATTATTTGAATTAGGAAATAGACAGTTACGTATTCAGAGCTTAAGTGAACTTTAGAATTCCTCTAGAATACTTTCCCTCCCCCGACTTTATAAGTTAGAAAATAGAAAGTAAAAGAAATTGTGTTTTGCCATGTCATATAGCTCACTGGTCCCACACAGACACAGAAACACTTTTCTTTTTTGGAATTTTTCATTTTTCTTAAGTGATAGATTCAGGGTGTACATGTGCAGGTTAGTTACATGAATGTTGTACAATGGTGAGGTTTGGGTTTCCAGCATATCTGCTCCCTGAATAGTGAATATTGTAGATGAAATTCACTAGATAATTTTTCAAACCTCATCTCCTTCCCACCCTCCCCCATTTTGGAGTCCAAACTGTTTATTATTGTTCTCTCTATGTCCATGTATACCCATTGTTTAGATCGCGCTTATGAGTGAGAATATGCAGTATATGATTTTCTATTTTTGAGTTATTTCACTTAGGTATATGACCTTGAACTCCATCCATGTTGCTGCAAAATACATTATTTTATTATTTTTTATGGCTGTGTGATATTCCAAATTGTATACATACCACTTTTACTTTATCCAGTTATCCATTGATGAAATACTCAGGTTGATTCCATGACTTTGCTATCGTGAATAGTGTTGTGATAAACATACAAGTGTAAGTGTCTTTTTGATATAATTATTTCTTTTTCTTTGGGTAAATATCCAGTAGTGGGATTGCTGGGTCAAATAATAGCTCTATTTTTAGTTCATTGAGACATTGCTATGCTGTTTTCCATAGAGGTTGTACTAATTTACCTTCCCACCAACAGTGTATAAGTGTTCACTTTTCTCAGTATCTTCAACAACACCTGACGTTTTTGACTTTTTTAGTAAGAGCCATTCTGACTAGTGTGAGATGGTATCTCATTGTGGTTTTGATTTGCATTTCTCTTATGATTAGTGATGTTGAGCATTTTTTATGCTTGTTGGCTGCTTGTCTGTCTTCTTTTGAAAAATGTCTGCTCATGTCCTCTGCCCAATTTTTAATGGGGCTATTTGCTTTTTTCTTGTTGATTTGTTTGAGTTCCTTATAGATTTGTTTGATGTAGGCGTTTAACACTATAAACTTTCCTCTTAGCACTGCTTTGGGTGTATCCAAGAGATTTTGTATATTATGATTCTATTTTAATTTGTCTCAAAATTGTTTTTGATTTCTGCCTTAATTTAGTTGTTTTTCTCAAAGTCATTTGGTAGCAAGTTTGTTTAGTTTTCATGTACTTGTGTGGTTTTGAGAGTTCCTCTTGATATTAATTTCTAATTGCATCCCACTGTAATATCAGAAGGTGCTTGATATGATTCCATTTTTTGAATTTATTAATACTTGATTCATGGCCAAGCATGTGGTCAGTTGTGGAGAATATCCCATGTGCAGATGAGAAAAAATGTATATTCTGCAATTGGTCAATAAGATGTTCTGTAAATGTCTATTAGGTCCATTTTGTCAACATTCCAGTTTAAGTCCAGAGTTTCCTTGTTAATTTTCTGCATTGATGATCTATCTAGTGCTGTCAGTGGGGTTTTGAAATCCCCCACTATTATTGTATTAAAGTCATTCTCATTTTTTTAGGTATAGTAGTGCTTGCTTTATAAATCTGGGTGTTCCAGTGTTGGGTGCATACATATTTAGGATAATGACATCTTCTTGATGAATTGAACTCTTTATAATTACATAATGCTCTTTTTATCTTTTTTTTTTTTTTTACTGTTGTTGGTTTCAAGTCTGTTATATCTGATATAAGAATAGCAACTCCTGTTGTATTTTGTTTTCCATTTGCATAATATATCTTTTTCCACCCTTTTACTTTGAGTCTGTATGTATCTTTTCACATAAGGTGGCTCTCTTTTAGTCAGCAAATGGTTGGGCCTTGTTTTTAAATCTAATTTGCCAATCTATATCTTTTAATTGGAGCATTTCAGCCATTTACATTAAAGTTAATATTGATATGTGAGGTTATGTTCTTGTCATAGTGTTGTTAGCTAGTTGCTTTGTAGTTTCAATTATGTAGTTGCCTTATTGGATTTGTGACCTTTGTACTTACATATGTTTTTATGGTGGTAAGTATTGTCCTTTCTTTTCCATGTTTAGAACTTCTTTGAGCATTTTTGTAGGGTTGGTCTAGTGGTGATGAATTCCCTTAGCATTTGTCTGATTAAAAATATTTTATTTCTCTTTCCTTTATGAAGCTTAGTTTGGCAGGATATGAAATTCTTGGCTGGCATTTTTTTTTTCTTTAAGAGGCCTAAAAATAGGCACTCAATTTCTTCTGGCTTATCAAGTTTCTTCTGAGATGTTCACTGTTAATATGATGGGATTTCCTTAATAGGTGATATGACATTTCTCTCTAGCTGCTTTTAAGATTTTTTTTTTTTAATTTCATGTTCATCTTAGATAGTCTGAGGAGTATATGCCCTGGTGATCATTATCTAGTGTAGTATCTTATAGTTGCTGTCTGAATTTATTGTATCTGGATGTCTACCTCTCTTGCAAGATCAAGAAAATGTTCTTGAATTACTCTCTCAAATATGTTTTACAAATTGCTTACTTTTTCTTCTCTCTCAGAATGCCTGTAAGTTGCAGGCTTGGTCACTTTACATAATCTTATGTTTCTCAAAGTCTTTGTCCATTTGTTTAAACTCTTTTTTCTTTCTTTTTTTTTTTTTTTCTGATTGGGTTTATTAAAAAGACTGGTCTTCCAGTGATGAAATTATTTCTTTTGCTTGGTCTAGTCTATTGCTTAAGCTTTCAACTGTATTTTGAAATTCCTTCAGCGAATTTTTCATTTCTAGTAGTTTTTTGTTTGTTTGTTTGCTTGCTTGCTTTTAATATATCTATCTTGTCTTTCATATCCTAAATTGTTTTTCTGGTTTCTTTGTATTGGTTTTCAACTAACTCTTGGATCTTCTTAAGCTCCCTTACAATCCATATTTTGAAATCTTGATCTGTCATTTGTGACTTTTCATTTTGGTTAGGATCCATTTCTAGAGAGCTAGTACAATCTTTTGTGAGTGTCAAAGCACTCTGTCTTTTTGTACTGTCAGAGTTCTTGTGCTGTTTACTTCCACCTGAAGAAGCCCTCTCTTTTTATTTTTTAATTTGCTATTGTTTGAATGGGACTTTTTAATTTTCTATTATTTTTCCCCTTGAGGGTGTGACTATAGTGTATATTGTGTATGATCATTTGGCTTCCTTACTGGGTACGTTAAGTGTGTTAAGGATCTGGGGTTCCTTGGTTATGGATAGCTTTTGTGCAGTGGCTTTCTTAAATGCTGCTTGTTGTAGTGGTGTATCGGGCATAAGGTCCAACAAACTATCTTCTGTGGGGCTAGCAGTGCAGAGGTCCCAGGAAGCTTATCTCATACACTAGAAATATGCCCTCTGACAGCAGAATGTTTTAGTTGGTGGTGCAGTTCAGTCTCTAGTCCATTGGGTGGCAATGAAAAGTAAGAGCTGGTTTGTTCTCCAGTAACCTGATGATGAGTGGAAGAACCTGCATGGACTAGGGTGATGGAGGGAATTCACTGGGGGCACACTGAGGTCTCAGGGAGAAGGGCATGAGGTGCTACACTAGCTTCTTGTCCTGGTCACCAGGAATGAGGTCTGCTTCTCTATCATGCCCCTCTCACAGGACTTGCTACCTTCAGCTCATATAGGCACTGTCCTTTGTCTCCCAGCAGCAATGTGACCGAGGTCTGCAAAAATGTCCCTCTGGTGGCTATCACTGAAATGGTCTCAGAGGAGAGCCTCTTCCCACAGTCCAGAGCAGACAGCTCTGTGGCTTGTCTGTACTATGTTGCTGGGACACTGATGCTCTGTGTAGAGGTGGGAGATGAACGCTGCCCTTCATGCAACATATGTGTTCACAATGTGCATAGACATTGTGAACAATGTCTATGTTCACCTTATGCCCTGTGTGGCATGGGCACACTTCCAGCACAGGTCTAGCCACCATAAGTAGTCCTGAAAAGGTTGTTTCCAGGTACACTCACAACGGTCCCCAGTGGGGAAGGCCTCTGCTGCATCCACAACAGTCGACAGGGGTAGCGGAAGCTTACCCCTTCTCCGCATCCATTTCTGGCCACTGGTGCTGGTCCCTTTGGAGAATGGTACCTCACCGCATTTCCCTTTTTCCAAAGGGCACTTTGATGGGCTGCACTCTCCCTTCTCATAGGGGCAGCCGATGCTGAATGCTAGATCTCCAGGGGATCCCACAGCTTCCCAGGGTCCTTCCAGTATCCTGTGGTTGCCAATGTCAGAGCAGTTTCTACTCTATAGGTAGCTACTGTATGTTCACCTTATCTTATGTAAAGTGCCAATTTACTGAGCAGGAGACAAATACATAATTGACTATTCCCCCACCTCCTCCTTTTCTCTTGCAACATGTGAATTACCGTACCCTCCCTTTTTCCCCTCTAGCCCATTTTTCCCCCTTAAATATTGAAGCCCTCAAATTCATCACAGACCACAGACTATTTCTGTGATTCTGTGTGTGTTTGTTTATTTCCTTCTGGGCATGTCCCAAGCCTTGGCAAAATAAACTTTGAATTGATTGAGACCTGTCTCAGATACCTTTTGGTTTACAAGAGTGTAATGTTGAAATCATGATTCCCACACACCGAAAGCACTTCATACTGCCTTTCTCTTCATACTGTGCTGTTGTGGGAAATGAATCTTTGAAAAATTGAAAACTTTATTTTATTTGCATTTTATAACTTCTAGTCCGGCTATGACCTTTAGATTTTTCAAAAGAATATGCATGAGAAAACTAGATGTTTTATCCATGTAGCAATCTCTCATCACCACGTACACACAGGTAATATTGATTTCAATATGAGAGAGTAGGAGACGGGTAAAATCAATCAGACCTGTTGAGGGCTTACTCTCAATGCGGCCTTTAAAAGAGTAGCTTGGATTTGTGATGTTGTTAGAAAAAGATGGACTATACAAATAGAACTGTAATTTTGAAACTAAAATCTATCACTTTGATGAAGGGATTAGGTTTGGGGGGCAAAAAGTGTCAGGAGACTGGGTAATATGACTTTTTTATATCAACTGAAGTCTTGATTATTAAAGTTGGGGTGTAAGGGTTGAAATGGAGGTCTCATCAATTTTTCCACCCAGTTTACTGACCTATTTTTATTTTTCGGTAAAGCTGTTTAAACACTACATAAGAAGATGGGAGAAGTCTATTTTCTCAACGAAACCTGAGGAAAAAAAAATGTAACATAGTCAACAAATAAGGCACTTAGATAATAAGATGGAGGGAGAGGTGCAATACCTTCAGGAGACTTTTCAGCTTTGACTGATGGGGCAAATTAAGGAAATTGTACTCTAACATATATTTACTGTATTCTGTGTATAAAGCTTTTATGCCTGTTATTCTGCAGTCTATTGTCATTAACATTGTATTTGGCTATCTACTATGAAACACCTGGCCTTTTTATTGAGCTTCACTACAGACTAGAAAAGGACAGGATAAATCTAATATGCCAAAAAGGAAAGCTTACAGATGATACACATCTAGGGTAAACCAGGAAGATTATGAGATTCAGCAGTTATAAAACAACAAGTAAAACCCTTTAAAGCATTATCACCACTCCTTGAAACCCCCACCCCTTTCTATCAGCTTAATCCACCACTGGAATATATAATGGTTAATGTTTATTTCTGCTCTTGGTCATTTCTTAAGACCTTTTAGAATTACCAAATTATTAAACAATAAAGAACTTATATCAAAACATCTCCAAGGGTAGGTCAAATAAACATTTCCCAGAGCATTTAAATCTATCTGAAGGAGTTAAGTTAACCACCAGTATGTCTGTCAGACCTCAAGGAAAACGATAAGTAAATCAAGTAATTCCATGAAATAGGAACTTTTACTTTGCCTTCTTGACCTTCCTCTTTGCTGTTTAAACCTTCTGCTCTTTAACAAAACTCAAAGAATGTGTGTGCAGCAAACATTCTTGTAAAGTTCTATTCAGTTGTATCAAGCAGGGATAATGAATTATGATTCTCCCAATAATAATGATGGTAAGTTAAAAAATGGGATGCAATTGGGTAAAATATTGCTGATCTTTAATACTTGGTTATTTCATAGATGCTATTATTAAATCATAGATATTCAGAATGCTTAAGAAAAATAACAAAAGACTTTATAAAAATAAAATTAAAAAGAGAAACCGTAATAGGGAATGTTTTATAAATCATATTTATATTTATTGGAATATAAAAAATGTGTTGTTTTGCACTGTAGTCTGGCAGTATTTAGTTACCTTTTGCTATTTAATGTTATTGAGGACTAAGCTCTGATTGTTTTATCTTGCCCAGACTCCTATCTAAGAGGTCTGGGGAGTCATGCCCTACAAACAGTGAATTCTCATCAGTTGAATTTTCTTTAACCCTATATATCGTGACCTACTTTCCAATCTGACTCTGGCATAACATTACATGACAAAGAAGAAAATAAAAATATTTTACCCCAAAACATGTTTCTTTTGGAAATGGCCCTGCAAAGCCGTCCTTTGTTGGGGAAAATTTGCATCTGTAAAGAATCTCTATTAACATAGCTAGATCTTTTTCTTCCAGGGCCTCCTAATCCTGAAGAGATTTACTGAGAGTCTAGCACTTTTTTAAAGGTCTGAATAGGAAATATTTGTCATCTATTGTCTCTAAGGGCAGCCACTGTGAGACTTCAAAAGAACCTTGGTCTCCACAATCTTTTTTCTTAATCTGAACATTTCCTTTCTATTAATCCCAGGTCTTTAGACAATCTCAAACAATTGTCAACCAGAAAATGTTTAAATTTACCTATAGCCTGGAAGCCCCCCGACCCAACCCACTTTAAATTGTCCCACCTTTCTGGACCACCTTAGGGCATCTCACGGGCCAGGTTCACCCATATTTGGCTCAGAATAAATCTCTTCAAATATTTTACAGAGTTTAATGTTTTTTGTCGACATTACGAACAAAAATGCCTTGCTTTATTATAATGATATACAAGTGTATTTGTGCTATGTTCACAATTCTGCAAAAAATACAGTGTGTCTTGTGTGTTTCTGTTGTTCTTAAAGTTTTAAATATGGAAGGAAAGAAATGGGGAGGTGGAATGATTCAGTTGCTACCTTCTGAAACTTGCACTAAACTTGAACAAAGGACAAACCACAGTTCTTGATTTCAGGCACAATACACTGACTCCCAGCCCACAACCAAAGGGGTGCTTTGGCATTCTGACTCTACCTAGCCTCCAAAATTGAGAAAGTAAACTTCTGTTGTTGAAACCACTGAGTCTGTAGCACTTTCTTATGGTAGCCCAGCAAACTAATATAGATTTGAGCCTTGTGAGTTTTAATTTTTATACTAAATAAGGACAGCAAAGCACCTGGCCCACACTAGGCACTCAATGAATGCCTAGTGTTCTGTTCTTTTGTCACTATTTATCATAGACGGGCAGACACTATGCTTTTTCTTTTCTTCTTTTCTATTCAAAATGGATGGTGTGCTTATTGTTAATAAACTTGTCAGATTGTTCTTTGAAAATCAAAGAGGAAACTACAACTCAAAATACTTCCACTGAATTTGGGTTGTCAGAACCAAATAACCTTTACCTCTTCTGGTGCACCAGAACTCAATGGAGCAAACTCTCAATTGGTATAGAAAACTGTTTCATAAGTTAGCAAATTGTGGTAGAGAAAACAACAAGCTCTTGAGACTTGAAATGTAGATGATTAGAACACAAACAGACCAAGAACCATTCCATATCCTTCATGATAATTTGGCACAGTCTGAGGAAATAAGGAAAAAAAAAAAAAGCTGTCTTTTTTCCACTCTCCATTTAGCCAGAAGTAATCACTACTTTTGCCATCATATTAAGAGAAATGAGCTTTTGGTACTCAGTTAGCTAAGTAGGAGACCAAATATTGAATCCAGTAAACTTCATTAATTTTATACAGTATAAGAGAAGGTACAGAAACCTGAGCAGGCTAGAACAGATGCTCTGGAAAGAGTCTCATATTAGTCGTACCACAATCCTGAGATATGATATTGCCAGGATATTTCATCAGATATAATGCTTTGAAGCTCTCTTAGTCCTAATTGAACTTTATAAAATTGGTCATAAATAATTCCTTGTGGAAGTTGGTTCATATATCTGATTTATCTACACTTTAGTTAAATGAAGAGTCCCTAACAGTACCCAGTACAGTGTTCTGTACTAAATGGACTCTCAACAAACATTTATGTAAAGAAAAAGGAGGAAAAGGGTGAAGGGAGGGAAGGTAGTTGGTTGTAGATCCTGTGCTCTTAAGAGGAGGGACTCAATTGTTATTACACTTAAAAAATACACCATTGTCAATGCTGGTGTTCCCCCTGACAGTGCCTAGTTCTGCATTACAGTTAGTTGTCAGGAAATGTTTGTTGATAGTGCAAAGATTGATTTAGAAAATATTATTACCTTAAAGATCAACATAAACCACAAATGTGCTCCATAATCAATGTTTGGTTGGTTTTACAAAATGAAGAAACATGGCTTTCACATCTACACAAACTCTGAATATATGGAGAAGTATAAATATAGCACATAATTTTTCTGAAAAAAAAAAACAAAAAAACATTGTGATTACCTGCTCAGTGTATTTGTGTAGCATTGCATTTATGTATTTTTTTTTAAATATGGCTAGAGGCCTCCCTAATACTAAATATCATGGGCTTCCTACAGCACAGGGTAACTGTCCTCCTCTCCTAGATAGTGTGATTGCTCTTTTCACATTATTTGGATAAAAGTAGATTGTATTCAACTGAATTGAAGTACGTGTTGCTGACAGATTCTGATATTTTGGCCCAAACTTTTCTATTCTATTATGCTTGGGTTTGTTTCAGTTTTAGTTTTTTTAAATTTGCTTTTATGTGGCTACTCCTTTTCCTTTCACAGTACTTCAATACTCAGCTACTGCTTTGTTATGTTTAATTCATATTCTTCTTCTACTTTTTTTTTTTTTTTTAATTAAGATGGAGTCTTGCTCTGGGTCCCAGGCTGGAGTGCAGTGGTATGACCTTGGCTCACTGCAACCTCTGCCTCCTGGGTTCAAGTGATTCTCTTGCCTCAGCTTCTTGGGTAGCTGGGATTACAGGTGCCTGCCACCATGCCCAGCTAATTTTTGTATTTTTAATAGAGACAGGGTTTCACCATGTTGGCCAGGCTGGTCTTGAAACCCTGACCTCAGGTGACCCGCTCGCCCAAAGTGCTGGGATTACAGGCGTGAGCCACTGTGCACGGCCTTAATTCATATTCTTTATCAATATGATCCCTCCTATAAAAAAGAATCAGATATGTGTAATGGTCTATAGAATATAAATTATAATTTTCAATCAAGAAAATGCATAAATTCAAATAACTTTGGGGGTTATATTTTTGGTAGGTGTTTTATTGAGGAAAATATAAATATTTTCAATTTATTTCAAAAATAGAAATGTAATCTGTCTCCTCCTGTAATGCATAATGCTGCTTTGGAATGGAGGGGATATCTTCTTTCAGCTTTAAATATCTTTATTGTAAAAATAAATTTAAAAGATAATGTTAGTTGGTTTGAAGCATATCTTTGAAACATAGCTTTATTTTTCTCCAAGGTGCTTTTTAAATTTTTCAATTTCAGTTTTTAATTTCTACAACCTACAGAAAAAGAAAGTGTCCTCATGACAATTATTTAACATTGATTTCATAACTTGACATTGTAGTTGGTGTTTTTGAAGACATGGATTATAGTGGCGACACACGAGAAGACAAATGACTCAGGTTGTAACTGTATACACAAACTATACCAGTTGATGGCTAAAGGCAGCCGAGCAGCCCCATTCAACCAAATTATCACTCTTTTTTTTTTCACAAAATTGCCTGATTTCTTTAACCTTATTGAAATCACCAAATTGATCATGCCTTGGCACTATGTAGACACAGTCATAAAATATTTTCCTGGAGAACTGAGATCATTTTAATAGCCTCATCTTTCTTCTTCAGTCAAAAACATTTATTTGGACCATGAAAGAGACATTTTCTTTCTTTTTTTTTTTTTTTGAGACGGAGTCTCACTCTGTCGCCCAGGCTGGAGTGCAGTGGCTCGATCTCAGCTCACTGCAAGCTCCACCTCCCGGGTTCACGCCATTCTCCTGCCTCAGCCTCCCGAGTAGTTGGGACCACAGGTGCCCGCCACCATGCCCCGCTAATTTTTTGTATTTTTAGTAGAGACGGGGTTTCACCATGTTAGCCAGATGGTCTCGCTCTCCTGACCTCATGATCCACCCGCCTCGGCCTCCCAAAGTGCTGGGATTACAGGCGTGAGCCACCGCGCCTGGCCGAAAGAGACATTTTCATCTTACAAATCCTTAAGAATTCAAAATATTGGAATGCTCAAGTGTCACAATGTCATTTCCATTCACACTTTTTACTATTGTGGTGATTCTCATTGCTAAGGAAAGATTAGCACTAGCTACTATGCAGAATTATTGTCTTTCCTGATATTTTGTGAATGTAAAGAGACATTTTTAAGTGTATTTTTCCAGAAATACATTTAAATAAGACCTAAGAGAAATCTCGTAATTGTCTTCAAGAATTTGGTTTATATTATCATGAAAGGCCTGTCAAAAAGATACTCTGTTATCATTTTGAGATGGTTGAAACCAAAGACCATCACCTTAACTCTGAAAATAAACAATTCTGCTATTAAGTAGAATTGTTAAATGTTATTTATAAATATATAAAGCTATTGAAACACCTTTTAAAATCATTTCATCAGAGCAAGAAATTACTTTTAAAATCATAAATAAAAGATTATCAAGACAACTGCTATAAAAGTAGAAGCCTCTAGTGCAATGAAAGCTTGAAAAAGTGACTCTTTTTTGAAATTTTAGAATAATAAAAAAATCAGTAAAACTACTATTCTTAGTGGGTACAAAAGCAAATGCTATTTACCTGTAATAAACCCAAAGTGCTTGTAAATTATAAATACATAACAGAGCATAGCAGTGAAGAGCACAAGCCTTAGATTGCACAGGCCTGAGGTGAATGCAAAAGTTGTTTAGTCTCTTTCAGTGTCAATTTCCTTATTTTAGTTTCCATTTTAAAGGACTGTATGGAATTATGTATATTATGAGACAGTATATATAAAATAGGCTCCAGATTAAGAGCTCAATGAGCTTTAGATGTTGGTACAAGCACCGTAGTTTCTTGTTTGCTTGTCTTCCTCAAGTTTATATTAAATAGAGGTATATAGTTTATTAAGTAGAATGGAAAATATATACAAGTTTTAAATATAAGTGGTGTCTGTGTGTGTGTGCATGTATTTGTGTGTGTGTGTGTGTGTGTGTGTGCATGTTCATTTTTTTTGAATGGCTTTTTTTATTTTTATGTTTATTTTTTCCTCCCAACTTTTATTTTAGCTCCAGGGAGAACATGTGCAGGTTTGTTACATGAGTAAATTGCATGTTGCAGGAGTTTGGTGTACAGATTATCTAACTACTCAGGTAATGCTCATGGTACCTGATAGGTAGTTCTTCAACCCTCACTCCTCTACCCTCTACCCTCAAGTAGGCCCCGGTGCCTGTTGTTCCTTTTTTTGTGTCCATGTATACTCAATAGCTCCCACTTAGAAGTGAGAATATGTGGTATTTGGTTTTCTGTTACTGCATTAATTCGCTTAGGATAATGGCCTCCAGCCACATTCATATTGCTGCAAAGGACATAATCTTATTCTTCTTTATAGCTGTGTAGTATTCCATAGTATATATGTACCACATTTTCTTTATCCAGCCCACCACTCATGGGCATCTAGGTTGATTACTTGTCTTTGCTATTGTGAGAAGTGCTGCAATGAACATATGTGTTCATGAGTCTTTATGGTAAAACAATTTATATTCCTTTGGGTGTGTACCCAGTAATGGGATTGCTCAGTCACATGGCAACCCTGCTTTAAGTTCTTTGAGAAATCTCCAAACTGCTTTCCACAGTGGCTGAACTAATTTACCTTCCCACCATCAGTGTATAAGCATTCCCTTTTCTCTTCAATGTTACCAGCATCTGTTATTTTTTTACTTTTTAATAATAGCCATTCTGACTAGTGTGAGATGTTGTCTTATTGTGGTTTTGATCTGTATTTCTTTAATTATTAGTGATATTGAGTATTCTTTCTCATGTTTGTTGTTCATGTGTATGTCTTCATTTCAGAAGTGTCTGTTCATGTCATTTGCGATTTTTAGTGGGATTACTTGTACTTTGCTGGTTATTTTACATTTCTAATAGATCCTGAACATTAGAGCTTTGTCAGATGCATAGCTTGCAAATATTTTATCCCATTCTGTAATTTGATTACTCTGTTGATATTTTCTTTTGCTGTGCAGAAGCTCTTTAGTTAAATTAGGTCCCACTTGTCAATTTTTGTTTTTCTTGCAATTGCTTTTGGAGTCTTCATCATGAAATCTTTGCCAAGGCCTATGTCCAGAACCATATTTCCTAGGTTTTCTTCTAGGTTTTTTTTATATTTTTAGGTTTTACATTTAAATATTTAATCAATCTGGAGTTGATTTTTTTATATGGTGAAAGGAAGGGGTACAGTTTCAACTTGTGATAGTTAATATTAGATGTCAACTTAACTGGATTAAGGGTTGCCTAGATGGCTGGTAAAGTATTGTTTCTGGGTGTGTCTTTGAGGGCATTCCAAGAGGAGATTGACGTTAGAGTCAGTGCACTGGGAGAGGCAGACTCATCTTCAGTGTGGGTGGGCACCATCCAATCAGCTGCCAGCACAGCTAGAACAAAGCAGGTGGAAGAAGGTGGAATAGCTTTGCTTGCTGAGTCTTCGGTTTCTTTAATCTTCCCATACTGGATGCTTGCTTTCACTCTTTCTGCCATTGGACATCAGACTCCAGGTTCTTTGGCCTTTAAACTCTGGTACTTGCACCAGTGAATGGCCAGAGGCTCTCAGGCTTTTGGCCACAGATTGAAGGTTGCACTGTTGGCTTCCCTGGTTTTGATGCTTTCAAACTCAGACTGAGCCACTGGCGGCTTCTCTCTTCCCCAGCTTGCAGATGGCCTATCGTGGGACTTCGCCTTATGATTGTGTGAGCCAATTCTCCCTAATAAGCTCCATTTCATATATACACATATTCTATTCTGTCCCTCTCCAGAACCCTGAATAATACAACATTTAAATCTTTAATTAATCTTGGATTGATTTTTATATATGATAAAAAGAAAAGGTCCAGTTTCAGTCTTCTGCATATGGCTAGCCAGTTATCCAAGCACAATTTATTGAATGGGGATTCCTTTCCCCATTGCTTGTTTTTGTCAACTTTGCTGAAGAGCAGATGGTTATAGGTGTGTGGCCTTATTTCTGGGCTCTCCATTCCATTCCATTGTTCTGTGTGTCTGTTTTTTTCTTTTCTTTTTTTTTTTTTTTTAACCAGTACCATGCTGTTTTGGTTACTCTAGCCCTGTGACATAGTAGTGTGATATGGCTTACTATTTTAGGCTACACTAGTTAGATTCCTAGAGATAGATGTTTAGTTTTCTTTACTATTAACAGTGTATGATGGAAAAAAATGTGTCAAAGATCTGAAATTTAACACGTTTTATAGTTGATTTTTGAGTACCCAGGATCCATTCTCTTTGTAAAAGCACCCCAATTTCATTTTGAGAAATAATCTCTTCTTTACTGAATACCATCTGATGGTACTCTAATTGGGCCGCACTTTTTCTAACTAAAGGGTGGCCATATAAACCAAGCTAGACAAGTTAAAAGTTTCTTCCTGGAACCTGAATTTTGAATACAGGATAACAGAAAAGTAAGTCAGTTGACATTTCTTCACTCCTAACAGTGGTGAGGCGCTGATTAGGTTGTTTCTGCAGTTTGCTTCCAAGCTCTCAAGATCTACCTTTGTTCCCAATTCTTTCCATAACTACATTTTCAGTTTCCTGTTGATTTTGTGAGCTCCTCTTCTCTCTCTCTCTCTTTTTTTTTTAAAAAAACTTATGTTTAGCTTAAATTACCCAAAGTAATTTTTTGTTATTAAATAACTGCAACTGATATCAGAGTATAATGGCTAGATTATAAATTGAAGGGACTGGTTCTTTATTTGGGGTTTGCTGTGGTGTCACTAGCACAGTGTCTCTAACTTGGTCACTAGAACTGTGACTGCCACATAGAGGGCTCAATAAATATTTATTAATTGATCAACTGCCCTGAGCACAAAGATACTTACTTCTAATTATGTCTTTGTGGCTTCAGTACGTTAAAGCATTAGGTATGTGAACATGTACCCATATTTGGTTTGGGCAGGCTACAGTATACAGCTCTTGCAGCACTGCTTGTGAAAGGCCAGCAAGATATATAGGTTCTCCATGTCCACTCCAGCACTGTTCTGAATTATTTTCAGATGAATATGATATTAGATAACTCTAGTTTCTGTTATTTTCTGAATGCAGTTTGGCTCTGTGTTCCCACTCAAATCTCATGTCAAATTGCAATCCTCAGTGTTGGAGGAGAGACCTGGTAGAAGATTGCATCATAGGGGTGGATCTCCTCCTTGCTCTTCTGCTGTTAGTGACTGAGTTCTCATGAGATCTGGTTGTTTAAAAGTGTGTAGCACTTCCCCCTTCTCTCTCTCTCCCCTGCTCTGCCATGTGAAGATGAGCCTACTTCCCCTTCGCTTTCTTCCATGATTGTAAGTTTCCTGAGGCCTCCCAAGCCATGCTTCCTGTACAGCCTGCAGAACTGTGAGTCAATTAAAACTGTTTTCTACATAAATTACCCAGGTAATTCTTTATAGCAATGCAAGAAAGGACTAATACAGAAAATTGGTACCAGAGAAGTAGGGCATTGCTATAAAGATACCTGAAAATGTGAAAGCAACTTTGGAACTAGGTAATGGGCAGAAGCTGGAACAATATAGAGGGCTCAGAAAAAGACATGAAGATGAGGGAAAGTTTGGAACTTCTTAGAGGCTTGTTAAATTGTTGTGACCAAAATGCACTAGTGATATGGACAATGAAGTGCAGGCTGAGGTGGTCTCAGATGGAGATAAGAAACTTATTGGGAACTGGAGTATAGGTCATTCTTGCTATGATTTAGCAAAAAAAACTGGGGATGTATCTCAATCTAGAGGTCTGTGGAACTTTGTACTTGAGAGTGATGATTTAGGTTATCTGGCAGAAGAAATTTCAGCATATGGTCATATGTGGGAGCAAAGAGATGATCTGAAACTATAACTTATATTTAAAAGGGAAGCAGAGCATAAAAGTTTAGAAAATTTGCAGCCTGACGATTGGTAGAAAAGAGAATTTCATTTTCTGGGGAGGAATTCAAGCTGGCTGCAGAAATTTGCATAAGTAAATAGGAGCTGAATGTTAATAGCTAAGACAATGGGGAAAATGCCTTGAAGGTGTTTCAGAGACTTGTGGTAGCCCCTCTAATCACAGGCCTAGAGGCCTTGAAAGGAAGAATGGTTTTGTGGGCCAAGAGCCCGGCTGCCCTGTGTAACCTCGGGATACTGCTCCCTATATCGCAGCTGCTCCAGCTCCAGCTGTGGCTAAAAGGGCCTCAAATACATCTCAGACGGCTGTTTCAGAGGAAGCAAGCCACAAACCTTGGTGGTTTCCACATAGTGTTAAGCCTGTGGGTCCACAGAGGGCAAAAGTTGAAGCTTAGGAGCCTTCATCAAGATTTTAGAGGATGTATGGAAACACCTGGATGTTCAAGCAGAAGTCTGGTGCAGGGGCAGAGCCCTCATGGAGAACCTCTACTAGTGCAATGCAAAGGGTAAATATGGAGTTGGAGCCCCCACACAGTGTCTCCACTGGAGCACTGCCCAATGAAGCTGCAAGAAGAGGGCCACCATCCTTCAGAACCCAAAATGGTAGATCCACCAACAGCTTGCACCATGTACCTGGACAATCCACAGGCACTCTACTCCAGCCAGTGAAAACAACCAAGGGGGCTGTACCCTGCAGAGCCAAAGGAGCAGAGATGCCCAAGGCCTTGGGAGTCCACCCCTTGCATTGATGTGCCCTGGATGTGAGACATGGAGTCAAAGGAGATTATTTTGGAGTTTTAAGATATAATGACTGCCCTGCTGTTTTGAACTGCATGGGGCCCTTTGTTTTGGCCAATTTCTCTTTTTTGGAACAGGAGCATTTACCCAATACCTATACACCCATTGTGTCTTGGAAGTAAATAGCTTGTTTGTGATTTTACAAGCTCATAGGCAAAAGGGACTTGCCTTGTCTCAGATGAGACTTTGGACTTGGGCTTTTGAATGAATGCTAAAATGAATTAAGACATTGAGGGACTGTTGAGAAGGCATGATTGTATTTTGCAATGTGAGAAAGACATGAGATCTGGGAGGGTCCAAATGTGGAATGATATGATTTCGCTCTGTGGTCCCATCCAAATCTCATGTCTAATTGTAATCCTCCATGTTGGAGGAGGGGACTGGTGAGAGGTGATTGGATCACAGGGGCGGACTTCCCCCTTGCTGTTCTCAAGATAGTGAGTTCTCACGAGATTTGGTTGTTTTAAGAGTGTGTAGCACTTCCCTCTTCTCTCTGTCTCCTCCTCTTCCATATGAAGGTGTGTCTGCCTCCCCTTCACCTTCCACCATGATTGCAAGTTTCCTGAGGCCTCCCAAGTCATGCTTCCTGTACAGCCTGCAGAACTGTGAGTCAATTAAGCCTCTTTTCTTCATAAGTTACCCAGTCTCAGGTAGTCTGTAGCAATGCGAGACAGACAAATACATTTCCCAAGACAATACCCTTGTTTCAGAGATGCCATTCTCCTTTTCTGTTCCCCAAACACACCATGCTCACTCAAAGTACAAGACAAGACAAAATAGTTTCTTATATTTATTTCTTCTACCTGGTGAATAAGCATAAGAGTTGTCATGTGTATTGGCATAGCAGAACACTTATGATATAGAATTCTTGAGCCAGAATCCCTGGGGTTTATATTCTAATTATACCATTTACTAGGCATTTGACATGGGACAAGTTATTTAACCTCACCATGTGTGTTTCTGTGCCTATAAAACAGGGCTAATAATAGTGTCTGACTCATTTTTTTGTAAGGGTTAAATAAATTAATATGTGAAAAGACTTAGCTTGGTACTTGGCATGTAGCATTGTATATATTACAACTGTTCACCAATGTTTTATTCTTTTCTATTTTGGGGCATACAGAAGCATCACTGTTCTCTGCTGTTGTCCACACCACCAAAACTTTAAAGTTAACCTCCTGACTTTCTCTTCCTGGGAAAGAGAAAGAAATGGGGAAGAGAAACTACCTGGAAAGAGAAAGTACCCTGAGAAAGTCATTGTCAAATTCTAGCCACCTTATTGAGGACATGTGTTCTGAAGATATTACTACACATACAATAGGCCTTTGTTAATTTACATCACAGCATCAACTATCCTATCTAGACTAATAATACAGGCTGAGTAGCCCTTATCTGTAATGCTTGGGATGAGAAGTGTTTCAGATTTTGGATTTCTCAGATTTGGGGAAATTTGCATATACCTAATAAAATATATTGGGGATAGTACCCAAGTCTAAACACATAATTCATTTATGTTTTATATACATCTTAAACACATGGACTGAGGGTTATTTTATACATTATTTTTAAAAAGTTTTGTGCATGAAACAGAGTTTTGACTGTGATTAATCACATGAGGGCAGGTGTGGAATGTTTCACTTAGGACATCATATTGCCACTCAAAGAGTTTTAAATTTTGGAGCATTTTGGATTTTGGGTTTTTGGATTAGGGATGCTCGACCTGTGTATGTACTAATGTATTACTATACTATCAAATTGTTAGCTGATTTTGCTATATCTTCACCTATTCTGGCAGTCACTTCTGTACTGTCATGTATTTTTAGGTTTGTATGTTTTGTCTTCACTGTTAGAGGGGAGATGCCATAACTTATACTTCTTTTTGTCATCCTTCCCCAGTGCCTAACACCATACTGGCACAATGCACCCTGTGAATACTAATCAAATGAAGAAGATGTTTCAATATTCTAGCTCTGTAGGAGACTTTTGAGTTTTCCCCTGGAATCTTTTAAAAAGGCTAACAATTCATCGGAGGGGATTACAGCAGGCATGTATAAATCCATAAGCTCTAAAATCTTTCTCTCAGTCTCAATTTTTGTATCCACCAGGGGTCTGAGCCAGAGACCTAAAAGTCATACTTGAGTCCTCTCTGTTCTTCACTGACAACATTCAGTCTTTATGTCTTCTTATTTCTATGTCTAAAATATCTCTCAACTTTGTTCCTCTCTCTCCATCTCCTCAGCAACTCTTTTACTTCAGGCCATTATAATTTCTTTCATGGATCATTGAAACAGCCTCCTAACTATTCTTATTTCTAGTCTTGCTTCTGTCCAATGTGTTTTGTACTCTTGATCCAGAGTTGACTTATTTTTTCAAAAACATAAATCTGATCATGGCACTCCCCTTCTTAAAATGGGTCTTTCAATGCCTCTTGATGAATTTCAAATTCTCTCACCTGTCATGTAAGGTTTTCCATGATCTTCTAATCTTTTCATGATGATTTCTCCTTACTACTCCTCTCACACAGTGAGAGGAGTTTGTTTCATGCAGTTCATGAAACAAACCTTATTTTTTCTTTTTATGCCTTCTTACACTTTTTCTTTAGCCTAAAACATTCTTATTTCTGCTTTGCTTGAGTAATTTCTGTTTCTCCTTTAGGTTTCATCTTGGATGATCATCTCTTCTGGGAAGTCTTGCAGATCTCTCCAAAACTGTTCATCCATAGGCCCTTCTGCTTACCTTTATATGATGAGGTACTATGGCATATTGACTTGTTAGAATGGCCTAGGTTTTAGTATCTGCTCTGCTACTTATTAGAGGAGTAACCTTGGGCAAGTTACATAAGAATAATAGTACTTTTCCTATGTTATTAGGATCAAAATCTTTTAGCATAGCCCTTAGAATGTAGTATGTGCTTAATAAATGCTAGCTACCATTGTTATTGCTTCACTTAATAGAGACCACCTCTCAGAGTCTAAAGTAAACCATTCGACTCTAAGGTCTGAGAAACAAGTTTCTTCTCCTTTGTAGCATACACCGTTTAAAAATGAATGAAAGGAATCTTATCTTTTGAGTGACAAATAGAGTTAATATCTCTTTTTCTTAATACCACTGGAATTTTCATTTAGGTTATTTTGGAAGATGTTCAGTGAAACTGAGTGAGAATAACTTTGAATAAGCTTTTATAAAGATATAATTATTATATTTAACTCATATTAGGAGGGGCTCTCACCATCGTATCTCCCATTATAGAGACATTTAAATAAGAAAGGAATTCTTTTTTTCTTATGCAGGGGTACTAGAATACTTCACTGAGTTGATTGCCTTGGTGCATTTCCTGGCTTGTCTGTTCCTTAAAACATGATTTTCCTGTCCTTAAGTAAATCCACAGAGGCTCTGTCGACTGAATCTTTAGAGTCCATTTGGTTGATCACCACTCAGAGAATGCCTGTACCTGAAAGAGTTGAGGATGTTTGTCTTACTTTAAGAGATCTACAACGGAAGGGATTTTTGTTTTTAAAGGATGCACTCTGCTTGCTAAAAGTTAAGGACATATTCCCAATATGCTAGTTATTTTCAATATCCAGGTAAAAAGTAACTTTAATGGTGACACTGAATTACTAAAATTATCTTATGCTTTCAGCCTTCTGAAGACCACATCATTATAAGTCTTTTGATTGTTTATTATCCAACATTTCTTTTCTAAGTATAATTATGTAGTTCAATGCTAGAGAATAGGAGGCCCATTGGCACACACAGGTAGCATTGTTACCTTTCTAAAGTAATTAATAGATTCTTATTATTTTACAATAGTTCATTATTAATCCATCAATAATGGGATTAGTAACATTGGAATAGGACAAGCTTGTCAATAAGTGGAATATTCCTAGAGTTCTTATAGTCAGGAATTTCTCCTATATTCATCCTCTTTCCCAGTTTATTTTCAATTTGGACATAATGTTTGGCACAGATAGGAAGAGTCCTGATACAGACTTTTTTCTCTCTATTGCTCTTTGTCACTCATTTAGAACAGGCAATTTAGGCTTTATTCACTGTTTTGAAATCAGCAAAGGGCAAGCAATGAGCCCCTTATCACCATGGTGAGGGTATAGTTCTTTGAAGTTATTCCTATTCCAGCCCATGTCTTACAATCCTAGTGAAGGGGAGCAAACCTCCAGAGATCCACATTCAAATTATCCGGATGCCAGGGTTGGGGCCCAGTCCTGCACTCAGGTGCAAGGTAAAAGAGTTACCCCTACAGAGATGAGGGTTATAGAGAATTCTTGAATAAAATCTCTG
The DNA here is from genome assembly GCF_000001405.40 of Homo sapiens. Lineage (NCBI taxonomy): Eukaryota > Metazoa > Chordata > Mammalia > Primates > Hominidae > Homo > Homo sapiens. The sequence goes on along the minus strand of NC_000023.11, from coordinate 93,539,266 downwards.
TAATAACCACCTGATAGCCCCTTTATCCACTTCTTCAGCTTCACCACAGGCTATATGTAAAACTTATCAAATGTAGCTCTCTAAAAATACGTGCTAATTTGCTATGTCCTTGAGAAGGACATGGTTGCCTTCTAGAAGCTTTCTTTTCATGCATAAAGAAGAAAGAAGTCTTACCTCATTTCCTAAAATATCAAGCTCTAATATAGAAGCCCAAATCATCCAGTTTTATTTTTACTGTGGTTCGCCAGATTTGGGGAAATGGATTTACTACATAACTGCTAACAAGACCACCTAGATCAAATACCCTGGAGGAAAGAATAGTGAAAATGGTTGAATATTGCTTTTTCCCTAGGAACAAATAATTATAAGGGCAAAAGCATAGATCCCGCTCCTCTATCAGAACTTGACTACTGAAGCGAAGTGAGCTTTATTTAGGCACATTTCTATACTTTTGTCCATTTTAAAATCCTCACTATTTCTGATATACCAATAGGTGGCACTATAAGATAAGGAAGATGAGCTAGCAGCCAAAGAACAACAACAAAATTATGGAAAATAACCCAAGCAAAGAAAATACAGAAATTAAAAAAAAAATGAATGGTGCATTTTAATCTTATTATTTTTTAGCAATATAAGGGAAAATTATTTTTTTCCAGAGAAAAATTCCAATATATGAGGACACGTACATTTTCCTTCAAAAATTAACGGTAGTACTAGTCAGTACTGAAATCCTCTGTACTGTGTCGTTTAACTTTGCAACCAGGATTATTTTATTTACAGCTCTGTTTGGAATTTTAGCAACTTGAAATACGTTGAGCTTTCAAAATGTGTAACTATCAAATGAACATACGTGCACGCGTGCACGCACACGCGTGCACACACACACACATACACACACACACAGAGTCAAAGATGACCTTGGCAGCTTTGATATCGAAAGAAATGACTTAGAAGCTAAAAGATACAGGTAGGAAAATGTTTAACTTATTCATCCATTTCAGTAGGACATCTTAACTTTTCTTTATGATTTTGGATATAAGTTTTTCTAGAGTCAGATGTGCCCCCATTTATTAGGTTCATGAAAAAGTAAATGAGGTTTTTGCCATTATTTTCAATATATTTTACATCATCTTTCCTTCTCCATGAATTTCTTATTCACTTGTAATCCTCCTTTAACCAGTCAGCTTTGTGGATGAGATTCAGGCTAATTCACAGAAATACGTAATCAATAAGATGGAATGGGATACATAGTCTTGAAATTTGTTTCTTGCCCATATTCTTTGTAGTGATGCCATTTAATAGAAAAGAATCCGAACAAAGCATACTTCATGCTGCAGATGCATACAATTAGCTATTAACACTAAAAAAAGAAAAAACAAATCACAAAAAACAATAAAACCTCATTCATAAGGAATACTGATGGAAATTTAGCCTTAGCTTAAAAACCACTTTGTAATTATTTTGGTTCTATAATCTTGTGGCTATAACAGAGTCCCCCTTTTTTGCTATGACTTTTGAAATAGCTCCTGTTCTTTTTTTTCTGCTGTGTCTGGAAAAGTTGGGATGAGAGGAAAAAAAGTTAAAACAACTTAAATAACTGTTGAACTTTCTTAAATGTCTAAAGATACACTCATTCTATTTCTTTATATGAAGGCATTGTTTAAAAGGAACATGCCATTCAGTTTTGAAAAGACACATCAGAATGTTAAGACTCCCTATGTTTTTATATTCCCAATCTTTTTCTTTTTTCTTTTTCTTTATTTTCTTTTTCTTTATTTATTATTTTTTTGATGGAGTCTCGCTCTGTTGCCCAGGCTGGAGTGCGGTGGTGCAATCTTGGCTCACCACAAACTCCGCCTCCTGGGTTCAAGCGATTCTCCTGCCTCAGCCTCCCGAGTAGCTGGGACTACAGGTGCGTGCCACCATGGTTGGCTAATTTTTGTATTTTTAGTAGAGACGGGGTTTCACTATGTTGGCCAGGCTGGTCTCGAACTCCTGACCTCATGATCTGCCCGCCTCTGCCTCCCAAAGTGCTGGGTATATACCCCATCTTACAGGCCATAAATATTGGGAGATTAACTTTAAAAGCAGAATTGAGATAGATTGGAGTAACTATTTTTGCTGGTTTCCTTCATCTTCTCGTACCAATTCCTAGGGGTAAGATTCTATTTTGGGAGCCAGAAAGAAAAAAAGAAGTATCTTGTGTATAAATGGCTTCCCTTTAACAACCTCTTCCACATATGTGCTAATGCAAGTAGCTCTTTGAGGGCAGGGGCTATTTATGATTTTGTTTTGTTTTGTGTTTATCGTTTGGGTTCTTTTTTCATTTTTTTTCCTTCTTTTCTTTTCTAAAGTTCTGTATTCTCAGCATCTAACACAATGCCTGGAACATAAAAGTAGCTCAGTAAATGCCTGACAAATTAATGGGTAAATATATGAAAAATAGTACACTCCCCCATCAAATCTATTTTTCCCTTGAGAAGGGAAAATGTATGAGTGGTCCATTGCTAGTTGAGGCAGAACAAAATAAACTTACTTTGTGCACAATAGATATTTATGGAACACATGTCGCCCCCAAACATACTCAAAAATAGAAATGGGGAATTTGGTCAAATTGGTCTTTGCCACTCCATCTTTCCTATCAATACTCATTTCTCTTCACCTAAAAAACAAATTAGCATAGTGGGAAGGTACATAGACTTTGTGACCAAATGGGCCCCGGTTGGATTCTAATCCTGGATTGGCCATTTACTACCTTATATGCTTGAGTACATCACTTACCTCTGAATTGTAGTTTCTTCATTGGTAAAATAGAATATTGATACTTATAGCTTTTCCAAGAGGACTCAATGAACCTAAATACCTACTGTAGTAACTGGCATATAGACATTCAATAAATGATGTTTCTTTCCTGCACTTGCTGTTACTTTCCTTTCAAATAGCTTCATGAGGGAAGTATTATTATTATTACATTATATCTGGGGAAGTGGAGGCTCAACAGGTTAAGTGACTTGGTTAGCTATATAAAGGTAAAAGATGGAAGAAACTGGATTCCAACCTTGTCAATCCAGACTCTATGCTTTTAACTACTACACTATATTAACTAGGCATTTTATTTTGCCTTAGCATTAGGGGAAAAAAGAACATGGCTTATTTGTTGCCATGGTATCTTTTAAATTTTGCGCACATGTGCACGCATGCATGCGATAAAGGAAACAATGGTTAAAGGTGCAAGTGGTAGAGTCGAGTCTCATATCACACTATGTTTAAATAGTGGATGCTATTTGTTAGCTGTGAACTTAGCTAAATTACTGCACCTCTATACCCTTAGCTATAAAGTAGAGGACATTAACTCTTCTCATATCACACTATGTTTAAATAGTGGATGCTATTTGTTAGCTGTGAACTTAGCTAAATTACTGCACCTCTATACCCTTAGCTATAAAGTAGAGGACATTAACTCTTCTCATATGAAGGGCAGATGTGAGGATTCTATAAAACTTATGCAAGGTGATGTCCCTTGTACATAGTATATAATAGATGTTTTAAGTATCATGATTATTTTTGGGAACAAAAATGTGAATAATAGCAGGTAGATAGCCAGAAAAAAAATCTCAGTTATTTTCCAAAGAAAGCATATATTTTTAAATAGATAATATCACATAATTTAATACATTTAACTTTGCAAATTATTCTTAAAAAGCCTTCCAATATTCTCCCCACTCTGTTAAGCAACTACCAACCTAGTCTGGGTTATTGGAAATTCAGAGTAAGTTAGAATATCATTAATGTTTTCTAGTTTGACTCCATTGCAAACATCTTTTAACCCAGTAACTTAATGCACACTTCTTGCATAAATTTAATGGAGATAGACTTATGTAAACTAAAATTACATCATATTTGTTTACTGGAGTGTAAGGTAGCCATTAGGCCAACCAATCTAATTTAGAGAAGGTTGAAAAATCCAAAGTTTACAACTAGGAATACATGTGAGTCAGCAAAGGTCGAGGCTCTCTACTAAAGGGAAGATGCTTTAGAAATAACTTTCAGTATTGATCTTAAACATCATTAAAGATCTGTTTAAGAATACCTAAGCTTCTGGCTGATTATTAGAAAAAAACGTAACAGAACATTAAGAAATACAATCATTTAGTGAATATCATTTTGGGCTATGCATATTTATATTAATGGTTCTCTGAAAGACAACACTAGTAAGCTCCAAAAGAATAAATATATAGGGCAAACTTTTGGGCTGTCCAAATGATTTTATAGTGTAATTTCATTATAATATTATGTATGTCCAGAAATTACAGTTCTAGTCAGAAAGCCTAGAGGTAAACCTCTAGAAGCATCTTTATTAGTAATAAATTAGTGAGTTAAAAGAACAATTTTTACACACTTTATAGGGCAGTTGTGAGGATTTTATAATATCTAAGTTAAAACAGCATATGTGCGAACTAAGTGGGTTAGAGTCAAATGTTCAAGACAGAGAAGGAGTGTTTGATGGGAGACTCACTTCTCTTGGCCCAGTTCTATATTAAATAACTGACTCTTTTATTTATAAGGCAGAAGGTGAAAGATTTAAAACTCCAAGAAACAGATATAAGTCAAATGATTTTTTTCAAAGAAGGCACTTGAGCTTTCTACTCAAGATAATAATCAATATTAATCAGGTAATGTCTGTTCGAGTTTCTCAGTTTTCTCCTAGTAATCTATCTTTATTTGAATTACTTCACAAGTTCAAACACTGAAGATATCTCCACTATACTCCACCCTCTCATTTTAGGTTGGAATATCATCTGTGGACACAACATATCACTGCTTTGCAGAGAGCAAGGTCATCTGCTCTCCTTTTTATTTTATTTTATTTTATTTTTATTATTTTTTGCTTGAGTGAATTGACAGTGATATTAGGTATTAATAGCACCCTCTTTCTCACTTGGTGTACAGAACTGTGGGCTTCCTATTGTCTCTAGAGAATATTACAAAGTAGAAAGTAGGCAAATGTTCTCAGAACCTAGAACAAGTTATTAAGATTTTGAATACCATGTTACATTTATTGCTTTCATGGTTATAACATTAAATTGTCAATTGTGGGTGAAATAGCCTATGTACCAAGCTCCCTTTACCGACATTTTATCAAGTCCATCTACTTTCTCAGATAAAGAAAGGATTACCACATGGCAAATTACCATAAAACCATGGTATATAAAGTAATATTTCTCAAATGTCCTTTGGCACACAAGGGCTATTGACAGATGTTTGCTGCCTTATGACAGAAGAATAGAGCTGTGAAAAGTTGAACTACTGTTTTGTTTTTTATCTCCCTGTATCTTTATCTTAAATTAGACATTTTACTCGCATCAATAAAGCACCAATACTATGAACCAGCTTCTGAAAGTGCAAAGCTTTTGGAACATAGACGCTTTCTTAGTAATGACAGTTGTCAAAAATAAGATTTTTAGCTTGGCATGGAGCCTTGTGTATGTAATCCTAGCTTCTTGGGAGGCTGAGGTGGGAGGATTGCTTGAAGCCAGTAGTTCAAGACCAGGCTAGGCAACATGGAAAGACTCTCTCTTTAAAAATAAAATAAAAATTTTACCTCCGAAGTAGCATGTTTATGAACCCAATGGAGATACTTATAGTCAATTTATTATATTCCTTTTATTTATATATAAAAAATGAGAATTATTTTTACCCATGTAAATAATACGTCTTTTAGCCAAAGTCGGTTTGTTGATGGTGTAGCTGTTCTTGTCTAGGAGAATCTCCGATTTTTATTGGCCACATGGTGTAACTAATTTCATGGGAGACAAACAGTGACTAGGACAAAGTCAAGATATTATTTTACATGTGTAGAAAATGCTAGAATTGTTTCTGGAGTTGGTTCCTTCTGGTGGGTTCATGGTCTCACTGACTTCAAGAATGGAGTTGCGGACCTTTGCAGTGAGTGTTACAGCTCTTAAAGATGGCACAGACCCAAAGAGTGAGCAGCAGCAAGATTTATTGTGAAGAGCGAAAGAACAAAGCTTCCACAGCATGGAAGGGAACCTGAGCAGGTTGCCACTGCTGGCTGGGGTGGCCAGCTTTTATTCCGTTATTTGTCCCCACCCACATCCTGCCAACTGGTCCATTTTACAGAGTGCTGATTGGTCCATTTTACAGAGTGCTGATTTGTTCATTTTACAAACCTCTAGCTACCCACAGAGTGCTGATTGGTGCGTTTTTACAGAGCACTTATTGGCGCATTTTACAAACCTCTAGCTAGCCACAGAGCGCTGATTGGTGTATTTTACAATCCTACCTACAGAGTGCTGATTGGTGCATTTTATAATCATGTTGTAAGACAGAAAAGTTCTCCAAGTCCCCATCCGACCCAGAAGTCCAGCTGGCTTCACCTCTCAGAATTATAGAATATCAGTGCTACTATCAGGACTTACTCATGTGTTCTGGCTCCTGCTGGATGTACCTCTTTCTGTCCCTCACTAAAATATATTTCTTACCATGAATATGTGTTGGTACCATGAACTTCTCCATTCAATTCTATGACTATTTTTGTTAAAGAATGGGGACCCGGCCTCCATCAATTCAGCTATTCAAGAACTCCATTAAGTACCATCCATCATGTTATACACCTGAACCAGAAAAAGGCCGATCCCTATTTGCCTTAGGGTAAATGGCTAGGGAGCATGGGTGTATTAGTCCATATTCACACTGCTGATAAAGACATACCCAAGACTGGGAAGATAAAGAGATTTAATTGGATTTACAGTTGCACATGTCTGGGGAGGCCTCAGAATAATGGCAGAGGGTGAAAGACACTTCTTACATGATGGCGGCAAGAGAGAATGAGGAGAGGGCAATAACGGAAACCCTGATAAACCCATCAGATCTCGTGAGACTTATTCACTGTCATGAGAATAGCACAGAAAGACTGGCCCCCATGATTCAATAACCTGCCCCTGGGTCCCTCCCACAACACGTGGGAATTCTGGGAGCTATAATTCAAGTTGAGATGTGAATGGGGACACAGCCAAACCATATCAACAGGGGAAGTGGTAAAAGAGCAGAAGAAAGTGATGACAGTGTGACATGTAGAGGGAGACAAATAACTTTAATAAGGCTTGGGTCAAATTTTACATAGTTTATGTTAAAAGGGAATGATACATTTTCTAAACTTCTATAGATTCCATGAGGAGAGAATGTTTCCAACACATCCCTGGAAGCTCTACACTCTTTTAATCACTCTGTCCCAGGAGAGTTGGAATTAGTTATGTGATTGATAAACAACTGGCAGGCTTGGCTCAGCTCGATTTTTGTCCATTTTGAGAATAGGGCTGCCTATAGGGAGACATATTGTTCTCTGCCCCCAACAGGGAAGGAGGCCTGTCTTGGTTCAGTGCTTCTATGAATCAGTGAGTTATAGTATCTGATTCCAGAATTTGGTTTTAACAAGTTCACCTGATTAACAGAAATAAAGCTACGCCCTTCAGCTTATACTTCATCAATAATAAAGGTGATATTTTTGGTTCTCTACCTCCCTCTCCTTTGTTTTATTTTTAATCATTCAGAACCTGGGTAGGGAACCTACCCAGAGACCTTAAGACTATGCCAGAGAATAGGATGAAAAATTTGAGTGAGGAATAAATTTTATAGTTGCCTTTACAATCACTACTCAAAAATGATCTATTGATATATTTCAAAATAGCTTGAAGAGAGGATTTTAAATATTCTTGCCATAAAGAATGAATGTTTTAGATGATCGAAATGCTAAATATACTGATTTGACCATTACACATTGTATATATGTATCAAAACAAGGAGAAAGTAAGACTATTATACACTGCTGAGGGAAATGTAAAAATGCTACAATCACTTTGAGAAACAGTTTGGTAGCTTCTTAAAAAGTTAAACATGTACTTAAAATATGACATGACACTTCCACTCTGAAACAGTTACCCAAAACGAATTGAAGCACATACCCAAACCAATAATTGTACACAAATGTTAATGAGAGCTTTATTCTGAAACATCCCACTGGGATAAAGAGGCATGAAGAAACCCTGAAGGGTGTTGAGAATATCCAATATCTTGTCTGTGGGGTGGTGAAAACAAGGGTGGACATCTATCAAAACTCATCAAATCGCACACATTTACATATATGCAGTTTCTGGTAGATAAAATATGTTCCAATGAAATTGTTAACGTAGATATTTCAGCATAAAATTTTCTATGATAAAAATTACCTATTGGGCCGGGAGCAGTGGCTCACGCCTGTAATCCCAGCACTTTGGGAGGCCAAGGCGGGCGGTTCACGAGGTCAGGAGATCCAGACCATCCTGGCTAACATGGTGAAACCCCGTCTCTACTAAAAATTCAAAAAGATTAGCCGGGCATGGTGGCAGGTGCCTGTAGTCCCAGCTACTCAGGAGGCTGAGGCAGGAGAATGGCGTGAACCCGGGAGGCGGAGCTTGCAGTGAACCGAGATCGCGCCACTGCACTCCAGCCTGGACGACAGAGCAAGACTCCGTCTCAAAAAAAAAAAAAAAAAAATTACCTATTGAGTGCAGTGTACACTATTAGGGTGATAGGTACCCAAAAAGCCCAGAATTCACCACTATACAATTCATCCTTATAACAAAACACCAGTTGTACCCCTAAATCTATTGAAAGAAAAAAATCCAAAAGAACAAATTCCAAATTTAGCCTTACTATTTAGAAAAATATCTGAAAAATACAGTCTCCTGTAGATAAAATACTCAGAAGATTCAAATAAATGTTGATACTGGAATTCTGGTCACTATGAAATTATAATTTGAACTTTGACTTGTATAGAAATTTTACATATTTTCACAGGTAAATAACATACAATAAGGATACATTTGGTTGAAAAACATCATGCCATTGATCACTGATATTCTCAGGCTTCCTTATGTAAAAGGTGAAATCCTTCTAATGTTGAAGGGATATTTAATGTTTAATGGAGATAATTTTAAAGAATAATTTTACAATACTGCAGTTTATAAACAAATATAGTCTTCCAAATTCTGTAAAAATAAACATATAGAATATATTTGAGGGAGTGATATAAGAAATCAAATAATTTCATAGACGTACTTAAATTTCTGAAGGATTGAAACTCAATTTTTTAAATGATAATAGAGAAAACATTTTTCTTCTATGTGACAAGATGTGAGCAACACAATTTGATACTCTTAGAAATTGTCAACCAAATGATGTTAACTCATTCAGTGGTGACCATTGTAGAAATGAGCTGATAGGCAGAGAAATCAGAAAAAGAGAATTTTACCACATTAATCATCAACTAAAATGGGGAAATTTTTTCAGTAAAACTTAAGTCAATATCCATTTCTACTCATTCATCAGTTACCCCTTTTAAGGCTTTTCAAGTTTATAGATGATTCAAGAAGATAGTCTCATTCCTAAAAAGTTACCTACAGTGGCTCACATAGGGATTTAAAAATACCTGTGAAATACTTTACAAATACCCATATTTGTAGTATAAAAATACACTACAAATAATGTAGTACTAGGCTTAGCTGCCTTTTGGGATGCCTGAAGAACAATGGCAACATTCTAATGGTACTGTCCAAGGAATAGCTTTGACACACAGCATGTCTATTTTACCATCTCATCAATCTCTATAATTATCTTCTCAAACTTAGCTGACATATATTAATGCGTGATATGGAGAGCAGTGAACAAGAAATCAAGAGAACTTGATTTTAGTCTTGGTTATGTTATTATTGAGTTCTATAATCTCGGGCCAACTACTTAAGATCTTTGAATTTGTTTCCATATATATATATATATATATATATATATATATATATATATATATATATAAAATATGGGAGCTGAGTTCTTTAAGATTCTTTTCCATTTTGAGCATACTAATTCTATGATTTTACTCACTGTGAGACACAGTGAATATAAACAAGGAGAAAAAATTATACGATTTAATTATTGCTAAAAGTGGCCCATGGGAATTTGGAGACGCATATCTTCTACCTGTGTCAGATTAATTTCATGGCATTAAAACTGGGTCTGCACAAAAGATACAATATCTCTATATGGCTTTATTTCTATCCAAGCCATTTTACAAGCATAGCATTTGGGGAATGCCCAGTAACTCCTAGAATGAGTCACTGTTTATTTTAAATTTTATCTGTAGCATTTCACCTGTATCTTGTTCAAATGAAAATTAAAATACCCTGTTGGCGGCAGCAGTAATTTAATTTTCCCTTTCAGAAAAATAAAGTAAGCAAAATATTTATAGGCAATTAGTTGGAAAAACTTATTAACTATATAGTAAAACATTTTTCCTTCTCCATCATGTTGAACCACACTTTAAACTGTGAGAGTTAACAAGTAATAAAATAAATTCCACTGTGTACATGCTGCAAACAATAGTATAACCATTTACATCTCTCTTCTAGCTCCAGAGTATACACATATTGGTGAACCTTTCAAAGATGCAGAGTTGCTAAAGTTTTTTCTTTCCTGGTTAGCTCTTTTGTGCTGGTCTCTAAATAGCTGGGTATTTTTAAATAAGGTAGGTTTCTAAATGGAGATCACAAACTGGTTTCAACAGTACTGGGAAGCCAGCTTAAGGGGCAATTGTTTGAATTCAGCAACTTTTTCAAATTTCCTTTGATCTTTTCCTCTTGTGTTTGTTTACGCTGACTATGGTTCTTTAGCTCTTGAGTAGCCTAAATATCCTTACTTATGGACAGAGCTACCTGATGATAACCTGCATCCCTTTTGGCAATGCACACATAGTGTGTATATTCTTCTATGTATGTAATTCTGGTATTTGTCTTATCTATGGGTATTGGATATTGGTAATGAAATTGTGGGTCTGAGGCAAAGATATGCAACTAATGTGCCAGTGATGTTCAGGAAAATGGGTCACAGATGAGCCAGGACATCATTTCCCTTGATCCTGGTCGTGGGATAAGTGGGTAGTGCCTGAGGTAGCCAGAGCCATTGAAGTCCGCAGACCAACCAGAGCCCCTGTTCCTTGTTAAGAGCAGTCTTATATACAGTCTTCACTGTGCTTTACTAATATTATCACTTTCTATAAATGGAAAAGCGATGATCTTGGCTCTTGCTACCCAAAGTGTAGCCCTCAACAACCAGCATCATCATCATCTGGGGGCATGTGAAAAATGCAGGGCCTAATTTCCCATATAATGAATCAGAATCTATATTTTCACAGTTTTCCTCAGGTGATTCATATGCACATTACAGTTTGAGAATCTCTGGATTAAGCAATATCTTTGGTGCCCAGATGGTTCCCAACCTCATCTGCACTTCAGAAACATCTAAAGTGATTTTAAAAAATCCTAATGTCCAGAATACACCATAAACTAGAATCTCTAAGGCTCGGTCTGAGACATAGTGCTTGTAGGACTTCACCCAGTGATTCCCATATACAACCTATGTTGAACACCACTGATCTAGCAGCTTGTCCATTTCTAATAGGTGGGTACTGCATCACAAGATACCAAGAATCCGAAAAAAGGTATAAAATTATAATCAGCTGCTCAAGGTTAATTGTACAATTCTAATATGCGTGGGTCAGTGTTTGATGAGGCTGATGAATTTGGAAGGAATGGGGTACTGTGGAGATAGACATGACTCATATAAGCCTTTGTAAATGTTTACAACTTTTACTTGGGTTTTAGGTGTCATTGTCAAGAAAATAATTCAAGGTTCTAACCCCAGACAAACAAACTGTGTCTCTTATTTCTAATTATATCACCCTTGGGGCCATGGCTATTGGTGCCCTGGTGTGAGTTCCAGAGTAACATCTTTAACCAATGTTAGGTCTAAATACTTTATGTTTCTCTCAATCAACTTAGGTTACCCCTTGATTTTCTGCTTTACTTTGTGTCTACCATTAAATTTTTAAAAGCTATAACCCATTTTTCTCTTGCAAAACTGTCACAAAAAATGTTATTTTAATAGCCACAACTGAGAGATTTTATTAAAGTATTTATGTATGTAAAAGACTCTGTCAGAAAGAAAAAACATAACAAAGTAAAATAAAAAACACTGAAAGCCATGGAAATGGGAAGAATGAATAGATATTTTTTCATTCTGGCTTTAAGATGCTTTTATGAAAATTTTATAATAACTCTTGGGAACTATACCAAAAGTTCATGGCATCCTAGTTTCTTCTGTTACCACCACCAGAGATTTAAGGAGGTGCTGTTTTAGAGTTATGACTTTAGGGACTCAGCTTTGGCTCCTTTTTGTTTGTATCTCTCAGTAGGGACTTAGCACTCAAACCAGCTGCTGATCATGTAAAGTTTTTGTATAAAGTTTCCCATGCTGTTGTAACAAATTATCACAAACTTCACAGCTTAAAATAAAGGGAATTTATTCTCTCATAGTTCTGGAGACCAAAAGTCCAAACTCAGTATCACTGGGCCAAAAGTAAGGTGTGAGCAGGTGAGGGCCACACTCTTTTACAGGATCTGGAGGGGGTATATGTTCCTTGCCCCTTCTAGCTTCTGGTGGCTGCTGGCATTCCTTGGTTTGTGGCTATGTCACTCCAATCTCTGTCTGTCTTCATGTTACTCTCTCCTGTGTGTGGGTTTGTTATCTCCTCTGTCTCTTTCTTGTGAATACACATGTGATTGTATTTAGAACCCATTCAGATAATCTGGGATACTCTCTTCTTCTTAAGATCTTTAACTTAATCACATTTGCAAAAACCCTTTTTCCATGTAAGGCAACATTTATAGGTTCTAGGGATTTATTTAAGTAGTGCAAAGGACCTCTGAACAAGTGATAAATCACAGGTATATATTATATTACCGTGTAAACATAAGAAGGTTTCTTATAGAAATCGTGTTTCTGGACATCTTTGTTTATCATCCATGGTTATCATTTCCAGCCCAAATTTTTCTGTCTGGATCCTCATCATATCAAATTTCATTTGCTAATTTCACCCTGGCTCTATCAGTATTCCAAGTCAGTATCTTTTCCTTCTCAATGTTCCTTGTCCCAGCTTTAATCAAGTGGTCTTATGTAATGCTGGTGTCACTGAAGTAAAGTTGACCTAGCAGAAGTTTGCAGCTAGTGAATGATTAGCTTCCACATTCAAGTAGATACTTCTAGACAGGACCTATGGATCTAATGTATACAAATGGAGAGTTTAATGCCTCATATATGAAATAATGGTTAATATACGATTTCATTAAGTGGCAAACAAAACATAATGCAAAATGTACATAAATCACATTATAGGGCACAGTATTCTAGGTACAGCTAGTGACTTTAAAAAAAATCAACATCACATGAAACTACCTTTTAACTCTAAAAACTATCTGGTATTTTCCTTGTTTCAGCTGATTTCTTTACTCTCTTAACGCTCTTAGGAATCAAATGAATATGGTAGCCATGTTTCTTTAACTGGAATGAGGCTTTGAACATCCAGGTTATGTTTCTCAGATGCCTCTTAACTTCTCTTCCGCTTTGTTCATGGCTGTGATGCCAGTGATTACCAAATGTCAGTCAAATAGTAGATGCTTAAACATTACTTGACAAATTAATGAAAATGAAGGCTATCTTCCGATTTTAGGGCAATACCCCAAACTGGATGATTTCTGATTAAAGCAAACTGGTAGCATCTAGTAATAATCATAAACAGTGTCTGTGCCTAAATTATTAGTGGAAATGCCACTTAAAGTTTCTGGACTTTCTTTGAAAACATTCCAAATATTTTTGACACAAGTTTTAAGAATGTTTTTAGTATATTTTCTATATTCATTATCTAGCCTTGGTTCTATGGAGTGACCAATACTTAATTAAAATAGTGTTATAGAAGCTGTGGAGCAAACCATTCTTCTCATTCTGACTCACTGCTTATTTTTTTCAATTTTCTCACTAGACTTCAAACTATGAAACTACTATGAAAACATTGGGGAATCTCTACAAGACATTTGCCTGGGCAAACATTTCTTGAGTAATACCCCACAAGTACCAGAAACCAAAGCAAAAGTGAACCAATGGGTTCACATCAAGTTAAAAACTTCTGCACAGCAAAGGATACCAAGGGAAGAGACAACCCACAAAATGGGAAAAAAAAATATTTGCAAACTCTCCATCTCACAAGGGATTAATGACCAGAATACATAAAGAGTTCAAACAAGTCTTAGGAACAAATGTAGTAATCCAATAAAAACTGGGTAAAATATTTGAAAAAAATTACTCAAAAACATACACGTGGCAAACAGGCATATGAAAAGGTGCACAACATCATTGATCATCAGAGAAATGCAAATAAAAACTACAATGAAATATCATTTCACCCCAGTTAAAATGGCTTTTATCCCAAAATCAGGCAGTATCATATGCTGGCAAGGATGTGCGGAAAAGGGAACCCTTGTACACTGTTAGTGAGAACGTGAATTAGTACAACCCCTATGGAGAACAGTTTGGAGGTTCCTCAAAAAACGAAATATTGAGCTACCATAAGATCCAGCAATATCACTTCTGGTTATATTCCAAAAGAAAGGACATACTGAGGATGTATGCTGGTTCCATTTCCAGTATATCAAAAAGACAGATGCACTCCTGTGTTGGTTGCAGCACTGTTTACAATAGCTAAGATTTGGAAGCAACCTAAGTGTTCATCAACAGATGAATGGATAAAAACAATGTGGTACTTATACACTATGGAATACTATTCAGCCATACAAAAAATGAGACTGTCATTTGCAACAACGTGGATGGAACTGAAGGTCATTATATTGAGTGAAATATTCAGGCACAGAAAGACAAACATCACATGTTCTCACTTATTTGTGGGATCCAAAAATTAAAATAATTGAACACACGGAGCCAGAGTAGAAGGATGGTTACCAGAGGCTGGGAAGGGTAGTTGAGGGGGTGGCGGGCGGGGAGGTGGGGATGGTTAATGGGTATAAAAAAATAGTTAGAAAGAATGAATAAGATCTAGTATTTGATAGCACAACAGGGCAACTATAGACAAAATAATTTAATTGCACATTTGAAAATGTCTAAAAAGAGTAACTGGAATATTTATAACACAAAGGATAAATGCTTGAGGGGATGCATACCCCATTTTCTCTGATGTGATTGTTACGCATTGCATACCTGTGTCAAAATATCTCATGTACCCCATAAGTATATATACCTACCATGTACTCACAAAGTTTAAAAATTAAAAAAGTTGCAGTAATAGAAATCTAATTATTGCAAACTTGTTCTTTTTTCTCTGTGACAATTCCCAGATGCAGTTATACAGATCTCAAATACATGGGGAGAATGTTAATATCTTTATATGCTGCTTAACTCTTTAGTATATTAATGCGTTAAAAGAATTGGTTTCTTAGGACACATTAATGTAGTCAAATTCAGCAAAGGGAATGATTGCTTGGTAATAGGAAGGACAGTTAATCTCAGTATGTTCTCATCACACAGTTTGTGGAATTTTTACCCACAGAACTAAGGAGGACAAGACATTTTGCATAGCATAGATATCCCTGTAGCAGTAGTTCTCTGGCTAAGTGCCAGAACTTCTTTAACTGATTTCATTTTGTGGAAGTTCCCTAAAATGTGATATGTTCTTTTCTCACCTTATAAAGTATGTTATCCTGTCATCTAATCTTTCATTGATGGCTCAGTATCACTGTTTCAGACTTGAAAATGTAGTTTTTGTTAAAATTTAGGTGGTTAATGACCTCAGTGATTCTGTAGGACTCCTTTTTTTTTTTTAAGGACTCTGATATGAGCTTTTAGGTACAACAAATGAATGTCTTGAGCAATATGATATGGCTATCTTTATGCACAATTAATGGATTGAATGCTAAAATCAAGAAGTATATTTTTATTCTCCATAAAATCATCTTCACTGTTTCTATCATTTATTTTTGACTTGCAGGATTCAGAACACTATATCTTACTTCTTTACCCTTTACGGCACAGATCATGGACCTCAATCAGCTCATATGTAATTCTCTTACTTGCATTATTTACTACCAGCATGTTAGGAAATTAGCCATTATCATTTCGTGAAATTGTTCTTTGATAGAGGGTATAAAGTATATCTCAAGGGTGACAAATTCTTTGTCATTATTATCAGATGACAACAGCCCTGCTGGTGAAATACAGTGCTTCAATGTTTTCCAAGCCTTCCATAATATTTGACTTCTAATAGAATTCTAAGCAAAGAAATATTAAAGTGTCTCACTTCTCTGTGAAGATCAGAATGAAAGCCTTGCATCATCCTTACATAATGGATCAACTTTCCCAAGACATTTAATCTGTCATAATATATCACATTATGAAGAGGACCCAGTTTCATAGGATCAGTGAGGTAACATCCTGGAAACAAGAGATGTGATTAATATGTATATATAAATATATATGCCCTGGAGAACTAACCTTGCCTTTTCATAGTGAACTGTGCAAATATCCAAAAAAGTAGTTTTCAGTGAGCAAATCTATTCCTTGAAAATTTGCTAAAAATGTCCCACCCTCAAAATCCTGATTTAGTAAGTGTGGGTTTGGATCCAGGATTTTGCATTTTTCGTAAATATTCCAGATGATTCTGATAAAGGTGGTCCAGAGATAACATACTGAGAAGCAATGTCTAGACTGGCAGTTTTCAGCCTTGGATGCACATTAGATCATCTGAGAGATTAAGAAAATCATGTTTGGTCCCTATCCCAGACCAGTGATCTGTAGGAGTGAGGCACAGGCATTATTATTTTATAAAGCCTTCCAGGTGATTTCATAGTTTAGCTCTGATTAAGAACCATGAGTATAAATATAGATCGTTTCTTTACCTTCTGATTCTGAAGGATATGAAAGATAATGAAGCAAAATAAAAATAAAATGTTTCTGTCTACCCATACATTGACTTATGCTTTGTTAGCAAGAGTCAAAGTGTGATGATTTTTAAAACTCTGCGATGATTACATTTTCCACATTTTCTTTCTTGGAGGGTTACAGAAATAAGCTTAAAGATGTATGTCCCAACTGGTCCTAGCTTATTCAGACTGTTATGTTGTGCGGCTGCATAGTACTTCCCCCAATCTACTGTAATAACGTGCTTGTTTCCCGGCCCATGCGGCCTTCTTAGCTTTACAGGGCTCCTTCTGAACATATATGTTCAGCATCTCAGATGGTAAACCTGTCAGTAAGCAGGAGGACGATGCAAAACCTTATACTAGTAACATTACCTGTTCAGCACTGAATTAACTATGCTGTTGGTTCTTTTTTGACTTTACACTATGGGTTTGTCAACTGAGTTCTTGCCTTGTGTCTTGCTGAGTAGTCTTTATTTTATACTCTGTTGCCAAAAACTTGGTTTCTTTATTATCCACTGCATGTCTCAGCCCCTACCTAAATTCTAGATTCAATGCCTTCATAACACTGATGCTGAAAACTATTCAAACCCCCAAGACGGAATCCCAAGGATCTTTCATGAGGTATTTTTTGTTTGTTTTAAACATTTGTTTTGTTGGAAAATAATCTTTACAGAAAACTTGCAAGCATAGTATAAGAAACTCTCATATATCCTTTACCCAGATTCATCAATTATTTATATTATGCTTCTCTCTCTCTCTCTCTACACACACACACACACACACACACACACACACACAGAGTTGGCCCTTCATATCCGTGGTTTCCCCATCTGTGGATTCAACCAGCTGCAGTTAAAAAAAAAATTCTAAAAAAGAAAGGATGGTTGCATCTGTACTGAACATGTAGACTTTTCCTTCTCATTCTTCCCTAAACAATACAGTATAACAACTATTTACATAGCATTTACATCATATTAGGTATTATACGTAATCTGGAGATTATTTAAAGTATATGGGGTGATGTGCATAGGTTATATGCAAAAACTATGCCATTTTATATCAGACTAGGGCATATGTGGATTTTGATATCTGAAACCCATCTTCTGTGGATACCGAGGGATGAATATGTCAGAAGTGTTCGAACCAGAGGGACTCCATTTTGAGTGAGGGCTAGAAAAATGAGGCTGAGACTTGCTGGGCTGCATTCCCAGAACATTAGGCATTCCTCACCTCTAGATGTTTATGGTTAAGGGAACAAATTAATGATGTTTACGGAAACAGACTCAGACTTGCGAGTGTTCAGATATCCCGATATCTGGAAAACAAGGGCATTCCTAATTTTGCTTTAAAGATAATAATATCATTTCTTGCAAAATATGGTAATTAAGAAAATTAATCCTTTATCGCCAACCCTTGTAGCAGAGCACATCTCCCCAAGATCTATTTCTATCCTATATATATACAAGCATTGTAACTAGGGTGGTCACCTTTCTCCTCTTACTTTTGGGAATGGCCTACTCTGTCTATGGAGTAGCTGTTTTTTCATCACTTTACTTTCTTAATAAATTTGCTTTTTCTTTGCACTACGGTCTCTCCCTGAATTCTTTCTTGTGTAAGATTCAAGAACCCTCTCTTGGGGCCTGAATCGGGACCCTTTACTGTAGCAAATACACACACACACACACACACACACACACACACACACACACACACACACAGAGATTATATATCATTTCTAAATCTACCCCATATTAGTTCTTACTTATACTCCCAATTCTTTAATTCAGCTCCACGGGGTATATTTTTGTATCTTCTGTTTCTATATTTGTAAGTCCCTCAATAGTGAGAAATTTAGCTCCCATCATCCTCAATATATTTATTTATTTTCTCAAGCCTGGAATATACAGAAGATAGTTTCAAAATTGCTCACCCAAGCCACTGTGAAAACCTTGCCTGGGTTTTAAATTGATGTTTTAAGCCTCTAAAAGTGGGATCCTGGGGAACAACACCCCAGCTTGCTCTCTTAGAATCCTTCCTGAGGTTGGAGTCTTTGTCTTAAGTGCAGTTTTCAAATCCTAACCCCTATCGGTTGTTTATAGACTTGTCTGACTGAAGTTAAAGGTTTGCTTTGTTGAATCTTTGACTACTGCCTATTTTCAATAGCACTTTATTTCCCCTAGGATTATATTGCAGAATATTTTTGCTGGGGCCTCTCCGTATTTTCAATAAGACTATGTCATCCCTGGCCCGGTTCACCTCCAGCCAAGCTCTGATTTAGACCGGCACAGGAAGAATTGCCTGTCCATCCTTATGTGACTAAAAGTTAAATTGTGTGTGTGTGTGTGTGTGTGTGTGAGTGTGGGTGTTTCTGCATGTAGCTGGGATTGTGTAGATTATTTATTGAGAGGTGCTTACAAAATTTAGAGTTAGCAACTATTGTCACATCTGTTCATTTTTCTCAGCAGTTCAAATATATAATCTATTCAAGTGATTTTCAGAGAAGGAGGCTTTTTTTTCCTGGGAAAAAAATCTGTTCTTTTGCAGCATCATAAATTGCTTTCTTTTTTTATACCAAATATATGTAGCCTTCTCATGCTCCACCTCACTTTGAAATGTCAAAGTCATCCTTCTGAAAAGTCACACAGTTAGGTCAAATATACTGCCTAATAAAAATCTTTCACCTTCTCAATAAGCACTGAGACAAAAATAAGAGGCCTTATAAGAACCACTCTCACAGGATATGGCCTTGGTCTTCTAATTTAAATATTCTGAGTTTTAATGATTCAAAATCTATTTTAAAAATCAAACATTACTCCTGGGGAAGACACTGAGAAGAGACTACATAATATTTAAAGCTGTAAACTCTAGAGTCAGGCAGAGCTAGGTGTAAGTTACTTAACTTTACTAAAATTCAGTTTCTTCTTCTGTAAAATGTGTATAATAATATTAATATGATTTCACTTTCAGGATTGCTGCATCAAAAAATATTTTGTAATAAAACACTTAACGGTGTGTTTAACACCTAGGAAATAATAAATGTTGGCTCTTCTTATGAATATTATTCAGGTCCATAATTATTTTATGTGCTTTTTTAGTTGCTTTTCCTTTCTCCTCAGAACATTTTCATAGTTCTGCCCCTTGACTTTCATTAAAGAGATATTATTTGGCGATTTCTATAATGCACCTTTTTTTGTTGTGTTGCTTGTGCAGAAGATATTGGTTAAAGTGTATTCCTTATTCTAATTTAGCTCAGCTGTGCCCATAGAGATGCCAAGTTTTCTGAGGCATTGTATTTAGGCAACAACTATTGTTGCATCCCTAACCACAGTGCCAAGCAGAATTGTCCTTATCTCTGTTGTTGGCTATCTTCTTTTTGATATTTGCTGCTTCTGCTATTTCCAGTTTACAACAGTGATACACTGTTTTCCCACCTCATAAAGCATGCTATCCTGTCATCTAATATTTTATTAATTGCTCATAATCATTGTTTTAGACCTGAAAATATAGTTTTGGTTACAGGCTAGATGGTGTAATGACCCCAGTAATGCTGTACGACTTCTTTTTTTATTTAAAAAAAGACTGTGATATGAGCTCTTATTTTATCTATCCATAGGGAGGTACAACAAATGAATGCCACTATAATTTGCATTTGCTTCTTTACTTGATTCTCTAATATTTCCTTCTTTCTTTTTTTTTGCATATAAAAGTCTTAGGCAGATATTTTATATAAATCAGCAGCCAATAGAATACTGTTCATACGGTGTAGTACATTGATTAATCATGTATTAGTTGGTATCTTTATGTCTCTGGCACTTCTTGCTTTTGTCCATTTGATGATGGTTATTCAGAGGCTACTCCTTTGATCTGAAATATGATTTTGTTCTATTTGCATAACTTTAAATATGTGTGCTTATTACAGTAGAGCAAGGCTTATATAACTAGTCTTTGGAGAACTGAGATCTTATCACCCTTTGAAAATAGAAAAATCTTTCCTATAACATATTTTGAAAATCAGGAACTATTCTTTCTGGAAATACACCAGGAAAAGGCAATATGGCATTTAAGAGTGTGGCCTCTGGAGTCAGACAGAGCCATCCTTGGTAAGACACAGATACCAACTTTTAAAATGTTTCTCCTTGTCCTAAATTTTATCTCTAAAGACATTACTCATGTGGAGCCAAGGGCCTCTGAAATCATGTAGAGCCATAATACATTTACTTTCCTTTTCCTGAAAGAGTGTTAAAAAATTCTGGAGAAGGGACATCGTATCGGCTACAGGCACTGGATTCTGCACCACTTCAGAGCTGAACTACTTACCTGGGTTTGCATAAGGTATCATGCATGTGCTTGAGTCATGGATGGGGGCATGAGAACCTACAGAGGGCATATTCTAAAATAATGTTTTGATGATGATGTGGTGACAAAAATTAATAAATATTCCTATGAAAGCAGCATTTGTTGAGAGTTGACCAGGTACAAGACATTCATAAGCACTTTTAGGTTTGTAAACATTTTGAGTTAATATTATTAGTCTTATTTTAACAAATAAGGGAACCGAAGCCAAGAGGAGTTTGTCCTAATTCAAAAGGGTGGAAAGTTTCAGAGCAGGATTAAAATTTGGCTCTGTCTTCCTCTAAAGCCCATGCTCTTCATCACACTAGCTACTTCCCTCAGCATCTTATATGAATGTTGCATACTCTGTCCTACACATGGAGAAGAAATCAGACCGAGTCTCACTTCAAGAAGGAAGGTTCCAGATGTCTAGCTGAAACAAAGAAACCACATATTATTCACCAATTAAATAATAAACATTGTGGCCAGAATACCAAATCATGACATTTATCACTAAGTTATACTTCAGGCAGTGGCTTACTTTTCTCCACTCCCCCACAATCTTGGAACTGTGCACCTGAGGGTAAATTTGGATCTGCACAGCATACATTTTACCCAGAGTTGCTGCCTCACACTGGTTCGATGTGAAGAAAGAAGGAGAATGCTTACTGTTTTAGATTATTTGCACACTAATATAATTTTAGTCCAATGGCTAAAACCCATCCACCAGGTAACTCACTGTACCCAAGTGGAGAGGAGTAAGTGATGGGGCAGGAGGCCTAGAGATATAATCCCTCCTCAGGGAAACTAAAAGATTGTGGAATAATATTCTTCCTAATATCTCCGATATTTTGTGATTTTACCCAATAACTGATGCATTTAAAGTGACAAATTGAAGCTATTGTCAATGCATAGCTTTGTTTGAAAAGAAAAATAATGGCTGCGTGAAAAGAGGCCACATAATTTCTTCTTGTTAGAAATATAGTACTTTCTGTGGCCCATGCAGACATGGCTTTGAGATCAATTTTCTTCTCAAATCAATGAAATTTACATACATGAGTCTCAGCTGAATCTTTTACATGTTTATATTTCATGATTAATCCATTTCCTCAGAGAGTTACAGGAACACATTCTGCTGTTTTCCCCAAAGCATATATGTTCAGGGTCAAGATGGCAAACAGGGCAAATAATCGCAAAATAATCATGTGAATATGTATAAAGCTTTTATATTCATCATCACAGAAGCAAAAAGATATATCTGTACAAATGAATGGCAATTGGACTTAATGAGTTTCCGTGAATGGCAGTTTATATAAAGTAGAAAAGGAATGGCGATTTTAATCTTGTCTGTACAGTTTTTGAAAGGAATTTCATGACTTTGGCACCTGTATCCTAAATCATATGTTGGCACTACAAATCAATAGTAATAAAGATAATATTGAATAATAATGCCAACAGTTTCTGTATCAGGCACTATACCAAGAAGTTTACATATAGTATCTTACTTAATCCTGTCAGTAACCTTGTAATGCATATACTCCTGTTATTCCCACTGTATGTAGAAAACAAAGGGTCAGAGAGTTTAAGTGGCTTCCCTAAGGTTACTAGTTTAAGTGACTTGCTGTAACACCATTCAAGTCTTTTCTACCTCAAAGCCTGCACTCTAAACCACTATGCTCTAAGTCTTCATATGTTAAGATACACAATTCTAATGTTTCTGTGCTTTAAAAACCTGAAGGTTTAGGTATAATTTCTTCATATGTTTATTTTTCTGAAGCTTTATTCCAATTATCTAGAACTTGCAATGCTAGGCTCTAGCAAAATCGGCAAAATTAGCACAGTTTCTGCCTTCATGTACCTCATAGTCTACAGTACTACAATACTCATCTCATTTGGCTTGGACAGTTTTGTTATCCTGGTCTACTTTTAGGCTGTGGGGAAGAAGAGGCTTTGTAAAATACTATAATCAAACTAATTTTTAGGTGACATATTTTCCCTATTGTTTGCCCAAATTTATATACATTAGCCAGATTTTGTGACTTGAAAGCAAGTGATTCTTCACAGGAAAATCATACCCAGGTGATGTCACAGGTGGGAGTTGGATGGATAATGCAGAGAGGAAAATGTCTGCCGACTCTGGTTTAGCAATGGACTTAGGAGCACAGTGTGTGGTGACTTGGTGGTCAGTTTTGCCAGGGGCACAGCAAAATGACTGACATCATCCCCAAGAATTTCCTTAGGAGCAGGCTGGCAGCAGTCACACAGTCATGGCACTCCTCAGTGCTGGCTTGGCAAAGCATCTGGGCCAGTCTCAATCATTGGAGAGAGTGGGGAACCAAGGGAGATTTTGGCCATTGGGTGCAGGATTTTAGTCTCAGAAGTGCAGAGGGCAAAGACAACATAATAGATAGATAAGGAGGTCATGTATTAACATAGCCCAACTTTCATTTAAGTGGACTGTAGCTTCCATTTTACCTTTGTACTTTACTGTGGCAAAATTACACTGATATTTCTGCTTTCTACCCTCTGCTTTTACTTATTATAAACATTATCTTATGGCTGGTACTACTGATCTTCTTTTCAATACTGTAATTTCAAAATGAGATCTAAAATTTTAATTTTGGATGATATTTGGAGAGTAGTGTAGGCTCAAGTGATTTTCTGTTACTACATAGACTTTAAGATTAAATAATTTAATCTTTTGGTAGATATTAATAGATCTGTTACCATGGAACATTTATTCCTTTAATTTCCTGTAAATTTAATTTTTATGATGTTTGCTTCTCCAAGATTATGTAATCCTTTTTTGTAATTGAAAAGAATCATAGTTATGCAAATGATTATATCCAAAGAGATAAGTAGCAATTAATTGTGAGAGACAGGATGTTACTGTAAGACTTGTGTTCATACTGAATGGGATTTGACTTTTTCTTAAAATAAAATTTAATAGGAAAATTCAGTTGGTACAGATTTTAAAGGCAAGTGGTTCATAGAGAAAAGTTTGTACTGTTGCCATAATAGTTTTGCATTTTAATATTTATAGTTTTCATTTACTTTAGTATGCTTTTAGCTACTGCCTTATAAAATTCGACTGCTTCAGCAAGTAAGAAATGTGTGCAGAAAAAAATCTTATTTAGGTTTAAATAACTTTAATCTCACTACTCAGTCTCATTATTAAGAAAACTGGGCAATAATAACCATTTTAAAGATTTTTTAAAACCTAACTGTGCTTCATTTTTATTTATAGATATTCTAAAATTAAAACTAGTTTTTATTATGATTTTTCAATGTGTATTAAGCTGGAATTTCCCTTAGGCCTACTTTTTGGTAGTAAATTGGGCATAGAGGAAAGAGCTTTTACGGCTTTAAGTGGTAAGGCTCCATTAACTGTATTTCTTTGATGCTGTCGCCATTCACAAAAGTCCACCAAGACTTTAAAGTGGTGTAGCATACTGCTTAAAAGTACAGATTACTATTTTAGAAGCTGACAAAACTGGGTTCAAATCTTGATACTTCCACTTATTAATTATGTGGCCTTAGGTAAAGTTCTTAATTTTTGGAGGGCTCAGTGTCTCCATTTCCATAGAGGTTTTAATAGTAGAGTCTTCTTTATGGAAATTAACTGAGTTAATCCAGGTTTAACACAGTGTCAGGCACATGGTAAGTACTCTCTGTGATAACTGCTATTATTATTATGACCTACCTTACTGAGCAGTGTGTATTCTGGAGAACTGATCCTAAAAAGGCACATTCTAATAGCTTTCTTTGGTGAAAAGAAGAGATTGGATGAGGAACCAAAGTTTGCATTCAGATTGAACTTCGTAATTGGTCTATTTGCTTACAATCAGACAGTTATTTCTCAGATTTGCAATGGAGGGAAAGAGAAAGGAATAGGCGTGATAAATATATCTGTCATCCCAAGTATCAAGTCCCTTGTATCAAGTTACCCCAAGAAAAGCAAGATGATGGTGTATGTTTATGTTGATTAGGACAAGCACATCATACAGCATGGATCAGCATACTTGAATTGGCATTTAAGTTCTCATTGGGTCTTGGTAGTTTAAGAGAAAAGAATTGCAGAGGTAGACACATACGTTGCTAACTTGTCCTAGAGGCCTTATTTAAAATTGAGAGCTCTCAGATTTTCACGAACACACAGGCTGGAAGGAACCAGTTAAGGAAATTCAACCTTACTTATTAGTCTGGGATCCGTGGGTTTGGATTCTATTTTGAAACATCAGAAAGAAATAGATTTGAGGACCGAGTGATTTAAAAGGCAGCATCAACAATTTCAAACTGCTAGTACCGCTGCCACCACCAACACAGTCAATTCCTAGTTATACATACTGAATTCTAATAAACCACCACAGATCTTGGGGACAGAGCAAATAATGGGGCAGAGGCAGAAGCATGATCACTGTAGGGGCCAGCAAAAGACTTTTGAATGAAGTACATCAGGAGAAAAGCCACTGTGTGTTCTTTTCATTCTTACTCCTCATATTTATACCTTGCTACCTGGATTCTAGGCCTGGCTCTGCCACTAACTAACTCTGTGCCCATGGGCAAGTCCCTCATGACCCTGCTCTCTTGGTTTCCTCTTCTATAAACTGAGGGAGTCAGATCTCTAAGGTACTTTCTAATCCTGACAGTTTATGATTTCTGGATTAAGAAGAAAAAAGGGAGCATGAGTCCAGAAAGCAAGAGTGAGTAGGTGAGTATGAGAGCATGAATAGCTCTCTGAGTTAGTTTCTAGGGAAATGATGGTGGGCGACTCTTCTTCTCCCAAGAGGGTTATTCCCACTTGCCAACTCTGATCAGTAGTGGTAATGGTAGTAGCGGTAGCCATGGTTGTGTGTGTGTGTGTGTGTGTGTGTGTGTCAAGAGAAAAAGATACAGAGATAGTCAGAGAGACAGAAATAAATGGGTAAACAGAGTGAGAAGACGAGAAGAGAGAGAGAGCACATAAGTGCACATATTAGAGGGAAAGTGGGGCTGGGGAAATTCAGGCTCAGAATATTTTGAAGTGTTTCCACTTGTACTTATATTCCATCTGGGTCCCTGTAGCTGCTCTAACTTTAGATTTATACACAAATTTAATTAGGGTTTTCCCAAATTATTAATAAATTATTCAAATCAAATCAGATTGTCAAGCCTAGTGAGCTTCCCCAGACAACTGCAACTGGAGAAAACATCCTCCAGCCTGATCAAAGAGAAATAGCAGAAGTACTCCCTGACTTCTGACCCTCATCCACAAACAGACCTAGCTATGTGTCTTTTAACAAGACCAATTTATTAATAGAGAAACTGCTAATAACACTGCATCATACCTGAGAGACCATCTGTACCTCTTATACTGAGGCAACTGAGAGTGACTGGATTTGGAGGGCTGTATCCTTTTTATACAGGTCAGAATCAGGACCTGAGGGAGTTCAGTATTTGAGACTGCTCTTCCTCTTAGTATTTACTTAAGATTACCTTTTGTGTCTCTCAAGTCAGCAGTCTTAAAGTCACATGCTCTTTCAAAGTACTTGTTTTCATAGCTGTGGACTGGATTCTCATAAATTGTGACATGGCAATAAGAGATGGTATGTTTCTTTGCAGGAGTGTCTTAGAATAGGCATCGCAATAGGAGATAATTACTAGAGACATCCCAGTGAATTGCTGCTTACTGTATTTATTTATTTATTCCCAAGGGTAATTACAGTAAGATTATATTATGCTCTAGGTGACTCCAACTTTCTTTGGTATCAGGTCTCAGAAGCCCATAATATCAAACTCACCCTCATTCTATGTTGGGATGTACTTTAGTATACTGCCTATATACAGTACTTGAAGTGTTTAAGCCTTGGAATCATACAGACTTGGGTTCAAATATATCTCAGCCACTAAATCTGTAGCCTGTTATCTGTAAAATATGATAGTAATAATATCAATCTCACTGACATTAAGTAAGATGTAAGAATTCAATTCAATAACATGATATCCATAAACTGCTTAACAATGTTTTGGTCATAATAACAATAAATCTTAGTTTTTATTATTGATGTCTCAAATTACCTGTAGTAAAACTATGATTTCAAAAATGTGTTGGAAGATTTTAAACTGAAAAAATAAGGTTGTTGAATATAAAATGGCAGCTCCTTCAAATGAGCTTTTAAAATATTTTATTTTCTAAATGCACAACCTCACTAATTATTAGAGAAATGCAAATCAAAAGCACAGTGATATACCATCTCACACCAGTCAGAAAGACTATTATTAAAAATTCACAAAATAACAGATATTGGCGAGATTGTGGAGAAAAGGGGATACTTGTGCACTGCTTGTGGGAATGTGAATGAGTTAAGCCATTGTGGAAAGCAGTTTGGCAATTTCTCAAAGAACTTAAAAAAGAATTACCATTTGACCCAACAATCCCATTATTGGGTATATACCCAAAGGAATATAAATCATTCTACCATAAAGACACATGCATGCAAATGTTCATTACAGCACTATTTATAATAGCAAAGACGTGGAATCAACCTAAATGCCCATCAGTGGTGGACTGAATTAAAAAAAAAATGTGGTACACATACACCATGGCATACTATATAGCCAGAAAAAAGAATGAGATCATGTTCTTTGCTGCAACATAGGTAGGGCTGGAGGCCATTATCCTAAGCAAACTAATGCAGGAATAGAAAACCAAATACCGCATGTTCTCACTTGTAAGTGGAAGCTAATCATTGAGTTTATAAAGACATAAGGAAGGGAAAAACAGAAACCAAGGCCTACTTGAGGGTGGAGGGTGGGAGGAAGGTTAGGATCAAAATACCACCTATTGAGTACTATGCCTATAACCTAGGTGATAAAATTATCTGTACACCAGACCCCTGTGACTCACAATTTACCTACATAACAAACTTGCACATGTACCCTTGAACCTAAAATAAATGTTAAAAAATAAATATTTTACTGTTTATAAAATTTTGTTTTTTTAATTAAGCTTTTAATTTTCAGATAATTGGAGATTCACATCCACTGGTAAGAAACAATCCAGGGAGATCCTGTGTTAGCCTATACCCAGTACCCTTCAATGGTGAAATCCTATAAAACTGTATTACAATATCCTAACCAATATACTGACATGATGCCATTCACAAGATAAGATTACTCAGATTTTCCAGTTTTATTTCTACTTATTGGTGTATGTATGTATACTTGATCCAACACAACTTATCATATCTTTAGGTTTATGCATCTATAACCAAAGTCAAGATATGGAACACTTTCTTTACCATAACGATCCTTCACGTTGGCCTTTTATAGCCATGCCAATATCCCTACATATTCTATGTCCTTAACCTCTGACAACCAAAAATCTGTTCACCATTTCTATAATTTCATCAATTTGAAAATACTATGTAAATTAAATCATATAGTAGGGTAACCTTTCAGCACTGGATTTTACACTCAACACAATTCCATAAAGATCATCCAATTGTTGATTGTATCAAATTTGTTCTTTTTTATTGCTGAGTAGTATTTCGTGATATAGATATATAACAATTGTTTAATCATTCACCATTTGAAGGACACCTGAGCTGTTCTAGTTTTTTGCCTATTATAAATAATAAATTTGCCTATTATAAGTAAACAGTTAATTTGCCTATTAATTATTTAATTGATTAAATAAATAATTTGCCTACTATAAATAAGTTGCTTGAACATTCTTTTTTTTTTTGAGACAGAGTTTCAGTCTTGTTGCCCAGGCTGGAGTGCAATGGCATGACCTCAGCTCACTGCAACCTCCCCCTCCTGGGTTCAAGCTATTCTCCTGCCTCAGCCTCCTGAGTAGCTGGGATTACAGGTGCGCACCACCATGCCTAGCTAATTTTGTATTTTTAATAGAGATGGGGTTTTGACACGTTGGTCAGGCTGGTCTCGAACTCCAGACCTCAGGTGATCCGCCCACCTTGGCCTCCCAAAGTGCTGGGATTACAGGCGTGAGCCACCACACCCAGCCGTGTATGTAGTTTTATAAGAAATTGCCAATTTATTTTCCAGAGTGGCTGTACCATTTTACTTTCCCACCAACAATGTATCACTGATCCAGTTTATCTGCATCCTAGTTAGCATTTGTTGTTTTCATTATTTTTAATTTTAGCTATTCTGATAGATGTGTAATGATTTCCCATTGTGGTTTTAATTTGCATTTCCCTAATGGCTGTTGACGTTGAACATCTTGTTCTGTGTTTATTTGCCATCCGTATATCCTCTTTGGTGAACTGTCTATGCATGTCTTTAGCCCGTTTTCAAATTACATTGTTTTCTTACTGTTGAATTTTTTAAGTTATTTATATATTCTAGATACAAATCCTGTTGTTGGATATGTGCATGTTTCTCCCACTCTGTACAGTGTCTTTGCATTCTATAAAGAGGATCTTTCACACAGCGAGAGTTTTAAGTTAAAGTCAGGTTTATAATTTTTTTATGAATATTGTTTTTGTTTTTGGTGTCAGCATAAGAACTCTTTGACTAATTGTAAATAATGACAGTTTCTCCTATTTATTTCCTAAATGTTTTATAGTTTTATGCTTTATATTTAAGCTCGTGATCTATTTTAAGTTAATTTGTTCCTTTCTAAATAAGATATGAGGTTTAGGGGAATCTTCTTCTGCTCCTTCTTCTCCCTTCTCCTTCCTCCTCCTTGTTCCTCCTATTACTCCCCTCTGATTCTCCTTTCTCTTCCTACTCCATTCACCTTGTCCTCTCTATTTACTCCTTCACCTGCCTCTTCCTTCCTCCTCTTTTTTCATTCTTCTTTTTCTTGTCCAATTACTCCAGAAACATTTGTTGAAAAGGCTGTATCTTTCCTCCGTTAAATTTCTTTTTGTCTCTTTTTCAAAAATCAGTTGGGCATATTTGTGTGGGTCTATTTCTGGGTCCTCTATTCCATTCGGTCAATCTATGTGTCAATTTCTCTGCCAATATCACACTGTTTTTAATACTATTGATATATAATGGGCCTTAATATCCCACTTGATTCTTCTTTTTTAATACTGTTTTAGCTATTCTAGGGCCTGTGAATTTTTATATAAATTTAAGAACAACCTTGTTTATATCTACAAAATCCTTGCTGGGATTTGGAAAGGGATTACATTAAAATCCTATTGGTCAATTTTGGGAGAATTGACAATGGTGTTGAGTCTTCCAATCGATGAATATAGTATGCCTCTTTATTTCTTTAGATATTTAATTTATTTCATCAGCATTTTTCAATTTGTAGCATACAGATCATATGTAGTTTCTTAAGTTTATACCTAAGTATGCTATTTTATTTGGATTGATTATAAATGGTGTTATGTTTTAATTTTAGTTTTAACATGTTTATTGTTACTACATAGTTCTTCAAATTAGCTTTTTGCTGGGTTGATATTTTATACTGTGATATAGCTGAACTCATTTTTGGTTTTCAGAAGGGATGTGTGTGTGTGTGTGTGTGTGTGTGTGTGTGTGTGTGCGCGTATGTGTGTGTTTAGATTCCTTAAGATTTTCTTGTCATCGTCAAATAGGGAAAGGTTTATTTATTCCTTTCCAATTTCTATATTTTTTGATGACGTAGGGTCTCTCACTATGTTGCCCAGGTTGGGCATGAGCTCCTGGCTTAAGGGATCCTCCTGCCCCAGTCTCACAAGTACTTGGAATTACATGCACGTGCCACCATGTTCAGCTCTGATCTGTGTACCTTTTATTTCATTTTCTTGCTTTATTGCAAGGTCTAAAGCTTTCAATAGTCTGATGAATAAGAAGGACATCCTTGTCTTGATTCTGATCTCAGAGGAAAAGCAGCTGGTATTTGAGTATTAAGTATCATGTTGTTGCCTATAGGGTTTTGGTAAATACTCTTTATCAGGTTGAGGAAGTTCCCCTCTATTCCTAGTTTGATGAGGACTTTTTATCATGAAAGGGTATTGGATTTTGATAAAAGTTTTTTTCCGAATCTATTGAAATGATCATGTAGTTTTTGCTTTATATTCTATTGATATGATGCATTACATTAATTGATTTTCTGAAGTTGACCTATCCTTGCAAAACTGGAATACATTCCACTTGGTTATGGTGTGTCATCCTTTTTATATGATGCAGCATTCAGTTTGCTAGTATTTTGTTGAAGGAATTTTGCATCTAAGTTCATGGGAAATATTGCTCTGTAGTTTTCTTCTCCTGTGCCATCTGTGCGGTTTTGGTATCAGGGTAACACTGGTCTTGTAGAAAGAGTTGAGAAGTGTTCCTGTCTCATCTGTTTTCTCGAAGAGACTTTGCACAATTGGTGTCAATGTTTATTTAAATGTTTAGTAGAATTCTTCAGTGAAACTATCTGGGCCTTGAAATTTCTTTTTGGAGGATCTTCTAACTATGAGTTTAAATTTTTTAAAGGTATAGGACTATTCAGATCGTCTATTTCGTCTTAATCACCTTTGGGTAGTTTGTGGTTTTCAAAGAATTTGTCCTTCCATTTTATTTATTAATTTTTTAATTTATTTTTCAATTATAAAACTAATATATATAGCTCATATAATAGTCATAGATTGGATTTGGATGTGTTAAATATCAATGTGTCAGCTTTTAATAGTATCATGCATCTGTTTACTTGCTAGCTCTAGGTTTTCAGTTATGGACCTGGTACAAGGAAGAGAAACCATCTGGTGGACTATAGGATAGGTTAAACCTTTCATTTCTTATTGAATTTTACAGTTTGTAACCATACTTCCTTGGATATGGGAAGGAGAAAATATCCAACATTTACAAAGGAGCTTTAAAGACAGGTTCACATGAGAAGCGCTAAAGAGTCTTTATTATCCTACTTTAGAATCCCAATTCTATTACTTACTCTGTGTGACTCTGGGTAAGTTACTTAACCTCTCTCAGGCTCTTTTTCCTCCTCTGTAAAACAGGAATGATAATAGTACCTATTTTATAATGTTATGAGGAGTAAATTAATCAGACATATAGATTCACTCGATATATAGTATATACATATGTTAATAGTCACTTTAAGTGAATATGCTTAAATAATAACACTAAAATGGCTTCCTTTTTTACTTAAAATTCTCCCCTACCACGTTATAACAGAAAGAACTATGGCACCTGGCTTACAGTCCCAATGTCTTGTGAGTATTCAAATCAACATAGTCTTCAAGGAACGAAGGTATGCTGAAGGCTACCCATATTCTCTTGGCCATAATAATTTTTCTTTGTTTAGTCATTCTTATTTCAAAGTCTACCCTTTCCAGGATTTTTTTCCAGAATGAATTCTTATCATTCTCAGGCCATCTGCAGAATCCATAATTATCTCTCTTTTTATGTATCTGGTAGTCATTTATGAAGCATGTATTACATATAAGACATGTTTTCCCTCAAAGATTCTTTACCTCCTCAAATTCAGTAACCTTCCCCTCTATTCTACTTTGGCTGATGACTATCTGTAAAGTCTTTACATTTCAATATCTGGCAGGTATCTAGGGACCCAGGTACCCCACTGTGATGATGAGCACCCCACTGTGTGATGAACGGCAGAAGTGGCTGTGGGGGTAAGGGGAGTAGAAGCAAGAGGAAATGAACTTCCCATTTTAAGTGTACAGTTCATTGAGTTTGACAAATATGCATATTCCTGTAGTCACCATTACAATCAAGATATAGAACATTTTCTTCATCTCAAAAAGATCCCTCTTGCACCTTTGCAATCAGTCCTCCCCTGCACCCCTCCCACCATCCAGCTCCAGGAAATTGCTGATCTGCTTTCTGTCACTATAGATCAGATTTGTCCTTTAAAATATTTACAACAAAAGAAACCATACAGTTTTACTCCTTTGTGTCTGGCTTTTTTCAATTACTATAATGTTTTTGCAACTCATTCTTGTTGTTTTATATATAAGCAGTTCATTCCTTTTGATTGATGATCAGTGTTTTATTGTATGGATGTACCAGAGTTTGTTTAGCCATTCACCTGCTGTTGTACGTTTGAGTTGTTTCCAGTCTTTGGCTACTACAAATAAAGCTGCTACGAACATTCAAGTAGCACTATGCTCTTTTAGTTCTCCTGTCTCTGCTTCTCCTCTGTTTCCTTATAGTCTCTTTTTTGATGTGTTTATTTCTCAAATGTTGCCATTTTCTAGGTTTACATTCTAAGCCCAAGATCATTCTTATCCTATTAATTTTCATTAGAGTTCTCATCTAGTTTCACAATTTTGACCCCTAATTGCATAGTGATCACTTACAAATCTATGTCTTTCTTGGCATAGATCCATCTACATTTATTTTAGGTGTCAGCTCCTCCAGGAAGTCTTCCCTCATACTCCAGGTTGGTCAGATGTCCTTTCTCTAGTTTTCTAAAATAATCTGCGTATAAGTCTACCATTACTCTTTGTTACATTTCTTGAAAAATAATAATGCTTATGGGCATAACTTACCAACTAGGTTGTGAGTTCTCTGGATGTAGCATTCTAGGTTCATTCGTTATTGTATTTTCAGTGACTAGCATAGTGACTACTGCTAATAGATGCTTAATAAATGCCTGCTTGGGAGACCAAAGAATGGTGGTGTCCTTTCCTGAGAAGTTAGGTATGAGAGAAACAGTACTTGTGCAATTCTCTAAGCTTTATTACCTGGTAATTGATTTTATTGTCATTATAAGTTTGTGTATTGGGAATGTGAGAGCATCCATCCATATTTGGGTCTATTCACAGTTTATTTATCTGGAAGTGCAGTGATCCCTCTCTCAGCAGAATGTAGACCAAATTCTCTAAGGTTTCAAGGGTTCTTGCTACTAAGAGTAGTTCTTAGATCAAAATGTTTTTTTTTCTCACTCAAATATTGTTGAACCTTTATCGTGAGTTGGGACATATGCTTGGTATTGGGGATACTAAGAGGTAAATGATAATAGTCCTAACCTCAAATAATCTTTCAGTATTGCTTTCCTCAATACCTTGATGCTACCTCTGTTTCTACATTTGTACAGTGATTAAAATGGAAATAAAATATTGGCATAATTCCAAATTGATTAATTCTATGAGATGAGAAGAACAGATGTGTTTTAGACAAAAATAGCTGGGTGGCATAATTGATATTGTTTTAATTTTTATAGGTATAATTCTTCATTGTTTATATATCTAAGAAGTAGTGTAGTACAATGAAAAGTCCCTGAGGTTTACAGTCAGATAGACTTGGGTTTGAATGATTCTTTGCTACTTGCTGGATGTGTAATATTGGGTTGGAAACCTCTATGAACTTTACTTTTTAAACTCCAAAATGTGAAAGATATCTGTCTCTAGGGCACTTTTGGAGCGTAAATGAGACGATATATATAAAGTGCTTGGGACATATTAAAGACTCAATATTTGTTAGTCCCTAAATCCAAAGTCCACCAAGCTTATTACCACTCTCTCCAAGCAGTCCAGTTCTATAACAAGATTATTTTCTTAAAGCCTAAAATGCTTCAATAAAATATCACAGGCCTGGGTTGATCTTTGCAGCAAACCACCATGGCAAACATTTACCTATGTAGCAATCCTGCATATTACTCACACGTACCCCAGAACTTCAAATAAAAGTTGAAGAAAAAAAATAACAGGTCTAGGAAAAAAAATAAAATGGCAAGCCTTAAAAGTTGAAAACATCAACCTTTCTGTGAGAAAGCAAAAACTTTTTGCAAGCACAAATCCAGGCAGGGGTGGTACACGCCCCACCCTCACATGTCATCGCTAAGTGACTGAATGTGTGATAACTGTGCCAGGAAATTCCACTGTGTGCTTGCGGTTCAGGGAGAGAAGGCTGTCAATAAGAACTAATTGATGGCTATTTACTTTGGCTTAAAAAAAGATGTCACCTGTGTAAATATATTCAGTATACTTTCCCCCAACTCTATATGTCCATTTCAAAGATGGAAGGCAGCATGCTTGTCAGTCTTGTCAGTTTATAAGCCTCAGAAGAGAAAAGTGAAGCTAGCTGACAGTTTTGTGAAAACAAATTTTGAAACCTTCAACTCTCAGACTTTAACATCTGTATTGTGTGCTCATGTGAAATAGATTCACAAATGAAAAGATGGCACCTCGTGAGATGGTAGCCCATCCAGCGGCTCAGTCAATCAGGGCAGGCTGGTGGCCGTGGCCTGGTGGGACAGAGGCCTAGCTTGTATTATATCTGGCTTCTACTACCCCATTTTTCACCTTTTCCTCTTCCTCTCAGTCACCTATGTTTCTGGTGCTCTGTCCTCACCCATTCAAAGGTACTTTCAGGAGAGAATAAACACTAGTTATTTAGATCTTAGTGTCAACTTAAATGAAGTTGTTTATGTCTTCTAGGAGTATTTTTAAATTAAGTCTTACATCTACATTCATACATTTATTCAATATTGAATAACAGAATTGCATCAGACACTCTGCTAGGAGCTGGGAACATGGAAACAGTTTCTGCCATT
This sequence comes from Homo sapiens, assembly GCF_000001405.40. NCBI lineage: Eukaryota > Metazoa > Chordata > Mammalia > Primates > Hominidae > Homo > Homo sapiens. The sequence goes on along the minus strand of NC_000023.11, from coordinate 93,503,602 downwards.
ATGGAGTTTACGGTTCACAGGGGGAAACAGACAGACAGACGTGAACCTTACAAAATATACATCCTGTAGTTTCAATGTATCTCCCAAAGTTCATGTGTTGGAAATTTAATCCCCAATGCAATGACATTGAGCAGTGGGACATTTAACAGGTGATTAGGTAATGATGACTTTGCCTCGTAAATGGATTAATTGTCCTATTGCAAAAGGGGGTTGGTTATCATTGAAGAAGGTTTCTAATAAAAGGATGAGATTGCCCTCCCCAACCCTATTCTCATACGTGCACCTTTAACCTTGTGGCTTCCAACAAGGGATGATGGATCAAGAAGGCCCTTGCTAGATTCAGGTCCCTCAACCTTAAACTTCCCAGCATCCAAAACCGCATGAAATAAATTTCTGTTCTTTATGATTACTCAATTTCAGGTTTTCTGATATAGAAACACAAAATGAAATAAAACAATACATAATAATATAGTTTGATAAGCTCAATGAAGAAAAACATGCAAGCTACTAAGAGAGAATTCAATAGAATGGACATTATGTTAAGTGAAAGAAGCAAGATGGAGAAAGACAGATACTGTATGATCTCACTTATATGTGGAATCTAAGCAAGTCAAATTCATAGCAGCAGAGAGTAGAATGATGTTCACCAGGGGATGAGGAGAGGAGGAAATGAGGAGATGTTGGCTAAAGGGGTAGAAGCTTAAAAAAAAAACTATTATTTTAGGTTCTGGGGTACATGTGCAGGTTCATAGGTAAACTCATGTCATGGGGTTTTGTTGTACAGATTATGTTATCACCCAAGTGCTAAGCCAAGTACAAATAGTTATTACTTTTATTTTAATTAGTTTATTTCTTCCCACCCTCCACTCTCAAGTAGGCCCCAATGTCTGTTTTCCCCCTCTTTGTGTCCTTGAGTTCTCATCATTTCACTTATAAGCTTCCACTTATAAGTGAGAACATGTGATATTTGGTTTTCTGTTCCTGTGTTAGTTTGCTAAGGACAATGGTCTCCAGCTCCATCCATGTTCCCACACAATTCATGTTCTTGTTCTTTTTTCATGCCTGCACAGTATTCCATGGTGTATATCCACAATTTCTTTATCTAATCTGTCATTAATGGGCATTTAGGTGGATTTCATATCTTTGCTATTGTGAAGAGTGCTGCAATCAATGAACATTTGTGTGCATGGGGTTTTATGGTAGAATGGTTTCTATTCCTATGCTTGATTTATATTAATATGCTTGTTGGCTATGTGTATGCCTTATTTTGAGATGTGCCTGTTCATGCCCTTTTCCTTTTTTTAATAAATTTGTTTAAGTTCATTATACATGCTAGATCTTAGACCTTTGTCAGATGTATAGTTTGCAAATATTTTCTCCCATTCCAAAGGTTGTCTGTTTACTCTGTTGATACTTTCTTTTGCTGTGCAGAAGTTCTTTAGTATAATTAGATGCCATTTGTCATTTTTGCTTATGCTGCAATTGCTTTTGACGTCTTTGTCATGAAATCTTTGCCCATTCTTATGTCCAGAATGGTATTGCCTAGATTGTCTTCCAGGATTTTCACAGTTTGGGGTTTTACATTTAAGTCTTTAATCTATCTTTAGTTGATTTTCATATATGATGTAAGAAAGGGGTCCAGTTTCAATATTCTGCATTTGGCTAACCGGTTATCCGAGCACCATTTATTGAATAGGGAGTCCTTCCCCGTTGCTCATTTTTGTCAGCTTTGTTGATGATCAGATGGTTGTAGGTGCGCAGCCGTATTTCTGGGCTATTTTGTTTCACTGGTCTATGTGTCTGTTTTTGTACAAGTACCATGCTCTTTTGGTTACTGAAGCTGTGTAGTATAGTTTGAAATTGGGTAACGTGAAGTCTCCAGCTTTGTTCTTTTTGCTTAAGATTGTCTTAGCTATTCAGGCTCTTTTTTGGTTCCATATGAATTTTAAAATAATTTCTTTTTCTAGTTCTGTGAAGAATGTCATTTGTAGTTTGATAGAAATACCATTGAATCTGTAAATTGTTTGGGACAGTATGGCCATTTTAATAATATTGATTCTTCTTATCCATGAGCATGGAATTTTTTTTTCATTTCTTTGTGTCATGTCTAATTTATTTGAGCAGTGTTTTGTAATTCTCATTTTAGAGCTCTTTCACCTCCCTGGATAGCTGTATTTCTAAGTATTTTATTCTTTTTGTGGCAATTGTGAGTGGGATTGCATTCCTGATTTGGCTCTCAGCTCGGCTGTTGTTATTGTATACAAATGTTAGTGATTTCTGTATGTTGACTTTGTATCCTAAAATTTTGCTGAAGTTGTTTTTCAGCTGAAGGAGCTTTTTTACTAAGACTATGGGGTTTTCTAGATATAGAATTAAGTTATCTGCAAACAGGGATAGTTTGATCTCCTCTCTTCACATTTGGAAGCACTTTATTTCTCTCTCTTGCCTGATTGCTCTTGTTAAGACTTCCAATACTATGTCGAATAGAAGTGGTAAGAGAGGGCATCCTTGTCTTGTGACTGTTTTCAAGGGTAATAATTCCAGCTTTTGTCCATTCAGTATGATGTTGGCTGTGGGTTTGTGATAGATGGCTCTTACGGTTTTGAGGAATGTTCCTTCAGTACCTAGTTTTTTGAGAGTTTTTAACATGAAAGGATGTTGAATTGTATTGAAATCATGTTCTTCATCTATTGAGATAATCATGTGGTTTCTGTCTTTAGTTCTGTTTGTGCGATGAATCACATTTATTGATTTGTGAATGCTGAACCAATCTTGCATCCTAGGTAGGAAGCCTATTTGATTATGGTGGATTAGCTTTTTGATGTGCTGCTCGGTTCAGTTTGCAATAATTTTGTTGAGGATTTTTGCACCAATGTTCATCAAGCATATATGCCTGGAGGTTTTTGTTGTTATTGTTGTATCTTGGCTAAGTTTTGGTATCAGGATGATGCTGGCCTCATAGAATGAGTTGGGGAGAAGTCCCTACTCCTAAATTTTTTGGGGAATAGTTTTAGTAGGAATGGTATCAACTCTTCTTTGTACATCTGGTTGAATTCTGCTGTAAATCCATTTGGTCCTGGGCTTTATTTATTTATTTATTTTGGTTGGTAGGCTATTTAATACTGATTCAATTTTGGAGCTCATTTTGGTCTATTCAAGAATTCAGTTTCTTCCTGGTTCAGTCTTTGAGGATATACAGGTCCAGGAATTTATCTGTCTATTCTGAGTTTTCTAGTTTGCTTGCATAGAGGTGTTCATGGTAGTTTCTGATGTTTGTTTTTATTTTTTTAATTACTTTTTATTTCTATTTTCAGTTCTCAGGTGCATGTGCAGGATGTACAGGTTTGTTATATAGGTAAACGTGTGTCATTGTGGTTTGTTGCACCTATCAATCCGTCACCTAGCTATTAAGCCCAGCATGCATTAGCTATTTTTCCTAATGCTCTCCCTCCTCCCACCACACCCCCAAGAGGCCCCAGTGTGAGTTGTTTCCCTCCCTGTGTCTGTGTGATCTCATTGTTCAGCTCCCACTTATAAGCAAGAGCATGTGGTGTCTGGTTTTCTGTTTCTGCGTTAGTTTACTAAGGATAATGTTTTCCAGCTCCATCTATGTCCCTGCAAAGGACATGATCTCGTTCCCTTTTATGGCTGCATAGTATTCCATTGTGTATATGTACCATGTTTTTTTTATCCAGTCTATCACTGATGGGCATTTGGGTTGATTCCAAGTCTTTGCTATTGTAAATAGTGCTATAATGAATGTATGTGTGCATGTATCTTTGTAATAGAATGATTTATATTCCTTTGAGTATATACCTAGTAATAGGATTGTTGGGTCAAATGGTATTTCTGGCTCTAGAACTTTGAGGAATCACTGCACTGTCTTCCACAATGGTTGAACTAATTATATTTCTGCCAACAGTGTAAAGTGTTCATATTTATCTGCAACCTCACAAGCATCTGTTGATTCTTGACTTTTTAATAATCACCATTCTGACTGGCATAAGTTGGTATCTTATTGTGGTTTTGATTTGCATTTCTCTAATGATCAGTGATGTTGAGCTTTTTTTTCATATGTTTGTTGGCTGCGTGAATGTCTTCTTTTGAAAATTGTCTGTTCATGTATTTTACTGACTTTTTAATGGGGTTGTCTTTTTTTTCTTATAAATTTGTTTAAGTTCCTTGTAGATTCTGGATATTAGACCCTTGTCAGATGGGTAGATTGCAAACATTTTCTCCCATTCTGTAGGTGGCCTGTCCACTCTGATGATAGTTTCTTTTGCTGTGCAGAAGCTCTTTAGCTTAACTAGTTCCCATTTGTCAATTTTTGCTTTTGTTGCAATTGCTTTTGATGATTTCATTATGAAATCTTTGCCCATGCCTATGTCCTGAACGGTATTGCTTAGATTTTCTTCTAGGATTTTTATAGTTTGGAATTTTGTATTTAGGTTTTTAATCCATCTTGAATTAATTTTTGTATAAGGTGTAAGGAAGGGGTCCAGTTTTAATTTTCTGCCTATTTCTAGCCAGTTATCTTAGCACACCATTTATTAAATAGAGAATGCTTTCCCCATTGCTTGTTTTTGTCAGGTTTGTTCAAGATCAGATGGTTGTAGATGTGCAGTCTGATTTCTGAGGTCTCTATTCTGTTCCATTGGTTTAGGTATCAGTGTTTGTACCAGTACCACGATGTTTTGGTTACTGTAGCATTGTAGTATAGTTTGAAGTTGGATAGCATGATGCCACCAGCTTTTTTCTTTTTGCTTAGAATTGTGTTGGGTATACAAGCTTTTTTTTGGATCCATATGAGATTTAAAATCGTTTTTTTTTTTTTAATTCTGCAAAGAATGTCAATGGTAGTTTAATGGGAATAGCATTGAATCTATAAATTATTTTGGGCAGTGTGGCCATTTTCATAATATTGATTTTTCCTATCAATGAGCATGGAATGTTTCTCCATTTGTTTGTGTCTTATCTGACTTCTTTGAGCAGTGGTTTGTAGTCCTCCTTGAAGAGGTCCTCCATATCCCTTGTTAGCTGTATTCCCAGGTATTTGATTCCCTTTGTAGCAATTGTGAATGGAAGTTCATTCATGATATGGCTCTCTCCTTGTCTGCTTTTTGTGTATAGAAATGCTTGTGACTGTTGCACATTGATTTTGTATCCTGATACATTGCTGAAGTTGCTTATCAGCTTAAGAAGCTTTTGGGCTGAGATGATGGGGTTTTCTAGATATAGGATCATATTATCTGCAAAGAAAGACAGTTTGACTTCCTCTCTTCCTATTTGAATATGCTTTATTTCTTTCTTTTGCTTGATTGCACTGGCCAGAACTTCCAATATTATGTTGAATAGGAGTGGTGAATAGGAGTCCTTGTCTTCTGCCAGTTTTCAAGGGGAATGCTTACAGCTTTTGCCCATTCAGCATGATACTGGCTCTGGGTTTGCTATAAATGGCTCTTATTATTTTGAAGTATGTTCCTTCAATACCTAGTTTATTGAGAGTTTTTAACATGAAGGGGTGTTGAATTGTATTGAAGGCCTTTTCTGTATCTATCGATATAATCATGTGTTTTTTGTCTTTCGTTCTGTTTTTGTGATGAATTACGTTTATTGATTTGTGTATGTTGAACCAGCATTGCATCCTGGAGGTAAAGCCAACATGATCATGGTGGAAAAGCTTTTTGATGTGTTGCTGGATTTGGTTTGCCAGTATTTTATTGAGAATTTTTGCATTGATGTTCATTGGGGATATTGGCCTGCAGTTATTTGTTTGTTTGTTTGTTTTTTGTTTTTCATTTCATTGCATCTCTGCTAGGTTTTCATATCAGGATAATTCTGGCCTCATAAAATGAGTTAGGGAGGAGTCCTTCCTTTTTAGTTGTTTGAAATAGTTTCAGAAGAAAAGGTATCAGCTCATCTTTCTACCACTGGTATAATTCAGCTGTGAATCCATCTGATCCTGGACTTTTTTTTGGCTGGTAGGCTATTCATTGCTGCCTCAATTTCAGAACTCGTTATTGGTCTATTCAGAGATTCAACTTTTTCCTGGTTCAGTCTTGAGAGGGTGTATAGGTCCAGGAATTTATCCTTTTCTTGTAGATTTTCTAGCTTATTTGCATAGAAGTGTTTATAGTATTCTCTGATGGTTGTTTGTATTTCTGTGGGTTCAGTGGTGATGTCCCCTTTATCATTTTTTATTTTGCTTATTTGAGTCTTCTCTTTTTTCCTCTTTATTAGTCTAGCTAGTGGTCTATTTATTTCATTAATTTTTTCAAAAACCAGCTTCTGGATTCATTGATTTTTTTGGAGGAAATTTTTGTGTGTCTATCTCCTTCAGTTCCACTCTGAGCTTGGTTATTTCTTGTCTTCTGATAGCTTTGGGTTTTTAATTTTTTTTTCTCTTGGTTCTCTAGTTCCTTTAATTGTGATGTTATGATGTAGATTTGAGATGTTTCTAGGTTTTTGATGTGGGTATTTAGTGTTACAAATTTCCCTCTTAACACTGCTTTCGCTGTGTCCCAGAGATTCTGGTAGGTCATTTCTTTGTTCTCATTAGTTTCAAAGAACTTATTGATTTCTGCCTTAATGTTGTTATTTACCCAGAAGTCATTCAAGAGCAGTTTATTCAATTTTCATGTAGCTGTGTCATTTTGAGCGAGGCACGGTGGCTCACACTTGTAATCCCAGCACTTTGGGAGGCCGAGGTGGAAGGATTACCTGAGGTCAGGAGTTTGAGACCAGCCTGGCCAATATGGTGAAACTCCAGTCTCTATTAAAAATACAAAAAAATTAGCTGGGTGTGGTGGTGGGCACCTGTTGTCCCAGCTACTCAGGAGTCTGAGGCAGGAGAATTGCTTGAACCCAGGAGGCGGAGGTTGCAGTGAATCGAGATCGCACCATTGCACTCCAGCCTGGGTGACAAGAGCAAAACTCTGTCTCAAAATAATAATAATAATAATAATAATAATGATCTTGAGTTCTAATTTGACTGTGCTGTGGTCTGAGAGACTGTTTGTTATGATTTCAGTTCTTTTGCACTTTCTGAGGAGTGGTTTACTTCCAAATATGTGATCAATTTTAGAGTAAGTTTCATGTGACACCAAGAATGTATATTCTGTTGTTTGGGGGTAGAGAGTCCTGTAGATATCTATCAGGCCCACTTGATCCAGAGCTGAGTTCAAGTCCTGAATGTCTGTTAATTTTCTGTCTCAGTGATCTGTCTAATATTGACAGTGGGGTGTTAAATTCTCCCACTATTATTGTGTGGGAGTCTAAGTCTCTTTGTAGGTCTGTAAGAACTTGTTTTATGAATCTGGGTGCTCCTGCATTGGGTGCATATATATTTAGGATAGTTAGCTCTTCTTGTTGAATGGACCCCATTACCATTATGTGATGCCCTTCTTTTTTTTTTTTTTTTTTTTTTTTTTTTTTTTTTTTTGAGACCGAGTCTCGCTCTGTCGCCCAGGCTGGAGTGCAGTGGCGCGATCTCGGCTCACTGCAAGCTCCGCCTCCTGGGTTCACACCATTCTCCTGCCTCAGCCTCCCAAGTAGCTGGGACTACAGGTGCCCGCCACCACACCCGGCTAATTTTTTGTATTTTTAGTAGAGGTGGGGTTTCACCGTGTTATCCAGAATGGTCTCGATCTCCTGACCTCATGATCTGCCTGCCTCAGCCTCCCAAAGTGCAGGGATTACAGGCATGAACCACCGTGCCTGGCCTTTTTTTTTTTTTTTTTTTTTTAATCTTTGTTGTCTTAAAGTCTATTTTGTCAGAAACTCTGATTGCAACCCCTGCTTTTTCTATTTTCCATTTGCTTGGTAAATTATTTTCCACCACTTTATTTTGAGTCTGTGTGTGTCTTTGCATGTGAGATGGGTCTTTTGCATACAGCACATCAACAGAGTTTTACTCTTTATCCAGCTTGACATTCTGTGTCTTTTAATTGGGGCATTTAGCTCATTTACATTTAAGGTTAATATTGTTATGTATGAATTTGATCCTGTCATCATGATGCCAACCGGTTATTTTGCAGACTTGTTTATGTGGTTGCTTCATAGTGTCACTGGTCTGTGTACTTTAGTGTGTTTTTGTAGTGGCTGGTAATCATTTTTACTTTCCATATTCAGTGCTTCCTTCAGCAGCTCTTGCAAGGCAGGCCTAGTGGTGACAAATTCTCTCAGCATTTGCTTGTCTGAAAAATATTTCATTTCTCCTTCACTTACGAAGCTTAGTTTGGCCAGAAATAAAATTCTAGGTTGGAATATTTTTTCTTTATGAATGTTGAATATTGGCCCCAAATCTCTTCTGGATTGTAGGGTTTCCACTGAGATGTCTGCTGTAATTCTGATGGGCTTCCCTTTATAGGTGACCTGGCCTTTCTCTCTGGCTGCCCTTAATATTTTTTACTTCATTTCTACCTTGGAGAGTTTGATAATTATGTGTCTTGGGGTTGATCTTCCCATGGAGTATCTTACTGGAGTTCTCTGGATTTCCTGAATTTGAATGTTGGCCTGTCTTGCTAGGTTGGGGAAGTTCTCCTGGATGATATCCTGAAATGTGTTTTCCAACTTGCTTCTGTTCTCCCCATTTCTTTCAGGTACCCCTATCAGTCGTAGGTTCAGTCTTTTTACGTAACCCCATAGTTCTCTCAGATTTTGTTTGTTCATTTTCATTCCTTTTCCCCTAATCTTGTCTGCCTGCCTTATTTCAGCAAGACAGTCTTCAAGCTCTGATATCCTTTCTTCTGCTTAGTGTATTGGGCTATTGATACTTGTGTTTGCATTGTGAAGTTCTCGTGTTGCATTTTTCAGCTCCATAAGGTCATTTATATTCCTCTCTGAACTGGTTATTCTGGTTAACAAATCCTGTAATGTTTTATCACGGTTCTTAGCTTCTTTGCAATGCATTAGAACATTGTGCACTCTTTTAGTTCAGTGAAGTTTGTTATTACCCATTTTCTGAAGCCTATTTCTGTCAATTCATCCATCTCAGCCTCAGCCCAGTTTTGTGCCCTTGCTGGAGACATGTTGCGATAATTTGGAGTAGAAGAGGCACTCTGGCTTCTTGAGTTTTTAGTGTTTTTGCATTGATTCTTTCTCATCTTTATGGGTTTATCTACCTTTGATCTTTGAGGCTGCTGACCTTGGGATGGGGTTTTTGTTGGGTCTTTTTCATTGATGATGTTGTTGTTACTTTGTTTGTTCTTCTTTTAGCACTCAGGCCCCTCTTCCATAGGGCTGCTGTGGTTTGCTGGGGGTCCACTCCAGACCCTATTCATCTGGGTTCCTCCCACACCTGAAGGTATCATCAGTGGAGGCTGCAGAACAGCAAAGATGGCAACTGTTCCCTTCTCTGGGAGCTCTGTCCCAGAGGGACACCAACCTGATGCTGGCTGGAACGCTCCTCCACAAGGTGTCTGGAGACCCCTGTTGGGATGTCTCACCCAGTTAGGAGGAACGGGATCAGGGACCTGCTTAAATAAGCAGTCTGGATGCCCCTTGGTGGAGTGGGTGTGGTGTGCTGGGGTGAATCCCCCTCATCCGGGCTGCCCTGACTCTCCAGGACCAGCAGGCAGAAATGACTAAGATCGTTTATTTATGATACCATGGCCACCCCTCCTCATAGGGGCTCCTCTCAGAGAGATCAGAGTTCTGTCCATAAACCCTTGGTTGGGGATGCCGAAAATCCCACAGGGAGGCCCCATCCAGTGAGGAGGAATTGGTTGGGGTACCGATTAAAGAAGCAGTCTGACCTCGAACTGTCCCAGCTGCTGTGCTGCACTGTGGGGAATTGCTCCAAGGCTCTTTTCCTTGCTCCAGACAGGTGATCAGGTCTTGCTTAGAGACAGCAATACCATTTCTAGGCTTCCAGGGGTCCTTGCATCCTCGCTGTGGATCTCCCAATACCTGCAGGTCACAAGGTCACAAAGGCTCTGCTTCTAGAAGCAGAGGATGAAGAGCAATGAAGACAAGACCTGGAGTTCTTGCTGTGGCGAGACACACCAGTTTAAGCATTCATGTATGCCACCTAGATGTTACTGAAGTTTCTTTGCCTATGAGTGGCCATTAACTGTGCTGTCACGTGGGGAACTCCCATCTGAACTGGGGCTTTATGATTTCTGTTACTTTTATTCTAACATGGCCTGTGTCCCTGCCTGGAATCTGGTTTTGCGTTGGCTGGGCTTGCCCTGAAGGATGCTTACTTAGCACCCCTCTGAGCTGCCGGGACCCCACAACCCCGCAGGCAGACAGCTATTTTTATTTTTGTGGCCTCAGTAATAACATTCCTTTTGTCATTTTTTATTGTGTTTATTTGGATCTTCTCTCTTTCTTCTTTATTAGTCTCAATAGCAGCCTATCTCTCTCATTAATTTTTCAAGAAACCAACTCTTGGATTTGTTGATGTTTTGAATTTTTTTTTGTGTCTTGATTTCCTTTAGTTTAGCACTAATTTTGGTTATTTCTTGTCTTTTGCTAGGTTTGGGATTGGTTTGCTCTTGCTTCTTCCTTTCTTTTGGTGTTGATATTAGGTTGTTAATTTGAAATCTGTGTAATATTTTTAGGTGGAAATTTCACGCTATAAATTTCGTTCTTAACACGGACTTACTTTTGTCCCAGAGATTCTAGTATGTTGTATCTTTGTTCTCATTAGTTTCAAAAAAATTTTTGATTTCTGGTTTAATTTCATTATTTACTCAAAAGTCAGTCAGGAGTAGATTTTATAATTTCTGTGTAATTGAATGGATTTGAGTGATTAAAAGGGTACAAACTTTAATTTGTAAGATAAAGAATTTCTGGGTATCTAAGGTATAGCATAGGTGGTGATATGATTTGAATGTGTCCTCCAGATTTTATGCATTGGAAACATAACCCTCATTGTGCCATTTTTGAAAAGTAGGGCGTTGAAGACATGATTGGATCATAAGAGCTCTGCTCTCATTAATTGGTTAGCCCATTAATGAATTAATGGATTAATGAGTTAATGGATTAATGGGTTATCATGGGAGAGGAACCTGTGGCTTTATAAGAAGAGGAATAGAGACCTGAGCAAGCATGTTAATATGCTTGGCCATCTCATTATCTGATACAGTGTATCAACTTGAGATTCTGTACAAAGTCCTCAACAGCAAGAAGTTTCTCACCAGATGCAGCCCCTCAACCTTGGACTTCTCAGTCTCCATAACAGTAACAAATAAATTAAAAAAAAAATTGCCTCATTTCAGGTATTCTATTAAAAGGCAACAATAAACTCACTCAGGCAGGTGGTGATGGGTGTGTTCATTTGATTTTTGTAATTATTACACAATGTTTATGTACATCAATTTATTGTGCTCTGTACTTTGAATATATAAAATCTTTGTCAATTTAATATTGTAAAATTTTAGAATGTTTATTATCCCCCAATAATTATGCTTTACTTTTATGCAGATTCTTTATAAACAACTTTCAGACCCAGATTTGGTTTGTTTGCTTACCCATTCATTCACAGAATATATATTCAAATGAAACATAAGTTAAAGTTGTTATCTGATACCAGTGATAGATGCGTACCATTCAATCTCACTTGTCAGAAAATATTCCCAGATAAGAATTAGTTGCTCCCTCCATTTAAGGTCACATTATACTCTACTAAGTGAATATGGTTCACAGTCAAATAGGCACAAATTGACTAATACAAGGTGTTTTAAAACCTGGCCAGCACGGGTAGTGTGTGTTGGGGAGGCATGGTTCGGTTACAGAAGTGACAGGGCCATGGCTGGAGGGTCATGAATGGGAGGCGTGGTTGGGCCTTCATATGTAAGAGGATGAGGGCTTGCTAAAGATGTAGAGAGTATGTTGGTCACAAGAAGTCAGGTGAGTGGAAAAGGCTATGGTATAGGTAAGGAGCAGAGATGGGATAAGGAAGTGCCATCAGCCAAAGCTAAGGCCTGAATTCTAAAACAACTCTAATTGGATCTTATTAATGTCACAGTCGAATTTTATAGATTATCTAAGCCAGAGGTTAGAAACTGGCTGTTTGCAGGACAGATCTATCCAAGGTATGTTTTTTCGAGCCTGCATAATGTTTCCAAATAAACTGGTTGCTAACATTAAAAAGGTGGGGAGATGTTGCATACAAATCTGTATATCCAGTTTGTCTTGAAGAATCAGAAGATTTGGCAGAATGGGACCTATATTCTCAAAAAGCATTGATTGTTGGAGCTCAGTAGTGGCTGCCATCATTAAATCCAGCTGGGGCTCTTCAGTTTACCTCAATTCTTACCACTCCCTACAGTTTCCCTGGTTCTAATGCAGGAAGTCAGCTGCCATAACCTCCTGCTTGGACAATTGCTTTTCTCTCAATTGACACATTTAAATAATCTGATTTACATAGCCTGCCTGGCTTTTTCATGCATTTGAGTTTGTGACCACATGGTTTAGGCCAAAGCCTCTATTTTAGAGATACTTAAGTCCAGGGAGGTCAAGCGATTTGTCCATGGTCTTACCACTTATAAACATTAAAATCTAGACTAAAATCTGAATCCTAGCTCATTGTACTTGTTTGTATGGTATTCCATTGTGCAGTTAGGCATATGCAGCACATTGTGATTTTTTGACTAGAAGATATTACGTACTCCCTCATCAGTGATTTCTCCCTTTTTCCTCTTCCTCCTCTAGACAGAGAAGAAAACCTCTTCTCAGTTGTTGATTATTATAGTCTGGAAGAGTCTTATTTCCTTATGCATGTTCTATTATCCATGAATATACCATAGATTCTGTCAAAAAAATGCTAGTTCTTTATGGTAAAATGAGCTATATAACAAGACTTTTGGGAGACACTGAGTTGTTGGAGTCTCTATTATCTTCTATATTGGATTTATGCTTCTGAGCCCTTCCATAATCTGAGACCCAGATCCCACCAGCTATGATTATGACGGGCATCCTCATCCTTGCTCCTCATGAAAACACAAGGCAAATATCCCTGCCCATTTCTTCTGATGATACTTCTAAATATAAAGGTTCCCTATTTAAAATTTTGTAAGATCTATTCTCATGCACTAAGATTGGTCCTGCATATCTTTTCAATATAAATAGAAATAACTTATACTGTAGCATGACGAGCCGCAGACAAAACTCCTCAGACACCGAGTTAAAGAAGGAAGGGGTTTATTCGGCTGCGGGCATTGGCAAGACTCCTGTCTCAAGAGCCGAGCTCCCTGAGCGAGCAATTCCTGTCCCTTTTAAGGGCTCACAACTCTAAGGGGTTGTGCGTGAGAGGGTCGTGATTGATTGAGTAAGCAGGGGGTACGTGACTGGCGGCTGCATCCACTGGTAATTAGATCAGAACAAAATAGGAAAGGGATTTTCACAGTGCTTTTCTATACAATGTCTGTAATCTATAGATAACATAACCGATTAGGTCAGGGGTCGATCTTTAACTACCAGGCCCAGGGTGTGGCGCCGGGCTGTCTGCCTGTGGATTTCTTTTCTGCCTTTTAGTTTTTACTTTTTCTTTCTTTGGAGGCAGAAATTGGGCATAAGACAATATGAGGGGTGGTTTCCTCCCTTAATACAATTTACATTTCATATGCATTTTGCTTGTTTACCCATTAGTTGTTAATATTTTCTAATTTCCCAAGTTGGTTCAACAAAGCAGAGTTGAAGAGACATTTTTATTTGTTCCAAATTATCATATTCAGGTGTCTACTCAGAATACATTTAACAGTAAGGTTCAATATTTCAATTTACATAGATTTGGATTTTGAGGTCTGATTAAGTGTCGGTTAGTTTTGGATCAAGAATGAAACAAATGTGTAACTTAAATTGTCAGAATTCCTTCGCAACTTGGGGATCTATAACGGCTTGGGATCTGTACTTTTCATTTCCAAGTGTTGTAGTGTTATTCTGAGAAATTTGGTTACTAGAAGCAGAGATTGAGTGAAACATCCTTAGTAGTCATTGGGGAAACAAGAATCTGCTAACATTTAGTCTACATAATTATCTTGTTTCATTTCTGTAAATACCAAGGATTGTACTGCCAAAAGTGTGTAAGTATTTTAGATAGCTCTTAACCACAGAAAGAGGATATCAAATTGGCATATGTCTGGAATGGTACTGGTTCTTCCAGAAATTTCCTAAATGGGAAACAGAAACTCTCATCTTATTTAACTTAAACACAATAACCTACATAAACATAACAGTGCCTGGGCTTTCAAAGTAGATGCTAATCAATGAGCCAGTCAATTCAAAATGTATTAGCCAATTCATATAAGATTCAATATACTGAATATTGACATTAAATATTGCTATTTTAAGTTGTTCACTACTAAACCAAATTATAAATTAGCCATAGACTCAGAATAGTAGGATTTGGGTTGCTAGAAATATAATTTCTTAACTCCCTAGGGAAGAATTTATATTGTCAGAAAGAGAGCTTGAAATATAACAAAAGGGTAAGGGAAATAACAAATATTACTTTGCCAACAGAGAGTTGATTAAGGTTGAACTCTGTATACCCGAAATACAAGGATTAAGAAAATTGGGCTTAAAAAATGGTTACGACAATTTTTCTCATTGTTTTGCTTCAAAGGATTAATGTATAGGTTTTATTGCTAAAATTACTCAAGAAGAGAAATACCAGTGTCCACAACTACATTTAATCACTTACCTGAGGGCAAGACACAAGATCAGATGACTTGAAACCTGAGGCAAAATAATTGTCTCTTCATGGTCCTCACACATCTTCTTTCTTTGGAAAAGAAAATTATTTGTTAAATTGGAAGACCATGATGAGGTATGATATCCTGACATCACAAATACTAAAAGCAGCAACTTTCAAATAATAATTTCCTCTACATTTCAATTGTTAATCTGTGACAACATACCCTCAATCATGATTGTCCATGTATTTTTTATAAGAGTTGCTAACTGCAAGTTGATACGTTCTAAAAATAATTTTTAAAATTGTAAGCAGGAACATTTTAAAAACATAAAGAATGAGTTCATGTCCTTTGTAGGGACATGGATGAAGCTGGAAACCATCATCCTCAGCAAACTAACACAGGAACAGAAAACCAAACACTGCATGTTCTCACTCATAAGTGGGAGTTGAACAAAACACACATGGACACAGGGAGGGAGACATCATACACTGGGGCCTGTTGGGGGGTCGGGGGAAAGGGGAGGGAGAACATTAGGACAAATACCTAATGCTTGCGGGGCTTAAAACCTAGATGACGGGTTGATAGGTGCAGCAAACCACCACGGCACATGTAAACCTATGTAGCAAACCTGCATGTTCAGCACATGTATCCCAGAACTTTAAGATACAAATAAATAAAATTAAAATTAAAACAATAAAATAAAAACATAATCTTACTATTCATCATGTGATAACTGTAAAAGCCTTGGCTTACTTCTTTCCATATTTTTTTCTATTCGTATGTTGTATGTGCACATGAATATATATTAGAGTTTAACAAATAATGGAATCATAGTCTAGGTATGTTTGTATCCTGGTATTTTCATTTAAGAATATATCATAAAGATTTTTCCATGGCACAGGCAAACATGTTTTTCACAGCTGCATAATATTTATTCACCATACTTTATCCACTCTTTTATTGTTGGAGATTTAGGCATTTTTTTTTATTTTTTATGTTTTTAGACGGAGTCTCACTCTGTCGCCAGGCTGGAGTGCAGTGGTACGATCTCGGCTCACTGCAACCTCTGCCTCCCGGGTTCAAGCGATTCTCCTGCCTCAGCCTCGGGAGTAGCTGGAACTACAGGCGCACACCACCACGCCCAGCTAATTTTTGTATTTTTAGTAGAGATGGGGTTTCACCATGTTGGCCAGGATGGTCTTGAGCTCCTGACCTCGTGATCCACCTGCCTCGGCCTCCCAAAGTGCTGGGATTATAGGCGTGAGCCACTGTGCTGGGCCAATTTAGGTTGTTTTTAACTTATCAGCATTATAAATAGTACTACAGTGAAGTTCCATGTTATACACATTTTTATCTTCAAATGCTTAGTTCCTGAGGATACATTTTTAGAAGAAAAATTACTAGGTTACAGTTACAGGCAATTTTAAGGTTTTGATATATAAAGCCACATTGCCCTTTGGTAACATTATTTGATTTAACTCTAGTGCCAGCAATGTATTTTCTCTGCACCTTATTCAGAGCTGGAATACGTGTGTGTGTGTGTGTGTGTGTGTGTGTATATGCACCCATATATAATATTTTTTGCTGTTGGAACGTGTGATAGACAAAAGTTAAGTTTTATTTTTTTAGTATCTTGTTAATCATTATTATAACCCACCAGGATATTAAACTTTGGGTAAATTCTCTAACCTTAAAGATGGTTCCTGTAGAAACAGCCAAGGGATGCATCTTCTTGAATGTATAAAAATTCTTACTGCCTTATCCCCTGATATGTGCCTAAAAGGGTAGGGTTATGAATAAATTATAATAATAATTGTAGCTACAATTTATAGAGCCATTAATATATGTTAGAAGCTTTAAGATATTTCTGATTTTACCACAACATTTAAATAGACTTTCCTCATTATACTGATGAAAAAACTGAAGTTCAGAAAACAGGGTAGTATATTAAAGAGGTTAGAAGTATAGATGATATAGTCAACTAAGGCTGAAAGCCCAGCTTCACAATTTACTGACTGTATAACTTTGCGTAAACTCATGTAAAATGTGGGCCATTATACCTACCTCATATTGTTTTTATGCAAATTAATAAAATAGTGAATAGCAGGTACCTAAAACTTAATAAATGCTATTTAATAGCATCAATTATTGTTGTTTTCATCACAATGATGGAAATTGTGGTGGTGATTAAGTTTGCCTAAAATGACATAGCTAATAACTACTAAATCTGAAATTTGAACCTAGATATAGCTCCAAGTCCCTTGTTCTTTCTACTGAGTTCTGTTGGTCAAGGCCATCATAGCACTGCTTAATGTTTTGCAGCCAATGAAACGGTATCAATTTGAACTCAAAATACTGTGTTAGATGTCTTAACTATGTGATTTACAGCTCTCCTCAGTCTTCTCAACCTAGACGTATATCCTAGTTGTACTGCACAGATCATGAAACACAATGCTAGAAATGTCAGGGTGAGGTACTTAGATGGTGGTCTTAGGCTCTGGATTCAAAAATTACAGATTCTTAGAATGAGAAGAGACTTTAGAAGTTACATAGTCCAACTTATAACCCACTGTGGGGAAGTTGTCTACAATATTCCTGACAGGTAGTTAAGCCAGCTTGAATTCAAAATCTCACTACTTCATGCAGTAGCACATTTATAGAAGTGTAGTATGTAGACTAGAAAGAACCTTGGAGATTGTATAGTCTCCCACCCTCTGTTGCCTAAAGATACACAATGATTATACTTAGGGGAAAAATCAGAACTAGAAGTCACCTCTCTGGATTTCTAGCAGGGCTGCCATGTAAAGTTGCTCAGGTTGCAATGCAAATGGTGCCACCCTGGCATTATGCAACATAGTAGACCTGATTCCCAGTCTCCACTACATTATGCTTTATTTTTAAGCCCCTCTTATAACACTGGCTGTCATTTTTTGGGTATTGCTTTGTCACACATTCCCCCTTAAAATGCATTAGCCTGAATTTAGTGTAACATTCAAGAAGTGGCTCACCAGAGTAAAGGGACATTATCATGTTGTTGTTGTGATTGTACTGGTAGTGGAATCTACACTTTTGTTACTGCAGCATAACTCAGCATTCACTTCTTGACAGCAGCTTTACATTATAATACAAGTCACTCAGTCTTTTAGTAAACTAAAACACCTAGATCATTTTGGTTTCAACAACAGAAATTTATTTTCTCACAGTTTTGAAGGATAGAAGTCCAAGGTCAAGGTACCAGCATATTTGGTTTCTGGTGAGGGCTCTCTTTCTGACATATAAATGGCTGCCTTCTCACTGTGCTCTCACATGGCAGAGAGAGAGAGAGAGACCTCAAGCTTTCTGGTATCTCTTTGTACAAGAGGAAGACTCCATAATCCCACAATGAGGGATCCATGCTCATGACCTCATCAAAGCCTAATTACCTCCCAAAGGCCATCACAATGAGAGTTAGGGTTTCAACATATGGATTCTTTTTGGGGGGACACAATTCAGTCTATAGCAATATCCTATACTATTAAGTAGTTTTGTTTGCCTAGGTACTGATTTTATATATATTTCTGTTAGTTAAACCTTGGTAATTTCATCTCCTTCTTTCTTGAACAGGATGCAAATTACTTGAGCTTAGGGATTTAAACTTAGGTAAGATGAACTCAGCGCTCTATTGCAGTAACCTCCTTGATAATTTGATTTCAATTTCCTCTCCTCAATTTTTGTTCTGCCTTTTCTGGTTGGAAAAGCGGTTTACTTATTCTTTAGTCCACCTGGCTGATTCTGATTTACTTCTAGAAATGCTATTCAATTAATTCTTTCTACCTAATGACTATAATTCTCATGGACCAGAGGATAAATTATGTACCACAGTTAACAGTTCAAAAAAATGATAAAAAATATTTTTGTTGCAAGAAATATAGTTGAACACTTTTTTTTTTTTTTTTTTTTTGCCACTGAAGGTCATGATAGACCCATCTTTTAGACTATTAAAGGTCCCAGTCCAAAATTGGAGCTGTTGACATTTGGCAGAGCCAGGAACAGTCATACAGGTGTTAAGGCACCCTTTAATTTTTTTTTCTGTAGATTGTCCTAGCATTTTCTTCAAGCCCGTAATAGATGAAATTATATTGTTCACTTACAGGCCTCCTTTGTTTTTAGCTTGGTTCCAAAGATTGTCTTATTTTAAAATCTTGGTGCCAATTATTAGTATTTATATGCTGCATTATTTTCAGTGCAGAACATTTTTAAATACATGGAAAATCATACATTCATACACATATTCACACATGCAGGCATATGTGCACACACAAACACATAAACACACACATCATTCCCATTTTTTTTTGACTTTCGTGTTGTTGTTTCCTATTGTGTAGGCCAAAGCTGAATCCAAGCTAAGTTTTGAGGGCTAACTTTGGCTCCTTTCTCCCTCCTATTTACATAGATATCACTGTTTACTTTTACTTGTCTTATCTAGGCAACTGTGTCCTCATATTACCCAGAGACTCTCACAGATTTCAATATGAATCTACTTTCCTTGCTCAGTAAAATCTTTGTTTCTTCTCTCTCATCAAAATGTATATTTTCTCCTCTTTCCAAGCTTTTCGTTTTTGATTGCCATTCCTAGATAACCTGTATAGACATTTAACTGCTCATAGTTTTATTCTTTGTATGCAATATATTTTTACTTAAATTGGGACTTCCTTAAGATACCACCTTAACTAAAAAGAATTTCTCTTATGGCAAGGAGGTCAGGCTGTATAGTGGAGAAGACAGGCATTTCTTTGGTGCCTAAATTTGACTCACTAACTAAAGTCTTTTTCCAAATCTAGCACATTCACCTTTACTACAGAAAAAAAAAACAAAAAACTAAAACTAAAACTAAACAAAAAAAAAAACTCAATGGTAAGAAGTTAGAAATGGAAAGATAGAATTAGTATGATTGATAAGAGAGGATGATAGCATACTTGTAGAAGGAAAATGCTCTTACATATAAGTTTTATAGAAGTGTAACCCATGTCAGCTATTAGTTATCTGTCTGATTCTAAAAGGTATTTGCAGGAGAGCAGGGATTAGGAAAACATCACATTTTAGATTCTCTGGCTGGTTTGACTCTCTCTCTGAGTCCTAGAAGAAACAATAACTCTTGGTTTGGACTTTTTTCCCAATAAAGCAAAAGAGATGTGGTAGCATCTAAGGAAATAGAAAGGAGCACATTAGGATATATTCACTATTTACTGATGAATTGCAGGTAAGAGAGGTAAGAGATCTTTATGCCCTTCACTCAGATTTTACCTCTAGATTTAAAAGCTGAAATGTGAAGTTAAAAGTGACATAAATTGGCCAAGGAAATATTTAATGGCTAATCAAAATAATACCAAGGAACCTTACTTTTACTTGATGTTTTTACTATTAAAATAATGTGAAGTGTCACTAATTGAAGAAAAACAAATCCAAATCATATGTTACTGCTTTGGTTGCCCACAAATTATGTCACGTCTATGAAAAGCCTGATTCTTAAATAAGGCTTTAGCTGTTGATAGATTTATGAAAATAAACACAGGGACAGATGTGTATATCAAATGGGAATTAGGCAGTGAGACTGGGCCTTGCACAATGTGCTGCTCTTTCCTAGTCTACCCTGCCTTTCTATTTACAGCAATGTATGCAGGCCAGTTTAGAGAAAGTAAAATGAAAGTATTTCCTTGCTTCAGAGTAGACATATGCTTGATACATGTTTATGAAAGGAGAAAATGAAGGAAGAATGGATGGAAATATGGAGCAAAGGAAGGAAGGAAGGAATGACAGCAAGTAGGTAGCAATGCAATAGAGTCTAAATGAGAACTAAAATTTGATTATTTCCCCTTTAACATTTGTTTCAACAATGTGGCTATAAAACTTCTCAATGTTTTCTCAATGACATGCTTGTGCTCTTTTAACCTAATGAAATAGAAATACTTCTCTCAGTCTTATTTATTAAATGTTACATAATAATTATTTTAGTTATTGTAATTATTTAGATTCAGTATACCAATTCAGACTATTCACCCATCAAATCTTTCAATAACCTCAGTCAGCAGAGGTCCATGTTATGCCTTATTAAGGAAGAGAATGGACCAAGCACAGTCATAACTAGGAGTTCATATTGAAAAAATTAGAATTCAGTTAACCAAATATAACACATTTATCAATAGGATGGGGAAATTCCTTTCTGACCTTAAGGCTAATTAACAGGTTTCTTAAAATAGAAGCATTTCTTACAGTTATTTACACGATATTACATGAAGTATAACTGAACTTAAAAAAAAGATTGGCTGTACAAAGATGCCATTACATAATATTTGGTGAAATCTCTTAAAAACAAATTTCATAGGATATCTGCTTGCTTAGAAAATAAAAGCTATTGTTTTTTAAATAAACTATACTTCTCTTTACTTTTCTAGTAATTCTTCTTGCCCTTGTGGAATGTATAATGTTGTTTCCCTATAAACAACGCTTGAGGTTAAATAGCCAGATGCTATTTTAATTGATACAACACATTAGTTTCAGAACATCTTTGTTTTCATTTGATTTTATATAATTGAGAATCAGTCATTAAAAATGAATAAACATGTCCTCAAATAAAGTTATCAGAGTCAAAAGAAATTTAGAAATAATCCCTACCCACAAGGAGTTTGTAGTACACATTTGTGCTTTGTGTCAGTCTTGTAAACCAGCTTGCAGATTTAAGAGGGCTATTTTTTGTAGTGGTTAAAAATTCAATTATAGGTGTCAATTATTTTATTGTTTTATAGGTTGCCATTTTGAGTTATCTTTGACCATAAATGTCTCCTCCTTTTCGGCATGTCCTTTGGAATTCTGAGTTTACCAAATAAGTTTTTCTCTGTGTGCCTCTTTCATTTTATGTATTGAGAACTACCATTATTTCTTTTTGAATACAAATTATTGAGATATAATTTATAAACAATAAAATGTAACCTTTAAAATAAACAATTCAGTGTTTTTTAGTATATTTAAAGAGTTGTGCAATCCAGTACATTTTCATAGCCCCCAAAACAAATGTCATACTCATTAGCTGTCACTCTCCATTCTCCTCTTCGGCCAGACCCTAGAAACCACGATCTACTTTCTGTGTATATGGGATATGTACCTATCCTGGAAATTTTATATAAATACAATCATACAACATGGGGCCTTTTATGACTGACATCTTTCACTAAGTATAATATTTTCAAGGTTCATCCATATTGTGGCACATATCAGTATATCTTTCCTTCTTTCTGCTAATATTCTGTTGTTTGGATTTTTAAAATTTGTACATCAGTTGATGGACATTTGGGTTGTTCACACCTCTGGCTATTATGAATAATGGTGGTATGAACATTCATGTACAAGTTTTTGTTTGGAGATGTGTTTTCAAAACTCTTGGGAATTGCTGGGTCCTATGGTAATTCTATGTTTAACTTTCCACAGTGGCTGAAGCATTTTACATCCCCACCAGAAATGTATAAATGTATGAGGGCTTGACTTTCTACACATTCTCATTAATTCGTGTTAATATCTGTCTTTTTTTTCGTGATAGCCAACTAGTGGATGTGAAGTGGGATCTCATTGTGGTTTTGATTTGCATTTCCCTGATGGCTAGTGATGTTGAATATATTTTTGAGCAATACACAAATTGCTTATTTGTGTATCTTAAATGTCTATTCAAGTCCAATGCCTATTTTAAAAACTGAGTTGTGTTTTGTTGTTGTTGTTGTATGCTATAAGAGTTCTGCATATTCTGGACACTAACCTTTATCAAATATATGATTTCCAATTTTATTTTTCATTCTATACATTGTCTTTTCACTTTCTTGATGGCATCATTTGGCACACAGAAATTTTGCATTTGGAATAAGTCCAAGTTATCTATTATTTGTTCTATCGCTTGTGCTTTTGTCATCCTATCTCAGAAACTGTTCCCTAATCCAAGGTTATGAAGATTTACACTTACATTTTTTTCTAATAGTTTTTGCTGTTATAGTTAGATATATGACCCATTTTGTGTTGATTTTTGTATATGGTGTGACATAGGAATCCAATTTCATTTTGAAATTGACAAGTGCAAGTCCTTCAACTTGATTATTCTTTTTCAAGTTTAAAGGATCTTGACTATTCTGTGTTACTTGCATTTCCATATGAATTTTAGGATTGGGTTGTCAATTTTTGCAAAATATATTATGTTGGGAGTCTCTCTGGGATGGCATTGAATTTGTAGATTATTTTGGGTAATGTTGCCATTTAACAATACCGACTTCTGTTATATACACATATGGGATGTCTTATTAATTTGTATATTCTTTCATTTCTTTCAACATATTTTATAGTTCTCAAAATATATGTTTTGCATTTGCATTGTTAAATTTGTTCCCAAATATTTTATTTCTTATGCTACTGTAAATGGAATTTTTAAAGTTTCATTTTGGGGACATTCATTGTTAGTGTATAGAAACAATTCATTTTTGTATGTTGATCTTTTTTCCTAAAATCTCGCTGAACTCACTTACTACCTCTAATTTTTTTTAACAGATTACTTATGACTTTCTATATACAAAATTGTGTCATTCAAATAAAAGAGATAGTTTTACATTTTCCTTTACAGTCAGGGTGCCTTTTATTTATTTTTCTTGCTGAATTTCTCTGGATAATACAACCACTAAAATACTGACTAGAAGTGGTGAAAGCAGACATCCTTGCCTTCTTTCTGATCTTAGGGGAAAGCCATCAGTCTTTCATATTAAATATAATGTTGTCTGTTCATTTTTCATAAGTGCCCTTTATCAAGTTGAAGAACATTTTGTTCTAACTTGTTGAGTGTTTTACACATAAAAGCCTGTTGAATTTTGTCAATTTCTTCTGAGTCTGTTGAGATAATAATACATTTTTAATATACTATTTTAAGAGTATTTTTAGGTTACGGGACATTTGTAAGAAAATACAACGCATTCCCATATATTCCCCGTCCCTCCATACATAGTTTCAGCTATTATTAACATCTTGCATTAAGTTGGTACATTTGTTACAATTGATAAACCACTACTGATATACTATTATTAAATAAAGTTCATAGTTTACATTGGGGCTCATTTTTGTATTGTACATTTCTATGGGTTATGACAAATGCATAATGTCATGTATTTATCATTATAGCATCATACAGAATACTTTCACTACCATAAATAATTCATATGCTCCACCTATTTATTCATCCTACCCTCCTCTCCTTCTGTTCTCAACCATGATTTTTTTTAACTGTCTCTATAGTTTTGTATTTTCTAAAATGACATATTGTTGGAATCATACAGTATGTATCTTTTTTAGACTGGCTTCTCTCAGTTAGCAATATGCTTTTACCTTTCCTTCATGTATTTTCAAGACTTGTTAGCACATTTCTTTTAATTAATGAATAATAGCTTATTTTATTGATGAACCACAGTTTATCTGATCACTTGTTGGAGGACATCTTGGTTGTTCCAAGTTTTAGCAATAATAAAGCTGACATGAACACAGTATGCGGAAATTTCTGGGCATAATTTTTCAACTCATTTGGTTATATACCAAGGAATATTGTTGCTGGATTCTATGATAAGCCTATGTTTAGCTTTACAAGAAACTGTCAAACTGTCTTCCGAAGGGTCTATATTATTTGTGTTGCCCCAGAAATGAATGAAAGTTTCTATTTGCTTCACATCTTCTCCAGCATTCGGTGTTGCCTGTGTTTTGGATTTTAGCCATTGTAATAGTAAGTGTGCAACGCAAACGTTATTAGATATGTGTTTTGTAAATATTTTCTCCCAAACTGTGGCATTTCTTTTCATTCTATTAGTGTCTTTCCTAGAGGGGAAATTTTTTATTTTAATGAAGTCTAACTTATTATCTTTTCTCTTTCATTTTTAGTGTTTTTAGTGCCATATCTAAAAAGTAATTGCCAGACCCAAAAGTCATTGCCAAATCCAAGTCATTGATTTTTTTCTTATGTTTTCCTCCAGTGTTTTACATTTTCCATTTAGGCCTATGAACAACTGCATATCCATTTTTGTAAAAGATATAAGCTCTATCTAAATTCATTTATTTGCATGTAGATGTCCAATTGTTTCAGGACCACTTGCTGGAAAGACTGTCTTTTCTCCATTAAAAATAAATGTGTGTTTTTATTATTTTAACATATTCTTTATGATATTAATATCGATCAGTTTTTTGATATTAACCCAACCTGTCATTCCTGGGATAAATTCCACTTTGCCATTGTATATAATCGTTTTTCTATGTTGCTACATTTGTTTTGCTAATATTTTGTTCAGATTTTTGCATCTATACTTAGATGTTTTTGTCTCATTTCCTTTTGATTTTTTTTCTGCTTTTGATATGAGGGTATTGGCTTCATTAAATGGGTTAGAAAGTGTTCCCTTCTCTTAATGTTTGGAAGAATTTGTGCAGGATTGATGGCAATTCTTTAAATGTCTGCTAGAATTCATCAGTGAAGCCATGTGGGGCTGTTCTTTTTATAAAAAATTTTTTTTTATTACTAATTGCATCTCTTTACTTATTACAGTTCTATGAAGATTGTCTATTTGTTTTTGAACTGAGTTTGATAATTTCTTGAAATACTGCTTTTTATAGTATTCTGTTATAGTTCTATTCTTTCTATAAGTCAATAGTAATGTCCCACCTTTCTGTCCTGATTCTAGTAGTTTGAGTCCCCTTACTCTGTCTTTTTTTGAGGAACACTCTAGGTAAAGGTTTGTCAATTTTTTAAATCTTGTTATAAAACCAGTTTTTTATTTCATTGATTTTCTTTATTGTTTTCCTTTCTCTATTTTATTAATTTCCACCATAATCTGTATTATTTTCTTCCTTCTGTTTGCTTTGGATTTAGTTTGCTTTTCTATTTCTAGTTTCCTAAGGTGGAAGAGTACATTATTGATTTGAGATCCTTTTTTTTTTTTTTTTGAGATGAAGTCTCACTTTTGTCCCCCAGGCTGGAGTGCGATGGTGCGATCTCAGCTCACTGCAACCTCCGTCTCCTGGGTTCAAGCGATTCTCCTGCCTCGGCCCCCTGAGTAGCTGGGATAACGCCTGCCACCATGGCCGGCTAATTTTTGTATTTTTAGTTGAGACGAGATTTCACCATGTTGGCCAGGCTGGTCTCAAACTCCTGACCTCAGGTGATCCACCCGCCTTGGCCTCTCAAACTGCTGGCATTACAGGCGTGAGCCACCGTGCCCGGCCCCTTCTTATTTTTTAATGTAGGCATTTACAGCTATAAATTTCTGTGTATGCATTGCTTTAGCTGTATTCTATACATTTTGTTCTATTTATTTATTTATTTTACTTTAAGTTCTGGAATGCATGTGCAGGATGTGTAGGTTTGTTACATAGGTATACGTGTGCCATGGTGGTTTGCTGCACCTATTGACCCATACTCTAAGTTCCCTCCACTCGCCACCCAACTCCCAACAGGCCCTGGTGTGTGTTGTTCCCCTCCCTGTGTCCATGTGTTCTCATTGTTCAACTCCCACTTATGAGTGAGAACATGCGGTGTTTGGTTTTCTATTCGTGTGTTAGTTTGTTGAAGATGATGGTTTCCTGATTCATCCATGTCCCTGCAAAGAACATTATCTCATTCCTTTACATGGCTGTGTAGTATTCCATGGTGTATATGTACCACATTTTCTTTATCCAGTCTATCATTGATGGGCATTTGATTTGGTTCCATGACTTTGCTATTGTAAATAGTACGGCAATAAACATACGTGTGCATGTGTCTTTGTAGTAGAATAATTTATATTCTTTTGGGTATATACCCAGTAATGGGATTGCTGGGTCAAATGGTATTTCTGGTTTTAGATCCTTGAGGAATCACCATACTGTCTTCCACAATGGTTGAACTAATTTACATTCCCACAAACAACGTGAAAGCATTCCTGTTTCTCCACAGCCTCACCAACTTCTATTATTTCTTGACTTTTTTAATAATTCCTATTCTGACTGACGTGAGATGGTTTCTCATTGTGGGTTTGATTTGCAATGCTCTGATGACCAGTGATGTTGAGCTTTTTTCATATGTTTGTTGGCCATGTAAATGTCTTCCTTTGAGAAGTGTCTGTTCATATCCTTTGCCCACTTTTTGATGGGGTCATTTGTTTTCTTTTCTTGTAAATTTGTTTAAGTTCCTTATAGATTCTGGATATTAGACCTTTGTCAGATGGGTAGATTGCAAAAATTTTCATCCATTCTGTAGGTTGCCTGTTCACTCTGATCATAGTTTCTTTTGCTGTGCAGAAGCTCTTTATTTTAATTAGATCCCATTTGTCAATTTTGGCTTTTGTTGCAATTGCTTTTGGTGTTTTAGTCATGAAGTCTTTGCCCATGCCTATGTCCTTAATGGTATTGCCTAGGTTTTCTTCTGGTATTTTTATGTGTTGGGTTTTACATTTAAGTCGTTAATCCATCTTGAGTTAATTTTTTGTATCAGGTGTAAGGAAGGGGTCCAGTTTCAGTTTTTTGCATATGGCTAGCCAGTTTCCCCAGCACCATTTATTGAATAGGAGATCCTTTCTCCATTGCTTGTTTTTGTCAGGCTTATCAAAGATCAGATGGTTGTAGATGTGTGGTGTTATTTCTGAGGCATCTGTTCTGTTCCATGGGTCTATTTGTCTGTTTTGGTACCAGTACCATGCTGTTTTGGTTACTGTAGCCTTGTAGTGTAGTTTGAAGTCAGGTAGCATGATGCCTCCAGCTTTGTTCTTTTTGCTTAGGATTGTCTTGGCTATACAGGGTCTTCTTTGATTCCACATGAAACTTAAAGTAGCTTTTTCTAATTCTGTGAAGAATGTCAATGGTAGTTGGATGTGAATAGCAATGAATCGATAAATGTCTTTGTGCAGTATGGCCATTTTCACAATATTGATGGTTCCTATCCATGAGGATGGAATGTTTTTTCATTTGTTCATGTCCTCTCTTCTTTCCTTGATATGTGGTTTGTAGTTTTCCTTGAAGTGGTCCTTCACATCCCTTGTTAGCTGTATTCCTAGGCATTTGTTGCTCTTTGTAGTGATTGTGAATGGGAGTTCGTTCATGATTTGGCTGTTTACTTGTCTAACGTTGGTGTATAGGAATGCTTGTGTTTTTTGCATATTGATCATTGATTTTGTACCCTGAGATTTTGCTGAAGTGGTTTATCAGCTTAAGGACTTTTAGGGCTCAGAGGATGGGGTTTTCTAAATATAAAATCATGTCGTCTGCAAATAGAGACAATCTGACTTTTTCTCTTCCTATTTGAATACGCTTTATTTCTTTCTCTTGCCTGAAACTCTCAATAAACTAGGTATTGATGGAACATATTTCAAAATAATAAGAGCTATTCATGACAAACCCACAGCCAATATCATATTGAATGGGCAAAAGCTAGAAGCATTCCCTTTGAAAACTGGTACAAGACAAGGATGCCCTCTCTCACCACTCCTATTCAACATAGTATTGGAAAGTCTGGCCAGGGCAATTAGGCAAGAGAAAGAAATAAACGCTATTCAAATTTGCTTTTATTTTTATACATCTCAAAATATTTTCCAATATCCCTTATGATTTATTTAGCCATTAGATATTCAGGAGTACCTTGGTTAACTTACACATATTTATGAGTATATTAAATTTCTTTCAATAACTGATTTCAAATTTAATTGCACATGAATATACTTTTTAATGTATATTCTTAAAAAATTAAACATTAAGGAATATATTTTTTATGATTTAATTTTTTTAATTTATAGAAGACTATTTTACACCAAAAATACTTACAGAATATTCCATTTGTACTTAAGAATTTGTGTCCTGTTGTTGAGTGGAACTACAGGTTTCTGCTAAGTCTACATGGTTTATAGTTTTCTTCAAGGCTTATATTTCATTTTTGATCTCCTATGTAGTTCTATCCATTTCTGAAAGTGGGATATTGAAGTCTACAACGATTATTGTTGAATATATTCCTCACTTCAATTCTGTCAAGTTGTGCAAGCCTAATTATTTTTCAAGAAAAAAGCATGTAAAGTACCTATGTAATGCATTTAAAAGGTAAATAAGTGAATGAATGGATGAGTGAATGAATAAATAAAAAGCATAATGGTGGCTGAAATTTATTTTTCAGTTACAGTTGATTTGTTACTTACCCTCCTATTTCAAAAATTATATTGACTTCTTATGCCCAAAGATTTAATCAGAATCAATGAAGAGTGGATTTTTAAAGAATTAAACTCATGTTTTAGATACAGGGGTACATAAGCAGATCTGTTACATGGGAATTTTTCACCCAGGTAGGTGACATAGTACCCAACAGGTAGGTTTTCAACCTATGTCTCCCTCCCTATCTTCACCTGCTAGTCATCTACAGTGTCTGTTGTTCCTATGTTTATGTCCGTGTGTGCTCAATGGTGAGCTCCTAATTAAAAGTGAGAATGTGAGTTATTTGGTTTTCAGTTCCTGTGTTATTTCACTTTGAATAATAGTTTCTAGCTAAATCTATGCTGCTGCAAGATATAAGATTTCATTCTTTTTATGGCTTGTAGTATTGCATGTTGTATATGTACCGTCTTTTTTTTTTTTTTTTTAATCCTATCAGCTGTTGTTAGGCACCTGGGTTGATTCCTTGTTTTAGCTATTGTGAATAGCTGTGATGAACATATGAGTGCAAGTGTCATTTTGGTAGATTGATTTATCTTCATTTGGGTATATACCCACTAGTTGGAATGCTGGGTGAAACCCTAGTTCAACTTTTAGTTCTTTGAGAACTAAACTCAAACTGTTTTCCACAGTGACTGAACTAATTTAAATTCCCACAACAGTGTATAAGCATCCTCCTTGCTCTACAGCCTCACCAACATGTATATTTTGACTTTTAAATAATAGTTATTCTTACTGCTGTGAGGTGGTATCACACTGTGGTTTTGATTTGCATCTCTCTGATGATTGGTGATGTTAGGCATCTTTTTTCCCATATATTTGTTGGCTGCTTGTATGTCTTATTTGGAGAAGTGTCTGCTCATTTTCTTTGACAACCTTTTTATGGGTTTGGTTTTGTTCTTGTTTATTTATTTAAGTTCCTTATAGATTTGGAATATTAGTCCTTTGTTGGATACATACTTTGTGAATATTTCCTACCACTCTGTAGGTTTTTTTTTTTACTCTGTTGATAGTTTCTTTTGCTGTGCAGAAGCTCTTTAAATAAGTCCCACTTGTCAATTTTTGTTTTCATTGCAATTGCTTTTGAGGTCATAGTCATAATAATTTCTTTGCCAAGGTCAATGTCCAAAAGGGTATTTGCTAGGTTTTCTTTTCTAGGATTTTTATTGTGTGAGGTCTTAAATTTATTAGTCTATGTTGAGTTAATTTTTGTATATGGTGATAGGTAGGGTTCCAGTTTTATCCTTCTGCATATGGTTAGCCAGTTTTCCCAGCACCATTTATTGAACAGAAATTTCTTTACCATTGCTTATGTTTGTCAACTTTGTCAAATATCTGTTGGTTATAGATGTGGCTTTATTTCTGAGTTTTCTATTCTGTTTTCTTGGTGTATTGTCTGTTTGTGTACCAGTGCCATGCTATTTTGGTTACTGTAGCCTTGCAGTATAGTTTGAAGTTGGGTAATGAGATGCTGCTGGTGTTGTTCTTTTTGCTTAGAAATGCTTTGGCTATTTAGAATCTGTTTCGGTTCCCCATGACTTTTAAAATACTTTTTTTTTTCTAATTCTGTGAAAAATGATCTTGGTAATTTGACAGGGATAGCACTGAATCTGTAGAATGCTTTTGGTAGTATGGTTATTTTAATGATAATTTTTTCAATCCATGAACCTGGAAATTATTTTTGTTTATGTCATCTATGATTTATTTCAGCAGTGTTTTTAGTTCTATTTGTAGAGATAGTTCACCTTCTTGGTTATATGTATTCACAGATATTTTGTTTTATTTTTTGTGTGGCTTTTGTAGATGGGATGGTATTGCTTATTTTGCTCTCAGTTAAAATGTTATTGGTGTATAGAATGCTACTGATTTTTGCATATTGATTTTATACTCTGAAATATTGTTGAAGCCATTTATCAGGTCTAAGTATCTTTCAGTAGAATCTTTAGGGTTTTCTAAGTATAGAATCATATCCTCAGTGAAGAGAAATAATATGACTTTCTCTTTTTTTTTTTATTTGTTTCTTTGTTTCTTTCATTCTCTTGCCTGCTTTCTCTGGCTAGGACTCCCAGTACTATATTGAATAGGAGTGGTTAGAGGGGGCGTCCTTGTCTTGCTCCAGTTTTCAAGGAGAATGCCTCCAACTTTTGCCCATGCAGTATGATATGTTGGCTGTGGGTTTTTCATAGATGGCTCTTATAACTTTCGGGTATGTTTCTTTGATGCCAAGTCTGCTAAGAGTTTTTATTATTAAAAGATGTTGGAATTTAACAAAAGCCTTTTCTGTGCCTATTGAGATAATCATATTGTTTTTAGTTTTAATTCTGTTTATGTCTTGAATCACATTTATTGATTTGCATATGTTGAATAAGGCTTGCATCCCAGGAATAAAGTCTATGCGATTGTATTGCATTAACTTTTTGATGTCCTGCTGAATTTGGTTTGCTAGTATTTTGTTGAGGATTTTTGCCTCTGTGTTCATCAGGGATATTTCGCCTGAAATTTTCTCTTTTCACTCTGTCACTGCCAGATTTTGGTGTTAGGCTTATACTGGTTTCATGGAATGAATTAGAGAGAATCCCTTCCTTCTAAAATTATTGGAATAGTTTTGGTATGACTGGTACCAGTTCTTCTTTGTATGTCTGGTAGAATTCAGCTTTGAATCCATGTGGTCCAGGGCTTTTTTATTAGTAATTTTTTTCAAAATTACCTTTTCAATTTTAGAACTTTATATTTGTTTATTCAGGGTTTCATGCTCCTCCTGATTCAATCTTGGGAGATTGTCAGCTGGAATGTATCAATTTCCTCTATATTTTATAATTTTTGTGCATAGAGTCCTTTGTAGTGTTCTCTGAGGATCTTGTGTATTACTATGGGATTAGTTTTTATTTCACCTTTGTCATTTCTTATTTTACTTATTTGGATCTTCTATATTTTTTTCTTTGTTAATCTATCTAGCAGTCTATCAATCTAGGTTTTTATTTTGAAGAACGCAACTCTTGGTTTCATTGATCTTTGTATGTATTTTTGCATCTCAATTTCATTAAGTTCTTCTCTAATTTTATTTACTGCTTTTCTTCTGCAGTAATCTTCGGAATCACTATTGATTCATTCTTTTTTAGTTCCATTAGGTGCATAGTTAGATTGTTAATATGAGTTATATCTAACTTTTTGATGAAGGTGTTTAGCACTATAAACTTTGCTGTAAACACTTCTTTAGCTGCATCCCAGAGATGTTGGTACATTTTGTCCCTATATTCATTATTTTCAAAGAATTTTGATTTGTCCCTTGATTACAATGTTCACACAGGAGTTATTCAGAAGGAAGTTAATTTCCATACATCTGTATAGTTTTAGAATATCTTCATGATATTGATTTTTATTTTTATTGCACTGTGGTCCAAGAGTGTATTTGGTATGATTTGAATTTGTTTTAATTTATAGAGACTGACCTTGTGGCTGAACATGTGGTCGATCTTAGAATATATTCCATATGCAGATGAGAAGAATGTATATTCTGAGGTTGTTAGGTAGAGTCTTTGGTAGGTGTCTATTAGGTGCAGTTGATCAAGTGTTAAGGTTAAGTCCAGAGTTTCTTTGTTAGTTTTCTGCCTCGCTGATCTGTCTAACACTCTCAGTGGGGTGTTGATATCTCCTAATATTATTTTGTCACTGTGCAAATCTTTTTCTAGAATCTAGAATACTTCTTTTATAATTTTCATGCTCCAGTGTTTGGTACATATATATTTAGGATAGTAAAGTCTTCCTGTTGTGATGCACCATGTATTATTATGTAATGTCCTTCTTTGTCCTTCTGAATTTTTATTGGTTTAAAATCTGTTTTATCTGATATAAGAAGAGCAACTTTTTCTCTATTTTTGTTTTTCATTTGCATGGTAGGTCTTACTGTATCTTTTTACTTTGTGCCTGTCAGTGTCATTACATGTGAGATGGGTCTCTTGAAGACAGCAGATGGTTGAGTTTTATCCTCCTATTCAGATTTCCATGCTGTGCCTTTTGAACGTTGCCTTTAGTCTATTTTCATTCAGGGTTACTATTGATATGTGAGATTTTGATCTTGTCATCATGTCGTTAGCTGGTTGTTATGTAGACTTGATTGTGTGATTGTTTTATAGCATCTGTGGGCTATGTGCTTAAGTGTGTTTTTATGGTAGCAGGTGTCATTATTTCAGTTCCATGATTAGCACTCCCTAAGAACCTGTTGTAAGGCTGGTCTTGTTAAAATAAATTTCCTCTGTGTTTGCTTGTCTGAAAAATATTTTACTTTTCTCTCACTTATGAAGTTTAGTTTAGTGCAGTGCAGTTCTTGGTTAGAATTTTTTTTCTTAACAATGCTGAAAATACACTCACAATCTCCTCTGGCTTGTATGTTTTCTGCTGAGAAGTCTGCTGCTGGCCTGAATGGGGTTCCCTCTACGTGATTTCACACTGTTCTCTAGCTGCCTTTAATAATTTTTCTTTTGTGTTGATCATGGTGAATCTGATGACTGTTTTCGGGATAGTCATCTTGTATCTAGTATCTAGCTGGGGTTTTCTGTATTTCTTAGATTTGCCTGTGAATCTCTCTGTAGCAAGATTAGGAAAATTTTCCTGGACTATATCCTGAAATATATTTTCCAAGGTATTTATTCTCCTCAGGAATGCCAACGTATTGTAGATTTGGTCTCTTTGCATAATTCCAAATTACTCAGATGTTTTGTTCATATTTTAAAATTCATTTATCTTTATTTTTGTCTAAGTTGATTTGAAGAACTGATCTTCAAGCTCAGAGTTTCTTTCCTCAGCTTGGTCTACTCTGTTGTTAATACTTCAGATTATATTATAAAATTCTTGTAGTAAATTTTTCAGCTCTGGGCATTATGTTTGGTTCTTTCTTAAAATGACTATTTTGTATTTCAGCTCTTGGATTGTTTTACTGGATTCCTTGGATTAGGTTTCAACTTTCTCATGAATCACATGGAGATTATTGCCATCAAGATTCTAAATTCTATGTCAGTCATTTTAGTATTTTCTGACTGGTTAAAAACTATTGCTGCAGAGCTATTGGACTCATTTGGACGTATAGAGACATCTGGCATTTTCAATTGCCAGAGTTCTTGGGCTGACTCTCTTCTGGGAGGACTGGTGTTCCTTTAATTGTGGTATAAGTTGAGTATAATCAGTTGGGCTCATTTCTGGATGTTTTAAAAGGTCCAGGGCTCTGTGTAAGGCCTTTATTTGTGGCTGAATTTTTTTCTCTTGGTCTCACAGAGGTGTATGTTAGCAAAGCATTTTTGAGGTCCTAGTTTGTGCTGTGATCCGATGGATGATGCTTAAGAGTAATGGCTGGGAGACAGGCTATTTCTCAGCTGCATGGCTCCTTTGACATTCCTCAGTTTTGTAGCTATGCTGTGCGGTGTAGTGAGGAGAGAGGTCACCGCTTCACCAGGTCCACACCTGGGCCTTAGGGTAGCCCCCTCCAATCACTGGCACTGCACCTACATTTATTTGGTTAACTGTTCCAGTCTGTGGAGCTCCCCTGGGCAGAGGCTGTGGCTGAGAGATAAGCCACACCTTTTCCCTGATGCCCTGTTGAGGGAGGCATGCCATACTCCTGTGGCAGCCCATGAGCCCATAAACTCATCCCTCTTAGTGTCCTGAGAGTGTGGGTTGCATTTCTGCTAAAATTCTTGCCACAGATCTGGCTCGGTACACCCAAACTGTTCACCATAGTCCTGGGGTGAGCTCAGGCTTTTCTTTTTTCCCACCCCAGCTTGTAGGCAGCAGAGGCAGGGACCTTGGCAGCAATGGCAGAGTACCTGTTAGTTGACTGTGGGATTTTATCCTACAGAAAAACAGAGCCATGGCCAATTGGAGTGATCAGCTAGCGTTGGGGCAGTTGCACAGTTTGCTAAAGCCAGAGGCCTTGCCTGATGAAGAGCGGGGTAGTGGGGGATCATGGGGAACACAGTCTGGCCTCTTCTCCATAGGGTAGCTTCAGGATGCTAGAGGTGTGAGCAAAGTAAATAGGCTCTTTGTTTCTTTCCAAGCCCCAGGACAGCAAAAATGGCAGCGGTGGCAGAGGGCCTGTCAGTTGTTTTTGTGATTTCCACCCCAGAGAAACAGAGCCATAGCTGATCAGAGTGATTAGCCAAAGGTAGGGTGACTATGCTGCAGGTCAAAGCCAGGAGGCCCTGCCTAGCAAAGAACAAGGGCATCAGGGTCTTGCTGGGAATACAGTTTGGCCTCCTATCTGTTGGACAGCTATTGGGTGCTATAGGCATGCAAAAACAATCAGGCTCTTTGTTTCCTCCATAGCCTTGGGGGAGCAAGGGCAGGTACTACTGCAGTCCCAATGGCAGAGACCCTGTGGGTTGTCTCTGGGAGTCTTACCTCAGCAAAATACAGGGCTGTCACTGACTGAAGTGATCCCGTGGGGGTGAGGTGGCTGTGCTGGTGACAACAGCATGACCACACCATGAGGCCCTGCCCTGTGAAGAGTAGCACAGGCCGAGACCTGCCTGGAAAACAGTCTGGCTGATTTTCCACATGGAAGCGGCAGCATGCTGCATGCCCATGACAGTTCTTGTGCTTGAGGCCTACGAGGACAGTTCTTGTGCTCTTCCCTCCCTCCCCAGCCTGAAGACAGCAGGGGTGGGGACTGCAGCAATGGTAAGAGCAGCAGCCCTGTCAACCATCTCTGGGAGCTCTGTCCCAGAGAAATGGAGGGCTAGGACCAGCAGGAGTGCTTAGGTTGGGGTGGGGGTGGCCAGGCCATTGGACCTTGCCTGGCAATGTACAGTGGAGGCAAGGACTACAGACAATCTGCCCCTGAGCACTGTGGATGTGGCTTCTATCCTAGAGATTCACAAAAGAGCTTGACCTCCCTTGTTGGCAGGGCTGTGGCAGCTGGCCCAGGGGTTCTCAGGGATCCAAGGCCCATGCGGCCCTTCATGGGCTTAAGCAGTGGTTTTATCTAGACTAGAGATAGCTCTCTGTGTCAGTATGGTGACTGTGGAGTCAGAAGGGATTCCCTGTGCCCAGGATTGCAAAGGTCCATGGCAAAACTGTGGGTCTCTGGGGACTCTCACTCACCCTTTCCCCTCCCTATGCCAATCCTGGTTGGGTGACTGTCCTGCCTCGCTCCTCTCTGTTCTCCATGGGTTACCATGGCTTCCTTTATGAACCCCAATGTGGCCTCCTAGAAGAGTCACTTAAAGAGCTAGTGTTTACATCCTACTCTGTTTCCTCTCTGTGAGAGCAGCACACACTAGATGCTTTAGTCAGCCATCTTGGTGCTTCTGAAAGGTAGATTTTGGATGGTTGTGGGTACTGTGACTGACATCTTTCATCAAATAATAGCATTATAAATCATTCTCATGTCTTGTGGTGGTCTAGGGAAAAGGTTCTCTATATGAGTAGGAAATAATTTAAAAAGTATATCCTTCATTTCCATTACATAGGGCTGTAGAGAGAGTGTAGGTTGGAGACTTATAGATTTATAAACTATTCAAGTATGGTTGCTTTTTTTGAGTTTATGATATGATATTTTATTTTATTTATGTATTTATTTATTTTGGTGACAGGGTCTCTTTCTGTTTCCCAGGCTGGATGAAGTGTTGTGGCATGATCATAATTCAATGTAAACTCAAACCCCAGAGCTCAAGAGATCTTTCTGCCCCAACCTCCCAAGTAGCTAAGGACTACAGGCATATGCCATCATATGCTGCTAATTATTTTATTATTTTTTTGTGGAGATGAGGTCTTGTTGTGTCTCCCAGACTAGACCGGAGCTTGTGGCCTGAAGTGAACTTTCTGCCTTGGTCTCCCAAAGTGCTGAGAATACAGGCATGAGCCACTGCACTTGGCCAAGTCTAAAGGATTTTAGAATTAAAGATAATTAAGTCTAACAACAAGCTCAGAAAATATTGCTAGGTAAGACTAATTAAAATAAAGTTAATTAAACATAGGTGCATTGAGCAAAGTAAAATATATATATATATATATATATATTTAAAGCAACACTTTAAATATATTTATAATGTTTGGTATCTAATTTCAAAATTTCAACATTATATATCCTATCTTTTTATGTAATCTGTATCCCTGGTCTTACAATAATAAAATGTAATGACTTGATACTTTGGAATGCTTCTAAATCCCATAAAGTTTTCATCTATGTCATCTTAGAAGTGGAGTGTTGTTCTTACTCATAGAGTATTGGTTCTAGGAACTCCCTTGGATGTGAAAACCCACGGATGCTCAAGTCTCTAATATAAAATGGTATAATATTTGCATATAACCTATGTGTAGCCATCCATATACTTTAAATAATCTCTAGATTAGTTATAATACCTAATATAATGTAAACACTATGTAAATAGTTATTCTATAGTATTTACAAAATAATGATAAGAAAAATAAGTCTGTGTTTAGTAGATGCAATTATTTTTTCAAATACTTTCAATCCAAGGTTGATTGAATCCATGAATGCAGAACCCATGGATGTAAAGGGTTGACTGTAGTTCTATTAGAATACAAACAATAAAATACAGAACATATCATTTCAGATACATCCAAATGAACAACTAAGGCAGTTAACATCGATCAATTCATGTATGTTTCAAATCAGCAACCATTTATTCACATGTAGTTACTGGTATCATCATCATGTTGTAATCTTTGTGAAGTTATGAAAATACAACATGATTTGCCCTCAAGGAGAAATCCCTTAAGGAGAAATCACTCTAGTTTGGCACTAACTGACTAATCAAATCTCTGGGATATAATTGCTAACAGTAGAATTTGTATTTTTATATGAAAGACAAGTGAAGCAATCAGAAAAGACTTATTAGAGGAGGAGAGTTTTGGCTGGGTCTTAAATGTGGGAGACAGGTTAGAGCAGGGAAATATTTGGGGCTTCCTAAAACCTTTAGCTATGAGGCTGCAAATGTATCAGGAAAAAGGATACATTAGGGATTTTGAATTCAAAGCCAAGAAATATTTCTGCCTCAGATTACAAGGGTAAATTATTTCAGCCTTAAATTACATAGAATTATACAAAAGACTCTGAAGTGTGATGAATGAAACTTAAAGAGCCACTTTCAAATTTCTTAAATATATAAAGCAAATGGAATCATCTTATTAAAGCTGAACAATACATGAATTCTGGAAGGTAAGATGAAGTCGTGAGATAATCTTCAACAAATTGTGGAACTCAATTAGCCTCACTTGATATAGGGCAGAGTACCATTGAGGGGCCACTTGCAAGACTAACTTCATTCTCTCATGTCTATATCAATTTGTCAGTGGTTTCCCTTTCGAGTGTTTTTTAAACAGTCTTGGTCAAATGTTAGAAACTATTTTTTATCTAAGGTGAAGTGAAAGTCTTATTTATTGTGTACCCTTCTTGGTCAGAGCAATTACTAGCTTCAAGGATACAAAGGAAGACAGACCTTTGGCCTTAAGCAAAATATTTTTAAAAATATAGTTGGAATAGTGGTTGTTTGCAAACTATGAAACATTTTGTGTACTGTAATAAGTAGACTATAATATTCAATGATTTTCAGCTGGACAGGAGGCCAGTCCAAAAGCTCAGGCAAGAGGTATTTGAATCTAGGGCAAGTTCAGGAGTAGAAAAGAGAAAAAAAAAAAGAACTTCTGAGACACTTTACTGCTAAAAGTTTTAAGTTAAGTCTCCTGTGAAAGAATCAAGCAGCTGTTTCCTATAGCTGAAAGTTCCCCAGTCTTCAGGGAGGGATCTTGGTGTAGCTTTCCTTACCATAGTAAATTAGGATTGAATGGAGTAGGGCATGAGGGCCTTTTTTCCCACAAGAGTGGTTGACAAACCAAAAAAAAAAATGAGCATTTCTGTTGTAGATATGACATCTAAATATATCTACTTTTCTATTTTCATAGAAGTTTTTCACACTATATGAATTTGTCCTAAGATAATTTCTTGCGCATTATTTTTAATAGTGTATTGAGATATATTATATAAACAATAAAATCTGCCTAATTTAAGTGTACATTTTAATAATTTTAGAATATTTACAGTGTTGTGCACCCATAAGCAATATCTAATTTTAGAAGATTTCCATCATCCCCAAAGGAAATATTGTGGATGTTTTTAATCACACTCCATTTTCTTTGTGAATTCTTCTTAATTCTCTGATCAGAAACTTGGATTATATACTAGGCACACAAGCCAGGCATGAACCACGTTTTTCTCATTCCTTTTTTTACAAAGCAGTTCTCCAAGTCTTTTTCTTGAGATATTGGAAGACAGAAGCTGTATGGACAGTAATTATGTACCTGAATACACAACATAAAAGCAGAGGAAGCTGTGGACGAGAGGCAGGAAAGAATTGGAGAGACAGTACCACTGCAGTGAATCAGGGAATTGTATTTTTTTTTTCCATCTAGTTATTCTGTGTATCCCATAATAAGTCAGGCTTTTCTTCTCATGAGTTTTACCATGATGCAGTATAGAAAAGACAAAGATAACATACACATTTATTGATACAGAACAGGAAGAACTGAAGAGAGAAGTATGTTACTCCCCTGACATATAAATATGAGTTTTTTAGGTTCTTCTGTAGATTAATGATGAACAAAATGCTCAAAGTCTCCATCTCTGCCCTGTATCCAACCCACTGACCCAATTGAGATATTCCCTCTTTTATCTGGGCTACTGATAAGCAGTCAAATTATTTTGCAGTTTAGTTTTCTGGGTCTGATTTTCCTAAGAGAACGTTTGCATCAGCTGAAATATTTTCTTTTTCTTTTCTATAGCATCTGTAGAATATTAATTAGCCTTTCTTTGATGTGGTTTCAGGAAACCATGAGCTTATCCAAAAGTCAGTCTTTGAGATGCATACATATACTGACCTTCAGTTAGGCTCCAGGTTAAGACAACATGAGAAAATCAATAACTCATTTTTCCTCCCTCTTTCTCCTTTTTGGCTCACATTTTGATGTTTGCTGAAATAAAGAGACAACACTAAAGGCACACATTTCCACTGAATATCCAAGTAGGTTATCATGAGCTTAAGGGGTCGTGTTTTGGCTTAATCACTATAAATCTACCAAACCAGATCTGTCAATATATATCTGTTCTTACTTTATACAGCAATGTCTACTCCCTTGCTGGGATCAAAGATCATTTCCCATTGCATATCTTGCCACATTCTCCACCTTTCATTCCTACACTCTTTGCAATGAGCATTACAAGGAAGGTGTTAGATAATTGGAACTCTGATCATAGGGGAATAAACCTATGACATTGAAGCATGTTGTTCAATTTCATCACTCTTTGAAGGTGTCCAAACATACATCGCCTTTCACAGAGGAAGGAAAAAATGTTGATCCCCTGTCAAAAATGTCCAAGGAGAAGCTTATTGGAATCAATCTGCAGACCAGAAATAATTATGAAATGCCTATCAGCTTTCAATAAAGAAAGAAATCAATCCTTTTAGTTTTCCCTCCTCTATTATGATTTTTTCCTGGATGCTTTAATGCAGTTTGTTAACTCATTTCCTACATACAAGCTAATCAGC
Source organism: Homo sapiens (assembly GCF_000001405.40). Taxonomy (NCBI): domain Eukaryota; kingdom Metazoa; phylum Chordata; class Mammalia; order Primates; family Hominidae; genus Homo; species Homo sapiens. Next base: position 93,463,197 of record NC_000023.11, on the reverse strand, counting down.
AACAGCATTTGTCACAGACATATACAATGAATGTTCAGAATTAGAGAAATGCCAGTGAATTCTGCATGGAAATTTCTAATCAGCCATTTTCCCATCACTAATGATGAAGCCAAGATTTTATTTACTCTGACAACACATAGGGTATTTAACACTGCTCCTAGTTCTTACACAAAGCAAATTGAATTTTTTTATTAAAGGTAAGCAGTCATTATGGGTAAAGTTTTTATGTTGGCTCTTCTTATTAACACAAAGACAACCCACTGACTTAATAGGAAAATAATATGATAATCATAGTTCTTGATGTAAAATCTCTATACAATCTTAGAGTTAAAGCTGCCATTTATTGAATTCTGCATGCTCCAGGCAATATTCTAAGAGCTTTGGATTTGCATATATTAACTCACCTAGTGATATGGTTTGGATTTGCATCCCTGCCCAAATCTTATGTCTAATTTTATTCCCCAAATTTGGAGGAATGGCGTGGTGGGAGGTGATTGGATCATGGGGGAGGATTTTTCCCTTGCTGTCCTCGTGATAATGAGTTCTCATGAGATCTGGTTGTTTAAAAGTGTGTGGCACCTCCCTCTTCACCTTCTTTCTCCATCTCTGGTCATGTAAGCCATGCCTGCTTCCCTTCTGCTTTCTGCCATACTTGTAAGGTTCCTGCGACCTGTCCAGTCATGCTTCCTGTACAGACTGTGAAATTTGGAGACAGCCAGTTAGGAGGGGGTCCCTGGAGAAACTACAAGCAGCCTGGACTCTGGGGTTGAACCTCGGGAAGTTTGCACCATTTGCAGCAGGGAGGAGCAGGGTCCCTCCTCTTCTTACGTGGAACGGGATTCAAGCTGCGGGCAGGAAGTGCTCTACCATGAACTCTGGCCTTGCAGAGTCCCTGTTTCCCCCCGACCCTTTTTTTTTCCTTTTCACCCAATAAAACTCTGCTTCACTCACCATTCAAATTTTTTTTTTTTTTTTTTTTTTTTTTTGAGATGGAGTCTCGCTCTGTCGCCCGGGCTGGAGTGCAGTGGCGCGATCTCGGCTCACTGCAAGCTCCGCCTCCCGGGTTCACGCCATTCTCCTGCCTCAGCCTCCTGAGTAGCTGGGACTACAGGCGCCCGCCACCACGTCCAGCTAATTTTTTGTATTTTTAGTAGAGACGGGGTTTCACTGTGTTAGCCAGGATGGTCTCGATCTCCTGACCTCGTGATCCGCCCGCCTCTGCTTCCCAAAGTGCTGGGATTACAGATGTGAGCCACCGCGCCCGGCTCAAATTGTTTGTGAGCCTAAATTTTCATGGCTGTATAACAAGGACCCTGCCTTTAGCTGGACTAAGGAAAAGTCCTGCAACATTTTTGGCGTGCAAAGTGGGGTCTCCAGAAGTGGTGAATGAAATGGGGGCTCAAAACCTCTCACTGTCGTTTTTCATCCTCAGACTTCTGAGCTTATGGGAAACCACACCCCTACCCCCTGTTGCTCCCGGGGGTGGGGAACCAACCCAGCCTTTCAGTGGCCTTTTCTTTCCTTTTTCGGAGGGACTGATGAGCATTAGCCCCCCTTCACCCTGCCCTCTTCGCCAGGGCTGGGACTGGGATACGTGGCCCAAAGAGCCATAGGTGGCTGGCTGGCATTTTCTGCCAGGCACCCAGCGTCTCCTTCTCCCCAGGCCAGGGAGACCAGCTTTTACTCACAGCAATTAAACTTGTCTCCCTGGTGGAGGAACCACTTGCCTAAGAATAAGAGGTTCTTCCCTAGGCATTTTAAAACTGTTTCTTTTCTTCCCCTTCTCTACCCCGTCAGCAGTTAACCTTTAATTTTTTTTTTCCTTTTAGAAGATGTTTTTACTAGGCCAGGCCCAACAACGATCACTATTTATTTATATTCTCTGCAAAGTTTCGGTTGTGAAATCAAGCCTCCATCTTGTTTTACATTCTGCAGGCATGGCTTGTAACTCTGGTGGCAAGGCTTTGTTTAGCAATCCTGCCTTAGGGAATAAGTTTCTTTCTGGTTGCATATCTGTGTGTTTTCCTAGCCCTGTTTGTTAAATGGCCCACCCAGTGACTGGGTTTTCTTCTGCCTGTCTGTGTGTGTACTGTGTGTGATGTCTGTAAAAACAGCTCTAATTAATTTGACCTATTTAATTTGCCAGCTTCGCAATTAGTAAGGCCTTGGGACATATGGAACTAACCACACCCTTAATTATGCTGGGAATAAAACATTGGCTGTACGTAGCACACACAAAAAAATGACTTACTAGGTTTTACATTAAAGTTAAAAATTGCCAGGAATTGCCATTATAACATGTAATTGAAACTACTGGAAATAGATTTACATACAAGGTGTGTAAGAACAGTAAAATGTGTGTTTTTTGTTTGTCTGTTTGCTTCGTAAAAGGTTATAAGAAGGCATGGGAATGTAAATTTTTGCCTGGGGCTAAAGGATTGTTTTAAATTAGGAAAAAGCTGAACGTTCAAACAAATGCTTTAAACATATTAAAAAGGCTTCCAAAAAGCAAACTTCAGTTTCAAAGTTGTCTTTCCTAACACCTGGCTTTTCTGATATTCCAGAGGGCCCCTGGAATATCCAGAAAAGAGAGATAAACAGGATTATCTGACATGTTTAGGTACATGGGATTGCTAAAATAACATTCAATCTTCTTTACGTTATATGTTAGTAAATAATACTAATATATAATTCCAAAATTGTATGGGATTTCTAAAATGTCTAAGTATATGCTGTCAATCATAATTAAGGTTGTTATGTTAAGTTATTGTAAACCATGGAGATAACCAAACTTCTTTGTCAATTGTGTTTCTAATTGTAACTACTCTGGACATTTTGTTATTCATAGACAGTTGCTGTCTTATTTTAATCCTTTTCAAAAGATGGTTTATAATAAGCTATAGAACTGTAACAGGTGCTCCCAAATACAGGATTCTGATAACTTTAGAGATTGTACCATTGGAATAAAGTAAAATGTTCAGGACTCATGAAGAGCTATAATGTTCACAAATATCAAGAAAAACCAGAGTTAACTAAATGGACTGAACTCAGAAAGCTGCAGCAACCTCCTTGACTTTTGCTTGGAATACTGCTGATCCATGTTTTGTTTTTCAGAGTCAAAGAAACTTATTTTGAACTATTTATGGCCTTTAATAATTGAGTAAGGTATACTCCTGTGACCAAATTTGGAGCATGTTTGTTTCACTCTGCCTGGTTCCTCTAGAATTTAGAACCTATCTGTGAGTATTCTTAACTTATGGCAATATAGTTGTTTGCATCAGTACAGTAAGAATCCAATTTTTTTCTTTTTTCTTTTTGGCAACAGAATGCAATTGGAAAAACTGGTCATTTTACCAAGGCTTTGACTGGAAAATTACGCTTCATTTAAAAGAATCAGTCTCAACTTGCAGAGTCGATAAAAGCTCAATGGGGTGATTGGCCTCATATTCTCATCTTTGCAGTCTCTGTACAGGGTTTCTGTCCTATGGTCAGTAAAGAATGTCACTTTTTAATAGGTCCAGGAGCTCCAAGGTTATCTTGGAAACTTAAGAGGAGAGGATCACCCAACTCACAGGTATTTGAGGATAAACTCATGGCTGGGCTCTGCTTTAAAAGATCTTTTCTGAGATTCTTTGGAGAACAGAGTTCCACCAAAGCCAATCCAAAAGGCCTATGTAGAAATAATTATTCTTGCTGCACTTTATGCAAATAGTCAGACCAAGTATAAGACTAAAGTCTACTTTGCAAACCACTCAGTCCTATGATGATTTGTTTCTTAACAAACATGAGGACCGGAGAGAGAGAAATAATGTTTCAAAACTTATCATGTATTTGTAATTAAATTCTAAACTCACTAGTTATTTTTAAGTTTTCACCTGTATTTTTGGACTAATCCTGCTTGTTCCTGTGAACCAACCAGCAATCTCTAGCTGCAGCTCAGAAATAATAAGAGGGATGGGTAATGTAAAAATCTGGATCAATATTCTAGTTCTGAGAAATTATCCTGCAAATCCTGCCAGGTGATGAGCATAAATAGGATGCCCATCACTCGGAGGTTTCATTTTGGGAAAGTAAGACCAAGGGAGATGAGCAAAGCCAGGCATGATGCACCCAAATTCCAGCAAGCATAATTATAGCTACCAGTTATCTGGGTGTGTCACAATACATCCTTTACTCTCCCTTGTTGGAGGAGGATTCAATTCCACAGCTTCACTTTAGCACTGGGCTTATGATAAGGAGTCCATGCAACCCCCTCCACCTCAATACATATTTTTGTCCCAAACTCAATTCCAAGGTTTGGGTCAAAGCCCTAAAAAGAATAACTGGATCTGAGGGATGCAGAGGCAACTGATAATGAAAATTAAAAGGCACAGTGCAGGTAAGCATGGCTGATTCCTGCTGATTAAGCAACCCCTAGCTTCCTGTTTTGTGGATAAAGGCTGCATTCGTATCCATGGCATAAATGAGGTCTAGGGAATTCAAGGCTACTGACAGAGGGGAGATAGGGCATACGTGGATAAGAGCACATGAGTCCCATTCTCTAGACCCCCCTGCCTCATGGGTGCAAGCTGCTTTTGGACTCATGGCTGCACTTGCCAAAGTCGCTGGGACTCGAGGATGCAAGACAGAAGAGAGAAAAAGGATGCTATTCATTCTCTCCCTCATGTACCCCGGGTATCTGGTAGGAAGAGAAGGGAACCAGGGATGCCTGCTCCCCTCTTTCTAGATGAGTAGCCATTCATCTTCAGTCTGTATCCTGAACCCCTGGGACTGCTTTAAAAGGTATCTTCTTTTTTCCTTTCTCCTCCTCAGTCCTCTCTTCACAGTTAGGTAATTGTGTCTCTGTACTATGGGACACTCCCCTCAGATGCATCCTCCAAACTGGGAAAGGTTAATTTCCCAAACCTTAAACTGGTTGGCTTAGGATTGGGCTCAGGGGAAGGAAATCAAGAAGCCCAATATGCCAGCAAAAGGGTAAAGTTTTACCAGTAGGCCTTCTGGCCTCCCTCTCCCTGTGCGAACTAGTAAAAGGACTCAGAATTTTTTAGCAGTCCTTAACTCTTCCCTTGTTGCATTTTGATACATGTTTTCTAATAGCCCAGTTTGTCTGTTCTTGCCTTCAGGCCATCAAACTCCAAACAGTCATTCAACCGGAGCTTTGGACGATGGCTTCTTCTGCTGGGAACCTTTAGATAGGCCTCTGAGGGAGTTCTGACTGCCATTTCCCCAAAACAGCCCCCTCTGTCAGCAGTAAGCAGTTCAGATTGGTCTTCATCCTTATCTTTATTCTTAGGACAGTTAGATGTACTTCTTTAGAGAGAGGAATGAGGCAGCCAGGTAGGAGGGGGTCCCTGGAGAAAAAGTCAACCCAGTTAGTGATGGAACTGAAATTTGAGTCCAAGTAGTGTTATCCAAAAACTGCACGTTTAACCATTACATTATACTCCCTCTTGGAATCTAAGAACAAAATGAATTCCTTCTTTCAAGTACACAATATTTTCGATGGCAGTAACTTGCACTTCGAATTTGACATTCAGTCCTCTTAAGAAATTAGCAACTAATTCAGCCAGATATTTTCCATATTTAAGTCATTCTCTTATAGGAATTTAGACTTTCGGAGATAAATGAATAGCTTTGACCATTCAGATATATTTGATTTATGCCAAAGTAATGTGTAATGTATTAAAAAGTGTCCTTGAAGGCAGTGTAGGAAATATAAGCCTATAAAATAATGCATATAGTCCTGAAGCAAAAGTCATCACGATACTGGCTGCTTTGTCAAATCCTCACAGTGTTAACTTTTTGACATGCACAAGACAGTTTCCTAAGCATTATTTTAATTGCGATTAGTCATTTTTGTCATGACATGAGAAAACCTTTCTGGTGTCTTTTTGTTGGGAAAATTCAGAAACAGTTACACTATAGATGATATTATGGTTAGGGAGTTTAATTGGGCTGTGGGCTTTGAAGTGTTTCATTCCTATTAGTGCAGTCCATTCTAACACCAAAATTCGAGTGTGTCATTCATTGTCTATCTCTCCACTTATCTAAGGCAGCACCTCTAATAGAAGAGACATAGAGTGTTTTCATTGCCTTCCCTTCTTGTCTCTCTTGCCTGGATGCCTTTATCTCCAAATGTATTCTTCATAGTGTTGTTACCCTTTTATTCCCAATGTAGGTTGCATTATGTCACTCACCTCCACAAAAGTCATTATTTCTCCTTAATCTGATTCCAATCATTAATTTGTAATGAACTAAACATTTCTTAGAATGAGTTTTAAAGTTTTTGATTATTAACTATTCTCTTAGTTGCTTACTCCATTATTTACAATTAATTGTATCACATACTGTGCCCCATCAGCTCTAGAATACTTAACATGCTCCAAACACATTGTTATATTTTTCTGTTTCTGCCAAAAAATATACTTTACTTGTATAGTAAGAGAGAGCCGTTAAGGTTATGGGCTTTGTGGTTAGATTGTTTTAGTTTGAATCTTTAATACTTGCCAGTTGTGTGGCCTTGGGCAGGTTATTTCACTTTTCTGATTTTTCCATAAATCATTGTCTACCAATATAAGGTAGGTAATGGTAATACCTGTTACACAGGTTGCTATAAAAATGAAATGAGCTAAACATATGAAATGTTTTTAAAAGTTCCTGACAAATAATTAGCTCTCAGCAAGCAGTACATTTTATTCTTTTCACAGCCCAGAATATTTTTCTTGCTAATTTCAATTTTTGATATTTCATGTTCCTGTTAAAGAACAGCTAAAATACCACCTCCTTCATTAAGCCTTTGGAAATTTCCCCATAGATTATTAAACACTGCCTCAGGATTTTTTTTTTTTTTTTTTTTTGAAACAGGGTCTTGCTCTGTTGCCCATGCTGGAGTGCAGTGGTATGTTCATGGCTCACTGAATCCTCAAACTCCTGGGCCCAAGCATTCCTCCTGCCTGAGCCTCCCGAATAGCTTGGATTTCAGGCATGTGCCACCACACCCAGCTAATTTTTGTATTTTTTTGTAGAGATGGGATCTTGGTATGTTGCTCAGGCTGGTCTTGAACTCGTGGCCTGTGGCAGACTGCCACAATTACTACTTGAGACAGTCACTACGACAGTTACTACTGTTACTTGAGACCATCATAACAACAGTTACTACTGTTACTACTTGAGACCATCATTACGAGACTGAACGAAGGAGGAATAACGCAGAAATGGAAACTTAAACTGTTTTAAAGAAGGGGCCGGGGAAGAACAAGAGGGCTCCAGCTTCTAGTGAGCAAAGGCAGCAGCTGCCCTGAGCTTCCATAGCCCTTCGTATTTATTGGGTAGAAAGAGCAGGGAGGAGGCGGTAACGATTGGTCAGCTGCTTGATTGATCACAGGTTCACATTATTGCTAACAGGCTTCAGATTTGCCTAATCACAAGAAACACTTGTGCCTGGGTCGTGACTGCCCTCTGCATTCCTTTTGGGCAGCAGATGTAGTTTATCAGTTTGCCAACATCCTGCTTTCATGAGAACAGTTTGCTCTTTACTCATATAGCCTCCAGTGGTATACTGAGTTGATCACGACCCTCATTCTTTCGGCTGCAACACTGGCCTCATGTAATCCTCCCACCTGAGCCTCTCAAGATGCTGAGATTACAGTCATGAGCCGCCATGTGTGGCTGCCTCAGTATTTTAAGTTAATTATGTACTAGTTTCTTCCCCTTTACTATATTGCAATCTATTTTTAGGTCCTTTGCTAGAAAGAACAGAGTATCTAGCATGTAGTAGTTGATCAATAAGTATATGTTAAATTGGGCAGAAAAATCTTGCAAGATTCCATGCTCAAGAATTGGTTTGCATGGTTATGTAGTAGAAAGCCATAATACTAAAAGTAATTTTTGCCTAGAGTTCGCCTACACTACTATAGAAAAGCGCAGTGGAAGGGATATGATGTCATTTAACGTAGATGCTTTGTCCACATTTTTTCAATCATCTGCCTAGCATGCTACAAACTGTCTGCCAATTCAAATATATGCCATGTGAGCATACTTTCCTCATTATCCAAATTGGATCAGATATTCACATATGTAGTATGACAATTTGTTCTGAGTCTGGCTTTCTAATAGTAGTGCCTACACAACCTTAATGCATTTTGTTTGCTGTGTACTAACTCAGAGACGGTTATGGCTGGTTTATTAGAAATGCTTTGGGTATAGGGTTTCAAATTGTTTCTACATATCCTACCAAACAGCTAAGGTACCAACATTTTATTCAAGATACTAAATAATTTTCAGTCTCTACTTTCCTTGAAACCAAAGGACAGTTGAAAGTAGACAGGCTTTAGATGTTAAATATTGTTCTCACCACTGAAGAAATGTAGGAATGAAACGTACTCCAAAAGCATAATTCAGTTATCTTTAGGACACTTTTCAGTGGGTCACTGAGGCTAGAGACCCACTCCTTGGCATGGAACAGGTGAGTTCAAACAATATGCTTAGCTAAACAGTTTTTTCATAGTACTTTTACAGAACTACTTGTAATTTTGCAAATGTTCTGTACTCTATCCACTCTCCAGGCTGCTATGCATCATGCTCCCTCTGCCTCCAAGGCCAGTTTTTCTACTATACCCACCTCCTTTTTTAAATCTAACTCTTTCCATCTAAAGTCTCACTTTGACTTTGAAGATACCTTCTCTGAACACCACCAAACTCAGTTTGATGCTCCTCCTCTCTGCCCCTGTAGCACCCTGTGCTTATACTCCATAGCTCATACCACTCTTTATCTGCTTTCCCCCAGCTAAACTGCAAATAACTGAGAGTCACACCATATCATAGGTATCTTTCTGTGTCTCATGCTTTGGCATATAATGCCTAATGCTTGATTGTGATAAATAGAAGCTCAGTAAATGTGGGATCAATCAGTTTTGCCATAAAGAAACCAACATTCACATCTGGTCGTATTTGTTTCCTGCCTAACCCAATAGTATATGCATGAAGATACAGCATTCAATATATAACTGGTCTCAAACTGATGAAAGTGGTTAGTGGTTAGTTCACAGTCTTTGGAGTCACACAAATATATATGTTCAAATTCCAGCTGTGCCACTTACTAGACTTTTGACCTCAGGCAGATTATGTACCCTTTCTGAGCCTCTGTTTTTACATCTGTGAAGTGTGCATCATTCACTGTACTCATATCATAGAGTGGTTATAAGGATTTAATGAGATGCTACATGTAAAAGGTTTCACATAATTCCTGGTGTACAATAAGCACTCCGTCAATATTAATTATTATCATTAAGTTTAATTATAGAAAACAGATAGAATCCTTTTAACATGAGAAATTCGAAGAGAATGTCTTCATATGAATTTTTCTAGCTATTAAGGACATTTGTGGTGCAAAACCTATTGAAACGTATGGAACTAGTTGGTACCTGACAAGAACATCTTTAATGAGCTTAACTTTGTCAGTACTTTTATAGCATTTAGTATAGTTGCTTATTTTATTTCTAATAGATTTCCCCTAAGTTTCTCTATTTCCTTCACTGTAACCCCTAAATTTTGGCATGAGGAAAAATGTTAGTGCCAGTGGTTAATTATCCTGTCTGTTCCTTTAGTAGTAACCAAAAGTTACCATTTTTTAAAAAATATTTTAAGGCCCAGTTACCATATCCACTTTTCCAGGAAAAGTGTGGGCAGCTTTTAATACCGATTTTTCTTATGACCACAAATATACATGTGTTTATCTCAAGACTGTAATATCCATTTGGGAGACCCTGTAGTTACAATTAATTCTTACTCTAAACATGTCACCTCTTAATTTTTCACTGGTCTGTTTTTCGTACTCATCTGCCCTAAAAAAAAAGGCCAAGTTTTATGAAAACAATGAGGCAATACCATTTCACACATAGCCCATGGAGATGAGGCACTTTGTGCATGAGGTATTTGGTAGAAACCTATAATAATCTAAAACTAAATGTACTAAATACATCTATGTCAGATCCATAAGTATGTAATAAACCAGCCTGCTGGTAAACATGCCCAAATATACTTAGCCTCTTCACAAATTATCAAGATTAGTTATTGTGATATCACATGAGCAGAATTGACCTACTATCTTTCCCTTATTTAAATTTGCTCTGCTTCATCACTGTTCAACTAATGAGTTATTTTCTTAAACTCTGAGCATCTCTCATACTTATTGTTTCATTTATATCTGTATTAATTTGTCCTCGTATTGCTTTAAAGAAATGCCTGAGAATGGGTAATTTATAAGAAAAGAAGTTGAACTTGCTCACAGTTTCTGCAGATTGTACAGGAAGCGTAGTGGCATCTGCTTCTGCGGAGGTCTCAAGAAAGCTCCCATTCATAGCAGAAGGGAAATGGGGTGCAGTCATGTTACATGGTGAAAGCAGGAGCAAGAGAGAGAGGAGGGAGATGCCACAAACTTTTAAAAGATAAAATTTTGTGAGAACTCATTCACTATTGCAAGGGCAGGACCAAGGGGAAGGTACTAGATCATTCATGAGAAATCCACCACCATGATTCAATCATCTTCCACCAGGCCCCACCTCTAACATTAGGGATTACAATCAAACATGAGATTCGAGTGGGGGGACACAGATCCAAACCATATCAATATATAATGCAGATAACTTAAAATTGCAACTTCTTATAGGCTCAATTCAAAGAGTATTGACATTTTAGTTTGGGTCAATAACTGTAGTTGTTTTATACTTCTTTAAGAAGAGGTGTAAGCATGACAATCTGTTAATACCTAGTTTCCACAGAAGCTGCATTGCATATACACAATCCATTATAACTATAGAGATGCAAAGAAGTCTTTGTATGTCTTCAGTAGATTCCCAGCATAGAAAGTAGTGGTAGAGAAAAGCAGACAAGAGCCTTTCTTTTTCTAGATTTTAAGCCAGCAATAGTAAATAAAAGACAAAGAATGTAATTGCATAATGACAAAGGGTTCAATTAAACAAGAAGACTTAAATATCCTAAATATATATATATATATATATATATATATATATATACACACCCAATACTGGAGCACCCAAAATTTATAAAACAAATACTTATTGATATAGGAAAAGACTTGCACACCCACACAATAATATGGGGGCCTTCAACACCCCACTGAAGGTGTTAGATAGATCAGTGAGGCAGTAAACTAGTAAAGATATTCTGGACTTAAATTTGACAAGACCAATTGGACCTAAGAGACATCTATAGAATATGCCACATAGCAGCCATAGAATATATGTTCTTCTCATCTGCACAAGGAACATATTTAAGATCAACCACATGCTCACCAATAAGTCAAGTCTTAATACATTTTTAAAAAATGAAATTATACCAAACATACCTTTGGATCACAATGGAATAAAAATATAAATAAATACCATGAGGAACTCCTCAAATCACACAATTACATGAAAACTAAACAACTTGCTTCTTCATGGCTTTAGAATAAACAACAAAATTAAGGCATAAACCAAAACATTTGAAACAAGTGAAAACAGAAACACAACATACCAAAATTTCTGGAATGTGGCAAAAGCAGTGTTAAGAGGAAAGCTTATAGCACTAAGCACCTATATCAAAAAGACTGAAAAATCTCAAATGAACAATCTAATACCGTACTTAAAGAAACTAGAGAAACAAGAATAAACTAGCCCCAAGGTAGCAGAAAAAAAGAAATAACTAAAATCAGATCAAATCTAAATGAAATTGAGATTTGAAAACCCATACAAAGGATCCACAAAACAAAAAGTTGGTTCTTTTAAAGGATAAATAAGACCAATTGACTGCTAACTAGAAAAACAATGAAAAAACAAGGGAGAAGATCCAAACAAGCACAATCAGAAATGACAAAGATGACGTTACAACTGATCCCACAGAAATACAAAAGATCTTCAAAGACTGTAATGAACACCTCTATGCTTACAAACTAGAAAAATTAGAGGAAATCAATAAATTTCTAGAAACGCACAATTTCCCATGATTGATTCAGTAAGAAATTGTGACACTGCAGAGACCAATAATGAGTTCTGAAATTGAGTAAGTAATAAAAACTTACCAAAAAAAAAAAGAGCCCTAGATCAAAATTACTCACAGTCAAATTCTACCAGATGTGCAAAGTAGAGCTAGTAGCAATCTTACTGAAACTATCGAAAAAAATTGAAGAGAAGGGATTTTGCCTTAATTCATTCTATTAAACCAGTATCAACCTGATACAAATATCTGGCAAAGACACAGGGAAAAAGAAAACTACAGGCCAATATCCCGTATGCATGTAGAGGCAAAAATCCTCAACTAAATACTAGCAAACTGAATCCAGCAGCACAACAAAAAATTAATTCACCACAATCAAGTAGACTTTATTCCTAGGATGCAAGGTTGGTTCAACATATGCAAATAAATAAATGTGATTCATCACATGAATAGAATTAAAATTTTTAAAAACGTATGATCATCTTGATTGGTGCAGAAAAACTTCTGATAAATAGCAACATTCTTTCATGATAAAAACCCTCAACAAATTAGGCATTGAAGGAACATATTTCAAAATGGGAAGTGCCATCTATGACAAATCCATAGCCAATATCATATTGAATAGGCAAGAGTTGGGAGCATTCCCCTTGAGAACCAGAATAAGACAAGTATGCCCACTCTCACCACTCCTATTCAACATATTACTGGAAGTCCTACCCAAAGGAATCAAGCAAGAGAAATAAATAAAAGGCATCCAAATAGGAAAGAGAAAGTCATGTTATTTCTCTTCACTGAGGATATGATTCTACACATATAAAACCTTAAGGACTCTGATGAAAGTATCCTAGACCTGATAAATAACTTCATTAAAGTTTCAGGATACAAAAGTCAACATGCAAAAATCAGTAGCATTTCTACACACCAATAATGTTCAACCTGAGAGCCAACTCAAGAATGCAATTTCATTTACAATAGACACACACAAAAATCTTAGGAATTCACCTAACCAAGAAGGTGAACTAGCTCTACGAGGAGAACTACAAAACACTGCCAAATGAAATCATACATGGCAGAAACAAGTGGAAAAACATTCCATGCTCATGGATTGGAAGAATCACTATAATTTAAATGACCATATGGCCTGAAGCACTCAACGATTAAATACTATTCCTATCAAATTACCAATGCCATTTTTTACAGGATTAGAAAAAAAAACTATTTTAAAATTTATATGAAATGAAACAAGACCCCTGATATCTAAAGCAATCCTAAGTAAAAATAAAGCTGGAGACATCACATTACCTAACTTGAAATTATACTACAAAGTTACAGTAACCAAAACAGCATGATATTGGTACAAAAATAGACATATAGACCAAGGAAATGGAATAGAAAACTCATAAATACAGCCACACACCTACAACCAAATGATCTTTTATAAAGTTGACAAATATAAGCAATGGGTAAAGGAACCCATGTTCAATAAATGATGCTGGGAAAACTGGCTAACCATGGGCAAAATAATGAAACTGGAACCCTTCCTATCTCCATATAAAAAAGTTAACTCAAGCTGGATTAACAACTTAAATGTAAGTTCTCAAACTATAAAATTCCTAAAAGAAAACTTAGAAAATACCCTTCAGGACATAGACTTTGGCAAATCATTTATGACTAAGTCCTCAAAAGAAATTGCAACAAAAAATTGATAAATGGGACCAAATAAAATAAAGAGCTTCTGCACAGCAAAAGATATTATCAATAGAGTAACAAAGAGTGTGCAGAATGGTAAAAAATATTTACAAGGTATGCATCTAGCAAAGAACTCATATCCAGAATCTATAAGGAACTTAAATAAATCAACAAGAAAAACAACCCCATATAAAAATCTGGCAAACAACATAAGCAGTCACTTCTCAGAAGAAGATATACAAACATCCAATAAACATATGAAGAAATGCTTAATATCACTAATCATCAGAGAGATGCAAAACAAAACCACAATGAGATATGATCTCAGTCCTGTCAGAACAGTTATCATTTAAAAGTCAAAATATAACTAATGTTGTTGAGGCTGCAGAGAAAAGGGGATGTTTACATACTGTAAGAATGTAAGTTAGTGCAGCCACTGTGGAAAGCAGTTTGGCGATTTCTCAAAGAACTAAAAATAGAACTACCATTCAACTAGGCAATCCCACAAGTGGGTATATACCCAAAGGAAAATAAATGATTCTACCAGAAGGACACATGCACTCTTATGTTCATTGCAGCACTATACACAATAGCAAAGACATGGAATCAACCCAGGTGCCCATCAACAGTGGATTGGATAAATAAAATGTGGTACATATCACAAAATACTACACAGCCATAAACAAGAATGAAATCATATCCCTGCAGCAGCATGGCTGTAGCTGGAGTCCATTATCCCAAGCAAGTTAACATAGAAACCAAAAACCAAATATTGCATGTTCTCACTTATAAGTGGGAGCTAAACATTAGTTGCACACGGACATAAACATAAGAACATGAGACACTAGGGGCCCCAAAAGGAGTTGGGGGCAAGAAAGGGCTAAAAAACCTCTTATTGGGTATTACCTTCACTTTCTGAGTGATGGGATCAGTAGAAGCACAAACCTCAGGATCACAAAATATACCCTTGTAACAAACCTGCACATGTACCCCCAAAATCTAAACTAAAACCTGAAATTAAATAACATGTTTTCTAAGAAGGTTGTATTATTTGGAGAAGACTTCATTTCGAAGTGCCCTCAGGTATGAGAAAAAATATAAAATGCCCTTTAATGCATTATGAACAAATGGAGATGCATTATACAATGTGGTATTCTGGCAGACCTGGATCAAAAAAGATAGATCAATACTTCATGTATATATAACTTTTTCAAGAAGCTCAAAGCCTTGTTTTCTTCTTCATCTGAACAAAGTTGAAACAACTCAACAATTCTTACTGAAAACTTCATTTTCTTTTAACAAGTTTGTATAAACATCAGATAATCTTTTCTTCAAAGTCCTAGTAATCAGCTCTGTACATTTAACTGTAGTTCTTTGTACAGAATGTCCAGGATGTTAATTTAGTCTTAAGATTTTGAATGTGTAACAGTATTTCAGCATGCAGACTGGAGAAAAGGTACTTTGTTTGAATGCTCACTTCCTTCCTCTCTGCTGTGTATGTGTGCTGTATATTAGACTTTTGAAAAATATAAGGAGCAGTAACACTCTACTTATCTTCCTATCAGACTTCTAGCAGAAACAGCAACCCAGAGCGTAAGTGAAAGCCAGAATTAAATGAATCACTTAAAAATAGAGAGTGGTGAAGAAACTAGCTGTTTTAGTGTCTGGGTTTATATTCTTAGATGAGCAGAACTAAATAGAAAATTGAAGTTATCCTGGTTACTTAGTTTGGCTACTTGCTTTCCTCTGAAAACATTATACCTACCTTACCTTCAAGTACATAGGTATTTTAGTGGTATCAGTGGATGCTGTCCAAAACAGACACATCTATAGCTATGAAAATTGATAGTTAACTGCATAGAAGAGAGAGGAAGGAAACTAAATTTTAGAAAGAACATCAAACTGCAGTCATTAGTTGACCATGATGATTCATTCAATCAATAAATGCATATATATTGAAAGAATATTTTATGCACATGGAATGCATGCATAAATATATGGATAATTGAGAGCATTGCTTGTATGGGGAATAGCAAGGCACTAGGCGTGGCTAAGCGAAGGGCACATGAGGACAAGAAACTAGAAGAGAATGCAGATAGTCATCAATTGAAGCCAGAGCATGGAGGACCTTCAAATCTGGGAATTTGAATTTTATTTGAGGATAATAAGAAGCCACCTGAACCTTTTGAGATTGACATAATCAGATTAATATTTTACAAACTTCACTCTGGCAAAAATGCAAGGTGTGATGAGCATATTCTATTTTTATTTGTGTAACATGGTATATTCATATATATTTATATAGATACCATTATATAATATTTATGTATATGATTATATGCTATCTGTAGAGGGGCACACACAAACTGGTAATAGTGGATAACTCTGGGGAAGGAAAATGAGGATCCAGGGAACAACTTTTGGTTTTTGGGTGAAAAGTTACATTTTACTGTTTAATCTTTGTACTGCTTGAGTTTATTTTTTACCATATATGTTAGCCATGGTTCTGTGTAAGCAGAGCTTGAGGCCAGATTAATGTGTTGACACTTTATTTTGGAGGGCAAGTCCAGGGATTTGAGGGTGAAGAATAAAAGGGGACAAAGGCAAAGCAATGTAAGAAGCAGCGTGAGGCAATGAATTTCTGAGCTGGCTTCTGCTTCACCACTTGTTGTGAGGAGGCACAGCAGGTTGCTCTCAGCAGGTGTGTATTTTTGGCACTGCTGTTGCTGGATTTCTCTGGAAAGCTTAAAAAGGCAGCTTGCTTCTCTGAGTAGTCCTCAGAAGGGAAGGGGAGAGGGGAGGAAGGGTTATTCTTTCTTACTCTTTTATTTGTCAAGTTCACCTTATGCAGAAATAACACCCCATATTTGCAGACTGCATCATCCAGCCACTCAGAGGCCACCCAGGAAGCCAAATCATGCAGTATGGTGTCACATTTCCTTCATGTTCATTAATGGAAGAATGGATTACTGCAATCACACTTGGAGTGAGGGATGTGATAGGTACACAAGACTGAAGCTTTAACTTGGATTGTGGCTAACTCAGTGCACTCTACAAAAGGGGTGGCCGTGCAGGCTAGGAGTTGGGTGAACACGTTTGGAAAGAAAGGTTTTGATGCAATTTGAGAAGGCACACACGTTTATGTCCTAAATGCTTTGTAAAAGTATCATAAAAAATACTATCAGAAAAAAAATCAGAATGCTTCTAGTAGCAGCAGAAAAGATGATTTGAAAAGGGAAAGAATAATGGCGGTCTGGTTAGGAGGCAGTATTATGGCTACTACAGCAAGAGTAGATTAACTAAACCAGTAGAAGGAGAGACGTAAACCACATTCAGAAAGTAGTATCAATAGGATGAGATTACTGATTGAGTGTATGGAATAGGACAGAAGATGTTAGGAATGTAAGTCTTCTAGATTGTAATGTAGGTAGAGAAAACTGGAGGAAGAACAACTGGACTTGGTTTGGGAGGGAAGATAATGACTTCATCTTTGTCCATGTTGAACTGGAGGAAACAGAAGATAGAGATAGTCTGATAAAGATGCCCTGTTTGTATATATCTGGGGCTCAAAAAAAAAAAAAAAAAAAACAAAGGCTGAATAGTTGTCTTGGATCATAAGAATATGGTAGATAAATTTGAGTTGTTTAAATTTGAGGAAATGCAAAAGATCATCAAAGGTTATTTTCATTTTCCTGTTTAAAAGGTAGAGATATATGCACATTTTAGAAATGTATCAATCCAAAATGATTTGAGTCTTAATGCTTAATAATTGTGTCAGTTTTATTAATCAGAACTACAGAAGCCACGCCACCAGTAGTCAATGTACATTCATTCGATCCCTGTCATATACAGATCACCATCTTACATGGTCTGAGGCAATAATAAAGGAAGTGGTAGGCAAGATACCATGCACAGATTGTGACAAATACAAGGTAAACCTAAAACATGGAATATTAACCACCCCATAAAAGCTACTAAAGATATAATTAATCAAACCTCTATATCCCCAAAGCAGCAAAAACATATATACATAGTAACTACAAATATGCCATATGTTAAAAAGTTTTTTTTTTACTAATCTGAACAGTTGTTCTACAAGTTTTTTGCTATGTTTAACATATAACAATAGTTATGCCAATAGTAGTAGTATTTTGATTGATCATAAATTCTCTT
Organism: Homo sapiens; assembly: GCF_000001405.40. Taxonomy (NCBI): domain Eukaryota; kingdom Metazoa; phylum Chordata; class Mammalia; order Primates; family Hominidae; genus Homo; species Homo sapiens. The sequence continues at coordinate 93,445,341 of NC_000023.11, read as the reverse complement.
TTCTCAGGTCTAGAAGGTCTAGAGAGAAACCATTATAAAAACCAATATTTTCAGGCCAAATATACAGTGATGGGAATATTTGGCTTAAGGGTATTGATTCTTGTCTATATAGATAATAAACCTGGGTAATTCAAGACTAGATGGTAAGAGCTGACTTTTTCCCTCTGAACTAAAATGACCATTGTTAATTGAATAAATACTATGTGTGGGACTCTCTGTCCAATTCTTTAAAGATTTATCTCATTTCAAACTTATAAATTACTACAAGATAAAATTATTATACCCATTTTACAATGAGGAATCTGAGACTCAAAAGGGTTTAGTAATTTTCCCAAGAATGTACAGCCAGAAGTGGTAGTCATGATGAAAACTGTGGGAGCCAATATTAGCACCCACCAATATATTCAGTTCTCTTTTTCTTCCAGGTACATGAAGAATTACACTTTCACACCTCCTTGAGGTTAGAAGAGACCATATGGCTAGTTTTGCCTAATGTAAAAAGATCAAAAGTGACATATCTCTTTCAGGACAAAGCATGGAAATGCTCATGCTCAACTTCCCAGCCCTGTCTTCTGATGTTGCAATGGATTCTGGAATTTTGTATTGAGCTGAAAGCATTTTGACTTGATGGAGCTTTCATAAGCCTGAGTGATGATTATGTGGAGCAGACAGAATTCCTCAACTTTTGGTTTCCCAACATATCTGTGGTTAATCTATAGTGGATAAGTAACAGCAGTAAGAAATAAGCCTTTGCTATTTTATTTAAGCCACTGAGATTTTGGAGTTTGTTCTTATAACAACTTAGCCTGTTTGAATTGACAGAGAGCCTACACATTTTTGCTCTATATTCTGTATTATTTCCTCCACCTTTCTGAATTTGCTTTTATATAGCCAAAATGCACCACATAATTGTTCCTTCTTTTCCATTTTTTTTTGCCACAAACACTGGCTTCTTATTAATTTCATTTCTTAAGTAGAATGATGAGAGGCAGGGAAGTCTCCACATGGATTTCTTCAATTAAGCTGAGGGAAATCACAGTGCCATGAAGGAAATCAACTTCCATGTACAGAATCTATTGCAAATGCATACACACAAAATCATTTTTTTTAATTTGCACAAATTTATGGGAGTACATGAAAAATTTTGTTACTTGTATATAACACATAGTGATTAAGGCAGGGTATTTGGTATGTCCATCACCTGAGTACAGTACATTTTTGTTCAATATAATCACCCTACTCTGCTATCAAACACTAAATTTATTCAATGTTTTATTCAATTGTACCTATTAACCAACTTCTTTTCATCCACCCTATTCCCCAACTCATCCTTCCCAGTGTTTATCTGTCTGTCTTTCCATTCCCTACCTCCATGTGATAAAATACATTAGCTCCCACATATATGTGAGAACTTGTGATATTTGTCTTTTTGTGCTTGTGTTATTTCACTTAAGATAATGACCTCCAGTTCTATCCATACTGCTGAAAATGACATAATTTCATTCTTTTTCATGACTAAACTATATTCCACTATGTATATATACCACATTCTTTTTTTATCCATGCTTTGATAGATACTTAGGTCAATTCCATATCTTTGCTATTGTGAATAGTGCTGCAATAAACATGTAACTGCAGGTATGCCTTTAGTATATTAATCTCTGTATTTTTGGGTAGATAGCCAGTAGTGAGATTGCTAGATCAAATGGTAATTCTATTTTTAGTGTTTGGGGAAATCTCCATACTTCTCTCCATAATAGTTTTACTAGTTTACATTTCCATGAACAGTGTAAAAGAGTGCCCTTTTTTCCTGCATCCTTGACAATATCATTTCCTTTTTGTCTTTTTAACAATAGCCATTCTGACTTGAGTAAGATTCTCTATCATTGTAGTTTTAATTTTAATTTATCTGATTATTAGTGATGTTTACCATTTTTTTAAATATGTTTGTTGGCCACTTGTATGTCTTCTTTGGGGAAGTATTTCTTCATGTTCTTTGCCCACTTTTTAACAGAGTTACTTACTTTTTTCTTGTTGGGTTGTTTGAGTTTCTTGTCGATTCTGGATATTAGTCATTTGTCAGAGCCAGTTTGCAAGTGTTTCTTTCCACTCAACACCTACTTCTTCACCCTGTTGATTTATTTATTTTGCTATGCAGAAGCTTTATAGTTAAGTCTCATTTGGATTTTTGTGTGTGTGTGTGTGTGTGCTTTTGAGGTCTTAGTCATAAACTATCTCCCTAGACCGATGTCCAGAAGAGTTTTCCTTGGGATTTCTTCTAGTATTTTTATAGTTTCAGGTCTTACAGTTAAGTCTTTAATTCATTTTGAGTTAATTTTTGTATATTGTGAAAGGTAGAGGTCCAGTTTCATTCTTTCACATGTGTCTATCCAATTTTCCCCACACCATTTATTGAAGAGGGTTTCCTTATCCAGTGTGAATTATTGTCCCCTTTGTTGAAGATCAGTTGACTGTAAACATGTGGTTTCATTTCTGGGCTCTCTATCCTGTTACATTAGCCTATATGTCTATTTTTCATATCAATACTATGCTGTTCTGGTTACTCTAGCTTTGTAATATATTTTGAAGTCAGATAAAATGGTGCCTCCACTTTTGTCTTATTGCTCAGGATTGCCTTGTCTGTTTGTGCCCTTTTTTGGTTCTATGTAAATTTTAGAATTGTTTGTTTTTAATTATGTGAAAGAATGCCTTGGTATTTTGATAGGGATTACATTGAATCTGTAGAGTGCTTTGGGCAACATGGCCACTTTAATGATATCAATTCTTCCAATCCATGAACATGGGCTGTTTGTCCATTTGTGTGTGTCATCTTCAATTACTTTCATCAGTTTTTTGTATTTTTCTTTGTAGAGATATTTCACTTCCTTTGCTAAATTTTTCCTAGGTATTTTATTTTTATAGCTATTGTAAATGGTATTGAATTCTTGATTTCTTTCTCTGCTAGATCATTTGGTGTACAGAAATGCTACTGACTTTGTATTTTGATTTTGCTTCCTGCAACTTTACTGAATTCTTTATTAAATGTGAGTTCTTTAGTATTAAGTCTTTAGTTTTTTTCTAGATATAAGATCATATCATCACCAAAGAGGGACAATTTGACTTACTCCTTTTCAATTTGGATGACTTTTATTTATTTCTCTTGTCTAATTGCTGTGTCTAGGACTTCTAGAACTATGTTGAATAAGAGTGGTAAAAGTTGGCATCCTTACCTTGATCCAGTTTTTAAAGGAAAAGATTTCAACTTTCTCCCATTCAGTGTGATGTTAATGGGGGGTTTGTCACATAGGACTGTCTTAGTTCATTTTGGATAGCTATAGATAAATACCCAAGGATGGAAAATTTATAAAGAAAAAAAGGTTTATTTGGCTTATTGTTCTGCAGGTTGTATATGAAGCATGACAACAGCATCTGCTTCTGGTGAGGACCTTAAGTAGCTTCCAATCATGGTGGAAGAGGAAGAGGAGCAGACATCATATGGCAAGAGGGTAAGAAACAGATAAAGAGGGAAGGGGAGCCACACTCATTTAACCAGCCAGTTGTGGTGGTGTAAACTAATAGATCAAGAACCCACTCATTACCTTGGGGATGGCACCAAGTCATTCATGAGGCATAAAACCTCATGACCTAAACACTTGCCATCAAATTCCTCCTCCAACATTAGGGAACAAATTTCAACATGAGGTTTTAAGGACACAGATATCCAAACTACACCAATGGACTTTATTATTTTGAGGTATGTTCCTTCTATGCCTTATTTGTTGGGGGTTTTTATGAAGAAATATTGAATTTTATCTAATGTTTTTTCTGCATCTATTGAGATGATCTTATGGTTTTTGTCCTTCATTCTCTTAATGTGATATATTATATGTATTTATTTGCATATGTTGAACCACTTTTGCATCCCTGATGTAAGTTTCACTTGATGATGGTGTATATCTCTCTAATGTGCTGTTGGATTCAGTTTGCTGGTATTTTGTTGAGGATTTTTGTGTCTGTGTTCATTTGGGATATTGGCCTGTAGTTATCATTTTTCTCGTTGTGCCCTTGTCTGGTTTTGGTGTCAGGGAAATGCTGGCCGGATAGAATGAGTTATAGATAATTTCTTCCCCCTCAATTTTTTTTTGGAATAGTTCTCGGGAAGATTAGTATTAGTTCTTCTTTGTAGGTTTGGTAGAATTTGGCTGTGAATCTGTTTGGTCCCTGGCTTTCCTTTATTGGGAGAATCTTTGTTGCTGATTCAATCTTGCTACTCATTATTAGTCTGTTTAGGTTTTCTACTTCTTCCTGATTCAACCTTGGTAGGTTGTTCTTTTCTGGGAACTTATCAATTTCCTTTAGGTTTTCCAGTTTGTTAATATATAGTTGTTCACAATAGTCTTTGATAATCTTTTTAAGTTTCTGTGGTATTAGTTGTAATGTCTACTTTTGCATTCCTGATTTTGCTTATTTGGGTCTTCCCACTTCTTTATTTGGTTAGTCTAGCTAGAGTTTATTAACTTGGTTTATCTTTTCAAAGAACCAACTTTTTATTTTATTAATCCGTTGTATTTTTTTTAGTCACCATTCATTTATTTCTGCTCTAATCATTATCATTTCTTTTCTGCTGCTAATTTGGGGTTTGGTTTGTTCTTGCTTTTCTAGTTCCTTGAGGTGTATTGTGAGATTGTTAATTCATAATTTTTTAACTTATTTTATGTATGCATATGTTGCAATAAACTTTCCTCTTAGCATTGCTTTGCTGTATCCCATGGTGGCCAATTCTTGGGACTCCAGGTGGTTTGCTTGGATGCTGGTAATGACAGCAGTGGGCCAGGTATGTGTGAAAGTTCCCAGGCCCCTGGGAAGCTGGTGTGATGTGGGTGATGGCAGTAGCAGTGGTGGAGCAATCCACTGGAACCCAAGCGGTCTGTGCTGGTGTTGGCAGTGGCTGTGACAGGTTGATTAGGCCAGTCCCCTGGCCTGCTTGTGGCACATGTGGGTGTGTGATAGCTGTGGTGGTATCAGCAGGTTTGGTTGGCCCAACATCAGATTCCAGGAGGAGTGTTTAGGTACCAGTGGTATAAACTAGACTGGGCAGTTTCCAGGCCCCTGAATGGCATGTTTGAGTACTGGAGGACCTGTCCTCAGTTTTCCTGGTAGTATGTTTAAGCTCTGGCTATAATAGGCATGGGCAGAATGGCCCCAGCCTGCTGGTGAAATGCTCACGTGTGGGCAGTATCAGTTGCCTTGTGGGCCTGCTACCAGGGAATGTGGAGCCCCTTTCAGTTAGAACAACAGAGGCAGGTAGCTAGGGGGAGTGCACTTTGCTCATGTCTTCGTCCCACAGCAGCACCCACAGGAGCAGTGGGATTTGTCAGTGGGAAGCACATGAAAGTACCTAGGCTCCCCTCTCACTCCTTGACCTGGCTGAGACAGCATCAGCCCCAGCCCCAGGCAGGACACAGACATTTGGAGGCTAGGCTTTCAGAATAGTGCTGACCGTGGGCTTGGCACTAGGGAGACAGGGTAACTCTCAGCTGGAGCAGCATAGGCAAGTAGCTGTGGAGAGTGCAGTTTGTGCCTTTTCCCCACAGCAACCAACTGCAACAGTGGTGGGATTTGTCCTCAAAGCAAGTGAAAGTGTCCACTTCTACTCTCCCTCCTTGGCCTGGTGGTGGCAGTGGCAGCATGACAGTGGCAGCATGGCAAGGCAGTATACAGTCCTTTAGAGGCGGCTTTCAGAATGGTTCCAACCTGCAATTGCTCAGGGCTTAGATGACTGTGAGACTCTGTGTGAGTTCCCTGTTTGAAGCAATGCCTCAGTGCAGTTTCTAGACAGCTCCCTATGTAGTCTCAAGGTCCCTGTAGGTTAAGGAGTTCCCCCATGACTAAGATTGTAAAAGATCATGGCAGGAATTTGAAGTCCTGGAGGTTTCTCTCTTACACTTTCGCCACATCTGGGAGCTTCTCCTGGCTCCCAGCCTATCCTGGCCCAGCAGGCTGCCTCACTTTCCTCTCCTTACTTGCTTTCAGGGCTTCTCTTTACGTCACTGTTGAATCCCAGTGTTCTGTCTTAGACAGTCTATTTAAAGCGTTAACATCTACTTGTAATTTTGGTTCCTCTCCATGGAGGAGGTGTGTACTAGCTGCATCTAGTCAGCCATCTTTCTGCCGTTTTCTAGAAAATCATTTTATGTCATGAACTTGATCTGAGAGCAGCCAGGAGAGAGAAATACATATTTGTCTGGGAATCCGACTTCCTACTCCACTTGCAAGCTCAATGGCACTCACAGGGTACATGTATTTTGCCACGTTCCTGGGGTCTGGATGTGTCAGTGTGCAGCTTATGATGGAAGTTGGTCTTCAGCTAATTGACAACTCACTAGTAAGTTCTGATGTAAAAGTAGTCACTGTCTACAGGAACGCTTGTGTTTTCCTTGAAGTATAATATGACATTTTGATATTCAGCTGAATTATATACTCTTCTCCTATAGCTTGGATGTACCTTAAAGGACATGCTGAGAAGTAAAATGAAAATTAAGGTATTTTGTGCTCCTGGAATTGGTTTAGGATCAACATTTAAAAATAAAGTTTATGTCAACAGACTGGGGTTACATGAGAAAAGCGATGTGATTATAACTCATCTAGATCTGACTCTAATGAATAAATGTGTTAGAGAGCACAGCCATTCTGATCATGACCTCCGGTAGCAATGCTCGGGCTAAGTTTCTCTATTCGTCATTATGATGTGATTATATTCATTATTCTATCAAAGTTTGGCATGACAGGCGTAAGGTTTCTATGGGCAACCTTATCTAGAGATAGAAGAATGAAGTCATCTTCCTCGTGGTGTAGCAGGACGAGTCGCAGACAAAACTCCTCAGACACTGAATTAAAGAAGGAAGAGGTTTTTTTATTCAGCTGGGAGCGTCAGCAGACTCATGTCTTAAGAGCCGAGCTCCCCGAAAAAGAAATTCCTAGCCCTTTTAAGGGCTTATAACTCTAAGGGGTTTACGTGAAAGAGTTATAATAGATTAAGTAAGCGTGAGGAACATGACTGGGGGCTACATACATTAGCTAACAGAATAAAAAGTTTTACAGTGCTTTCTCATACAATGTCTGGAATTTACAGATAACACCAGTAGTTTTGGTCAGGGGTTAATATTATTATTATTTTAACCACCAGGGCCAGGTGGTGGCGCCAAGGTCATCTAGCTATTTATCTTCTGTTTCTTTCCAACTTTTTGCTTTCTCCCTTTTCTCCTGTCTTATAAATTAGGGAAAAGGGGAGGTAGGGGAGAAACTGGGAAGGACAACAGGAGAAGTGGTGGTCTCATACCACATTTCCCCCCTTTGAGAATTTTCACTTTTTAGTGGGAGTTCTCACTCTCATCCTCACTTTTTGAGTCTCTTTGCGAGATAGAGCGATAGTGATTCATATAATACACCTGTGCTGAAGTTTTCTGATGAACCAAAATAGCAACAAAACCTTTTATTATTTGAAAAAGCAAGGGTAATACACAGGGGAGCAGCAAGCAAGTTCCTATTACTAGCAATACACCTACAATGAGGGTTTTAAATCCTCCCATAGCTGGAAACCATTTTCCAAATAAAGACTCAGGATTAAACTCGTGTACAGTTTAATCTGTACAGGCACATGTGCCACCTTTGTCATGTCCCTGACTATGTTTTCAACCACCTGTCCTTGATCATCTATTTGTAGGCAGCAATTGGTTAAGTTAAAGTTTCCACAAACTCCTCCTTCAGCTGCTAGCAAGTAGTCCAAGGCCAGTCTATTCTGATAGATAGCATTCCTCATTTGGGTTTCTTGCCAAGCCAAAACAGTCAAAGCTCTGCCAGTTTCATTAGTAATTATTTTTAAGATGGCCTGCAACCGTATGATCCGATTGAGCATGTAGATGGGGGTTCGGTATCCCCATGAGCCGTCTTGTGCCCATGTGGCAGGCCCATAATACTGTATGATCCTTTCAGGGGGCCACTCATTATCTTTCCAGTTTCCTATAACTATGCCTCTCTTTTCTTGGGAGGCATAGATGGGGAAACCTAGGAGCTCACCCGTTTTTATGGGTAATAAGAAAAAGCACAGCTTAATAGTGCCAATAACACAACTGCCTGCCCATTTATCAGGTAACCGAATATAGGCTCTGTGCCCACATATCCAGTATAGTCCAGCGGGAGCCATCCAGTCCTGATGAGATTCTGGATGAGCCCAAGCAGTTTTTAACTTAGAAAATTTACTAAATGGCTTCTTTTCAGTGTGGTTTAGGCCCCAACAAGTAATTGTCTTTGTTGTGCTGTTATACAACTTCTGACCTATACAATTAAGCTTTCCTACAGGGATGATAAAGTCTTTCCCTTCTCTAGCTATACAGTATTGTCCAATAATTGAGGTTTTTAAGACCCAGAAGTTGCTAGCTTGGGCCTTCTGAACTGGAATTATGTCAGGAGCTGGATCAGTAGGCACCAACTCTCGGGCTTCCCAAGGCCATCGGTCTCCGATAGTGGTTCCCCCGCATACATAACAAGAAGTAACATTAAGGGAATGAGCTACATTTTCTGCTAATTGGAGAAACAAATTTTTTGTCTTTTTTGGAAGTTCTGGTGCTGGCAGATTCAGCTCCTCATAAAAGGTTTGAAATACTGGTTTGGGAGAGCGCTTGGGGACCTCCCCTCTAATTAAAATGGCAACTTGGGGGTTTAACCCTGTCCCATCAATCCCCAGGGTTACACGTTCTCCGTTTTTCCAACGGGGATCTAGGGGATTGGTAATTATTAGTTCTAGTGGGTTACAGTGACCGGCAGCACAGGAGGGGTTGGCTTCCCCCTTCTGAAGATAAACTGGGTCCTTTTTGTTCTTTTTCCAAGTAGCTCAAATAACACATGGCCAACAGGCACAATTTTCATAAACCCCTGACTCATGACAAACATATTTATTTTCTACTCTGTAGCTCCTTTCCCAGTTAAGAGAACCACATCCTATTCCTAGCTTTTTACTATTAATGGCTGCACAAGCATCACATCTTAAAGTTATTTGTTTGGGGATTCCTTTTTTCTTCTGTTCTAGTTATTATTTTCCTTGTATCACCTAGGAAAAGGCCATTTCTTAATCTTATTTTAAAAACGATGGTTGCAAGGGGCTCAGATGGGTTATAACACACATCAGGTCAGTCATTTCCCAGGCTACATACCTTGTACTGAGTGGCATTATACAAACAAGTTTCTTTTAATGTTCCCATACATTCATAATAACTATAGAACAGAAAGATTGTTTTAGTTTGCTGTCCTACCTCGGTGACCTGATGAATACACTGGGAACAGTCCCCAGTTTGAGTAAGGTCAGTTGAAGCCCTTACTGTATAAGTCCAAAATTTAAGAAAAATGAATCCCATGATGAGCTTCCTCATGCTTCAGCCATGTGTGGACCAGTCAGCTTCCAGGTGTGACTGGAGCAGGGCTTGTCGTCTTCTTCAGGGTCACTCTGCAAGGGTTGTCTGGGCTTGGTCTTGCCTCCCAGGTTTCAGGTGCTGTAGGTTTTCCATGGCTGTGGTGGATCCAGGCTGGGATTCCCTCTACCTTCACAGTGGTGGGAGTGGTCAGGACGACAGTCTGGGGTCCTTTCCACCGTGGACACAAAAAGGCTACGTTCCAGTCCTTGATCCACACTCGATCACCTGGGGAGAAAGGGTGAACTGGGGAGAATAAGCTAACAGGGCATTTCTCATTTACCCAGGCTGAGATTGTTTGTGTAATTTTTCCTAAAGCCTGTAGCTGTCACTGTAACTCAATTTCACCTAACTCTCAGGGAGTGCCTGGAAGTCCCCGCAATATAGGAGGGGGCCTATGATATAATATTTCATAAGGGGAATATCCTGTTCTTTTAGAAGGGGTATATCTAATTTTAAATAATACCATAGGGAGAGCCTGTATCCATTTTAATCCTGTTTCCTGACATACTTTCCCTAAACTATTTTTGATAGTCCGATTCATCCGCTCCACCTTTCCGGAACTCTGAGGCCGGTAGGCAGCATGCAGTTTCCATGTGATCCCCAATACCTTTGCCATCTTCTGTACCAAGTCAGCCACAAATGCCGGCCCGTTATCTGAGCCGATCCATAAAGGCAGTCCAAATCTAGGAATAAGATCTCAAAGAAGCACACGAGTTACTTCACGAGCTTTCTCAGTTCGTGTTGGATAAGCCTCCACCCACCCAGAGTAGGTACACACAAGAACTAGTAAATACTTGTTACCTCCACACTTTGGCATCTCTGTGAAGTCCACCTGGATCCAGATCTTCAAAGGGGGCTTCTCCATAAGCTTGTATGCCAGGTGGAACAGCTAGACCTTGCCTCGCATTATGCTGTCGGCAGGTAACACACCGCTGGGTCACCGTTTTGGCAAGGGCTGACAAATGCGAGATGTAGAAATACCAGCCTAACAACTTTTCAAGTGATTCCTGACCTAGATGGGTGGTTTCATGGACAGCCAGTACAACTGCAGCTCCTAGCAGCTGTGGCACAGCTACTCTCCCATCTGGTAACCGAATCAATCCTTCCTCCATCACTTGTCCTCCCTCTGCCTGGAGAAAGTCATTTTCTTCTTTAGAATAAGTAGGTACAAGATCAGGTGCTTGAGGGAGCAGGGGGGCTGTGACTGATGCCCGGAAGGGGGCAGATGCTGCTTTTCGAGCCTCTAAGTCAGCGTGGGAATTCCCCAAACCCACCAAGGTGGAAGCCCACTGGTGTCCTCTGCAATGCATAACTGCCACCTTGTGTGGTTTCTATACTGCTTCTAATAATTGCAAGATTTCTTGTTGATATTTTATGTCCTTTCCCCCAGAGTTCAATAGACCCTTTTCTTTATATAATGCTCCATGCACTTGAAGGGTTAAAAAGGCATATCGACAGTCAGTGTAAATGTTTACAGTCTTACCTTCACTGAGTTCTAAGGCCCAAATTAAAGCAATGAGTTCAGTTTTCTGAGCTGAAGTGCCCTGGGGCAACGATCGGGCTTCAACAACAGTGTCCAGAGTTACCACCGCATACCCTGCACATCTCTCTCCTTGTGGGTTGATGAAGCTGCTCCCATCCACGTATAGTACCCAGTCTACTGATGCCCAAGGCTGGTCCCGGAGGTCAGGTCTGCTAGAGTAAACTGAGTCCAACACTTCTACACAGTCATGCTTGACAGGGCTCTCTGATACCAGGAGCAAGGTAGCGGGGTTCAGGGTGTTACAAACTTCAATGGTTATATGGGGATTTTCACAGAGCAAACTTTGGTACTTAGTGAGTCTAGCATTCATTAGCCAATGATGTCCTTTAGTATTCATTAAAGTCACCACAGTATGGGGGGCCTTTATGTTCAGGTTTTGCCCAAGAGTCAGCTTATCTGCTTCTTGTACTAGCAGGGCAGTTGCTGCCAAGGCCCTCAAACATGGGGGTCATCCTTTAGAAACCCCATCTAGTTGTTTAGAGAGGTAGGCCACTGGCCTCGGCCAGGGCCCCACAGTATGGGTTAAAACTCCAACTGCCATCTTTTCTTTCTCTGACACATATAATATAAAAGGCTTTGTCAGATCGGGTAGCCCCAGGGCTGGGGCTGACATAAGTCTTTCCTTTAACTCATGAAAGGCTTGCTGTTACTGGGATCCCCATTCAAAATGTTCCCAGTCCCCCACCTTTGTGACCTCATACAAAGGCTTAGCTAATACTGCAAAGTTTGGGACCCACAGTCTGCAAAACCCCACTGCCCCTAAGAATTCTCTCACCTGCCTTCTGGTCTTAGGCTCCGGTAGATTACAAATGACTTGCTTTCTTTTTGATCCCAGGCTGCACTCCCCCTGCCGGATAGTAAATCCCAAGTAACGTACCTGCTGTCGGCAGATCTGAACTTTTTTCTTGAACACCTTATACCCACAGTCCTCCAGGTGCCGGAGTAGAGCATCTGTTCCCTTGGCGCACCTGACTGCCGTAGGGTGTCCCAGAAAAAGGTCATCAACGTACTGGAGCAACATGCAGCCTAGGTCTCTGGTGGGAAACTTCTGGAGGTCTTGAGCCAATGCCTCCCCGAAGATGGTGGGGGAGTTCTTGAACCCTTTGGGAAGCCGGATCCAAGTGTACTGAGTAGTGACACCTGACTCCGGATCTTCCCACTGAAAGGCAAACAGCTTCTGGCTCTCAGGGGCTAATCTGATGCTAAAGAAAGCATCTTTCAGGTCCAAGCAGGTGAACCAGCTGTCCTCAGCTGGCAGCAACCCCAGCAATGTGTACCAGTTAGGTACTGTTGGGTGTAAAGTCACTGTAGCCTGATTAACCAAGCGCAAATCCTGTACCGGCCTGTAGTCCTTGGTCCCAGGCTTGGGAACAGGCAGGAGGGGAGTGTTCCATGGAGACTGACAAGGAACTATAATTCCAAAGGTTCTTAGGCACTTGAGATGGACCTGGATACCTTGAAGAGCTTCTCTGGGGACCGGGTACTGTTTTTGCCTAACCGGCTGGGCCCTAGGCTTAACTTCTATAAGTACGGGGGCTTGGTTGACTGCCAACCCTGGAGGGTTGTCTTCTGCCCACACTCTTGGCCACCACTTAGCCAGAGCTGGTCTTATCTCTTGGCCCGACTCAGTTAAGAAAAGTTTCCATTCCTCCTCTCGGGGTACCATAAGGGTCATAATGACTCCCGTTCCGGGTAACTTTAGCAGCAAAGAGCCATGCTCTGTAAAATAGATAGTGGCTCTCAGTTTGCTAAGCAAGTCCCTTCCCAACAAGGGCAAGGGACAATCAGGCATGTACAAAAACTGATGAATCACTTTATGTCCTCCTACAGTACAAGTCCGGGGCAAGCAGAAAGCTTGTTTTGCTGAAACTCCTGTGGCTCCAATTATGTCAATAGTCTTTTTGGATAAGGGGCTGACCGGGGTGGTTACTACCGAATGTTCAGCACCGGTATCTACAAGAAAATCAATGTCTTTACCCCCAACTGTCATCCTGACCATAGGCTCTTTGGGGGTCCTTGAGCCCGGTCCCCCTCAGTCCAATAACCTTTCTGCCAGGTTGAGCAGGGCCCCTTCCTCCTTGTCTGGATCCTCCTGCTCCGAGTCACCTTGTTTTCCTTTTAGCTGAGGGCATTTGTTCTTCCAATGTCCTATTTCTTTACAATAAGCACACTGATTACGCTGCAAGCTCTGACAACCAGGCTGAATTTCTTTCCCGGGGCCCCCCTTCCCTTGCCTCTTTGGGGGGACCCCTGTGATTGCTGCAGCTAACAGGTCGGCATTTCGCCGGACCTGATGTTCATTCTCTCTGCGGTTTTCCTTAGGGCTTACTGCATCCCTGTTTACAAACACCTGGTTAGCTATTTCTAATAACTGTGATGTGTTCATCCCTGCAAACCCAGCCTGTTTCTGCAGTTTTCTTCTAATGTCTTCTGCACTTTGACTAACTAAAGCCATGTTAATCATGCGCTGATTTTCAGGACTATTGGGATCAAAGGGAGTATACATACAATAGGCCTCACACAGCCTCTCGTAGAATTGTGCTGGACTTTCTTCTTTTCCCTGAATGGCCACGTTTGTGGCCTTCTGGGCTCCCCTCTTTAATCCTTCCAAGAGAGCTTCCCTGTATCGGTTTAGCCTTTGCATATCCTCTCTTTCATTTGGGTCCCACTGGGGGTCGGTTCCCGGTAACTGGGTCCTTACATACTCTTGGGGGTTTTGGTAATCAGCCGGTGCATGTTCCTCTAGCCACTTAGTTGCTGCTTGGAGCACTCTCCGCCTTTCATCTGTGTTAAAGAGGAACATGAGCAACTGGTGGCAATCAGCCCAAGTGGGGTTATGGGTCTGGATAATAGTTTGGAGCAAATCAATTAGAGCTTGCGGCTTTTCAGTATAGGATGGGGTATTGTTTTTCCAGTTGAGGAGGTCGGCAGAGAAGAAGGGCTGGTACACAAAAACACGCCTCTCCACCATGTGCCCATCCTCATCTATTCCAGTATACCACTGCTCTCTCAGGGGCATTTGTATCCCCGTTTTGGGTCTTAAACCAGCTGCCAAGGGAGGGGTTTCTCCCGAGGCTTCACCTCCTCTCTTGCCTACTCTGGGTGGCCTAGGGATGTTTGTCTTGTGGAGGTGCAAGCCCCGTGGACTCAAAAGTGGTGAGCCTCTCTCCCTGGTAACGGGAGGGCACCACTGGGATCACTGGTGCCATCTCCTGCAATGGATCTTCTGATGTTGGGTCGAACAGAACTTCAGGAGTTGATTTCCCTCGGCGGGTGGAGCGGGATCCTTCCTTGGCTATCTGTCCCTTTGCTACTAGCACTGCTGCTGCCTGCCCTCTTAGCCACTGCGGGGGGTCTACCAGATGTAACCAAGTGTCTATGTATGGAAACTGGTCTGAGTGTCCTGACTTACCAGTTACCTTGTGCCATACCTTAGAAACAAGGGACCTGTCCAGGCTTCCTTCTGATGGCCAATCCACTTCTAATGTTGGCCAATCTATTTCACACAAAGTTCTAAGTTTTCCTGGTGTCATAGTAACCCCATAGTCTCCATTAAATCCCTTCTTAAAATTTTTCAACATAGTTCCTAGCGGAGTAAGCTTACTTTGTGTCTGACCCATGTTTCCTTAAGACAAAACACCGAGCTCACACCACACGCACACCACAGAACAAAGAATAGGTAAAAAGGGCACACACACACTTTTTCAGTTTTCACCAAACCAGAATCAAAACCAAAATCAGAGTATCCAGAAATCCAAGCCAGGTCAAACCAAAACCAAAGTATCAAGCAATTTAAGTCAAGTCAAAAACAAAAACCAAAGTGCCAGTACAGGCACACCATGGGTGCTCAGGCCACGCTTCCACTCAAATGGAGTGGGCAAGTTCCAAAGACCAGTCTTACCAAGTTTCAAATGTCCAGACTCCAAGTGCCAGTTCCTTCCCGGTGTTCAGCCACTGCGTTGATCCTCCACGGGGGCCTGCCACACACTGCTCTGACGAGGCATTCCACCGAGGCAATTGCCTACCTGGGAGCGCTCTCAGGATCCGCGTCGCTCAAGCTGGCTAGAGTCCCCTGCAGGGATGCTCCACAGGGCAGGCCTAAGCCGCCTAAGGGGCTGCCTCGACTGTCTATCAATTACCTCGCTTCCCAGTCAGGGAACCAAGAAATGTAGCAGGACGAGTCGCAGACAAAACTCCTCAGACACCGAATTAAAGAAGGAAGAGGTTTCTTTATTCAGCTGGGAGCATCGGCAGACTCGTGTCTTAAGAGCCCAGCTCCCCAAAAAAGAAATTCCTGGCCCTTTTAAGGGCTTACAACTCTAAGGGGTCTACGTGAAAGAGTCATAATGGATCAAGCAAGCATGAGGAACGTGACTGGGGGCTACATACATCAGCTAACAGAACAAAAAGTTTTACAGTGCTTTCTCATACAATGTCTGGAATTTACAGATAGCACCAGTAGTTTTGGTCAGGGGTTAATATTATTATTATTTCAACCACCAGGGCCAGGTGGTGGCACCAAGGTCGTCTAGCTATTTATCTTACTTCTGTTTCTTTCCAACTTTTTGCTTTCTCCCTTTTCTCCTGTCTTATAAACTAGGGAAAAGGGGAGGTTGGGGAGAAACTAAAAAAGACAACAGGAGAAGTGGTGGTCTCATACCATAGTGGATTTGCCTTTAAATGTTAGTAAGATTGACTTTATTTTGCACGTACACTGGCGTGTCTAAATGTTGTTTGAGATACAATTTAATTATTATGTGAAATATAAATATTTCCAGATAAAATCTAATTTCAATTAAATACCTACAAATAGGCCAATCCTCAAAAAGTTGTTTCACTTTTGTTAGGAGAGCAGTGTGTCCTCATCTTTTTTTCTTTTTTTCTTTTTTTTTTTTTTTTTTTCAGATGGAGTCTAGCTCTTGTCACCAAGGCTGGAGTGCAATGGCACAACCTTGGCTCACTGCAACCTCTGCCTCCTGGTTCAAATGATTCTCTTGCCTCAGCCTCCTGAGTAGCTGGGATTACAGGTGCCCACCACTACACCTGGCTAATTTTTGTACTTTTAGTAGAGACGGGGTTTCACCCTATTGGCAAGGCTGGTCTCGAACTCCTGACCTCAGGTGATCCGCCAACCTCGGCCTCCCAAAATGCTGGAATTACAGGTGTAAGACACCATGCCCGGCCCCTAATCTTCTTTAAATTCTGTTTTGCTTTACATCTAGTTTGTTTTCACAATTTTTCTCCCTTAAAATACAATTTAATTGACTATCATCTTGCAAATCAATCTTGAGACTTTGCTAATGTCAAAACACCAGAGTAAATTGTGTGTGATTTAGAGACAGCTATGGAATTCAGAGATCAAATTGTAGCCAAAGTATTATTTTAGAGTTCAATGATGGTATCTAAAAGATATTATTCAAGACATATTTAGAAGTGATTAGTCATTTTACTATTTTCATGGAAAATCTCTGATTCACTACTTCAAATCTCTCAGCCTTACCTCTTATTTCAGCCATCTTTGCAGTAACCAGTTCCCCAGGGACTTTGACAAACTTAATGTAGGTGATACCTGACAGCATCTCACCATGAGCCTGTGCTAAATGCCTCTTGCTTCCTGCCTTGTGCTTCTCTGAAACCACAGCACAGGCCATGATGCGAACTTGCTCACTACTCGGACAAATGCAAACTGAAAGTGCAGAGGAAGTTAATGCTTCACAGATTAAGCCTTGACCGATGAGAAATGAAATTCTATGGATAAATGCTTTCTTATATCTTCCCATGAATAGATCATTCTGAGAAGCATTTCCTAAGCCTTCTCACAAAGTTAAGCAACAGCGAGCAACCAATCACCTCTAGGAGTGGCCACTTTTCGTAAGGATTGTAATTGGCTTTCCCTCCTTCCCTGTTTCACAAACTCCATCCCTCATTCCTGTTCCCTGGATCATTGTTTAAAATAAGCTATTCCCTCTGGCTTTTATTTTAGGGAAACTGAGGCGAAGACATTATATACATTTATTAATTATGTTTAGACAAACTCCAAATGTTTATCACAGCTTGGTGATTACAATACAATAAGAAACATTTAAGCGATGCCCACTAAAAGAAATTTCTAATTTATCTACCTTTTTTTTTGAAGAAAAGATACTGTATCAGGGAGAGAACACATTTATTCAAGATAGATAACAATAGGGATTGTATACAAATGACACATAAGGCTGATAAGCACATAGCTAAGGAAGTCTTTGTTTTTTTATTCACTCATTCATTCATTCATTCAGAGAATATTTATTGAGTGTATACCAGATGCCAGGCACAGTGCTGGGTATTAAATGTAAATATAGTAGATATGGTCCCTGTCCTTATGGAGATTATAATTTTTAGATTTTATAGTGGTCAATCTGAGACAGATCTAAGAAATTTAATCAGCAGAGAAAAAATGAAATCTTTTCTCAGCACAACTTCCACCATCACTCCCAAATAATTTCAGAGGTAAATATATAAGTAAAAGTAGAGACTACAGAAGGGGAAAAAAAAAAAAAAGAATAAGAGTAATTAGTAGAGTCAAGAGCCCATGCCAGCAATAAAGAAAAGTCCCTGATTATAGCCATTGGAGCAGTCACCTATGCATTGTTGCTTTAATTCTTCTCTGGCATTTAATCTGTAAATGGTCCTGTTCATGGACTCCCTTGCTACAACAACACTGAGCATTCCCTCCCAATGAAGTTCTTGGCAGGCTATTGTCAACTTTCACTCCCAGAACTTAAGCTCAATAGGATGTTTGTCGCCTACACCAGATTTGCAGTTGTACAACCAAGAAGGCAATTACTCAAGAAACTGTTTGAAGGAAGGAAAAAAAGACTGAGGACTTTACACGGTACTCTAGCTATCCACATTAATTTGGATCTGGGTTTAAAATACCATCTAAATTATGCATTATGCTCTGGGGTTCACTAACACTTTTCTCAAGCTTCAAGGACTGCCATCTCACTCTAAACTTATGTGACTAGTTGTGACTAACGATGCTTAGTGTCTCAATATGTTAGGGCATTTACATCTCCTTCTAAGTGTTTAATCTCAGGGCCCCTAAAGAGTTCACAAAGCAAGGGGAAGTAAAACAGGGTGAGGAAATCATGTTAAGAAAGGCAATATATTAAAATAAAGTTTATTTAAATAAAGACTAACCAAACTGCTTAGAAAATGAGACTTTCTTGTTGATTGCTCTATTTATTGGAAGGTTAAAGAAAATATTTTGTGTTGAGATATTTTTCACAATGAGAGGTCTCTAACCTCCCCTAATAATAAATCTAATAGAGTAAATATCCAATTATCTCAATGTTGTGTTTGAAGTCTTGGATAATAATTGCTAATATAAATATCAGCTATAGGCCATGGTGCTAAGTGGTTTACACAATTATGTCATTCAAACCTCACAACGAAACAATAAGGCAGATACTATTATTAGCTACATTTTACAAGTGGCTCAGAGGGGGTATGAAACTGGTCTAAGGCCACATAGCTAGTCAGTGGCAGAACTGGAACTTGAATCTAGATACAAAAGAAGCAAAAGAAGATGATTTATATAGAAGACAGATGATGGCGATCTAACATGTAATAACTGGTATTTTTGAAATATGAAGCAGAAATTACCCCCAAATTGAAAGACATAATAAAAGCAAACTTTTCTGAAATAAAGGAAACTTAGACATTGTAGATCAAAAGGGTACTTGGAAAAATTGTTAGGAAATGCTTAAGAACAAGATATATTCTTTTTTTTTTTTTTTTTAAATTACACTTCTGGGATACGAGTGCAGAACGTGCAGGTTTGTTACATAGGTATATACGTGCCATGATGGTTTGCTGCACCCATTAACCCGTCATCTACATTAGGTATTTCTCCTAATGCTATCCCTTCCCTAGTCCTGGACCCCCCGACAGGCCCCCGGTGTGTGATGTTCCCTACCCTGTGTCCATGTGTTTCATTAAGAACAAGATATATTCTTATAAAATCTTTGAACTTCAAGGACAAAGAAAGAAACAATTATTTCAACAAAGGAAATAGATGACTTACAAAATGAAACCCCATGGCTGGTCTCAAAAATCTCATTGGGAATGGATTCAAGCAAACAGTAGAACAAATCAATATAAAATGCTGTAGCCCAATAATTCTGTATCCATCTAGAATGATGTTTATTTCAAAGGTAAAGGAAACATTCTCAAATGTGTAACAACTCAAGGGTTTTAGCATCTATACATGTTTCTTGAAAAATCTTGAAAAAAGTGGTCTCTCTTAATATCCAGTTTTGCTTTACAAGAGAAACAACCTTTGAGCTACTTTCCTGGAGACTTAATTTGTAGTGCACCAGAAAAATTGTCCTTGACAAATAGATTTTTGTAGCAATTCTAGTATTAGAGATTGCTTTAAGTTAAAATGAAATTCTTTTAAAATGCGAATACTTATGGGAAAGCTAACATATTCAAGCATTTCAGTCATTGACCACACCTTAATGAATACATTTAATTGACCAGTTTTTTCCTCCTAACAGCTAAGCTGAGGTCAGGTGAACCTGCTGCTTAAGAAATTTGATGTGATGGGAAGAAGAACATTTTGGAAGGAAGGTAGATGAAGAAGCCTGAGTGGGATGCAAAGCATAGCCAGAAAGCATTTGTGTGCCCTTAAGACAAAATGACTAAAGTTTTTTTTTAAGATTTGTTTAGCACAAGTTAAATGTAGAAAATTGAACAATGTCTGGAATGAGTCCAAAACATACACTGAAAATATTTTAAACATGAATCCTTGATATTGTTATCCTCTGATTTTCTTTTGTATATTTCTTCAAAACATACTATTCAGAAACAGTCATGTTGACTAAGTGTTCCAGTTTTAGAGTTTTATTTAAAATTATCCTTCTTAATTCAGCAAATGAGATCTATACTCAGGTTGAACTATAATAATGGGTATTAAGAATCATCAACAAGGAAAACATTATCTAGTGTGCATTTCATACCAACACTAACAGATTATTCCTTGTTATCTTAGCTAAGGCAAAAACAATTGTATTATGGCTTTTTAGCTCTTTAAGAAATTAACTACAACAGTATGTGGGCATTCATGTCTGCCACACACTTAATATTGCAACAAATATATAAGAGGATGACCCTGACTCATAATATTTAAACTTTAGTACTTAAACAATTGAGTGTATTCTAATGAACATGTAACATAGAATTTTCACTTTGAGTGCTATGGAGTTGTATGACTCCCAACAGCTTAGAAAGGGCAAGAAAAGAACATAGGTTAAGGAACCCAGAATTTAAATGATACCATCCTACATACTCAGCACCAGGTCACATAATAATGTTCAGAAGGCTTAGAATTATGTATAGATAATATCAGAGTCAGCTCTAGCAGGAATTGTAGTTATACCACATTGCAAGAAAACACATTCTCTGTAGGAAAAAAAGCCACTGTAATATTTGTGAAGGGACAAAAACAAAATCCTAATTAGCATTCCACCCCTATTCCAACAGCTTTCTTTTCCAGGTACTTTTATATAAGACGTGATACAATGTAGTGGTTAATAGCATGGATTCTAGAATCTGATTGTCTGGGTTCAAATTCCACCTCTGCCAATTAGTAGCTGCTTGACATAGGGCAAATTGCTTAACTTCCCTTTGCCTCAGTGTTCTTATCTGTGCAAGGGAAAATAATATGAATACCAATGTCTTGTTGTTATTACGATGATTAAATAAGTAAAAATGTATAAAGCTCTTAGAACAATGTTTGCCACATAGTAAATACTATACGATACTATATGATAGCCATTTATCTAGAGAATTAACCTTGAGCTTTCTTAGCAATCATTATTCCCTTGAAGCTTAAGTACCAATGATTTTATCTTGCAGTCCACATTTTTTAAAACTGCCATTAACCCACCAATGACATCTATGCTTTGTAGGTAATATGAGATTTATCATGACTTCTGCTATCAAAAAATTAATCATTATACAATTAACTCAATTATCCATGAAAAGTGGATAATGACACCAAACCTTCATTAACGACACCATTTGACTTTAGTGCCAAAGGATACCAAAGCTTCATTAATGACGTTATTTGATTTGGGTATCAAATGACATCAAAGCTTCATTAATGATAGTTGAAAAGGCAGAATTGAGGATGTCTCATTTTCAACATCCTGAAAAAGACACCTAAAATCATGTTTGCTGATAGACATTTTACTTCTAAGGACAAATTTTCTTGGGAGTGAAATAAAAAGGAGAAATGCAGATGGTCGTATACCACACTTTGGACAAATATCTGCAATAGATTTTTTCAGTCATGTGGGGAAAAATCCAAATGTAGAATGTTAAATGTGATTTGTATTGGACATTAAGGCTATGAAATCTTTTGGGGAGGAGAGAATTCTATTCAACTATTTACAGACGTACAATAAATTTCCTTAATTAAATTTTGCTTTAAAAAAGGATTATTTCTGATTCATCTACTGAACTAAAAAATATTCATTTTTATACCACCTACAACCTGTGATAAAAATTGTCCTTGTGGTATCATCTTTGGTGTGTCAGATAAGAAGAAATGGCATTTTAGTAACCTTAAAGCTGTAGGATGTTTTCCATATCTTACCGTTAGATAATCTAATTAATTCGTTATTTACTAAAGCACTGTGTTTCTCTCTACCAGCTTCAGGGCAATCCTGTAAGACACAAATGGTTTAGTATCACAGGATAAGCATTTGTTGTATTATTCCTTAGTTTCATAATACATGGGAAAGACATAAAAACATGGTTCATTACCAGAAAGAATTCTTACTAATAGCCAGCTATGTACAAATATGGAATCAATGGGTGTTGCAACATATTTCTTTTTCACCTATCCACCTATACAGTCTTCTTTGATCATCTTTCATCTTCCTAAGATCCCTCCACCATCTTTCCCTCTCTTCTTTTACTCTTCCCCACAACTGCTCCTCTTTATTTATCTGTCTGCCCTCCACCTCCCCACATTATTCTGTCTCTATCCTGGAGGGTCCTGTCTCTATCTTGTTTTTCTCTCATCCAATCCACCCTGTGTGCCTCTTTCATGTTCATCTCATCAAAATCCTGCTTCCAGCAAGTTAACTCTCCAGCAAAACATCTCCACTCCTAAAAAACATTATGTGTGGCCTACCATTCAAAATCCCCCATCCTCTACCACAGGAATGTAATTCAAGGAGGCTGTGGAATCAGACTCCCTGGATACAGCTAAGAAAAGATTTATTTTTAAAAGAATACAGAAAGACAAAAGAGAGATGTTCCAAGAATGTCTCTAATGTTTCTGATCTTGCTTGCTGGGCATAAGACTCCAGGTAATGTGCTTTCCAAGGCCATTCACAGTGAATTGAATGGGAAAGTAAAGGACAGTTCCTAACTCTATCCACAAGGGGGCAGAAAAAACTGACGTCGGGGTTACGTAGCAGCTAGCAAGCCTGCAGGAGGGAGAAAAAGAGTGCAAAGGAAGGTAAACTCCAAACGTATTTTCCCATTGAGGAGGGTATCCAACTGTCTCTTAGGTAAAGGTCAAACTCCAGAATGATCTTCGGACTTTGGTAGAAATGCAGATGTCTGTTTTCTACCCGCAGGGGTAGTCCTTCAGATTTACTCTGAGAAATACTGATAAAATATAAAAACATGTAGCATTGTGCTCTTCACTACAATAGCTTCATACCTTTTCTCTGGCTGTTGCCAATTTTTATAAGGCTCTTTTCTTCTATATCTGCACCTGTGAAAATCTTTTTCCTCCTTCCAGGCTACTCCAAATGTCATCTTCTCTTTGATGTCTTTCCAGAGACACTTTCTCCACTAACGAATTATTGCTCTTGATGCAAGGAATGGAATATGGAGAGTTCTCAGTACTAGGGCAGGGGCATCTCAGGGACACTGTGATGGGACTGCTGAGATTCTGTTGAAAGGTGGGCTGTAACTTTTTTTTTTTTTTTTTTGCACTGAAGTTCTTAAGTTTTCCAGCTGCTTGTTGACTCGAATTAAAATTAGCTCAAGGACTAGTAGCTGACTGAAACATTTGGAAAATAAACCACATCAGGCCCCCAATCAGGGCAGTTGTTTCCAATTGTTGTGTAAATTGGAGTTACCTAGGGGTATTTTAAAACTCCTGCTACCTGGACATCCACCACCAGACATTCTAATTTAATTGGTATAGAGTGTAACCTGGGAGTCAATACTTCTAAAACATCCTCAGGAGATTCTAATGTGCATGAAAGTTTGGGAACTACTAAATTAGAGGAATATCAATATGTCTAAAGCAATTAGCAGAAAGATTGTCAGCCATATCAGAGCAGCAGACTTGGGATAGGGAGAAGGGAAAATGAACTGGTTCCCAATAGTCATATCCGCAAAGATAGCTGTAGGGAAGTGGGATCAGTAACACTAAGGGAGTATGGATATCTGATTTACCATGTGCAACTGAACGTAAATTGTATAAAAGCAGGTCATTGGCAATGATACACATGATGGGCTGAAAGGTACTCTACAGCTTTTAAGTGGGTAGATTTGAACTTAGGGATCCCAGATGCATCTGATTCCAAGTCCATGTTCCTAAGTTTTCTAACAATTATCCAATTTACTATTCATCAGAATCCCTGGAAAAATTATTAAAAGCATAAATCCTTGGATTCTCATCCCCTAACAAATGTTTGTGCAGGTTGATGTTTAGTAGCAGAAACTCTTAGTACTTTTGTCCTCCAGAAAAATGTACTTTGAACTCCAATATATAAAATGGTTACAGGTAGTTAGGCATGAGTTGGGAAGGAGCGGGCTCTTCCCCTCAACCACTAAATATGTTATTTAGTGGTTATCACTAATGCAATTATTGCATTGCCTGTCTAAAAGTGATAAATTGGCAGCTGGCACTGGGGAGAGACCATTTCCTGATGGTCCATACCTGTTAACATTAAAATGTCAAATAAGGCAGACCCCAGGGAGAAGAAACTTCCTGAGCATCCACATTAAGAGACAAGAATGGCAAAGTATAATCTTCTGAGTACACTCCATCGGAAAAGGGAAGAAAACCTCAGATGGGCACGCATGCAATTTCATAAACACACTGCACGTGCTCACTTCCCAAAGATAAGGTGGGCTCTGTGCATGTGGGCAGCTCACCCCAAGGGAAGAATCATGGGAAAGAGGCGAACCAATAAATGTCCTAGGATCATGATTAAATGGAGCACTTGACCCTCTCTCTCTTCAACGTTCTTGCACTGTCTTGGATCTCTTCCAAGTGAACTTTCCTTTCTTTTCTGTTCTAAGGCCTTTTAAATAAACTTTCACTCCTGCTCTAAACCTTGCATCAGTCTCTTTTTTCTGCTTTATTCTCCTCAGTCGAATTCTTTCTTCTAAGGAGGCAAGAATTGAAATTGCTGTCGACGTGTATGGATTCCCAGTGGTAACTGTGGGTAACTTGGATCTCTGCCACTGCTAACATATTTGGTGCACGTGACTTGGATACCTTCCTAGTGGTAAGAGATTTCTATCCCTCATCTTATTTGGCTGGAGGCGTCTGACCCCCATGAATGTTTTCTCTCTCTCTGTCTCTTGCTTTCTCTATCTGTGTTCTGAAATGGGTTTGCACACTGGTTGCCGGACCTACCACCTTGAGGGCAAGTCTGCCTCTTTGTTTTCACTTTGCATGCCACTAGACTTCTTAAACACACATTCTATGTTATTTGCTCACCACAGTTCTATGAGTTTGTGTGGCAGTAAAGGTGTGGGCTCCCTTGTAGATATTCCCTGAGGTTTATATTTGTTTCTACCAGCTCAAGTGAACTTTAATTCTTCCCTGCTTTTTCTTTCAACTAAAATCACCTCTTTTCCAGGACAGAACCAAATTGGAACTCTGGCCCTGCCAGTTTTTATAACTCACCATGTGCTTTTCATTCCTATTATGCCACAGTGCTAAGTTTTCTGATAGCTTTTGAAAAGCAGGTTGTCCACCTGCATAGGTCTTCACTCTGGCCCTTTAAGGACTCCACCCCCTTGCTTTTTAAGCTGGTAGGGCTTTGGGAAGAGGAGAAATTTGAAACCTAAGCCCTAAGACTTTGAGGGTTACTGCTTCATTTGACTTTTTGTTCTGGAGGGCAAACAAACGTTTCTCTCTTGAATCCAAGGGCTGCTGTTTTTGCGAGCATATGAAGGCTTTTCATGAGCATTCTTCTTGCTTCCTCCCACCTTCTCCTATAGCCTCCATTTCTCTAATTTGTTCCACACCCATTTCAACAGGCAACGAGGCCTTCAAAGTCATATTCTAAGGGAGGGAAGTCCAGCCCCTGTGGCAGTTAACAGAGAAACAAGCTTCTAAGAAAAGTGATGATCATTTTATTACTAAAATACTTCAAGTGAGGGTTACTATAAGGTCTTGGAGACAAGGCTTGCCCAAGCTCACATATGCAAGAGAGTTGTTGCATATGCAAGTGTTGTCCCAGGCTAGCAGATTACCATGGGAACAGGGATAACAGGATCTCCTCTGTTCTCAAGTAGGTAATTGTGGTGAAATGAGACCAAGGGTACACAGTAAGACTGGTTGAGCTTGGAATTCAGGATGATGAGGAATACCCCATCAACAATAATAGGAAGAAAGAGGTGACACCTTCTTTTTCATTTTCCCTCTTTTATCTCCTATGTTCTCTCTTCACAGTGGGAGATGGGTAATTGCATCTTCATACTGCAGGACATGGCCCTCAGATGCATTTCCTAAAACTGGGAAAAGTTTAATTTCCCTAAATCTTAAACTGCTTGGCTTAAAAATAAACTCGGAGGAAATTGCAAGAGTCTGTCTTAGAATCCAGTACCCCTGTGCGGGAGGTCCTCAGATTAGCCTCTTAAGTCTTTTGTAACCAAGAGTAGAATAAGGACTACGGGGATAAGCCTGTCAGGTGGGGCAAATGACATCCCCTCCCTCCAAAATAAAAGATTAAAATTTCTACCAGTCTGACTTCTGGCTTTCCACTCTGTGCAAACCAGTTGTAGAAATCGTAAAAAATTCCTGTATTCCCTGCCCCTCAGTGAACAACTTTTGGTCCATGTCTTCTAATCTAATAAGCTGGTTTGTCTCGTCTCACCTTCAGGCCATCAAGCTCCAGATAATCCTCAGTGAGGGATACTATTCCCTCAATAATCAAGAGGCATCCTTTTACAGGAAGGAGCCAAAATCCTTCCCCTGTCTCCCTTGCAACTGGCTGGATACTGCTTTCACCTATGCATGGAGTCACCCTCTTGCCCTGACAGCTAGAGAGACTGAGACCCACAGGACCACTACTGCCCCTTTGTCTGTGGGAAGCAGTTATGGAAAATAGACCTTCATTCATTCTCCCCTAAAGATTCAGGGGTCTTGGCTCTTGAGGGGTAAAAGGTTAAAGGTAGTTAGGCATGAGTCGGGCAGGAGAGGGCTCTTCTTCCCCCTACCCACTAGAAATGTCAGGTGTTGGTTCAGCAATTATTGCATTGCCTCTCTAAAAGTAATAAATTGGCAGCCAGCACCAGGGAGAGACCATTTCCTGATGGTCCACAGATACTAACATTAAAGTGTTAACTACAGGCAGACCCCAGGGAGAAGAAACTTTCTGGGCATGCACATTAAGAGACAAAAATGGCAAAGTATGATATTCTGGATACACTCCACTGGAAAAGGGAAGAAATCCTCAGATGGGCATGCATGCAACTTCATAAACACACTGCACATGCTCATTTCACAAAGGTAAGGTGGGCTCTGTGCATGCGGGCAGCCCACCCTTAGGGAAGAATCATGGGAAAGAGGTGAGCTAATTAAAGTCCTAGGATCATCGTTAAATGGGGCACTTGACCCTCTCTCTCTTTAACTTTCATGCACCCTCTTGGATTTCTTCCAAGTGAACTTTCCTTTCTTTCCTGCTCTAAAACCTTTTAAATAAACTTCCACTTCTGCTAGGAAACTTGCCTTGGTCTCTTTTTATGATATATGCCCTTCAGTCAAATTCTTTCTTCTGAGGAATCAAGAATTCAAGTTG
This sequence comes from Homo sapiens, assembly GCF_000001405.40. Classification (NCBI taxonomy): domain Eukaryota; kingdom Metazoa; phylum Chordata; class Mammalia; order Primates; family Hominidae; genus Homo; species Homo sapiens. Next base: position 93,418,276 of record NC_000023.11, on the reverse strand, counting down.
CTGCAGATGTGTATGGATTCACTGCCAGTAACTTGGGGTAACTCAGATCTCTGCCACTGCTAACAAAACAAACAAAAGTAGAGCTGAACTTGTTCAAGCAGAAGTTTGGGAATTTAGTTTGAATCCTTTATAACTTCTTCACTCAATCCACTCTCTAAGACCAGTTGTTGAGGTTTCTTCTCATTGAAGAGACCTTCTTCAGGAAGTTTGAAATCCACTTCCCGAATCTATACTAAATTTTAAAATATAAGTATACTACATTCTAGAAAAAAACCTACATAAATACATGTGCAATTGTGAATGAGTGCTAATTCAGTACTGTAAAATGAAAACATTTTTACAGATAATAAAAATGTCAGCCAATATGTGAGTAGTTAAATCAATTATAGTATTTAACTGGTATTTACTGAGCACTTAATGTTGACCAAGCACTGTACTGAATGCCTTATGTGTATTATCTCATTTATTCTTCTCAACAATTATATTAATTAGTGTCAAAGCAGAAATTGCACTGGATAAAACAGGTAAGGAAGACTTTATTCAAGAATATTACAATAATGAAGAGAGGTCAGAACTCAGTCTGAACTTGACTGCTACAAAAAAAGGATGGGAAAGGTTTTTAAGCATTGAGGATAGCTAGTAGAAAAGCACTGGAGGACTTTGAGGGTGGGTCTTAGGACATCTGTGTTTGTCAGTTGGCTTTATTCTAAGGAAAAATAAGATTCTAATATATATATTTTTTGAGCCAGGGTCTCACTTTGTCACCCAGGCTGGAGTTCATTCACATGATCATAGCTCACTTCAGCCTCCAACTCCTGGGCTCAAGCAATCATCCCACCTCAGCCTCCCAAGTAGCTTGGACTACAGATGTGTGATATAACATTTAGCTAAATATATATATATATATATATATATATATATATATATATATATATATACACGTGTATATATATACGTATATATATATATATAAAAAATACTTTTTTTTGTAGAGGGGGGTTTCTCCATGTTCCCCTAGCTCTCAAACTCCTAGGCTCAAGCAATCCACCCACCTTGGCCTCAAATGTTTGGTTCATATATATTTAAAATTGTTACATCTTCTAGCTGAATTCACTTTTTTATCATTACATAGTGACTTCCTTCATCTGCTCTTGTAGTTTTTGTGTCTAAATGTACTTTGTGTGATACAAGTAAAGCTGCTCCCACTTTTTTTTGGTTTCCATTGGCATGGAATATCATTTTTCATTTCTTTATTTTCAGACTATGTGTGTCTTTATAAATGAAATATATTTCTTACAGGCAACAGATCAAAGGGTCTTGCTTTTTCATCCATTCAGCCACTCTATCTCTTTTTATTGAAAACTTTAGTTTATTTGCATTCAATGTTATTATTTATACTAACCACTTACTCCTGCTATTTTTTTTTGGTTGTTTTATGGTTTTTTCTTCCCTCTTTACTTATTTTGTGCCTTCCTTCTAGTGAAAGTGATTTTCTCTGGTGGTATGCTTTTATTTCTTGCTTTTTACCTTTTGTGCCCCCATTTTGTGTTTATTGATTAGAGTTTACCATAATGTTTGCTATTAATATTTTGTGACTCATTATTTTAAGCTGATTACAACTTATCACTGTTTTCATAAAAAGCAAGCAAAAAACAAAACAAATAAAAACTTTGTCTCCCTGTTGTTAAACTTTTTGTTGTAACTATTTATATCTTATTGTACTGTCTATGTCTTGAAAAGTTGTTGTAGTTATTTTTATTGGTTCATCATTTAGTCTTTCTATTTAAGATAACAGTAGTTTACATACCATGGATGCACTTGTGTAATATTCTGTGTCTTTCTGTTTTCTTAACATTACCGATGAATTTTGAACCTTCAGATAATTTCTTACGGCTCACAATATCCTTTGCTTTCTGGTTGAGCTACTATCTTTAGCATTTCTTGTGGGACAGATCTGATGTTGATGAAATCCTTCAGCGTTACTTTGTCTGGGACGTTGTTTATTTCTCCTTCATGTTGTAAACATATTTTCACTGGATAGACTGTTCTAGGGTAAAAGTTTTCTCTCTCAGCATTGTGAATACGCCATGCCACTCTCTCATGTCCTGTAAAGTTTCCACTAAATAATCTGCTGCCAGAAATAGTGGAGTGCCATTGTGTGTTATTTGACTCTCTTCTCTTGTTGCTTTTAGTATCCTTTCTTTATTCTTGATCTTTGGGAGTTTGATTATTATATGCCTTTAGGTAGTTGTCTTTGTAGTTTGATCTGCTTTGTGTTCTATAACCTTCTTGTACTAGGATATTGATATCTTTATCTAAGTTTGGGAAGTTCTCTGTTAGTATCCCTTTGAATAAACTTTCTACTCCTATCTCTTTCTCTACATCCTCTTTAAGGCCAATAACTCTTAGATTTTTTCCTTTGGAGGCTGTTTTATAGATCCTGTATGTGTTCTTCATTGTTTTTTATTCTTTTTTTATTTTGTGTCCTCTGACTGTACTTTCAAATAGCCTGTCTTACTCATTCTTTCTTCTGCTTACTCATTCTTTATTCTGCTTGATTGTTTCTGCTATTAAGATCCTCTGATACATGCTTTATTATTTCAGATTCATTTCTGAACTTCAGATTTTCTGCTTGATTTTTTTAAAAAATTATTTTAGTATCTTTGTTAAATATATCTAATAGAATTTTGAGTTCCTTTGCTGTGTTATCTTAAATTTCTTTGATTTTTCTCAACACAGCTATTTTGAATTTTCTGTCCAAAAGGTCACATATCTCTGTTTCTCCAATATTATCTCTTTATTTTGGTCAGTTGATGAGGTCATATTTTCCTGGTCATGGTTTCTTGATGCCTATGATTTCATCTGTGTCTGGGTATTGAAGAGTTAAGTATTTATTGTAGTCTTTGCAGTCTGTGCTGTTTGTGTTAGTACATGTTCTTCTTGGGAAGGCTGTTCAGGTATTCAAAAGGACTTGCGCTTTGTGATCTAGGCCATATCTGCACTAGCGGACACCCCAAGCTGAGTAAAAAAGTGTTTTTATAAAGTCTTAGAGGCACTACCTTGATAATCTTTGATAAGATGCAAATAACTATTTGGATTATCAGGCAGAATCTTTTGTTCTCTTTCTCCCAAACAAGAGGAGTCTCACCTTCTCTTCTTAGCTACCTAGACCTGGGGACAGAGTAACACTCCTGTGGCCACCACCCCCAGGACTTCACTGTGCCAGACCTGAAGCCAGCACAGTACTGGGTCTCTCCCAAGGCCCACTGTAACCACTAACTGGTTACTCCCTATGTTTACCCAAGGCCCTTGGGCTCTACAATCAGCACATGATGATGCAAGCCAGGTATTTGTCTTTTACTTCAGAATGATGAGTTCCTCCAGGCCCTGGGGGAATCCAGAGGTGTGATCAGGGTCCAGGGACTGGAGTTAAAAACCTTAGAAATCTACCTGGTGTTTTATTGTACTGAATCTGAGCAGGTACTTAAGCCACAAAACTCAGTACTTCCCACTCTTTCCTCGACTTTCCACAGGAAGAGAAGCCTCACCCCATGGCCACCACCACCAGTGGCCCATGGTGAGTACTACTTGTCTACTGCCAATATTGCCTTAAAGCCCAGGGTCTCTTCAGTCAGCTTGTGGTGAATGCTGCCTGGCCTGGGACTGGCTTTTCAGGACAGTGGGCTCCACTCTGGCCTAGGGCAAGTCTATAAATGCCTTCTAAGAAGAAAGGCACTTGGTGTTCTATACCTTTTTGACTGAGCTGGTACCTAAGGTGAATGACAAAATTCCTTTTACATTTGCCTCTGCTTTGCTGAAGCAGAAGTAGTCTCTTTCCATAGTTATCCCAGCTGGGAATGTGCTGAGTCTCATATGAAGCCAGCAAGTCTCAGAGTCTCACCCAGGGCCATGACATAATACCTGGGTATTGCTACTGGGTTTTCAGGGCTCAAGGTCACTTTAGTGAGGAGGTGATGGATCCTTCTAGGACTGGTTTCTTTCTTTCAAGGCAGTGGGTTTCCTTCTGGACCAGGGCATGTCTAGAAATGTCATCTGGGAGCTAGTGCCTAAAAAGGGGGCCTCATGACTTTACTACACTGCTATGGTTCAGGTCGTATCTAAGATTCAAAGCAAAGCCTGTTTACTCTTCTTTCTCTTCTCCTCAAGTGGAAGGAAAGGGTCTTTTGAATCCACAAGCTGCGCTGCTTGGAATTGGGTGAGGGGTGGCAAAAGCACTCTTTCAGCCACACCCACTTGTGTTGAAGTAGGTCATGTGCTCCCCCAAGTCCACTGGCTCTGAGCCCAATTTAGCACTAGGACTCTTCCGAGAAGTCTGCTGCCAAAAGCATTGGAGCTCATTTGTATGTTATTTGTTACTTTTCTCTTGTTGTTAGAATCTTTCCTTTATCCTTGACCCTTGGAAGTTTGATTATTAAATGTCTTGGGATCGTCTTATTTGAATTAAATCTGCTGGGTGTTCTAAACCTTCTTGTACTTGAATACTAATATGTTTCTTGAGGTTTGTGAAGTTCTCTGTTATCCTTTTAAATAAACTTTCTACCCTGATCTCTCTCTCTACCTCCTTTTTAAGGCCAATAACTCTCATATTTGCCCTTTGGGGCTACTTCCTAAATGTTTTAGGTATGCCTCATTCTTCGTTTTAATTTTTTTCGTTTTGTCTCCTCTGACTCTTTATTTTCAAATAGACTGACTTCAAGCTCACTGATCTTTTTTCTGCTAGATCAATTCTGCTGTTAAGAGACTCTGATGCATTCTTCAGTTTATCAGTTGAATTTTTCAGCTCAGAATTTCCACTTGATTCTTTTTAATTATTTCAATTTCTATACTAAATTTATGTAATAGAATTCTGAATTCCTTCTCCATGTTGTCTTAAATATCTTTGAGTTTCCCCAATATGGCTATTTTTAATTATCTGTTTGAAAGGTCACATATCTTTGTTTCTCCAATATTGGCTCTTGGTTTCCCATTTAGGCCATTTAGTGAGGTTGTGTCTTCCTGAATTATCTTGATACTTGTAGATGTTTGTCTGTGTCTGGGCATTGAAGAGTTAGGTATTTATTTTAGTCTTTATAGTCTGGGCTCCTTTGTAACTGTCCTTCTTGGGAAGGCTTTCCAAGTATTCAAAGGGACTTGGATGTTGTGAACTAAGTCTTTGTTTGCTGCAGCTATATCTACTTTATGGAGCACCTCAAGCCCAGCAACACTGTGGCTCTTACAGATTCATAGAGATACTGCCTTGGTGGTCTTTGGTAAGATCTGGTAGAATTGCTTGGATTACCAGGCAGAAACTTTTCTTCTCTTCCCTTAATTTTACTCAAACAAATGAAGTCTCTCTCTCTCTATGCTAAGCTGCCCGTAGCTGGGAGAAGAGTAATACAACCAACTCTATGGGCATCACAACTGGAACTGAACTGGGTCAGACCCAAAGCCATCACAACCCTTGGTCTCACCCAAGTACTGCAGTGACCACTGCCTGGCTACCCCCTATCTTCTCTTAAGGCCCTAGGGTTCTACCATCTACAAGTGTTAAAGCCAACCATGCTTGTGCCATTCTTTTAAGCACAGTGGGTTTCCCCCAGCTCTGGGCATGTCTGGAGGTGTCATCCAGGAGTCAGGGCCTGGAGTCTGGAACCTTAGATATCTACCTGTTGTTCTATTCTATTGCAGCTGAACTGGCACTGAAGACACTAGACAGTCTTTCCCATTTTTCCCTCTCCTTTTCTCAAGCAGAGGATTCTCTCCCCATAGCCACCACCACCCCAGCCTATGGCAAGTTCTGCCTGGTAACTGCTGATGTTTACTCACCCCCAAGTGCTCTTCAGTCAGTTTGCAGTGAATTCTGCCTGGCCTGTGTCTCTCCCTTCAGGGTAGTGGGTAACTGTTTGGCCTGGGACAGGTCTATAAATGCTGTCCAAGAGCCAGGGTCTGGATTTGGTGACCCAATGGGCCTGCTCTATTCTCTACTCCGCTTGGGTACTGAGCTGGTACCCAAGCTGCAAGACAAAGTCCCCTTTACTCATTTATCTCCTTTCCTCAAGCATAAGAAGTCTCTCCCTTTAGCCACCACAGTTAGGGATGTTCTGGGTAACACCTGAAGCTGGAACAGCTCTATCACCCATGACCTACAGCGAGTATTGCCTGGCTACCACTGCTGATTATTCAGGGCCTAAGGATACTTTAGTCAGCAGGTAATGAATCCCACCAGGGTGAGTCTTCCCTTCAAGGTAGCATGTTCCCTTCTGGCCCACAGTGTTTCTAGAAATACCTTCTGTGAGCTAGGGCCTGGAATGGGGACCTCAGGACTCTGCTTGTCACCTTATCCTATGGCGTCTGAGCTGGTATCCAAGTGAAAAGACAAAGTCCACTTTACTGTTCTCTCTCTTCTCAAGCAGAGGGGAGGAGTCTCTCCTGTAGCTGTAAGCTGCACTGCCTGGGGCTGGGATTGCAGGGGGTGACACAAGCATTCCCTTAGCCATCCTGGCTCCTATCTCACTAGGTCTCATGCACTCCAAATCCACTGACTCCGAGCCCAGCACAGCACCAGGACTTGCCCAGCATTTGCATTTCTTGTGGCCTAGACTACCTTTCAAACTTATTTAGGATCCTGTAGTACTTTAGCCCTTGATGGCAGGGCTTGCCAGAACTCAGGTTCCAACCACTGGGATGGGTGATTCCGCTCTGTCTAGGGCTGGTCTATATGCCCCCTCCATGGATATCAACTGAATTCTGCCCAATGTTGCTTTCCACTGTAACAGGGCAGCATTGAGTTCCAATGCAAAGTTTCACAATAATTGTGTTATTTCTTCCCCAAGCACACAGATTCTCTCTCTGGACCACATGGCCACTGCCATAGGAGGGGTGGAAGGGTGGTGTAGGCTATTTAAGACTGTCTTTCCTACCCTTTGTTTTCCTACATATTTCTTTAATATGAAGTTAAACCAGGTATTGTGATTGTTCACCTGATTTTTGGTTCTTATGAGAGAACTTTTTTTGTGTGTGGATAGTTGTTCAATTTGGTGTTCCTGCGGTAGGGGAACAATCATTGGAGGCTTCTATTTGGCCATCTTGCTCTGCTCTCTCTCCGAGTTTATTTTTTTATTTCTGTTAATTGTTATTTCTGTCTACTGTGTCCATTCTCATTGTGTTTAAGGCAAAGTTTGTTATAGAGTGAGGATATCTCTCCAGGGAAATATTTTGTTGCTCTAAACTACATCTGTGATGGTAAAGCAATATGTATTACTATGTATATATAGGTTGGTACACTTCAATATAGGGCATTTACCTCAATTTTCTCTGCTTATAGCCCACTTGATGGACAAGGTGCTTTTTAAAGCCATAGTTATGGGAGGCTGAGGCAGGAGAATTGCTTGAACCTGGGAGGTGGAGGTCACATCGTGCCAAGATTGCGCCATTGTATTGTGCTCCAGCCTGGGCAACAAGAGTGAAACTTCGTCTCAAAAAAAAAAAAAAAAAGAAAAAGAAAAAGCCATAATTGTAAAGGAGGGTTGCTTAACTAGTTTTGTTTTCAACTCTAAGTCAGGAAGAGCCTGCTGGGTACAAGCTTCTTTTATAACAATCCCTCAGTGTTGTTCTTTTGTTTGAAGACCTATGAAGAAAATGAAAATGTGTGTTGGGGATGACTATAAGATAAGTTGTTCTTAAAACTGATTCTGTCCTATCAACCTGGGGAACTTATAAAAGGATTCCTCAGCCTCACATGATTCTTGCTAGGATTTTTTCTTGCTTCAGTATTCTTGTTACTGTGACTTAGAAGTTGCATATACAGACTTCAGGCTTCAAGTTGTAAGCAGTCAATATCTATTGAAAGGCTTGGGCCATTTCAATATGCCACAGAAAAGCACTGGCCAATAAAAAGATAATGTAAACAACATATGTAATTTTGTATTTTCTAATAGCATTATTAAACAAAAAGAAACAAGTGAAATCAATTTTTAATAATTTTACTTAACCCAACGTAACTGAAATATTATCATTTTATCTTGAAATTAATAAAATGTACTAATGAGCTATTTTACATTCTTTATTATTCATATTAAGTCTATAAAATACAGTGTGTATTTTATACTTTCAGCTAGTCTCAATTTGGACTAGCCATATTTCAAATGCTCAATAGCTACATATGGATACAGGCTACTGTATTAGACAGTGCAGATCTAGGAGACCTGGGTTATGGCTATATAATGTTCCAGTGCTGACTCTGATCCGATTCCTTTAAGTATTTACCTGTATTTTCTTAATGTGCATGATTCCTGCTAAGCTGTAGTAAAGTGACATTTTAATGGTGTCTGAAGTAAAAAGAGATCATTCGCAGTGTGTGAAAATTGTTACCAGATCATTTAATGCAAAGTGCCACAAAACTTCCTCTAGGATACAATACTTCTTGTATTTACTGTTATTCATTCTTGTCCAGTATTATGTGGGTTATATAAATAATGCTTCACAATGTGTATTGAATATACTATAAAAAACTGACTTCTACGTTTGAATCCATATGTGGCTAATAGCAAACAGAGACTGATGACAACAGAAGAGTCATTTGTGAGTAACAGCAGCATTAGATGAGTTTGCATGGACTAAAAAAACATAGCTCAGGGAGGCATAGAACTGGAGCTATAGATAGAACATATAAGACTGCATGCAAGAGAAAGGATATGAGCATATAGACAGAATGACATCTATATTAGCATGGATCTACATGCTTAAAATTGGATTCAAAGAAAGACTTGGTAAGTCTAATGTTTTGAACATTTTATTAGACATAAAAATGAATTTCACAGAATCCCAATAACATAGAAATCAAATGTGATAATAAGCAAACAATATCAAACTATGTATTTTGCCATCTCAAAAAGCCAATTCAACTATCATAATCTTACTCTTCAGTTATGAAGATTCACTCAAGCAAAATGTTGCCTAATTACAAACAGACCACCATGACTGACCAAAATTTTGAGAGAGAGAGGAATCTAAAGATTAAATATAGTCATGTCAAATGGTAATTGACTGAGGGTCTTCTAACTAAATCTCAAACAAATATTCTTGTATGAATATTCTTCCAAATTACAAAGAACAGGGAGATTAAAATGAAGAAGACAAGGCAGAGAGAAAATACAGAAAGTTCTGATATTGGGAATGACTAAGAAGAAATTAGATTAAACAGTCAGATAAATATTTACAATAAAATATAAAAATAAATTAAGGAAAAACTACAGATATTTCAGTTTAAATGCTTTTTACAAGTTTTTAAAATTTCTTTTTAAATCGATATGTAAGATTTTACATATTTTTGGGGTACATGTATTTGTTACATGTATAGATGTGTAATGATCAAATCAAGGTATGTGGGGTATTTATCACAGAGGTTTGAAAGAGTGAGTGGGTGGGAAGGGGGGATAAAGATAGGGTGGTTAGTGGGTACAAACATACAGTTAGAAGTTCTAAAGTTCCATGGTGACTATAGATAGTAATAATGTATATTTCATAGGAACTAGAAGAGAGGATTTGAAATGTTTCCAACACATAGTAATGATAAATACTCATGTTTAAATGCTTTTGATTGCAAGTAACAGAAAACTCAAAACTCAAATTGCTTTAAACAATGAATGAAATGTATTGACAAAATGTAGTTGAAAAAGCCTAGAGGTAGGATTACAGGCGTAATTTTATTAGGCCTCTAGCTTAGTTTTTCTGTGATTTTTCTCAATGCTGCCACTCTCCATGTGTTGCAATTGTTTTCAGGCTGTTCTTTATCATTGTAGCAAAATGGCTACAGCAGTTACAGAATTTACATCACCATGATACATCCTTATAGGAAAGTCCTGTATTTTATTCTGAACAAATCTGAACGAATCATGATGCCCAGAAAAATACTACACATTTATTGTTTTGGGTCAGGGTTATTGACTATACATAATTTAATTGGTATTGCAGAGGAAGTGAGATTATCCTAACTGGATTATAGCTCTCAGTGCTCATCCCTATAATGAACATCAATCCCAGCCAAATTGCATGGCTGCCCCAAAATGAGGGAGGGATGGAATAGATGCTGTGAAGACAAATATCCACTTTATAAAGACTAGGATATATGGTCCTGTATGATACATCTGAAAATCCAACAAGAGAAGTTTCAGTTAGTCATAATGTGATCTACCTTAAGAGGAAACCTGGCTTTCATTAACATGCTTAACAGATGCCTGAGCCCTTAACAAATAAATAGATTGTATTGCCATCAGGACAGCCTGGTCTTCAACAGTTTCTCTTTAGTATTTTTATCTGTAGCCACAGATGCCAAAGAAAACCAGATGGCCTGAATGTCACGCGTGGCCTCATGACCCTCTGTCACATATCGGAGGGAGTCCAGACCCAGCCAAAACTGGTGCATATGACAGCAGGTGACTTCCAGTTACCTTTAAGTCATTAACATGTCATGATAATACTGAAAACTCTCCCCTGAGGGAAGACCCCTGACATTTTGTGTACATGTGATGTATGAAGTAGTATGTTTATGAACTATGCCTGTGTTCCTGGAACTCCTCTCCATACATGTCTACATACTTCTCCCACCCTGCATCTAACTCTTTATAACTCCCATTGCCTTTATAACTCCCTGCCATTGCCTAGAGAGAAGGTGCCTTTTGAGCGTGAGCTCTACTTCTCCATTCTTTGGCCACTGAATGAAACCTGATTGTTTCTCCAGTTGCATGTTCTTTTTTTGTGGCCAACATAAAGTAGGGAAAGAACAGAGCTGATGACAATGTTACATTTGGGCTCAATTATTATGAAGACTTTGACAAATTATTTCAAATTAAATAAACATTTAATCATTACATATCATACTTTAAAATATCATTAATTAAATCAAATGCAATAATTCTAAAGCAAAATTTTAATATTTTTCTAGATGAATATAGTTTGTTTATTGAGTCATACCAGTGAAAACCATCTGTTCCATTTTATTTTTTCCCAAATAGTTTATTATTATATAGGCATATATAATGAAGTAGATTGTTAATAAATTTTCAATTTGAGCTATGTAGAAAGATAATTTGTGTAATTTGAGAGCCTTAGTAAACTTCAAAATGTGAATCTTTAGTAGATATCATTGAAAATAAAGCCTAGATACTGGATCAGAGTTAATCCATAATATTTTTGTGGGGCTTTCTTTTGAGTGTGTGTGTGTGTGTGTGTGTGTGTGTGTGTTGGCCTACGACAGTGTTGTTCAACAGATATGTAATACAAGTAACATAAGTAATTTTCTATTTGCCATATTAAAAAGTGAAAAAGATTATTTTTAAACAATATAACAGTACATTGTAACCCGATATATTTAAAACATTATTTCAACATTAATTAAATAAAAATATTAAGGAGATATTTTGTCCTGTTTTTTTCCACTGTGATTTCAAAATGTTGTGTGAATGTTACACTTTCAACACACATCAATTAATGACAGCTATTAATACATTTTAAGTGTTTAATAGCCCCATGTAGCTAGTGGCCCTCATATTTTATAACATAGGTTCAGAATTATTTATGATTGTTCTTTATACAGCCCAAAGGCTCTGGATGTTAGCCAAAGGTACAATGTACCTTGTACTGTATAGTATTTTTAATACATTGTTAAGCTTTGTCTTTACTTATTTTATAGATATACTTCTCCTAGTTCTGTCCTTGACAGATACTTTGATACAGTTTATTAATTCTGTGTGCTGAGCCTTGATAATCCTTCTTATTTAAATTCTAATTTTACCACCTTGTACTTGCCACCCTTTTATTTACTTAGAATTTACTGGAATGAATGCCAATAGCTGCCTAATTCCACTTTCTTTAATACTTTCCCTTCCTACAGTATTTTTTTTTCATAGTATTTTCATCTGGATTCTTTAAGCCTTACCTAAAAATTAGCTTTCCTAAGGTATTTATGATATTCTGTTCCTTGGTGCACACACATTCACTTATCAAGCACTCAAGATTAAATAATATTTCACAATTCCCATATCCTCAGCTTCATCTAAATTGACTTTATTCAGATTGTTCTAAGACACATTTTTGTGCATTTATAATACAATCAGAGAAAAGGAAGATAAAGTAACAGACAGAAATTTTTCTTCTTTCAAGTTGAAAATATTTCCAAAGGCCTATATATTTTGATAAAATTAGATTAATGTCAATAGGATATCAGGAACTATTTCAAAGACTATACTGATATTAATATGAGGTCAATCAAGCATGTCATATTGTTGCATTAAAAAGACAACAAATGGAAAATGCATAGCACATATTGTTTCCTAATAACTTCTAAATATATATTTGTCCCTCTCTCCTTCTCCCATCTTGATATAATTATGTCATTTGAATAGACTTGGCAGCAAAGAGTACTAGTTAAAATTGTGAGCTTTGGAGTCAGAAAGTCTTGGGTTCTTAGCTCTGCTACTCACTAGTTGCATGACTTTGAGCAAGCACCTTTATTTCTCTGAGTATTTCATTATTTACATATAAATGAGGAATGATAAATTTAAATCATCTCACTGGTTGTTGAAAAGATTAAGTAAAATAAGTAATGCTTGAACATAATTGGCACTCAATAAAATTATTTATTAATGTTTTTATTATTAATAATAACCATAGTGCTTCAAGGTAAATTCAATAAAGTCAGTCTACATATATTTGTCATTATTAATGCAATTTAAGGAATAAAAAATTTTTACTTAAGTATCTAAAACTGTGTTGAGTATAAAACCAATAATTTTAATCACTCTGTAATTTTTTAAACATTAATAAACCAAATATCTTTTTCAAGAATTTAGGAAAATAACAACAAAATGAACCAACAAAAGTAGGAACAAGTTATTTCAGATAAAAAAATAGTTACAATCTTATAAAATTGATACATAAACCAAAAGCAATTGTTGTTTCTGTAAAAATAAATTCACCCTTCACTGATTGATATGGTTTTGCTATGTCCCCACCCAAATTTCATCTTGAATTGCAGCTCCCAAAATCCCCATGTGTCATGGGAGGGGCCCAGTGGGAGGTAATTGAATCAGGGGTTGGGTTTTTCCCATGCTGTTCTCATGAGAGTGAACAAGGCTCACGAGGTCAGATAGTTTTATAAAGGGCAGTTCCCCTGCACACGCTTTCTTGCCAGCTGCCATCTAAGATGTGCCTTTGCTTCTCCTTCACCATGTGCCACAATTGTGAGGCCTCCCTAGCCATGTGGAACTGTGAGTTCATTAAAACTTTTTCCTTTATAAATTATCCAGTCTTGGGTATGTCTTTATTAGCATTTTGAGAATGAACTCATACAGTAAATTGGTACCAGGTAGTGGGGCACTGCTGTAAAGATACCCAAAAATGTGGAAGAGACTTTGGAACTGGGTAACAGGCAGAGATTGGAACAGTTTGGAGGGATCGAACGAAGACAGGAAAATGTGGAAAAGTATGGAACTTCCTAGAGACTGTTGAATGGCTTTTAACTAAATTCTGATAGTGATATGGACAATAAAGTCCAGGCTGAGGTGGTCTCAGATGGAGATGAGGAACTTGTTGGGAACTGGAGTGAAGGTGACTCTTGTTGTGCTACACAAAAAGCCTAGTGGCATTTTGCACCTGCGCTAGAGATCTGTGAAACTTTGAACTTGAGAGAGATTATTTAGGGTATCTGGCAGAAGCAATTTCTAAGCAGTAAAGCATTCAAGAGGAAGCAGAGAATAAAAGTTTGGAAAATTTGCAGCCTGATGATGCAATAGAAAAGAAAGACCCATTTTCTGAGGAGAAATTCAAGCCTGCTATAGAAACTTGCGTAAGTAACTGGGAACTGAATGTTAATCCCTAAGACAATGGGGAGAATGTCTCCAGGGCATTTCAGAGACCTTTGGAGCAGCCTCTCCCATCACAGGCCCAGAGGCCTAGGAGGAAAAAATGGTTTCCCGGGGAGGGCTCAGGGTCCCCCTGCTGTGGGCAGGCTAGGTACTTGGTGCCCTGAATCCCAACCACTCCAGCCATGGCTAAAAGAGGCCAACGTACAACTTAGGCCATGGCTTCAGAGCATGAAGCCCCAAGCCTTGGCAGCTTCCACATGGTGTTGAGGCTGCAGGTGCCCAGAAGACAAGAACTGAGGTTTGGGAACCTCTGCCTAGATTTCAGAGAGTGAATGGAAATGTCTGGATGTCCAGGCAAAAGTTTCCTGCAGGGGTGGAGCTCTCATGGAGAACCTCTGGTAGGGCAGTGTAGAAGGGAAATGTGGGGTGGGAGCCCCCACAAAGAGTCGCCACTGGGCCAGTGCCTAGTGGAGCTGTGAGAAGAAGGCCACCAACTTCCAGACCCAAGAATGGTAGATCCACTGACCACTTGCACTGTTTTCCTGAAAAATCTGCTGACACTCAATGCCAGCCCATGAAATTATCTAGGAGGGGGCCTGTGCCCTGCAAGAACACATGGGTGGAGCTGCCCAAGGCTGCAGGAGCCCACCTCTTGCAGCAGCATGACCTGGATGTGAGATACGGAGTAAAGTGAGATCATTTTGGAGCTTTGAGATTTGACTTCCCTGCTGGATTTTGGAATTGCCTGGAGCCTTTAGCTCCTTTTGTTTTGGCCAATTTCTCCCATTTGGAATGAGTGTATTTACCATGCTTGTACCCATTTGTAACTAGAAAGTAACTATCTTGCTTTTGAATTTACAGGCTCATAGGCAGAAAGAACTTTACTTGTCTCAGGTGAGACTTTGGACTATGGGCTTTTGAGTTAATACTGAAATGAGTTAAGAATTTGGGGTGCATTTGGGAAGGCATGATTGGTTTTGAAATATGAAGATATGAGATATGAGATTTGGGATGGGCCAGGGATGGAATGATATGATTTGGCTGTGTCCCCACCCAAATCTCATCTTAAATTGTAGCTTCCATAATCCTCATATGTCATGGGAAGGACCTGGTAGGAGGTAATTGAATCATGGGGATGGGTTTTTCCCAGGATGTTCTCATGATGGTAAGTCTCAGGATATCTGATGGTTTTATAAAGGGTAGTTTCCCTAAACACACTCTCTTGCCTGCTGCCATTTAAGATGTGCCTTTCTCCTCTTTCACCTTCTTCCATGATTGTGAGGCCTCCCCAGCCAAGTGGAACTGTGAGTTTATTAAAGCTCTTTCCTTTATAAATTACCCAGTTTCAGGTATGCCTTTATTAACAACATGAGAATGGACTAATACACTGATATAACTCAGAAAAATAATAAAATAATACTTAAGCAAATTTAGAAATGAGAAACTGCATATGAAGAATTTAAAAACCAAGAGACTATAATATAAAATTCTATATCAAGAAATTTACAAATCTTAATTAACTAAAATTTAAAAAATAAATTGTATCAAAAAATCCATGCAATGAGAGGTAAAAATAATAAAATGCAAATTGGCTGAAAATGTGGAAGAATATAAGATTATAAAATTTTACCTCGCAAAAGAAAATAGAAGCAATGATTTTCCAATTGACTTCAAGGAATAGAAACTTTCAAGGAATAGAAAATTACTGTTATTTTACCTGTTCCACAGCACAGAAAAAAAAAATGAAAGCTCCTAATTTATGTCACCAGGTGTATTAGGCCATATTTTGTTTTGCTATAAAGAAATGCCTGAAACTGTGTTATTTATAATAAAAAAGAGGTTTAATTGGCTCATGGTTCTGCAGGGTGTATAGCAAGTGTGATGCCAGCATCTGCTTCTGGTGAGGGCCCCCATAAGCTTACAATCATGGCTGAATGTGAATGGGGAGTAGAGAGTCACATGGCAAGAGCAGGAACAAAAGAGAGAGTGTAAAGATGCCACATACTTTGAAACAACCAGATCTCATGAAACGTCAAAGTGAGAATTCAGTCATCACCAAGGGAATGATGCTAAGCCATTCTTAAGGGATCTTTTCCCATGATCAAAACACCTCCCACCAGGCCCCCTCTTCAACACTGGGGATTACATTTCACTGTGAGATTTGGAAGGGACAAATATTCATACCATATTGTTCCACCTCTGGCCTCCTGTATCTCATGTTCTTCTCACATTGCAGGATACAATTATCTCCTGCCAATTTCTACCTCCTCCTCCCATCTTAAATCATTCCAGCATCATGTTTGAAGTCCTAATCTCATATGGGACTCATCTTCTTCCACCTATGGACCTGTATAATCAAAACAAGTTATTTACTCCCAAGGTACAATCGTGGTACAGGCATTGGGTAAACTTTAGCATTTCAGAAGAAATTGACCAAAAAAGGGACTATGGGCCCCACACAATTCTGAAACACAGCACAGCAGACACTAAACATTAATGCTTAAAAATAATTATTGACTCCATGTCCTATATCCTGGGCACACTGATGCAAGAGGTAGGCTCCAATGGCCTTGGGCAGCTCCATCCCTGTGGCTCTTCCACACTGACTTTGCAAGTTGCTGGTATATCTGCCATTCTGAGGTCTGGAGGGTGGCAGCCCCATTCCCACAGTTCCACCAGGCAGTGCCCTGGTGTGGACCTTGCATAGGGGCTCCAACCCCACATTTCCCCTCTGCACTTCCCTAGTTGAGTCTCTCTGTGAAGGCTCCATCCCTGAGGCAGGATTCTTCCTGGATAACCAGGCTTTCTTATACATTCTCTGAAATATAGGGGGAAGCTGCCAAGCCTCTTTCATGCTTGTATTCTGTTTGCCTGCAGATTTAACACCACATAGAAACTACCGAGGCTAACAGTGTCTTGCACTTTCTAGAGTGACAGCCCAAGCTGTTCCTAGGGCTTTTTGAGCCACAGATAGAGCTAGAGTAGCTGAAATACAGGGAGTGGTGTCTTGAGGCTGAGCAGAGAAGTAGCACCCTGGGCTTGGCCCCTGAAATCATTTGTTCCTCTTTGGCCTCTGAGCCTATGATGAGAATGGTGGCCTAGTAGGTCTCTGAAATGCCTCAAGGCCTTTTTCTCCTTAGCTTGTGTATCACCACTTGGCTCCCTTTTAGTCATGTTAATATTATGAAAGGTTCATAGCCCTTTTAAATTCTTCCACTTAAAATTGAATTTCCTTCTCTACGACATGTCCAGGTTGTGAATTGTCCCAATTTTTATGCTCTGCTTCCCTTTTAAATATAAGTTCCAATGTTAAGTCATTTATTTGCTCTCATATCTGATGAAAGGTTATTAGGAGCAGCCATGCCACTCTGGCATGTCTTGCTGTTTAGAAATTTCTTTTACCAGATACCCTAAGTCATCACCCTTACGTTAAACCTTACACAAAGCTGTAGGATGTGAACAAAATGCAGCCAAGCTCTTTGCTAGATGTAACCTAGGTAAACTTTACTTGAATTCCCCAAAAGTTCCTTATCTTCATCTAAGACCTCATCATCCTGACCTTCAGTGTCCATATTTCTATCAACATTTTTGTCACAACCACTTAACAAGACCCTAAGCAGTTTCAAAGTTGCCCTTCTCTTCCTGTCTTCTGGGCTTTTTGAACTCTTCCAACCTCTGCTCTTTACCCATTTCCAAACTGCTTCCACGTTTTCAGGTATCTTTATAGCAACACCTCACTCCTTGTTACCAATTATCTGCATTAGGCCATTTTTGTATTGCTATTAAGAAATACCTGAGACTGAGTAATTTACAAAGAGTAGAGATTTAAATGGTTCAAGGTTCTGCAGGCTTTACAGGAAGCATGGTGCCAGCATCTGCTCAGTTTCTGGAGAGGCCTCAGGAAGCTCTTAATCATGGCAGAAGATGAAGGGGGAGCAAATTAATCACATGGTGAGAGCAGGAACAAGAGAGAGAAAGGAGATGTACCACACATTTTTACAGAACCAGATCTTGTGTGAACTCGTAATGAGAACTCACTCATTACAAAAAAAAAAAAAAAAAAAAAAAGTGGTGCTAAGCCATTCATGAGGGATCTACCCCCATGATCTAAACACCTCTCACCAGTCCCCACCTCCAACACTGGGGATTACATTTTGACATAAAATTTAGAGGCGACAAACATCCAAGCCAAGCTAGTAGCACTATGGCACTAGACCATTTTAAGGAGAGCAGACAAAAATGAACTCAGGACCACTCGCAGTAGCTGACTTTAGATGTCAAAACTACTTTTTGAATGTAATAACTCAATACTGCAAAATATAAGTTTCTTCAATTTGATTCATAAATTGAACTTCAGTGCAAATCAGACAACTAGTGGGATTTTTGTTCAGAACTTGATAAATTAATCCTAGATTTTACTTGAAAGAAAAATTGTGTAAGATTAGTCATTTAAAATTAATTGGAATAATGAGGACATAGGTCTTGCCCTAGCAGTTATATAACATAATGTAAATGTATAACAGTTACAGTATTTGGGTACTAAAAGAGGAATAAACATATACATCAATGGAATAAAAGGGAAACACAAAACAAGGTTAATTCCCATAGCAAATAATAAAATTGACATTTCAAATTAGTAATGAAAGGATGTGTTTTTCAATATATATTTTAAACATAATTAGCTATTTGAAAATAAATTAGTTAAAACTCTTAACTTTGAAATAAGAATACATTTCAGGATATTTAGGCTTTCAATGTATAAGCAAAACTTGTAAACAAAAATGTATGGGAATGTTTTAGTTTTACCTACAAGAAGGCATTTCTAAGTGTGATGTGAAATTCAGAAGCTTTAAAGTAAAAAACAAACGTTTGAGAATATAAAATTATATTTTCTTTCACAAAAATGTAAGTATACCTGTATACACATATATATATATACACATATATTTTTACACATACTATATATATTGTATGTGTATGTGTATAATAGTGTTAAAAGAAATGACAAGCCAGGAAAATAATTCCAACATATAGGCCACATGAAGGGTTAGTATCCTTGCTACATAAAAATTTATCACATGGAAATTTCCTCTTAAGCTAAAATTCTATGGTGGTTGGTGAATTTTCTGATTGTACCATTGTACTGCATCCTAAACTGCTGGAGAATATGTGAAGTCTGAGAAAAATCCCTAGGGTAATTATGTCCTGGCCATTATTTCTCTTCCTCCACCAAAAAAAAAAAAAAATGATACTCTACCTTGGACTTTATGCTGTATTCATTTACTTTGCATGCCATTTACTTATACTTTATCTCCTTAGTTTCACAGAGTCAACCTTAAAGAGTGTTTTTTCCTATTAAAACAAAACAATTAACGCAGGGCTGCAAATTTAGCTTTACTGCTAACAGGGAGTAATAGGTTATAATCACTGCATCATTCTGGCAGTAAGATTTTAAGTCACAGGTGTATATAAGACTAGTTATTAACTCATTTTACAGAAATATTTTAATCAGAAAACTCCTTTTTTTTTTCAGAACAAGTTTATAAAAGCATAATTCAGCATTCAAAACTATTCTGAGATTCTGCATCCCAGCCTCTCAGAACCTGGTTCTTTCTGTATTTACCAATAGGAAAATATTGCTAATCCCATTAAGTACACCATGCTAATGTAAGGAACTTCAGAATTTTTCCTCTCCTCTTATATATGAACAGTTTTCAACATTAATCTTTTAAAGATAACTCCGTTTATTATCCATTTTTAGTATCTGAAACCCAGAAGTGATTTTTAATGGTTAGAATTTAAGCTCCTAAGAGGAAATAATATCAATAAAATTGACATTATTGGGAATGCTGTCTTTGGACAGATGACAATACCTATTTGTACAGTATATACTGCTTAGTGCATCTGCCATTAATAGGGCCTTGCTTTGAATTAACAGCAGTTTATAACTTTGAATTCACTTTGTATAAAATAGATGATCATTATCAGTATTCAGGAAAGGGAAAATCCAATCATGAAAGGATTCATTACAGGTGAGAATTCTAAGAACTTGAGACTGAAATAAGATAATATTGCCTATGAATACAACCTCTTACTGTAAGCTTAGGGTAATTTACTAATTTGGCATTTCGAAGTAAAAGTACAACATCCATTTCTTATGTTAACAGACATATTTTTGCCTTATTGCTAGCCTCATCATATACAGGCATTAAAATACATTAATATTATTTAAAAAATGGAATATTACATAAGTAAGTTTAAATGCATTAAAAATATAATTCATTAAACCATCTACTAGTATTAATGAACTTACAAAGTAGGCTATTTTTTTTAAATATAATTCTTATGTGTGTAATATAAAAATTTGTAACAGAGCAGAATACATAATAAACTATATTTCTTTGTATGACATATATGGTACGATTTGCCATATAAGGTACGATTGCTGAGTTAATTATTTTACTTAATAGCTAACTGGATCCAAATAAACAGTAAACCTACAAAAGAAAATTTCCAGTGAATTTATACAAGAAGTAGAAGAACATGAACATTTCTGTATAAGAATATTTATTTATTTTTATTTATCTACATCTGCATCTATTGTTATACCAACAGTGGACGAGGCACTGTAGTAACAGTTGTATTTGCACTATTCCATTTAATTTTTTTATTTTTATTTTTATTTCTTTTTGAGACAAAGTCTCACTCTGTCACCCAGGCTGGAGTGCAGTGGCACGATCTTGGCTCACTGCAACCTCTGCCTCCTGTGGTCAAGTGATTCTCCTGCCTCAGCCTCCTGAGTAGCTGAGATTATAGGTGTGCACCACCACTTCTGGCTAATTTTTGTATTTTTTCATAGAGACGGGGTTTCACCATGTTGGTCAGGCTGGTCTCGAATTCCTGACCTCGTGATCCACCCGCCTTGGCCTCCCAAAGTGCTGGGATTACAGGTGTGAGCCACCGTGCCCAGCCTCCTTTTAATTTTTCCTACAATGATTTGAGTGGAAATTAGAACCCAGAGATGATTTCAAAGCACAGGCATTTTGTCATTATACATGCAACCACTTTTTAAATTCAGCAAGCATATAAGGGCCTTAATATACTTGGTACAGCTTGAAATCTGAGAGAAAATCTGAGCACTGTTGCAAAAAGAACTTTCCTCCAGTTTGACTTTGGGAAACAAACGCAGAAAAGTGCATGCTTTATGTTTAAAATGAGTGAAATATGAATGCACAGTTTTATACTATCAATGTCATTCCACTTTTAATTCAATTTGATTTTTATCTCAGCCTAAATGGGATACAAGATTAAATCACAGATTTCAATTTTCCACTTTTACCTCAAGAGGCAAGTTTTGGCAAGTCTAAGGTCTAGGTTTGTGCATTTTACCACTTCGTAGAACATCTATCAAAGTGGACAGACCTTGTTTCTTTATTTCTAAATCTCTTCATATTGAGAAACATTTGAACTGCTAAATATTTAAATCTCTATTAAATCGTTCTGAAATTAAAAATACATGATTTATAAGTAGCCCAAACAAGTGATAAGAAACTAATTTGCTTTGATTTCTTAACATCATAATTTCTTGATGTCATTGCAGGTACTAAGTTAGCCCTTTTCTATCAGGTGAAGCTACATATAAAATTATTGTGCTTGGTCAATATTTACTTAACTAGTGAGCATTTTCAGTCCCATAAAACAGAGAAATATGGCATACCATTTTTTAAAATAGAGAAAATAATTGTGCACAATAAAAATAACTTTACACAACCACTGTGTTTTTGTTTCATATCAATCTTTTTCTATCTATACATATTTATGTTTCCATAATTTTCATCATACATACCATTATTACCAGCATTATTCTATCTTTAAATAAATTATAGCTTGGATAAAATGAAACTGGCTATTCTTTTAAAACTTAAAAAAACTTTTATTATTTATCTACTCTTTATATATATATTTATAAAAGCTACATGTTATTGAATGCTACTATATCCGAGGAATTGTGTTCAGGATTGGCTACATAATTTTTATGGCTCAGTGCCAAAGGAAAATGTGAGGTTGCTTACTCAAAACAACAGAGAAAGGAGGGGGTCGAGCAAAATGGAGGAATACAAGGCTCCACTAATCATCCCCGCGACAAGCATACCAATTTAACAACTATCTACATACAATTAAAAGCACCTTTGTAAGAACAAAAATGCAGTGAACACTCACAGTACCTGGTTGTAATATCATATTACTGAAAAAGGCACTAAAGGGGTTTAAAAAAAGGCTTGAACCCCTGGCGCCATTCATCCCCCATCCCCCATTACCAGCGGCACGCTGTGAAGAGCATCTCTGGGTGCTGGGGGAGCGAGATCACAGCAATTATTAGACAAGGAACTCAGTGCTGTCCTATTAGAGCAGAAAGGAAAGCCAAACCAAATCCAGCTGATGCCTACCCACAGAAAAGGCATTTAAACCAGTCCCAGCCAGAGGGCAATCACTGATCCCAGTGGTCAGAATTTGACTTCCTGTAAGAATCACCCCCACGTGTTACAGGGCTCTGGGGACCCAAATAAACTTAAAAGGCAGTTAAAGTCACAAGAACCGCAACACCTAGGCGAAACCTAGGGCTGAACTGGGCCCAGAGACAGTGGATTGGGAGGGCAAGTGACATACTGAGACACCAGCTGGGGCATCCAGGGGAGTATTGGCATAATTCTTCCCCTAACCCCAGGCTGCATAGCTCCTGGCTCCAAAAGAGGCCCTTTCCTTCCGTTTGAGTAGACAAGAGGGAAGACTGAGGAGGACTTTGTCTTGCATCTTGGATGCCAGCTCAGCCACAGCAGAATAGGGCACTGCTCAGAGTTGTGAGGACCCCTTTTCAGGCCCTAGCTCCTATACATTTCTGTTCACACCCTGGGCCAGAAAGAAACATGATGCCTTGAAGCAAAGGACCCAGTCCTGGCAGGATTCATCACCTGCTAACTGAAGAACACCTGGGCCCTAAGTAACCAGAAGCAATACCCACGTACTATGTTGAGGGCTGTAGGTGAGACTCAGAATTTCTAGCTTCAGATGAGACTCATCCTAGCTGTGGTGGCTATTGGATGAGAATCCATAAGTTTCAGAAAAGTAGAAAGAAAACTAATGAGGACTTTGTCTCGCACCTTAGGTACCAGCTCAGCCACAGGCGGGTAGAGCACCAAGTGGGCTCTTGGGTTCTTCAATTCCAGGATTTGGCTCTTTAGACAGCATTTCTGGACATTTCCTGGGCCACAGGGGACCCAATACTCTGAAGGGTTACTCGTAGGCCAGACAGCATTCACTTCACCACGAGCTGACTGAAGAGCCCTTGGGCTTTAAGGAATCATTGGTGGTAGTAGTCTGACAGTACTAACCATGGGCCTGAGGGGGCAGTGGCCATAAAATGAGGCTCCTCTGCCTTTTAAAAAAAAAGGAGGAAAGAGTGAGAAAGACTGTGTCTTATGATTTGCGTGTCAGCTCAGCTCCAGTACAATAGAATGCCATGTAAATATCTAAGGTTTTTGACTGTAGTCTCTTGCTCTCAGATGGCTCCTCTGGACCCACCCACGGCCTAGGAAAACTCACTACCCTGAAGGAAAGGACATTGGTCTGGCTGGCTTTCGCACCTGTTGATTCTAAAGCCTCAGTGCTTTGAGTAAACTTAGGTGGTACCAAGGAAGTGGTTAGGCGAGACTCATTGCTTTGCTGGCTTCTGGTCTGACCTAGCACAGTCCTGTGGGTGGTGGCAGCAGGGATGCTTGTGTCACTTCATCTCCAGCTCCAGGTGGCTCAGAAAAGAGAGTGACAGAAAGACTCCCTTTGTATTGGAGAAAGTAAGGGAAAAGAACAAGAGTCTGACTGGTTATCCAGAGAATTCTTCCAGACCTTCTACCTCTATGGGTCTGTAAGAACAACAGCATTACTAGGTTTGGGCTCCCCCTAAAAACAGATATAGCCTAGATACAACATTCAAGGTTCTTTGAATATCTGGAAAGCCTTCACAAGAAGGACAGGTACAAACAAGCCCAGCATATTAAGATTACAATAAATACATAAATCTTCAATGCCCAGACACACACAAAAAACAATATACAAGTATCAAAACAATCCAGGGAAACATAACCTCAACAAATGAACTAAATAAGGCACCAGGGATAAATTCTGGGGAAACGTAGATATGTCAAATTTCAGACAGAGAATTCAAAGTAGCTGTCTTGAGGAAACTCAAAGAAATTCATGATAACACATAAAATGAATTGAGAATTTTTTCAGATAAATTTAACAAGCAGATTGAAATAATTAAAAAGAGTCAAGCAGAAATTCTGGAGTTAAAAAATGCAGTTGGCATACTGCAGGTTGCATCAGAGGCTTTTTAAAAAATTTTTGCTTTAATTTCTGGGATACATGTGCAGAACGTGCAGGGTTGTTACATAGGTATACATGTGCCATTGTGATTTGCTTTACCTATCTACCTGTCATCTAGGTTTTAAGCCCCACATGCATTAGGTATTTGTCCTAATCTTCTCCCTCCCCTTGCCTCTCATCCCCCGACAGGCCCTGGTGTGCGATGCTCCCCTCCCTGTGTCCATGTGTTCTCATTGTTCAACTCCTACTTATGAGTGAGAACATGCGGTGTTTGGTTTTCTGTTCCTGTGTTAGTTTGCTGAGAATGATGGTTTCCAGCTTCACCCATGTCCCTGCAAAATGCTTGAACTCATTCCTTTTTATGACTGCATAGTATTCCGTGGTGTATATGTGCCGCATTTTCTTTATCCAGTCTATCATTGATGGGCATTTGGGTTGATTGTAAGTCTTTGCTATTGTAAATAGTAGGGCAATAAATATACGTGTGCATGTGTCTTTATAGTAGAATGATTTATAATCCTTTGGATATATATCCAGTAATAGGATTGCTGGGTCAAATGGTATTTCTGGTTCTAGATCTTTGAGGAATCACCACGCTGTCTTCCACAATGGTTGAACTAATTTACTTTCCCACCAACAGTGTAAAAGCATTCCTATTTCTCCACAGCCTCACCAGCATCTGTTGTTCCCTGACTTTTTTTTTTTCTTTTTTTGAGGGGGGTGATGGAGTCTCTGTTGCCTGGCTGGAGTGCAGTGGCATGATCTCGGCTCACTGCAACCTCCACCTCCTGGGTTCAAGCGATTCTCCTGCCTCAGCCTCCCGAGTAGCTGGGACTACAGGCACGTGCCACCACGCCCAGCTAATTTTTGTATTTTTAATAGAGACAGGGTTTTACCATGTTGGTCAGGATGTTCTCCATCTCTTGACCTTGTGATCCACCCTCCTCGGCCTCCCAAAGTGCTGGGATTATAGGCGTGAGCCACCACACCCGGCCTTCCTGACTTTTTAATGATTGCCATTCTAACTGGTGTGACATGGTATCTCATTGTGGTTTTGATTTGCTTTTCTCTAATGACCAGTGATGATGAGCTTTTTTTCATATGTTTGTTGGCTGCATAAATGTCTTGTTTTGAGAAGTGTCAGTTCATATCCTTCACCCACCTTTTAATGGGGTTGTTTGTTTTTTTCTTGTAAATTTGTTCAAGTTTCTTGTAGATTCTGGATATTAGACCTTTGTCAGATGGGTAGCTTGCAAAATTTTTCTCCCATTCTGTAGGTTTCCTATTTATTCTGATAATAGTTTCTTTTGCTGTGCAGAAGCTCTTTAGTTTGATTAGATCACATTTGTCAATTTTGGCTTTTGTTGCTATTGCTTTTGGTGTTTTAGTCGTGAAGTCTTTGTCCATGCCAGTGTCCTGAATGGTATTGCCCAGGTTTTCTTCTAGGGTTTTTGTGATTTTGGGTTTTACATTTAAGTCTTTAATCCATCTTGGACTAATTTTTGTATAAGGTGTAAGGAAAGGGTCCGGATTCAGTTTTCTGCATATGGCTAGCCAGTTTTCCCAGCACCATTTATTAAATAAATAATTTTTTCCCCATTGCTTGTTCTTGTCAGGTTTCTCGAAGACCAGATGGTTGTATATGCGTAGTGTTATTTCTGAGGTCCATCAGAGGCTTTTAATAGCAAAATTGTGAAGAGAAGAATTAGTGAGCATGAAGACAGGCAATTTGGTAATAGTCAGAGGAGACAAGAAAAAAAAAAAGAACAAAAAACAGTGAGGCACACCAGGGAGATCTGGAAAAGGTCCTCCAAAGGGCAAATCTATGAGTTATTGGCCTTAAAGGTGAGGCACAGAAAGAGATAGAAGTAGCAAGTTTATTCAAAATGATAAAAGCAGAGACCTTTCCAAACCTAGAGAAAGTTACTAATATTCAAGTACAAGAAGGTAATGGCACACCATGCAGATTTAACCCAAAGACGACTTCCTCAAGGCATGTAATAACAAAACTCCAAAGGTCAAGTATAGAGAAAGGATTCTAAAAGAAGCATGAGAAAAAAAAATAACACACAATGGTGCATCAATATGTCTGGCAGCAGATCTTTTTAGTAGAAACCTTACAGGCTATGAGAGAGTGGCATGACATATTGAAAATGCTGAAGGAAAAACTTTCACCCTAGAGTAGTATATCTGGTGAAATTATTCTTCAAACATTAAAGAGAAGAAAGACTTTCCCAGACAAACAAAACCGAGGCATTTTTATCAACACAAGATATGTCCTACAAGTAATACTAAATGGAGTACATCATTCAGGAAGAATATAATGTTAATGAGCAATAAGAAATCATTTGAAGGTAAAAGATTACTGGTAATAGAAGATACACAGAAAAACTCAAAATATAACACCATCAGTGTGGTGGGTAAACTACTGTTAAGTAGAAAGATTAAATATTGAACCAATAAAAAATAATAACTTCAACAACTTTTCAAGACACAGTAGCACAATAAGGTACAAATTGTAACAACAAGTTATAAAGTGACAGGACGAAATTAAGACAGAGAGTGTTTATTAATTTTATTTGTGTTTGTTTTTTGTTTATTCATGCAAAAAGTGTTAGGTTATTTTCACCTTAAAATAATGGCTTATAAGATATTAATAGCAAGGCTCCTGGTATCATCAAACCAAGAAAATACAATAAATACATCAAAAATAAAAAGGAAGAAATTAAATCATATCACCAGAGAAAATAACCTTCACTAAAAGGAATGCAAATGAACACAGAATGGCTGAATAGATAAAAAATAGCAAGACCCATTGATTTATTGCCTACAAGAAACATACGTCACCTATAAAAAAACAGAGATTGAAAATTTAAAATATGGAAATAGATATTCCATGTCATTGGAAACCAAAAAAGGGCTGCAGTAGCTAAACTTGTGTCAGACAAAACAGATTTCAAGACAAAAACTATAAAAATAAAGAAGGACACTATATAATTGTAAAGGTATCAATGCAGCAAGAATATATAACAATTTTAAATATATGTGTACCTAATATTGGAGCACACAGATATACACAGCAAATATTATTAGAGCTAAAGAGAGAGATAGATTCCAATCTCTGGAGTCTTCAATAGCTGGACACTTCAACACCCCACTTTCACCTATAGACAGATCATCCTGACAGAAAATCAACAGGAAAACATGGAATTTAATCGTCATTATAGACCAAATAAATCAATAGATATTTACAGAACATTTCATCCAATGAATGCAGAATACACATTCTTTTTCTCAGCACACAGATTATTCTTAAGGATAGACCATATGTTAGGTCATAAAACAAGTGTGAAAACATTCAAAATATTGAAATAATATCAAGCATCTTCTCTGACCACATTGGAATAGAACCAAAAATCAATTAGAAGAGAAATTTTGGAAACTATACAAATACATGGAAATTGAACAATATGCTCCTGGGATGACCAGGGGGTCAATAAAAAAAATAAGAAAAAACTTAAAAATTATTGATATAGATGATAGTGGAAAGAAAACATACCCAAACCTATGATATACAGCAAAAGCAGTACTAAGAGGGAAGTTTATAGCTATAAGTGCCTACATCAAACACGAAGGAAAACATCAAATAAAAAATGTAATGATGCATGTTAAAGAATTAGAAAAGCAAGAGCAAACCAAACCCAAAATTAGTAGTGCAAAAGAAATAATAAGTGGAGAAATAAAATTGAAATTATAAATAACAATACAAGAGATCAATAAAACAAGAAGTTGCTTGTTTGAAATTTAAACAAAATTGACAAACATTTACCCAGACTAAGAGAGAGGATACAAATAAGTAAAATCAGAAATGAAAAAGAAGACATTACGACTGGTACTGAAGAAATTCAAAGGATCATTAATGGCTACTGTAAGCAACTATGTGCCAATAAATTGGAAAATCTAGAAAAATGGACAACTTCTTAGACCCATACATGCTACCAAGACTGAATCAGGAAGAAATCCAAAACCTGAACAGACCAATAACAAGTAATGAGATTGAAGCCATGCTAAAAAGTCTTTCAGTAAAAAATAAATAAATAAATAAATAAATAAAAATCTGGGGCCCAATGGCTTCAATGCTGAATTCTATCAAACATTTAAAGAATAAATAGCAATTTTACTTTAACTATTCTGAAAAATAGAGGAGGAGAGAATATTTCCAAACTCATCTATGAGGCTGGTATTGCCCTTATAACAAAATCAGACAAAGACACGTGAATAAAAGAAAACTACAGGCTAATATCTCTGACAAATAAAGAAGCAAAAATCCTAAAGAAAATATTAGGAAACCAAATTCAAAAATACATTACAAAGACCATTCATCATGACCAAGTGGGATTTATCCATGTGATGCAATATATACGTCATTTTAACAGAATGAAGGACAAAAATCATAGGATTGATTGGCAGTGTCCCACCTGTCTTCTCCTCAGACTCTGCCAGGTTGAGACACTCCCCATTTCTCCCCACGCAGCCATGGTTCAGCTGTTTTTCCTAGCCACCAGTGACTCTGTCAGCTTAAACTCGGACTACAGTCTGTGTCACTACAACCTGCCCCAAAGCACCCTGCTCATTTACAATAGCTTTGCCCAGTTTCTAGTTTAGGAGAAAGGGTATGATAAGGAAATGCTCAATGTGACCCCAGAGGATTGGTCTTTCTGTTTCAAGGGTTTGGCATTGGAGTTAGAAGATGAGAATTTCATTAAATTTGCAGATAATGGCACTCTTCTCAGTGTAAGCCATGGCAACAATATGCTGACTCCAGAGGTGCTGGCAGAGGCATATGGCAAGAAGGAGTGGAAGCAGTTCTTGTTGGACACTGGAATGGCTTGCCACTCAGGAAGGTACTGTTTCATGATAACTGCTTTGACTTTCCAGTAACTCTTTAATGTGCCAGAGTGGTGGACTATTTAACAAAACCAAACAATGGTCAAAAACCCTTTTATTTTTGGAAGGATATATTTGCTGGTATTCAACACAATTACAAAATGTCAGCTTTTAAGGAAAACTGTGGTATATATTTTCCAGAAATAAAAAGAGATCCAGGCAGATATTTGCACAGTTGTCCTGAATCTGTTAAAAAAAAAAAAAAAAAGAAAAAAATGGCTTCAACAGCTAAAGAATACTGGGAAAACGATTGTGTTAATTACCAGTTCTCGCAGTGATTATGGTAGGTTTCTCTAAGAATATGTCATTGAGAATGATTTTGAAGACCTTTTTGACATTGTGATTACAAATGTGTTGAAGCTTGTTTTCTTCTTTCATTTACTAAGTCAGAGGCCTTTCCAGAGACTCGAGAATAATGAAGAGCAGCAGGCACTGCCATCTCTGTAAGCCTGGCTGGTACTCCCAAGAGAATGCTGTCCACCCCTGTAAAGTTCTGAAGAAAATGACTGGCAAACCTGAGCCCAAGGTTGTTTATTTTGGTGACAGCATGCATTCAGATGTTTTCCTGGCTCATCACTGTAATGGGAGACAGTCCTTATCCTGGAGAAACTGAGAAGGGATGAAGTGGCTCATCACTGTAATGGGAGACAGTCCTCATCCTGGAGGAACTGAGAGGGGATGAAGGCATGAGGTGTCAGAGGCCTGAGGATTGAGGGCCTCTAGGAAAGGAAAGAAAATATAAGGGACCAAAGGAAAAGTATTTAAGTAGTTCATCTAAAAAATTGGGCTCTTTATTGATACTGAAAAATACAGAATACTCCTTGGTTTATACATGGTCATGTAAAAGAATCAGTATTTAGAGCACTATTGCAATCCCACGTATTGAAACAATTGCAGAATTGCCTCTGAACTACTAACTTATAAGATTCTCTTCAAGCAATTTGAAAGCACCTGGCTACTATTCAAACCTTCCATTGGTCTTATCAAATGATGAGACACTGATAATCAACTAAGTTATCTATGGAAAAATGAAGAACAATATATGCAGTAAAAAAAGTTAGTTTTCAAAAAATACTGTAAAAGGCTTTATAAGAACAAGTTTTTAATGAAAATTCACCAATAAGTTGATATTTGTCCACAGATCTCCTTTCTATATAAATCATCTTGATGTTTAACAACTCTTATTATGTTAAAATCTCTGTGTCTCAGAACTTAAGCAACCTTATTGGTATTTTCTATACCAAGAGTTTTGAGATTAGAATTCACCTGAGGAGATACACACACACACACGAGAGAGAGAGAGAGAGAGAGAGAGAGATACACACACACACATTTACACAGATGCCTAGTCCAATCATTCTCAAAGTGTGGTCCACAGACCAATAGCATAGCATTACCTGAGAACTTGATAATGCAAATTTGCGGGCCTCACCCTCCCAAACCTACTGAATCAGAAGCTCTGAGAGTGAGGCCTACCAATCTGTGTTTTAACAAGCTCTTCAGGTGATTCTGATTCACACTACAGTTTTAGAACCACTGATTAGACCACATCCTCCAGGGACTGGTTTAATTGATTTGGGTAAATATAGCTGAGCATTGATATCTCTTATATGTCCCAGGAAAGTGCATCCAGAACTTACAGCAACTCGTCTATACCAATTCCTTCAAGTAATAGCCAAGAACACTGAATCCAGTGAGATTAAGTAATTTTTCCAAGAAATTAAGTTTTATCCTATTCCTGTGTTTTCCAAAACAAGAAAATAGACCTGATTTCTTCTGAGATCATTCAGCCAGCACAGACCAGTGATAGTCTAGAAGTCAACTATCTCAACCTCCATTGTTACCCATTAGGTTTTTTCCCCTCTAATAATGTTAAAGGCTATTTAAAGTTTACAATATAGGTTTCTGGTTACTCTTTATGCTGCAATTTCACTCTACCTATCATGGGCAGTATCAGAAAACACACCGGTAACCATCATTATTTTACTTGAATTGTAGTATGGAATTTAACATATTGATTCCTGCAATGGAAAGAAAAAAATTTTGTTAAAATTTGTAAATGTTCAGATAAATCACAGCTATACTGTGAGATGAATATCTCAGGGTCAGTGAAAAATTAGTAAAATATTTCCCTCAAAGTTGGTAGATTTATGTGATAGCTACTAATAAGCATATGGTGATATACTTAGAACTTATTTCCAGAATGTCATTGCAATATTATAGTGATCATACACAATTAACTTGGGATTAAATGAAAGATGCTATCTCAAGTATACTTTAAGTAATTGATTTATTTAAAAATAAAGCTTTTTTTTCTTAAAAAAATCCTGTAAGATTATTTTAGTTGATGCTGAAAAAGCATTTGGTAAAATTCAACATTCCTTAATGATTAAAAAATGACAAAACATCAATTTAGAAGAAACATGCCACAACATAATAAAAGTCATATATGAAAGACCCACACATAGTATCATACTGAATGGAGAGAAACTGAAAATGTTTCCTCTAAGATCTGGAAAATGAAAAGAATGCCTAATTTCCCAACTGTTATTCTACATAATACTTGATATTGTTTGCCTGTGTCCCCACCCAAATCTCATCTTGAATGGTAGTTTCTATAATCCCCACATGTCTTGGTAGGGACCCTGTGGGAAGTAAGTGAATCATGGGGGTGAATCTTTCCTGTGCTGTTTTCATGATAGTGAATAAGTGTCAGGAGATCTGACGGTTTTATAAAGGGCAGTTCCCCTGCACATGCTCTCTTGCCTGCCACCATGCAAGACATGCATTTGCTCCTCCTTCACCTTCCACTATGTGAGGCCACCCCAGCCATGTGGAACTGTGAGTCCATTAAACATCTTTTTCTTTATAAATTACTCAGTCTCAGGTATGTCTTTATTAGCAGCATTTAGAACAGACTAATATAGCAAATTGGTACCAGTAGAGTGAGGTGTAAAGCTGTTGTAAAGATACCCAAAAATGTGGAAGTGACTTTAGAACTGGGTAACAGGCAGAGGTTGGAACAGTTTGGAGGGCAGAAGAAGACAGGAAAATATGAAAAATTTTGGAACTTCTTAGAAACTTGTTGAATCACGTTGACCAAAATTATGATAATGATATGGACAATAAGTCCAGGTTGAGGTGGTCTCAGGTGAAGATGAGAAAGTTGCTGGGAAATGGAGCAGAGGTTACTCTTGTTAAGCTTTAGGAAATAACAAAAACAAAAAACTGGTGGCATTTTGCCCCTGCCCTAGAGATCTGTGGAACTTTATACTTGAGAAAGATGGTTTGGAATTGGAACTTATGTTTAAAAGGGAAGCGGAGCGTAGAAGTTTGGAAAATTTGCAGCCTGATAATGTGATAGAAAAGAAAACCCATTTTCTGAGGAGAAATTTAAGCAAGCTGCAGAAATTTGCACAAGTAACGAGGAGCCAAATGTTAATTAACAAGACAATGAAGAAAATGTCTCCAGGGCATGTTAGAGATCTTCACAGCATACAAAAAGGTGCTCAACATCATTGATTATCAGAGAAATGCAAATAAAAACTACAATGAGATATTATCTCACCCCAGTTAAAATAGCTTATATCCAAAAGTCAAGTAATAACAAATGCTGCTGAGAATGTGGAGAAAAGGGAACTCTTGTACACTGTTGGTAAGAATGTAAATTACTTAAATATCATTAATTCCCACCTTGTTTGAATCAGCCTTCACTAAAATTAAAAATTAAAACCAAAGTCATAGAGATTTAATAAAAGAAACCATCATTATATGTGAAGATTATGAGAATAGAATAAACTGAACTAATCATTAGACTAGAAAACATTTATCAGTTAGATACTTTAAAGAAAGGAATAATATAAGCATAAGCCAGTGAAGGAATATAAGTCTTCTCCTGTATGTATATCTTTTCTTTATTTAATAAACTTGGTTACTTTGCTTAACAAAGAATGTGTCTGCATTCTACTCTAACTTAATACCAGTGCAATAAGCGAGAACTGATATTTCATTGTAATAGTGAATCTGAGTATATAATTACTTGTTTGTTGTCCATTTGTATTCCCCCCCCCCACCTTTTTTATTGATATAAGAGGCTTCATAATCATTTACCACTAATTTGGAAGATTGCAAAAAAAATGTTACCAGAATCTGGCATAGCCTTACTTTTCATTACTTCTTGAAGGCATTGCCAAGGATTCTTTCTTTTCTGCTAGGTTCATGGGTGTTATTTGTAAGGAATAAAGACTTTTATAGATATGACATTCCACATCATAAATAAAAAATCACAGGAAATTACAAAGAAGTAACTCAAAATCGCTCTAAAATACTACCACCTTGAAATATCCATTATTAATATTTGTATACAAGAAGTCTTTGTGAAGATTTTTTTAATTTTTCTTTTTATATATTTATGGGGCACAAGTGCAATTTTGTTACATCAATATATTGTATAGTGGTGAAGTCTAGGCTTTTAGTGTGACCATCACTGCATACTGTACATTGTACCCATTAGGTAATTTCTCATTCCTTACTACTCTCCTGCCCTCCCATCTTTCCAAGTTTCCGATGTCTATTATTTCACTCTCTATTGTTCTTGTGTACACATTATTTAGATCCTGCTTATAAGTGAGAACATGCAATATTTGACATTCTGTTTCTGAGTTATTTCACTTAAAATAATGGCTTCCAGTTCCATTCATGTTACTCAAAAATACATAATTTTATTATTTTTTACAGCTGAGTAGTACTCCATGGTACTACTCAGGTATACAAACACACACACACACACACACACACACACACACACACACACACCCCACATTTTCTTTATCCAATTAATCCATTAATAGACACTTAGTTTGATTCCATATCTTTGCTACTGTAAATAGTGTTGTGACAAATATCCAAGTGCAGGTACTTTTTGATATGATTATTTATTTTCCTTTTTCTTTCAGGTAGATACCCAGCAGTAGAATTGCTGGACTGAATGGTATTTCTATTTTTAGTTTTTGAAAAATCTCCATATTGTTTTTGAAAGTTTCTACAAATTTAAATTCCCTCCAACCAGGCATAAGCATTCCCTTTTCTCTGCATCTTCACCAACAATACCAGTTGGTTTTTGACTTTTTAATAACAGCCATTCTGACTGGTATAAGATGGTATCTCACTGTGGTTTGAATTTGCATTTATAGGATAAATAGTAATGTTGAGGATTTTTTGATGTTTTTTGGTCACTTGTATGACTTCTTTTGAAAAATGTCTGTTTATATCCTTTGCCCACCTTTTAGTGGGTTTTTTCTTGAGTTGTTTGAGTTCCTTGAAGATACTAGATATTACTCTTTTGTCGGATGCATAGTTTGCAAATATTTTCTCCTATTCTGTAGGTTGTCTTTTCACTCTGTTTTCACTCTGTTAATTATTTCTTTTGCTATGCAGAGAATATTTATTTTCAAAAAGTTTCATTTGTCTATTTTTGGTATTGTTGCATTTGCTTTTGAGGACTTAGTCATAAATTTTTTGCCTAGGCCAATGTCCAAAATAGTTTTTTTCTTAGGTCTACTTCTAGAATTTTTCTAGTTTCAGGTCTTAATTTAAGTCTTTAGCCCATTTTGATTTAATTTTTGTATATATTGAAAAATAGGGGTTTAGTTTTATTCTTCTGCATGTGGCTACCCAATTATGCCAGCAACATTTATTGAAGAGGGTGTCCTTTCCCCAGTGTTTGTTTTTGTCAGCTTTGTCAAAGAACAGTATGCTGCAGGTATGTGGCTTTATTTTTGGATTCTCTATTCTTTTCCATTAAGCTATGTGTCTATTTTTATATCAGTACCATACGGTTCTGGTTATTCTAGCCTTGTAGTATAATTTGAAGTCAGGTAATGTGATGTGCCCAACTTTGTTCTTTTTTGCTTAGGATTGCTTTGGATTTTTGGTTCAATATGAATTTTAGGATTGTGTTTTCTAATTCTGTGAAAACTGACAGTGGTTTAATAAAAATTGTGTTGAATCTATAGATTGTTTTTGGCAGTATGGTCATTTTAATGACATTGATTCTTCTGATCCACGAGCATGGAACGTTTCTTTCATTTGTTTGTGTCATCTATTATTTCTTTCTTCAGTGTTTTGTAGTTTCCTTTGTAGAAATATTTTACCTCCTTAGTTAAATGAATTCCTAAGTTTTTAAGCTGTAGCTATTATAAATGGGATTGAGCTCTTGACTGTTTCTAAGCTTGGCCTTTATTGGTGTATAGAAATGCCACTGATTTGCATACATTGCTTTTGTATCCTGATACTTTTTTGAATTCATTTCCCAAATATAGGAAGGAGTCTTTTGGAAGAGTCTTTATGGTTATCTATGTATAAGATCATGTCACTGGTGAATAGAGATAATTTGACTTCTTGTTTTCTAATTTGGATGCCTTTTCTTTCTTTCTCTTTCCTAATTGATCTGGCTAGGATTTCCATTACTATGTTGAATAGGAGTGGTAAGAGTGGACATCTTTGTTTCATCTTAATCCAGTTCTTTAGGGGAATGCTTTCAACTTTTCCAGGTTCAGTATGATGTTGGCTATGGGTTTGTCATATATGCCTTTTATTATTTTGAGGTGTGTTACTTCTATGCCTAGTTTGTTTAGGGTTTTTATCATGAAGTTATGCTAAGTTTTGTCAAATGCTTTTCTGTATCTATTGAGATATTCATATTGTTTTGTTTTTAAATCTGTTTATGTGGTGAATCGCATTTATTGATTTGCATATGCTGAGCCATCCTTGCATCCCTGATATAAGTTCCACTTGACTATGGTGTATTATCTTTTTGATGTGCTATTCAATTCAGTTTGTTAGTATTTTGTTGAGAATTTTTGTATGTATGTTCATCAGGGACATTGGTCTGTAGTTTTGTTGTTGTTGTGTTCTTGCCTGGCTTTGGTATTAGGTTGTTACTGGCTTCATAGAATGAGTTAGAGAGGATTCCTTCCTCCTTGATTTTTTGGAACAGTTTCAGTAGGATTGGTACCAGTTCTTCTTTGTATGTCTGGTAGAATTCAGCTGTGAATCTGTCGGGTACTGGATATATTTTCCCCCTTGGGAGATTTCTAAATTACCGATTCAATTTCATTACTCATTATTGGTCTGTTCAGGATTTCTATTTCTTTTGGGTGTCTTTCATAAACATTTAAAAATAAGCCATGGACAGAAGGTTTCTTGTGATTCAACTCTGCTGTCTTCAATGAAATTGTCAAAGAGTTGACAATTAGATGGTACTGAATGGACACAGACAAATTTAGTTTCTTTCCCCATTTTAAAAGAATATTTGAAATTTGTCTAAGTAACAGCAAACATCTAGATAAGAAATAATTAGACGCTTACAGCAATTTGATGTCATGTAGGCAATATACCTGAATGTGTATTTACAGTCTGCTTTGCATCTGATTCTGTAGAAACACCCAGATAAATGTATCTGTGGAAAGATAGCATCCTTGAAGATAGCACATGCTTTCCTGATATTTCTATAATATTAAACTAACAACTTACCCTGGTGAAATTCAATTGTGATACATATTCAGAGAAGGGACTTTTGACTTTCAACAAGATAATAACAAATAATAACATTACATGTTGTTTTATAATTTATTCTTCATTAATTTATAAAATTGTACATATAATGTCCCATAGAGGGACTGCTTAGTCTAAAAATAACTCCATGAATCTAATAAATTTTTGAAAACATCTTGGTTATTTTGTTCTTACTTCCAAGAAACAATGGACAATATAATTTATTCTTAATAAAGCTGTGATTCAGCTCTTAAATATGTATATAGCTGATTTCTTACAGATTAAATGCTTAGAAACAAAAAAAGGAAACATAATAATGGAAAAGTTCTCAACTATCCTTCCACAATATTTAGGCACTTTACGCATGATGTCTGTCATCAATGTAAAGTTCAAGCTATCCCCAAGGAAAACTGAGCATTCATTTGGTAAGGAACATGCTCACTTACCAGACATGTCTTCTAAAAGTGAAGAAGGAAGAACACAATGATCCTTTGCATTCTACCTATGAGCTTCATGTAAATATGCCAAGTCTAATGCTGGTAGAAATTATATTAAAGCAAGTTCAAATTATAACAAGGAAACATTTTCTGTCACTGAAGGAAAAGCAGTCTCAATCTGTTTCTACTATTGTACAATATACTTAATAATACTATCTACTTGTAAGATTGTGTGCATTAAATGAGATAATCTACACATCATACTTAGAAGAGCAGAACTCAGCACATAATATGCAATCTTTAAATATTAGCTATCACTACCCATCCCTATACAAATAGACTGGTATATTTTTGTTTGTATAAATTTAAGAGGTGCAGGTGCAATTTTATTATGTGTATATATAGTATAACAGTGAAGTCTTGGCTTTTAGTATATCCATCATCTGAATAATGTACACCATACCCATTAAGTAATTTTTTAAAAATTATGTTAGAACTCTAACTAGTGAGCTGCTTTCTTATTAATGGAATGGAGGAATAAAATTACATTTTGTACTCATACTCTTATTTTCAAGTTGCCAACTAAATGACCTGTACAGTGCCTTTGTTGATTCTAAAGATTATTTCTTTTCTCTTTGTGGAATCCAAGTTTCACTTTCTGGAAGATTTTATGATACCAACAACCAAAATGTACACAAGACTTTACTAAAGAATAGCAAGAAAAGGCCTTCTTTAACTCAATGTCTTGGCATAGAATGCCTTTGTCTAGAAAGGGAAAAGCCAGAGTCACTTTTTCCTTAAAACAATTCACTTATTCCTATTTTCATTGTATTTTCTAATGTCATTTGCTTCAGCAAGATTGGTCATACATCTTCTTCTCAATACTACAAATTCTGCCCATTTTTAAAAGCACTAGCTAACAAACTGCCTTAGTCCATTCTGCTATAATAAAATACCATAAACTTGGTAATTTATAAACAACAGAAATTTATTGCTCATAGTTCTTCAAGCTGGAAAGTCAAATATCAAGGCATTAACAAATTTGATGTCTGGTTGGGACTTGGTCTCTCTTTCATGGAGAGTGCCTTCTAGCTGTGCCTCCATGTGACAGAAGTGAAAGAGGGCATGCTTGAGCCTCTTTTATAAAGGCACTAATCCCGTTCATGAGGATGGAGCCCTTATGGCTCAATCGTTTATCAAAGTCTCCATCTATTCATTCTTTCATATTGGGTATTAGGTTCCAACATATGGATTTGAGGGAGACACCAGAATTCAGACCATAGCAACACCCTCTTCCTCTGTGGAGTTTCCTTTGAGTAATTCAGTGCTCCTTTTCGAAACTTCTGTAACACCTAGCCTTTATTACATGATTTAAGTCCTTGATCACTTATTATCTTGTATTACTTATTTTATTTTGTTTTAGACCTGCTCCATGAATCAAATTATCAGTTTTTTAAAAGAAAAGACAATACCTTCTAATTGCTTTGTACTTTCTAGAAGGCCTAGCCCATTGTATATCTTCAACAGTTATTGATTAAACTGTGTAACCTTGAACATTATCTTTTCTTAATGACAATTTTCTCTTTACAGTATTGCATAGAGCTTTCATTATGTAGAGAAAAATACATATATGTCTGTATAAAAGTAAAACTATAATGAGGTAAGCTATTTTGTAAGTAGAAAGTTATATATTGTCACATTTGCTTTAATGATGTTATTCTACTTTTGTTTCACCTTGAAGATGGTTCTCTTGAATTATAAAGACACCATGAATTGCTTTGAGCTCTCATACAATCTTAAAATTAGACTCAACAATTTAAGGTTTTATAAACACTTCTTACAAGTTTAGTTTTATATTTTCTTCAATGATAGATTGCCACAGTAAATCTATTGCTAAAGAAAGTATATAATGAAATTTTAATATTTCATTTGATGGTTTGGTAGCTTTGGGCTATTGATATTCTAGGAACTACATACACTTATGTTTATTAAGAAAGTGATGAAATTTGAAGCTACATTTTTCCTTTTTACAACATATTTATTTATTTATTTATTGAGACAGGGTCTCTGTCTCCCAGGCTGGAGTGCAGTGTCATGATCTCGGCTCACTGCAACCTCCGCCTCCTGGGTTCAAACAATTCTTGTGCCTCAGCCTCCTAAGTAGCTGGGACTACAGGCATGCAACACCCTGCCTGGCTAATTTTTTTTTTATTTTTAGCAGAGAACAGGTTTTGCCATGTTGGCCAGGCTGGGCTTGAATTCCTGGCCTCAAGTGATACTCCCAACTTGACTTCCCAAAGTGCTGGGATTACAGGCGTGAGCCACCACGCCTGGACACAACAAGCAGCAATTTAAATTTGATATATCAGACTTGTAATAAACCACATTCATTTTAATCATTTTTTTCTTTGTATAACTAAAATTCTCAGAAGCAGTTTTCTATTTTTGTCATCTTTATTTCTCATCAGGAAAATAAACACTATCCATTTGTTCTAAAAGTTGTTTAGAGACCTCTACTCTATTAAAGAATACAACTTTTACAAGACAGAGTTACCTATACATTCAATATTTTCCAGGCATTTTCCTTAGCTATTGTTTAATACATTATTCAAGAATGACACCACTGGATATTTTACTTACTATGAACCATTAAGCTATACATTAAATATTTATTAGAGAAACAATAAATCAGAAAACAGTAATTTTTCTAGAGTTATAATTTAGTACAAATTCAATTGAGTCCACTATCATCATAAATCTTGAAAATCTAATTGCCTCACATGGATTTCTTAGAAAACATAAATCTCTCAAGTTTGACTTTTACAGGAAGGCACATTTTTTCTCTTGTGTAAATTAAGACCCTAGAATGTTCAAATTTGAGAACTTTTAGTTAAGCAAAATAAACTTATTTTGAGTATTTGAAACTGAAGCTCAGAAAGATAAAATGAATTGTCCAAGATCACACAGCTGCATGCTTGGAAAGTTGGGACTAAAATTTGTGTGCTTAATTTCCTTTTTTCATGCTGCTTCTACTACATAATATAGGAAAATCAAATTGGAGTGATTTGAAGCCCTTATTGTTACATCTCTCCCAATAGTCCTGTTTTTGCTCTTCAGGGTAAGAGTTAAATGTTTCTGCTTCCACAAGCAATTACTTATACGTTTAAAAATTAATGTTATGTTCTTGTTTCTGTGTTTTCTCTTTTCTAAATACCTCACCTCCTTAGTCACTCCATTTTGGACAATCTTTGGTTTGTCAAAATCTCTCTCAAACTGCATACTCATAAGCGTAGATCTGGTATGAATCTGAGCTTTTGTAAATCCTGCCCCTGTTAAGTTTTATCCTTCGTCCTACAATAACCTTTCTAAGTACATATTGTTATCATCTTCATCTTATGTATGAGGAGATGGAGATTCAGGGATGTTAAGGAATTTGTTCACAGTCATGTTACATTTAAGCATATGTGACTGTTGTATGTTGTACTAGCATATCCTTATATATCTCTACAAATCTATTGACAAAATTTAACTTTTTAAGCACCTACTATGTAATAGATACTATTATATTTACAAAGAAATATAAGCTGACTTTTCTTCCCTACCTTGTTTTTAAGAAGATTACAATGTTGGTGAGGCTATGTAAAATATATGCATTTAAAAAATCCCTTGAAATACAATATAATATAAATGGCAAACATTATTATGGAGGTTTTTAGGAAGGATAAAACAAGGAAAAAGGGAAAATAACTAACACTTAAACATTGTTTTTATATTTACCATGTGCCAGATGTCAGTGGTTTTTCCATATAAAATACAAATACAAATCTTCAGGGATTTAAGCATTATTCATCTGATTTTAAAGTAACGAAACTAACACTCAGAGGCGGGAAAAAGAAAAGCAAGAAATGTAGAGGGCGTGCTTCTTAGGCACATAATTAAACAGCATAACTGCAGGAAGTCATATTGGAGAATAGCAGGAGACAAGGCAGCAATCCATAGTAAGTAAATGAGTTGAATTTCAGAGGTATCATTCCAAAGGTGTTGGAGGAAATTATTTTCAACATCAGATACTCTAATACTTCGGTATATCTGATTCTAATAAGGACAAGAATCTTGCACACCTGTTCTCGATAATCATTAGTTTTAGAAAGTAAACAGTACTGCTAAAGAGGTGGTGAAGCTAATGCAGAAAGAAAGAAAGTTGAGATGTCAATAAAGAGAATTGTTTTAAATGCCCAATTGGAGTACTGGGGCTCTCCCTCCCTAAGTTAACCTTTCTCTGACGATTATTATTTATTAATACTCCCAACTGGAGATATCAGAGCATATACGCATTTTAAAAATGTAAGTGCAATGGCCAGGAGCAGAGTTCCAGCTTGTAAAGCAGATGTAAATATGTTGTTTTTATACCTTAGGGAGGTAAGACCTCTGACTTCTCAATGAACTGAGGCTCTAAAAAGCAACCTATTCTACCAAGTTTATTTTGCATGCAAGCATAAGGAGCTGTTACATATGTAGTGGAATTTTCTGATTTCCATGAACAATCTTTATCCCCAGAAGTTTCTGCTATGCCAATTTGTTGAAATTCCTACCATTGTTATAGAATCATTCTCTTTTGTTAAAGCCTTGTACCTTTGTTACCCAGTTAAAAGACAGTCATCTTGAAAGGACATCATAGATGGGGTCAATAACTTGTTAGGATGAATTATGTTTTTTATGTCATCTAACAAGCTCTAAGGCTGTGTTCTCCAATATTATAGCCACTAGCAACATATGGTTATTTAAATTCAAATTTAAATTTATCAGTAACTACCACATTAAACAGTGAAAACATAGAAAGTTGCCATAATTGAAAAATGTTTTATTGGACAGTGCTGGTTTAATGGTAATATTTTGTGGGCAACAGAAAATTAGAAAGTATCAGAGCCTGAGGATGCATCCTGTGAACAAGACGTGTGGGGAGAGTTGCTGCTGTAAAGAATCCTAAGTCCTGAGTTTAGAGTAAGGTACATAATTACACTGTGTTCTCTAATCATGATCACCTCCTTACCATAGGCCGACTATGTAGAGAAATCACTTTGCTGCTTAGTATGAGACAGCACATTATATCAAGGTATGCGTCATTTTAATACACCTACCAAATATCATAGCTTAGCCTATCCTACCTTAAAAGTGATCAGAGCACTTACATTAGCATGGCTGATTGTGAGATGTAGCTTGCTGCCACTGTCCAGCATCCCAAAAGTGATACATTCTATCATATTGTATATGACAAGCCTGGAAAAAGATCAAAATTCAAAATTTGAAGTATGGTTTTTACTAAACGCATATGACTTTAGGACCATTGTAAAGTCAAAAAACCTTATGTATAACCATTGTAAGTGGGGAACCATCTGTATTTCTTTTCATGTTGTTAACTTTGCCAGGCATTAAATTTTATTTCATGGAATTGCATATATATTTAACACTGATATCTATATCTACATATACATATATATGACATAATACGCCTTTATTGCAATAAAAACGTAAGAGATAATATAATTGTTTCTCTACCTGTGGTTGAAATTTCCCTCTTCTTTGAGGCCTGTAGCATCCAGCTATATTACCTACTATCATCTTTTGCCCTTCCTTGCAATCCATATTCACTAATCTGTTAGCCACTTATGAAAATGTTGGCACCTAGATCAGTCTTTTGGTATGTAATCCTACATACCAAAGCTATCATTGGTAACTTCAAAGCCCAGGTGAATAACTCAACTACCGTCTTAACTTCATAATGTCTTCACTTCAATCACAACTTTCATATCTCAGGCACTCATCTATGCCCAGAACTGCTCCAACTTTGAAATCTTAAGATATAATCCAAACCTCATATTCTGAGCAGTTCACTTACTTTCTTACCTCATGAGGAACTTTAGCTCCTTGACTTCTCCATTTTCTTTCAACATATCAGCTACTTTCAGTTTTTACTTCCTTTGCTATCCAGACTATATCACATTTCTCATTAACATTACTTTTCCCATGTTCCATTTTATTTACATTGCCTTTCCAAACCATGCCCCCAAACCCTCGATCAGTTTACCACCACGTTTATGAGCAATGTTGGAGAAGAACACAACTATACACATAGGCATCACTAAAAATCCATGGCTGCTCATGCTAACCGTACTCACAATACTACCCAATAATAACTTTTATATATCACTAGTCAGCTTTCTATTTTGTTCTTTAGAACAGCTAGTTCAAATCATCACCATTTTTGTCTAGCCCTCTACACGTTCTTTTTAATAGACTATTTTGCATCTTATTCCACAAAAAATAGCATAGTAGCTATGAACTCTTTCATATTCCTCCCTGCCACTGAAAATTGTATTGTATCTTCTCTCATTTTGCTCTCTATCACTCCAGTTTCAGTGAAGAAGCTGTCTCCATTACTTTTCTAGAGCTGTCTTAAACAAAGAACCTGCAAACTGGGTGGCTTAAACAGTAAAAATTTATTGTCTCAAAGTTCTTGAGGCTAGATGTCAAATATCAAGGTGTTAGACTCTAAGGGAAGGATCTGTTTTAGGCTCCCTCCTTGGCTTGTAGATAGTCATCTTCTCCCTGTGTCTCTTCACATCATTTTTCTTCTCTGCATGTTTATGTGTGTGAAGTTCCTCTTTTAGTAAGACATCAGTTATACCAAATTAGAGCCCACTGTAATTACCCCATTTTAACTTAAATACTTCTGTAAAAACCCTATATACAGATAAAGTCACATTATGAGGTACTAGGAATAAGGACATCAGCATGTAAATTTGTTGGTTGGGGGTACAGTTGAACACATAATAGCATCCTTCCTCTTATCAAAGCATACTACTCCCTTCCATGTGTACTATTGATCCATGATATTTTGCCTCCTCAAGAACTTCATTATGTAATGCATTTCTTTATGTTATTGGATCTGTAGACCTCTTCTCTTACCAGCTTTATTATAAAAATCCTCCTTTGATCATGTTTTCCTATCTAGCTATCCCCTTCTTTCTCTTCTTTCTTTTAATTAAAAAATCTTTATATAATAGATTTCACACTTTTACCATGTACTTACCTCAGACTTTCAGTCCCACTGCTGTACTTCAAGCCCTCTTTGCCAAGGTCATAAGTGACATTCTGTTTACTAAACTTAGAGTGATTTGCAGGAGTCATTAGATGTTTAGTTCGACCTTGCATGTTAAGATTTCTCCATTGGTTTCCATATTGCTTCTGCATTTTCTCCCAGCATTATTACCATACTTTCTCAATCTTCCAAGCTTCATCTTCTACCTGTTCCTTGATTATAACTTATCCATGGAAGTTTTTTGAAAACGTCAAGTTTATTGAGGTGTAATTGACA
This sequence comes from Homo sapiens, assembly GCF_000001405.40. Taxonomy (NCBI): domain Eukaryota; kingdom Metazoa; phylum Chordata; class Mammalia; order Primates; family Hominidae; genus Homo; species Homo sapiens. The sequence continues at coordinate 93,373,721 of NC_000023.11, read as the reverse complement.
TAAATAAAAATTTGCCCTTTAAAAGAATGTGTTTAAGGACATCAGCAAGATGGCAGAATAGGAAACCTGGACACTCCTTCTTCCCAAGATCCCTAATACAAGAGTGACTCACAGGTCAATTTCTTTTTGAGAAACCCAAAAATGAGTTGAGAAGCTCTTACATCCTGTCCTAGTTTACCAGACCAGCCATAGTAAAATCAGTAAGAGAAGCAGAGATATCCTCTTCCCATAACCTTCACCCTGGGCACAATGCCATATGATTAAGGAGAAATCCCAGCTCTTAGTTTCTTCGAAGGACTTGGTCCATAGATCTAATGTTCAAACTTTTTTGGATGCTAACCAAGGGACTGCCTTCTATCATGTTGTCTAAGAAAATTGATAGGGCCTACTAATAAAAGCTGAGTATCCCTAATGCAAAAATCCAGAATCAGAAATGCTACAAAACCCAAACCTTTTTAAGCATCAAGAAGGCATTCAAAGGAAATGTTTGTTGGAAGCATTTCAGATTTCAGATTTTTCAATTAGGGATGCTGAACAGGTAAGTATAAAACAAATATTCCAAAATTTGAAAATAAATAAAACCTGAAACACTTCTAGCCCCAAGCATTTTGATTAAGGGATACTCAGCAGGTATATAGTAGGTATCTGGGGGCTACAGAGAATAAAGTAGCAGTTTAAACTGGGGTGAAGACACACCATAGCTCATTGCCCTGGTTCAACCTAGAACAAAAACAAGTGATAAACTCCAGCTCCCAAATTCTCCTTGAGGAGATAAAGAGTTGGATGGCACATTTAATATCCCCAGTTTTTGGGTGTTCCCTAAGGAAGTGGTTTCTATCTCACCTGTCTCAGAACGCTGTGGGGGCTGTTATATGCTGGTCCCCTGGGGGCTACAGAGAAAAATGTGGTGGTTTGAATAAGTGGGTGTGCACTCACCCCAGCTCATCACCTCAGCTGAACACAAAGCAAGGAGGCAATAAATCCCAGCTCCCAGATTCTCCAAGATGAGAGATTGAGTTGAACACGCAACAGATATCCAACATTTCTGGGAGGTGCTCAAATGACTGGCTCTGTGTTGCTTGTCTTAGACTACTAATAGGACCCAGCATACTGTAGCCACCCAAGGACTGTGAGAATAAAGACAGTGGTTAGATTTAGCACATAACTAGTGACCACAGCTCTTCCTCCCCAAGTTCAGCACAAAGTTAACAGGCTAACAACCTCAATTACCAGCTTATTCCTAAAAAAGGGAAAGAGTTGGACAGAACATTTAATGATTCAGATTTCTGGGGACTTCCTGAGGAACTGGCCTCAGCTTATCTTCAGAGCATTAATGGGATCTAGATGCCAGAGGGCACTCAAGAACAAAAAAGCAGGTTGAACTAGCAACAGGGTTTAAGAGGCCTTTAAATTCCTAGCCAGGCTGATTGGAGAGGGTTTTCTCCTGTATTATGCAAATAGGTAAAGACACGGAAAGGTGATTTTCTTGTCCAAATGCACAGACATCAACTCAGAGAGTAAAGGAGAATGAAGAAAAATAAATATGTTCCAAACAAAGGAACAAGAAAAATCTCCAGAAACTGACTCTAAAGAAATGTAGATATACAGTATACCTGACAGATAATTCAAAATAACTGCCATAAATATGCTTACTGAAGTCAGGAGAGCAACACATGAAGAAAGTGAGAAATGAAACAAAGAGACAGAAAATATTAAGAACTACCAAACAGAAATCTTGGAACTAAAAAATTTAATAAATGAACTGAAACTCACTAGCTGGGTTCAACAGCAGATTAGATCAAGCAAAACCAAAAATTAAATCAACAAACTTGAAGACAGGTCATTGAAAATTATTCAGTCAGAGGAACAAAAAGAAGAATGAAAAGAGTGAATAAAGCTTAAGGAACTTGTAGGACACTATCAAATGGACCAACACACACATTATGAGAATTAAAGAAAGAGAAGAGAGAGAGAAAGAACCAGAGAAAGTCTTCAAATAAATAATGGCTAAAAATTTTCCAAATATGGAAAGGGAAATGGACATTGAGACACAGGAAGCCTAAGGAATCCCAAATAAAATGAAGGCAAAGAAATGTAATCTGAGACACATTTTAATCAATTTACCAGAATCCAAAGACAAACAGAGAATTTTGAAAGCAGCAAGAGAAAAGCCACTCATCACATACAAGGGAACCTTCAGAAGACTATCAGTGGATTTCTCAGCAGAAATATGCAGGCTTCAGAAGTGGTATATCATATTCATGTCCTAAAGAAAACTACTGTGAATCAAGAATCTATACCCAGAAAAACTTTCCTTCAAAAATAAAATATAGAGACTTTCCTACACAAACTAAGTTTGTAGGGAGTTTTGTCACCCCTAGATATGCCTTGCAAGAAAAACTAAAAGGAGTTCTTCATCTTGAAACAAAATGATCCCAAGCAGAAACATAATAGCATAAGAAAGTATAAAGTTCATTGGCAAAGTTAATATATAGCTAAATATCGAATACTGTATTGTCATAACTGTGGTGGGTAGATCACTTTTAATTCTAGTATAAGTTACAAGACCAAATTATTAAGAAAGAGCTATAACTAAAAATGTGTTAATAGATACCAAATATAAACATATAAATTATGAATTCAATAACAACGTGTGTATAGGGGGATAAGTAAAACTGCATAGTTTTGTATATAATTACAATTAAATTGTTATCAGCTTAAAATAGACTTTTATAAGATATTTTTGTAAGCCCCATGATAACCACAAAGAAAACACTATTAAATGGACCAACACACACATTATGAGAGTTAATAACATGTTTCTAATAGATATATGCAGTAATAATGTGTAATGGATACATATTATTATTACTTGTATGTCCTATAGAAGATACACAAACAAGAGCAAAAACAATCATATGAATACAAACCTGAAACAATGAAACACAAAGAAAAACAGGAAGAGAGGAAAAATGGTCAAAATAAATACAAGACAAACAAAAAAATGTGGCAATGATAAATTCCTCCCTATCAATAATTCGTTAAAATGACAATGAATTAAAGCACCCAATTGATAGACATAAAGTGGAAGAATGATTTAATAAAAGATTCAGCTGCATGCTGCTTACAAGAGACTCAGTTTATATTTAAGGACACACTTAGGCTGAAAATAAATGAATGGAAAAAGATATTTCCTTAAAAAGGTAACAGAAAGAAAGCAGGGTTGGCTATACTTATATTAGAAACAACAGACTTTTAGTCAAAAATTGTTACAAAAGACAGGAATAACATTATATAATGAAAAAAAGGCCAATCCACCAGGAAGATATAGCAATTATAAATATATAAGCTCCCAACATCAGAGCACCTCAATACATATAACCAACAATGACAGAACTGAAATAAAAAATACACAGCAATACAATAATAGTAAGAGACTTTCATAGCCTTATTTTAATAATAGGTAGAACCAGAAAACAGATGATTGACAAAGAAACAGTGGGCTTGAAAGAACACTAAAGACCAAATGGACCTATGGACCTATAAAACACATGCATCCCAAAAGGAACAGAAAATACATTCTGATCGAGTGCACACGTAACATTCTCCAGGCTGCATCAAATGTTAGGTCACAAAACAGGTCTTTACAAACATGAGAAGATTAAAATCATACCAAGTATTTCTTTTGACCACAATTAAATGAAACTAGAAATCACTAGAAGAAGAAAAACTAGATAATTCAAAATATTTTGAAATAAAACAACACATTACTAAAAAATGAATAGGTCAAAGAATAAATAAAAATGGAAATTAGAAAATATATGGAGGCACAAGTAAATGAAAACCCAACATACCAAAACTTACAGGATGCAGAAAATGCAATTTTTAGAGAAAAGTTTGTGGGGATAAATCCCTACATTATAAAAGAGAAGAGATCTGAAACAATCTGACTTTTAACTAAAGTAACTAGAAAATGAAGAAAAACAAAACCCAAAGTCAGCAGCAGAAAAAAAAATAAAAATAGTAGCAGAAATAAACTAAATAGATAATAGAAAAACAATTAAAAAGTCAATGAATCTAAGAGGTGGTTTTGAAAATATAAATAATATTGACAAACTCTTAGGCTAAGATAAAAAAGAAAATTATCTTAAGTAAAATTAGAAATGAAAGAGGAGACATTATAATTGATGCTACAAAAATACAAAGAATCCTAAGAAGCTACTATGAACAACTAAATACCAGTGAAATAGATAACCTAGAGAAGTGGATACCGTCCTAGAAACATACAAGCTACACAGACTGAAAAATGAACAAATAGAAACTGAACAGATATATAACTAATAAGAAGTTTGAATTGGTAATCAAAGACCTCCAAACAAAGAAAAACCCAAGCGATGACCACTGGAAAATTCTACAAAACATTTAAATAAGAATTAATGCTAATCTTTCTCAAACTCTTCCCAAAAATTAAAGAGGAGGGAACACTTTCAAACTCATTTTCTGAGGGGAGCTACCACCCTGATATCAAAGCTGGAAAACAAAAGAAAATAAAACTACAAGCCAATTACCTTGATAAACATAGATGTACAAATCCTCAACAAAAAATTAGAAACTGAATTCAACAGCACATTAAAAGCATCATACATCATGACTAAGTGGGATTTATTCCTGGGATGTAATATTGGTTCAACATATGCAAGCCAATTAATGCGATGAACCACATTAACAAAATTAAAATTAAAAATATGTATTCATCTCAATAGATGCAGAAAGTATCTGATGAAATGCAACACTTTTTCTTGACAAAAACTCTTTACAAAGTAAGAATAGAGAGAAACTCTCTTGATGTAGTTTGGATGTTGTCCCCTCTAAATGTCATGTTAAATTGTAATCTGCAGTGTTTGGAGGTGGAGACTGGTGGGATGTGATTGGATCATGGGAGTGAATTTCTCATGAATGATTTAGTGCCATCCCCTTGGTGCTGTCTTCATGAAAGTGACTGAGTTCTCCCAAGATCTGGCTGTTTAAAAGTGTGTGTCATCTCCCTCACTCTCTCTCCTGCTCTTGCCATGTGTTGTTCCTGCTCCTGCTTTGCCTTCTGCCATGAGTAAAAAATCCCTGGAAACCAAGCAGATGCCAGTGCATTGCTTGTACAGCCTGGAGAACTGTGAGCCAATTAAACATCTTTTTAAATAAATTACCCAGTATCAGGTATTTCTTTCTAGAAATACAAAAATAACCGAATACACCCTTTAACATAATAGTGGCCATATATGAAAATCCCACATCTAATAACATCATACTCAATAGTGAAAAGCTGAAAGCTTTTCTACTAACATCAGGAATGAAGCTAGGATGCCCACTCTTACCAGTTTTACTCAACATAGCACTAGAAGTCTTAGTCTGAATAATTAGGTAAGAAAAATAAATGAAAGACACCAGGTTTGGAAAAAAAGATGTAAAATGGTCTCTGTTTGCAGATGACCTGATATTATATATAGAAGATCATAAATATCCTCCAAAAAAGCTCGTTAAAACTAATAAATAAGTAAAGTCTCAGGATACAAAATCGACATAAAGTATCAATTGTGCGTCTAAATGTGCATACTGAACTATATGAAAGGAAACAAAATAACCCAACTTACAATAGAATCAAAAAGAATAAAATACTTAGACATAAACTTAAAGAAAGTGAAATACTTGTACACTGAAAGCTACAAAACGTCGTTAAAAGAAATTCAAAAAGAGATAAACAAATGGAAAGACAGTGTGAGACTTAATATTGCTAAAATGTCCAAATAACCAAAGCAATCTACAGATTCAATGTCATCCCTATCAAAATCCCAAAGCCATTTTTTTACAGAAATATGAAAACCAATTCTAAAATTCTTATAGAACCACAAAGGACCCCAAATACCCTAAATAATCTTGAAAAAAAAAGAACAAAAATGAAAGCATCACACTCTGATTTCAAAATATATTAAAAAGCTACCACAATTAAGATAAACATTTCATGTTCTCACTTATTTGTGGGATCTAAAAATTAAAACAATTAAACCCATGAAGATAGACAGTAGAAGGATGGTCACCAGAGGCTGGGAAAGGTAGTTGGGGGGTGGGGGGGTGAATGGTGGGGATGATTAATGGGTACAATGACAACAACAAGAACAACAAAACAAAAAAATAGGTGAAATGAATAAATAAGATCTAGTAGGGCGACTTTTGTCAATAATAAATTGTACATTTTAAAATAACTAAAATGGTTTAATTGGATTGTTTATAAAATAGAGGATCAACGCTTGAAGGGATGGATACCCCATTTTCCATGATGTGATTATTATGCATTATATGCCTGTATCAGAACATCTCATGTACCCCATAAATATACACATCTACTATTTTAAAAATTAAGAAAAAGGAAAACAAACCACTATGGTACTGACAAAAGACAGACATATAAACCAATCGAACATAATAGGGTGTCCTGAAATTAATTCACCCACGTATGGCCAAACAATCACTGACTGAATGCCAAGCGTATAAAATGGAGCAATAATACTGTCTTTAACAAATGGTATTGGAAAGACTAGATATCCAAATGCATAAGAATAAAATTAGACTCTAATTTCACATCATATATAAAAATAAACTCAAAATGGATTAAAGATTTAAATGCAGCTGGAACCCATAAAACTACTAAAAGGAAACATAGGAAAAAAGCTTCTCGACATTGGAATGGACAATGATTTCATCAATATGACCTCAGAACACAGGCAACAAAAGCAAGAATACATGAGTTGGACTACATCAAATTAAAAAATGTCTGCATAGCAAAGAGAAAAATCAATACAGTAAAAAAGCAGCATACAGAATGGGAAAAAATAATTGCTAACCATAAATTTGATGAGTTCATTCCCCAAATAAATAAGTAACCCCTCAAACTCAATAGCAAAAAGAAAAAATTAATTTTAAAATGGGCTGTAGAGATTTCTCTATAGAAGACATACAAATGGCCAACAGACATGAAAAAATGCTGAAAGTCGCTAATCATAAAGGAGATACAAATGAAAACCACAATGAGACATCACTTCATATCTATTAGGATGGCCATTATCAAAAAACTAAAACATCAAGTTTTGATGTGAATGTGAGGAAACTGGAACATCTGTACTCTGTTAATGAGAATGCAAAATGGTTCACCTGCTACTGAAAACAGTATGGTGTTTTCACACACAAAAAATTAAAAATAGAACTACTATATGATCCAGCAAACCCACTTTTGGATACATATCCAAAATAATTGAAATCAAGATCTCAAAGAAATGTTATCTCTCTCATGTCCATTGCAGCACTATTCACAATAGCCAAGGTGTGGAAACAACCTAAATGTTCATTGGCAGATGAATGAACAAAAAATATGTGGTGTACACATACAATGTAACACTACTAAACCTTATCTATTCTTCTCTAGCATTTATGTCAGTGAAATAACTACTTGTCACCATCCTAGCCACTCTGAACAGGAACCTGAGAATTAGTACGGGTTCCTCATGTCGATTAATGACAAGGTCCTGTTCAGTGTATCTCTTTCTCCTTTGTCACAGTTTAGAAATTCAGCCCGTCTAATTTTTTAACCCACATTTGAGTGGCAAGGACCTTCATTATTGGGAAAACTTCCCATGAAGTGATCATAGGAGTCTAAGTAAACTGTTGGATGGGTTTGTGTACTATTCAATTTCATGAAACAAATAGAGAGTGTTTTTATTTTAATTCTCAATAGTAAATTCAAGTATGAAAAACCCTTGGGCTTCAACAGAAATAGGGCCTCTATTTGATAGTATAATCTAACCAAGCTTTGAATATATCTGAATCTTGTTATAGCCACTGGAGTTGTTTGCCAAATATGTCATTCTCTCCATCTTCTGTACACAAGGTATATTACACTTCCTGTTTTTCTTATGTTTGCATGGGGCCATGTGATTGTTTTGGCCAATGATTTTGAGCAGAAGATGTGTGTCATTTTCAGACCAAGGCATTTAGTAACAGGCTCATGATCCTACAGAGCTCTTTTTTTCTCTTTGATATGGTGGTTTAACATGTCATGGTGGTTTCTCTGTCAGCTGAGATTCTTGGGGAGTATAATGAACAGAGACCCCCCCAACACATGCCCTTTAATGAACATGTAAAATAATTGAGATGTAAACGTTTGTTGTTTTAAATTACCAAGTTTTGGGATTGTTTGTTGCTGCACTATAGTCTATCCTGACATACATATATATAGAGAGAGAGAATATATATGTATATGTAGGTATATATGTATATATATGAGAATATACAAATATACACAGTCTTGTATGTAAGAATATATATGTATATATACTTTTTCCATCTTTGCTCCTGTTCTCTCTAAGGTCCAGTAATACCGGTTATAATGAAAACCCTAAATATCATTATTATTTTATATCATTGATGATAGAGTTGGTAAACAAAAAACAGAAATAAGTTAATGAATACCAAAATAATTTGTAATGGCCTCTTCTTAGAAAGTATAGAATAATCACAATAATTATGATATTGACAGCTAATATTCAACTAAACTCTCCATGTGATAAGAAATATGCTAAATATTTCACATACATTATTTTATTAATTCCTCATAACAACCTTATCAGAAACATTATTATGGCTTATATTATCACTTTATAGATGGAAACACTGATGCACATATGGTTTAAGAGACTTGTCCAAAGTCACACGAAAGGACATTTCAAAAGTTTAAATTAAAAGTAGGCTTAATCAAGTCTAAAACAAAAAGAAAATCTTACAATGTTTTAGGAGATTACATATATTTCCCTGATGGTACAGTCTAAATAATTTGTAATCAAAGATAAGGCCTTCTGCAAAAAACGATGGAAAAATAAATGTAAAAACCTATTCAAGTTTGTCCAGATTTATAATATTATTACCAGTGAGATTGCATAAAACTTCATAAAAAGTAGTCTTGCTACTAAGAGTTAAGAAAGAGCACAAGTATATGTGCAAATTTAGCATTGTAATGGTATTATTTTTAAAGAACATATTTTTGCAAAACATTACATCAATGAGACAAGTTCTTGTAACTGTATTATACATGATGTTTAACTTTATAAAATATTACATCCAACCTTCCTCTTCTATAAACATTTGATATGACCAATATCATTCTTACTCATGTATTACATAACTTGCTGATTTAACCTGGATGATTCTTTTAAAGTGTAAGCAAACCATAAAGCACAGTTAACGTACTTTTAGAAATGCTATTAACTTATTTTATACCCTTATCATTACAATTTAAATTTTATACTATAAGCAATAGAGAACCATTGAACGATGGAAGACCAAACTAAGATAATTGTGCTTTGGACAGAAAGAAGTGGAAGAATTGATAAGCATTGGAAAGTAGATCTGATAAGATCTGGAACACAGAACAAGGAATATTGAGTGAAATTAGGCAGAGATATGTGTTCCTGCCCAGGCACAACGAGCTTGAACATAACACCGTTGTGAGGCTCTTAAGGTAACAAAACAATAGCATAAGAACCTGTGATACATGGAAGCATAGGATGGTATATATTCATGAAGAGGCTGCAGTTGATAACACAAGGTAGGAATAAGATACTAAAAGGGAAGTGAGAGGCTGTTTTCACAAATTTTTATAGGGTCGGCTCTATTGTTTGGTCTTAGGTAGAGAAACTTGCTCATTAGTAGATAGGTTTTACAACATAGACGTAGCACAATTAGCAATACAACAGGAAATTCCTCTCAATTTCCGTCTCCTTTCAGTTGTCAAATGTCTGTCTCCCATATTATCCATTTTTTCAAGCTTCTTTGTCAATCTCAGTCAGATGGCTTATTTACTGCACATCTTTATGTCTGTTCTCTGTCCAGTCACCCAGTTTCTCTTACATACCTCTTCTCTTTGCATCCTTCCCTTCTATGCTGCTATGATGAAACATGATAGTTCAACTAATTCATGACATTGTGACCCAAATATTGTCGGGACTTCCCAAATCTAAAAAATATTTTTTTCTTCCACTATGAAGATAAAATGTGTATTTCCAACACAGCAGGTTACACCGCCCCCGAAAACAAACCATGCTTTTTATTGCAATCTTTCTAATGTTAATACTACTTTCTTTGATGTGAAATTCTTTCTTCTCATCTTCCTAAAGAATTCCTACTTATCCTTCTTTTTTAACTTTTATTTTAAGTTCAGGGGTATATGGTAAACTCATATTAAAGTTTTTTTGATACAGATTATTTCATCACCCAAATATTAAGCCTAGTACCCATTAGTTATTTTTTTCTGATCCTCTCCCTACTCCAACCCTGCACCTTCCCGTAGGCCCCAGGATCTGTTGTTCCTCTCTTTGTGTCCGGTGTTCTCATCATTTACCTCCCACTTATAAGTGAGTACATGTAGTAATTGGTTTTCTGTTCCTGAGTTGGTTTATTAAGGATAATGGCCTCCAGCTCCATGAATAGACACTTTTCAAAAGAAGACATACATTCAGCTAATAAACCTATGAAAAAAACAGCTCAACATCACTTATCATTACAGAAACACAAATCAAAACCACAATGAGATATCATCTCACATCAGTCAGAATGGCTATTTAAAAAGTCAAAAATAACAGATAGTGGTGAGGTTGCAGAGGCAAAGGAATCCTTATACACTGTTAGTGGGAGTGTAAATTAATTCAGCGATAGTAGAAAGCAGTGTGGTGATCCCTACTCATTTGTCAATGACCAATTCCATTGTTACCTTTTCTATGAAACTGTTCTTGGTTTTCCCAAGCAGTATGAGTTGTTCTTTATCTGTGTGCCTACTGCCCTACTGACCCATTTCACATTCATCTGAATACCATAGAGTCCAGAAGACTGTCTGGTACCCATTCAATTAATCCAGTTTATATGTCACTTTCTTTCTCTCTCATTCTGTCTGTCTGTCTGTCTGTCTGTCTCTCTCTCTCTCATACAAACACATAAGCAAAGTGGGGGGGAGAGAGAGAGAAAGAGAGAGAGAATAAATTACATGCCTGATTCAAGAGTGTACAACATGGATTACTCAGGTAATTGATTCAGTTGGGTCAGGGATTTATTCTTGTTTTATTTTCATTAATTCATCTGGGATACATGAATTTTGAGGCACTTGGAATATATTTTTTATTGATAGTTTCAATGTCAGACTTTCCCCACTCTCTCTCGCTCTCTCTCCAGCTTCTGAACCTTACCTATATTATCATGCTACGCTTCATTTCATGCACATGTATTTATAGTACCATCAATCAATAGTCATTCATCTTCATATGCCAATTCCAAAAATCTATTTGTTTATATGTTCTTGCAAAATTTACATGACAACCTTTTAACATATAGCTTAATTCTTTTTTACCACATCATGTTTTACAATTTGCCTATATCAGAAAGCCTGTCACTAAATAGCTTACTCAGTGTGAAAACAGAATACATTTTTTTCTTTAACTGTTAATTTGCCTCCATTCTTACCTCGAAAAAACTCAGCATCTGACCTCTCTCTCAGTAAATCAATAGGCATACTGACAAAATAAGACAAAACTTGAATAGTGATGAAAGTAATATTCTGTTTTCACATAGAAAGATATGTTGCTATGGAAACTATTTTTCTTTGTTTCTATTCATAACAAAAATTATTTCCACAATATAAGATATTGTACATCTTGGCCTTGTGAGGGAAAACGAAAATAAGTATTTTGGAAGTCAGATATTAAAGGGAGAAAAATGCGTTAGCTCACTCCTCTAACTAGTTAGCTATACCATTTGGTATGGGTGTGTTTATGCTACACAGTTATATAAAGTTGTTTTTTGGTAAGATAATGTAAGAGAAATGGTTAGCTTGGTAAGTATTAGGGCTTATATGACTTACTAGAAGGTTTCTTACTTGAAAGTATTAAAAAGACACTTAGGGAAAAATAAGAATAAAGAGAACCTTAAAAATGATTATATAATATAGCATGTGTCTGCTTTTGTTCTGCATAGCCACACTATGGGTCAATTCATTCAACACCAAATACCTGAAAAACTGAAAACAAAATCATTCATGTAGATTTTGATTTCAAGTAAGAAAAAATTGTGTTCCTTAGGCTGCAAATTACTTTCAGTGTTTCTGGCCAGCTTACAGGCCCTCTTTCCTCTGAGAGAAAAAATTAATATCGTGACTAAGAGTTTCCCTTTCCTTGGAGCCACTGCCCCTTGATGTAAGATTTAACAGGTTCTCCAACTCTAGCTGTCATTTTCCTAGACAAGTTAGATTCCTAGATATAAATTATATGATAAAGAGTGTCCCTATAGTACATTCCTGTAGATGAGAAAACAAAGTTCCCATTGTAGAACTTAAGTCACATTCAGTGATGTGTTCCTGTAGAGACCAAACATTTTTGCAGTTAATGACAATAATTATGTAATAATTGTAAAAATAAATGGAGTTATATGTAATGTACCAGAAAGTCAGAGAAAAAGTGCAGTCAAATGAATGATCCTGGTACTCTGAGGATAAAAATGTATCATGTCAGCATTAGTCATTCAAAGACCCTTCTCCATGTCAGCATACCCAGGATACTAGACCGTCTTTTCCTGATACTCTCTGAACCAGGGAACCAGAGGTCTGTTTGTTTGCCTGATATTTTTATTTTTATTTGACAAGTAAACATCTTATATATTATGGTGTACAACATGATGTTTTCAGGCTGATCCAAGTGTAGTGGTGTTCATAACATGATGTTTTGATATATGTGCACATTGTGGAATGACTGTCAACATAATTCACATATGCATTATCTCATGCCGTTATTTTTTATGGTGAGAACATATAAAATCTACTTTCTTAGCAACTGTCAATTGTACAATATATTAACTGTAGTCATCATGATGTACAATAGGATCTTTTGACTTATTCCTTCTAACTAACATTTTGTGTATTTTGACAAACATCTCCTCAATCTCCCCACCATCCTTGGCCTCTAGTAACCACCATTTCACTCAGTGTTTCTATGAACTAAATATTTATCTACTTTAAAGGGTGTTCTTTATAGTGGATCACAGAATAATCATTTGGATTCATTATGTGAATGATCAAATTTGATTATTATGACAACCACAAATTTTGAAAAATTATGCAAGGGACAAACTTTAAAATATTTATCTCATTTTATTTTTTATTATTTCAACTTTTATTTCAGATTCAGAGAGTACTTGTGCAAATATGTTTGCTGGGTATATTGTGTGTTGCTGAGGTTTGGGGTACAATTGATCCAGTCACCCAGGTAGTGATCTTAGTTCTCAATAGTTAGTTTTTTAATCCTTGCCCCCATACTTTTCTCCTCCTTCTAGTAGTCCCCATTGACTATTGTTGCCATCTGTATGTTCATGAGTACACAATGTTTGGCTTCCACTTATAAGTGAGAATATGTGTTGTTTGGTTTTCTGTTTCTGTGTTAATTTGCTTAGGGTAATGGCTTCCAATGACATCCATGTTGCTGCAAAGGACATGATTCTGTTACTTTTATGGCTGCATAGTATTTCATGGTATATATCTGCCACATTTTCTTTATCCAATGTAGTATTCATGAGCACCTGGGTGGATTCCATGTGTTGGATATTATTAACACTGCTGTGAGATACATATAAGTGCATGTACATGTGACTTTTTGGTAGAATGATTTATTTTCTTTTGGATATATAACCAGTAACAGAATAGCTGGGTCAAATGGTAGTTCTAAGTTCTCTGATGTATCTCTAAACTGTTTTCCACAATGGCTAAACTAATTTACATTTCCATCAACAGTGTATAAGCATTCCCTTTTCTCTGCAGCTTTGCCATCACCTTTTGATTTTTGACTTTTTAGTAATAGCCATTCTGACTGGTGTGAGATGGTGTCTCATTGTGATTTTGATCAACATTTCTCTGATAGTGATGTTGAGCATTTTTCATGTTTGCTGACTGCTTGAATGTCTTCCTTTGAGAAGTGTCTGTTCATGTCTTTTGCCCACTTTTGAATGGAATTATTATTTGCTTTTTGCTTGTTGAATCTTTAACTTCCTTATAGATTCTGGATATTAGACCTTTGACAGATGCATAGATTGCAAATATTTTCCCCCCTTGTGTAGGCTGTTTACTCTTTTGATAGTTTCTTTTGCTGTGCAAAAGCGCTTTAGTTTAATTAAGTATCACTTGTCAATTTTTGTTTTGGTTGCAGTTGCTTTTGAGAACTTAGTCATAATTTTTTTCCTAAGGCCAATGTCTAGAATGTTATTTCCTAGATTTTCTTCTAGAATTCTTATATTCTGAGGTCTTACATTTAAATCTTTAATCTATCTTGAGTTAGTTTTTGTATATGGTAAAAATGGTCCAGTTTCATTCTTCTGCATCTGGCTAACCAGCTACCCCAATACCTTTTATTGAATAGGGAGTGCTTTCTGTATTGCTTATTTTTATCGACTTTGTCAAAGTTCAGATGGCTATAGGTGTGCAGCTTTATTTCTGGGTTATCTATTCTGTTCCTGTGGTCTGTATGTCTGTTTTTTACCAGTATCATGCTGTTTGGGGTAGACTTATGGTGTAGTTTGAAGGGGGGTAATGTGAAGCCTCTGGCTTTGTTCTTTTTGGTTAAGATTGTTTTGGCTATTCAGTCTCCTTTTTAGTTGCATATGAATTTTAGAACAGTATTTTTCTAATTGTGTAAAAAAATACATGTGTAGTTTGATAGGAATAGCATTGAATCTGTAGATTATTTTGAGCAATATGGCCATTTTGACAACATTTATTCCTCCAATCCATGAGCATAGATTTTTCTCATTCATTTGTGTCAACTATGACTTCTTTCAGCAATGTTTTGTAGTTCTCCTTGTAGAGATCTTTCACCTTCTTGGTTAAATATATTCCTAGGTATGAGTTTTTGTGTTTTCTGTAAATGGGATTGTATTCTTGGTTTAGCTTTCATCATGAACATTATTGGTGTATAGAAATGCTACTGATTTTTGTACATTGACTTTGTATCCTGGCACCTTACTAGAGGTATATTTTTTTTTTTTCAGTTTCAGGGTCTTTTGGCAAAAGCTTCAGGGTTTTCTAGGTACAGAATTATATCATCAGCAAAGAGAAATAGTTTGACTTTTTATTTTCTAATTTAAATGCCTTTTATTTCTATCTCCTTACTGATTGCAATTGCTGGGATTTGCTCTAGCTTAGTTTTCAAGGATTATCATTCTGACTAATCTAAAATATATTCTTAGAAAAAAAGATGATTTAAAAATTTACCTTTTTATGAAGGAAACACAGATTTTGCTATGTATTTAGATTTTCTACATGATTCAGCTCATTCAAAACTTATTTATTTATTTTCTGTACAATGATGAAATAAGCAAAAATTGAGGCAAGAATATTAGTCACAGGTCTGAAGTTGAATTCCCATTCAATATCAGAATTTACAGAACTTTCCAGTGACTTGGGGCCATCATCTATAAAGATGTTTTAAATTTCATTAAGAGATAATTATTATAGTATATTTCTCATAAGGTAGAAAACAAATATTCTACATTGGATTGCTTTCTGTATTCTATCACTTGACCTCGTTTAATTGTTATACATGCATTAGTGTTTTATTCCATTCCACCAGCTTCATTAGCATATCTTTGAAAACACTATGTAATATTATCATGATAAAATAGTCGAAGTTGAATAGTACTTTTGCTTGCAGCTTAAGAGACTCATTTAACAAAAAGAATTATGTGGATTTCAAGTAATAATAAATAATATAATAGAGTCATCACCATTAGTTTTGAATTCATTCTAAAGTGTAAAATAATAAATGTTTTTGTTTTAATTTTATTTATTTATTTTTGTTCAGATGGAATCTCCCTTTTTCACCCAGGCTGGAGTGCAGTGGCATGATCTAGGTTCACTGTAACTTCTGCCTCCTGGGTTCAAGTGATTCTCCTGCCTTTGCCTCTGAGTAGCTAGGCATGCCACCATGCCCAGCTAATTTTTGTATTTTTAGTAGAGATGTGGTTTCACCATGTTGGCCAGGCTGGCCTCGAACTCCTGACATCAGGTGATCTGCTCACCTCTGCCTCCCAAAGTACTGAGATGACAGGCATGAGCCACCATGCTTGGCCAATTTTAATTTTTAAATTATAAATTTATACGTATTATATTGTATACATTTATGAGGTACAAAGAGACGTTATGACATATGAATAAAATGTGAAATAACTAAGTCAAACTAATTAACATATTTATCACTTCAGCTACTTATATTTTTTTTGTGGTGAGAACATTTGAAATGTATAATCTTGGTGATTTTCAAATATATAATACAGTCAGCAGAGTAAACAGACAACCCACAGAGTGGGAGAAAATCTTCACAATCTATAGTCTGACAAAGGACTAATATCCAGAATATACAATAAACTCAAACAAATAGGTAAGAAAAACCAAGCAATCCCTTCAAAAACTGGGCCAAGGAAATGAATAGACAATTCTCAAAAGAAGATATGCAAATGGCCAACAAACATATGAAAAAATGCTCAACATCACTAATGATCAGGAAAATGCAAGTCAAAACCACAATGGGATACCATCTTACTCCTGCAAGCATGGCCATAATAAAAAAAATCAAAAAACAATAGACGTTGGCATGGATGCGGTGATCAGGGAACACTTCTATACTGCTGGTGGGAATTAAACTAGTATAGCCGCTATGGAAAACAGTGTGGATATTCCTTAAAGAACTAAAAGTAGAACTACCATTTAATCCAGCAGCCCCACTACTGGGTATCTACCCTGGCTGTATTAGGTCAGAGGAAAAGAAGTCGTTATATGAAAAAGATACCTGCACATGCATGTTTACAGCTGCACAACTCACAATTGCAAAATCATGGAACCAAGCCAAATGCCTATCAATCAATGAGTGGATAAAGAAACTGTGATATATATATATATATATATATATATGATGTGATATATATCACATCATATATATATATATCACAGGAGAAACACATATATATGTGATATATATATATGATGTGATATATATATGATATATACATATATATATATATATATATGATGGAATACTACTCAGCCATAAAAAAGGAATGAATTAACAACATTTTGCAGCGACCTGGATGAGATTGGAGACTATTATTCTAAGGGAAGTAACTTAGGAATGGAAAACTGTATGTTCTAACTGATATGTGGGAGCTAAGCTATGAGGACGCAAAGGCATAAGAATGATACAATGGACTTTGGAGTCCATTGTATGGGGTAAGATACAATGGGGTAAGAGTGGGGGGGAGGCAAGGGATAAAAGACTACAAATATGATGCAGCGTATACTGCTCTGGTGATGGGTGCGCCAAAATCTCACAAATCACCACTAAAGAACTTACTCATGTAACCAAATACCACCTGTACTCCAATAACTTATGGAAAAAAAATAAAATAAAATAAACAAATATATGATATATAATTATTTACTGTATTCACCATGCTGTGCAGTATATTTGAAAGTAAAAAAAAATTAGTTATTCCTTCTAATTGAGGCTTTGTACACCTTGACCATCTCTTCATTCCTTCCACACCCCCAGGTTATGCTAACCACCATTCTATTCTCTGCATCTCTGAGTTTGATTGTTTTAGATTTTACATTTAAGTGGGAATATGCAGTATTTGTTTTTCTGTGCCTCATTTCTTTCGCTTAGCATAATGGTCTTTAATTTCATCCATGTTGTCAAATGACAAATTTATGTTCTTTTTAAAACTGAATTCTATTGTTTATGTATACTACATTTTCTTTACCCATTTATCTATTGATGAACATTTAGGTTGATTCCATAAGTTGGCGACTGTAAATAGTGCTGTAAATATGGGACAGCAGACATTTCTTTGACATACTGATCTCAAATATTTAAGGATACTCAGAAATGGTAATACTGGATAATATGGTAATTCTATTTTTAGTTTTTTGAGGAATCTCTATACAGTTGTCCATAATGACTATATTAATTTACATTCTCATCAACATTTCTAAAAATAGCATGTAGCACTTAAAATGAGCAAAAATTAATAATGCTATCCTTTAGCTTACTATACAAATCAGTCTTACAAGTAATCTTTTATAAATAACATACATAGCTAAAATAATGATATTACTCAAAACTACAATTATTCTATAAATAGTATTCTAAGCCATACTTGGGATATTATGCCATTTAATCACACTCAGGTAGAAGCTTATACAGTCATTTGAGGTGCCGAAAGAAAAAAAAAAATCTTATCTAGCAAGTTCTTTTTTTTTAAAAAAAAGTCAGTACTATATAGTGAATTGTGTATTTGAATAGTAATAATGACCTTAGACCATTGGTTACACAATTCTCAGTTAATAATGTTTGAAAATAAGAGTAAGCTTTTTCTTTTATGCTCAAGGAAAATAAAACTCCAGAGAAACAGTTTTCTTTTAATGTGGGTATGTTACTTTAACTGTTTATAAATAGTAAAGCTATTGTAACTGGCCAATGGGTTCACCTTGCCCTCTGCCTAGACAAAGTCAATTTATCACTACAGGGGAGTCATTCATGCAGAGCCAGCCGTGCGGGAAACCAGAGTTTTATTGTTACTCGTCAGTCTCCCCGATTCGGAGAACAGAATTTTTAAAGATAATTTGGCTGATAGGGGCTAGGGAAATGGAAAGTGCTGATTGGTCAGGTTGGAGATAGACTCTTAGGGGGTCGAAGTGAGGTTTCTTTTGTTGTCTTCTGTTCCTGGGTGGGATGGCAGAACTGGTTGAGCCAGATTACAGGTCTGGGTGGTGTCAGCCGAGATCCATTCAGTGCAGGTTCTGCAAAATATCTCAAGCACTGATCTTAGGTTTGACAATAGTGATGTTATCCCCACGAGCAATTTGGGGAGGTTCAGACACTTGGAGCCAGAGGGTGCATGACCTCTAAACTGTAATTTCTAATCTTGTAGCTAATTTGTTAGTCCTGCAAAAGCAGACTGGTCCCAGGCAAGAAGGGGGTCTTTTCGGGAAAGGGATTTTATCAATTTGGTTTCAGATTTAAACCATGAACTTCCTAAAACATTCCTTCCCAAAGTTAGTTCGGCTTAAGCCCAGGAATGAACAAAATAGCTTAAAGGTTAGAAGGAAGATGGAGTTGGTTAGGTCTAATTACTTTCACTGTCATAATTTTCTCAGTTATAATTTTGCAAAAGCGTTCTCACTATGTGTTTCCAGTAATTAAAATAAAAAACAAATATACTGTATGTAATTTATTGGAGTACCACATACTGTTAAAGTTGGATGAGATTTACCACTTTTAAAATATGTAACAATAAAGAAAATGAAAACTTAATCACACCCAATACTATTTGCCAATGGATACCAAATGCCACTTCTTAACCCTAAAATTGTTTGGTGATTTATAAGTCAGTGTCTAAAAATGGACTGAATCTCTTAACCCCTGACATTTTGGAGATTTATTTTAATCTTTGATCTTCTGTGATTAGGATAGTGAGAAATATCTGATTCCATCCTAATAATGTTGAATCAGGGTGCCATATAGACAAGCCAATGCATTACAGAGGATATGAAATCTTATAGAAAAAAAAAGTATGTGTTCTATATTTTATACATTTAAATGTGGGTTTGAAATGAGAATTCAGAATTATACAGAAGTTTCACCTCTTAATACCTCTTAATATTCATTTTAAGTAAGAATAAGCTACTATGGGAAAATTGATTTTAGAAAATACCAAGATATTATTTAACATGCTAGGAATTTTTACCATGTCTAGTTCCTTTTTGTCGTCTCTATCAGGTTTATATAAATCTTGAAACACATTTACAATAAAATATAATAGTTATAAAATAAATCTTGTTTTATGGTGGTCAGTTTCGATCAATATTTTTGTTTGTTTTCTAATTTTGGAAGTTGTATTGATTCTTCTGCTATGCTGGTGGAATTGGCAATATCTCCCTGCATTTATAATCTGAGGCTGTGCTATTAGGCATGTACAAGTTTATAATTATAATTTTCTCATGCTTTATATCTTTTATTTCTTGTGGTAACCATCCTTATCCCTGATAATGTGTTAATCTTACCTTATTGTTTGCTATTGATGCAGTTCATTTGGCTTATTTTGGTTAATATTTGACCAAAGAAGTTAGTATATCTTCTTTCATCCTTTTACTTTCATATTTATTATACTCTTACATTTTAAATACAGCAGAGAATTTTTAAAACATTCTAACCACCTCTGTCCTTTAACTAATGAGTTTAGTTCATTTAACTTTGTTGTAATTACTTTTATATGAGAACTTGTTTCTACCAAATTACTTTTGCTTTGTATTTGTCCTGCTTTTTCTATGCCCTACCTTTTTGTTTTTCTTGTTTCTTGCCTTTTAAGCATTGGGATTTGTTTGTGAATTCTATTACTTAACCTCTGCCAATTTTCAAGTTGTACACTCAATTGCTACTCTTCCCATAGTTTTCCTTAAAATGTGACAATGCACAGGTAACAGAATTTTCAGTAAGTATCTTATCCCCACCAAAAAATGCATAAACATTAGAACGCTTTAAAAAGTAATTATTTTTCCCAGTTTACAGGTTTTTTTTTTTTTTTTTTTTTTTTTTCAGTATTTCAGCTTTCCTTTGCTTCCGATGACTTATTGGAGGTCACCCTTACTTTCGGCAACAAAACCTACATTTTACTCAAAATCTAGAAATTTTGTAGCAGAGTTCTGGGCCATATTGTCCAAAAAAGAAGTTGTAGGAAATTATAGGAATTAATAATTCAAGTTATCCTACTGAGAAGTACATTTTTAAAATATACTCATTCAAAACAATTTTCTAAGAAATGAATAATCTTTATATTCAAAGTAAATATAAAGCAAAAACAAAATAATTTAGATTTCTTTGAAATCATATTGGTCTGCGTTAGAACAAGAGTATTGAATCTGGTACATTATGAAATGATGTTCAGGGTAAAGGATAAACCTGATTTAGCAGCAGCTTGCTTCGTATTTAGATGACAAAAGAGATTTTTATTTTATTATTTTAAGTGTGGACTTATACATTTTGGCATTTGATATATATCACTTAAAATAAATCTATCATTAGGAATGAATAAACTAAATGACACTATATAGGGATTCCCTTCTATTTTCTGTACCTTTTCCTAAATTCCTTTACTCGGCAATTCTTGACTCAAGTAAACTGATATGTAAGGGAAATAACTAAGGACTTTTCTTTTTACTTAAATTTTAAAAATGATTATTTTCATCTTTTTCATCATTCTGTCCTAGGCCCTTAAGAATTAGTTGCCTAATATTACAATTAATTGCATTTTAACACAATTAACATCCATGCTTCTTATGGCTAAATTGTTGACATTGAAATAAACTAGTTGAGTACCACCATTTTTCAGAGTAGTAACTGACCTCAAAACACTGGTTTTCATGATATGCTCATTTTTGCTTTTAAAAAGCAAGTCCTTCTTTGGCAAGATTTAATTGCTGTCAATTTGAATTGTAGGATGGAGAGCAAGCTTGTTGAAATGCTTTGCCAAACACTGTTTACTTGAATAGTCATTCACATTTATGAATGTGTAGAGAATGATAAAACTCCATGGAAACAGATAATCATGTGTATTTCTCAGATAATAAATTATTCACTAACCTGTCCTCTCTTCAAGCCCAGGAACAAGAAAAAAACAAAACACTTCAGAAATAAGAAAGTTCTAATATTATATTCTAAAAGCAATAGGACATTTCTTTTGGTTTTGACTAATATGGCAAGATTCATATGTTGAAAATGTTACTGAAATTTATTTTCTGGTGCGGCATGTAAGGAGCTTAGATATTAATTCTCCCATTCATACAACAAGAAAAAATACTGCACAAACTGAAAATCAACAACTCTTCCTGATGTATGAGAGAACTGGAGTCACGGGGCAAACACAGCCCCCAAATTTGAAGAGATAAACAGGTGGAAAAAAGAGAATCACAACTTATCAGAGCAGAATCTCAGTAGTAGAAAACTTTGTGAGAATTGGTACTAGAGGAGAAAACATAATCTCTAACTAATGAATTGCTAGAGGCTCTTTGTGGACAAGACTGAAAGCTAAAAACCCCAGGGAGTCCAGCCTTAATGGGGACCCCCACAGTTTCATGAGCTTTACCTCCAGGTTCTCATACTGAAGATGAGAGAAATATCCTTTCATGTTTCCAGCAGGTAGAGGGAAAATGTAGTCACTTTAAAATGTACTCAGAGTATTCAATTTGTTTCAACAAGGCCTTCCCTCAAAGAAACTATCTTACCAGGACCTCACCTGCTTTGGTTTTATCAGAAAAAAAAAAAAAAAAGAGAGAGAAATTCTTGTGAAGGTCACAGGCCAAGGGCAAAACTCACCAAAAGACTGAGACCTAACCACAGGAATATAGAACACTTCTCCTCCTCCAGACCTCACCACCACAGCAAGAGGACTCCTGTATAACAGCAGAATACAACAGAAAGAATGGGCATCTCAGATGACATTTAAGAAGTCTCTAGGGAAACTCCAAGATAAGAGGCGAGACAAAAATAAGGACATTAGAGGAAATTTTAGCCTGTGACTTCTACAGCTACAGCAGATGCAAACACAGGCTAACAATAAGCCAGATAAACATAAAACCTCACACTAAAGGCTTATTTTCCTCAGTTCTTTTCAAACAGTACATCACATCTGACTTGCAACAAAAATATCATGTGTTTATATAACAAACCAACAAATGTACCCCCGATTCTAAAATACCAGTTGAAATTATTTTAAAAAACACAAAAAAGAATATCTGCAAAGTAAAAAATGGTAAAATATATCCTATGGTCCACAGAAAAATAAATATGAACATCTTTAAATTTATGAAAATTAAAAGATAATAATAAGATGTACTTAAAGACAAAAACCACACTTTGAAAAGAGAGTAAGCATCAGGCCCAAAGACAACTATGATTAATATGCTCCAGGCTCTAAAAATAGACAACATATAAACAGAGAAATGGAAGCTCTAAGGAGGAATCCACAACATCATAACAGAAGTGAAAAATGTCTTTGATAAACTCATCAGTAGACTACACACAGCTGAAGAAAGAATCAGTCAGTTTGAAGAAATGTCATGGGACCTCAAAAATGAAACCTAAGTGGAAAAAATGATAAAAAATGCAGAATAAAGTATAAAAAATCTGTGGAACACTTAAAAAATATATATACATAATGAGAATAAAAGAAAGAGAAGAAAGGAAAAGTAAAGCAGAAGAAAAATTGGAAGCAATCATGTATAAGAATTTACCTAAGTTAGTGATAAACACATAATCACAGTTCCAAGAAGCTCAGAGAACACCAAGCAGAATAAATACCAAAAATTACACAAGTAAGCATATCATACTCAAACTATATAAAATAAAAATCAGAAACAAAAAAACTTGAAAGAAGCTGGAGGAAGAAAAAAACTTTAATTACAGAGTAACAAGGAAAGAAGTACATTGAATTTCTCCTCAGAAACCATGCAATTAAGAGAGTGGAGTGAAATATTTAAAGTGGTAAAAGAAAGCAATCACCAACCTAGAATTTTGTGCTAATGTAAATAATATTGTGCTTTCACTTTCAAATTCAAATTGCTCATTGCTGGTACATAAGAAAGCAGTTGAGTTTTGTATATTAACCTTGTGTTCTGCAACCTTACTATAGACATGATGGGTTTTTTAGTTAGTTCTTTGGGATTTTCTACCTACACAGTCCTGTCTGTCTAATACCAAAGAAAGATTTTGTAAAAAAAAGATTGTGGTAAAATACATGTAACATAATATTAACCATCTTAATAATTTATATTCGCATTGCTTTACAACCAATCTCTAGAACCCTTTGCATCTGGCAAGACTAAAACTGTATACTAATTAAACAAGTCACCATTTCCTTCTTTCCCTAGGCCCCTGAAACCATGTTTCTACTTTTTCCTTCAATGAATTTGACTAATCTGCAAACCTCATATAAGGTGAATCATACAATATTTGTCCTTTGTGGTTGGCTTAATTCAATTAGCATAGTGTCCTCAAAATTCATCCAGGTTGTAGTGTATGTCAGTATTTCCTTCA
The DNA here is from genome assembly GCF_000001405.40 of Homo sapiens. NCBI lineage: Eukaryota > Metazoa > Chordata > Mammalia > Primates > Hominidae > Homo > Homo sapiens. Next base: position 93,349,512 of record NC_000023.11, on the reverse strand, counting down.
TTTTTAAAGCTAAATAACATCCTATTGTGTGGATTAAATTTTGTTAATCCATTTATTCAAAGGAGAACATTTGGTTTGCCCCCAGATTTTGTCTACTGTGAATAATACTACTATAAACATAGGTGTACAAATGTGTCTTCAAGACTCTTCTTTTGGTTTATTTGGATATATACCAAGGAAAGGAATAGCTGGATTAAATGGTAATTTTATTTTTATTATTTTACGAAATGCCATACTGTTTTTCATAGTGGCTGCACCATTTAAATTTGCACCAACAGGGGGCAAGTGTTCCAATTTCTCCACATCCAAGTCAGTCCTTTTCATTTTGTATATTTTTATAGTGGTCCTCCTAATGGGTATGTATTGGTATCTCATTATATGCATTTCCATAGTGATTAGTGATGTTGAGCATGTTGTAATGTGCTTGTTGGATATTCATACGTTTTCTTTAGAAAAATGTCTATTCAAGACATTGCCCGTGTTTTAAATTTTTTTGTTGTTAAGTTCATGAAAACATAATTCACAGACTGAGAGAAATCTTTCAAAACTTTTATCAGATAAATGAATGGTATCTGAAAAATTCAAGGAACTCTTTGTGTCAGGGGTTCCAAAATTTGTACAAAAATGACTTCGGTCATTTTTTTTCATAGAACACATATACACAAATATTTTGTCTAATAAATGGCACTGTGACAATTCATTTATTAATACGTGTCAACTTAAATGGGCTAAAAGATATTCAGATAGCTGGTAAAACATTTCTGCTTGTGTCTGTGAAGAGTATTTCTGGAAGAGATAGCATTTGAGTTAGACTGAGTATAGAAGATTGTCCTCACAAATGCAGGTGCAATCTTTTGAGGGCCTAAAGAGAACAAAAAATGGTGAATTTACTCTTTGCCTGAGCCAAGACATCCATCTTCTACCCTTGGACATCAGCGCTGCTGGTTCATGTCCTTCAGATCCTGACTGGCACTTACACCGTAACTGCCTCTTCCTCACACTCCCATTCTCAGGCCTTCGGACTCAGAGTGAATTACACCACCAGCTTTCCTTGGTTCTTCAGCTTGCAGACAGCGAACATGGAACTTATTAGCCTCCATAACTGTGGGAACAAATTCCTATAATAAAACTCCTTTTATTTATATATTTCTGTCTCCTTTGTTTCTGTTTCTCTGGAGAGTCCTGACTAATACAAACTCTTTAGAGTAATAACCTTTTTCTCTATTTGTATTAATTACATAAATGTTCATATCAGAGCTGCTTATTGACAAAAGTTAACATAAAGATACTACTGAGAGAAGTTGCTTTCATTCTAAAGCAACTTGACATTCAGACAGCTATTGTCTCTCTCACTTTTTCTGATAGGCCTGTGCTGTTATACTACTTAGAAGCATGTAATTTCTATTGGGTCTTTTGAAATAATGAAAATAGCTTAAATACCCAGTTTGTTACATTTGAGAATCTATAGAGATGCAAAGTCATTCACATTAGTCCACATCAAATCTGAGAGTGATTTAATTTCAGCATATGTGGAGGAGTAAGCAGTATCGTCTTTAAAAGTACAAGGCTGGGTATGATGGTTCACGTCTGTAATCCCAGCACCTTTGGGAGGCCAAGGCAGGAGGATCACTTGAGATCAGGAGTTCAAGATCAGCCTGAGTAACGTACTGAGACCTCATCTCTGCAAAAATTTAGCCAGGTGTGGTGGCATGCAACTGTAGTCTCAGCTACTTGAGAGGCCGAGGCAGGAGGATTGCTAAATCCCATGAGTTTGAGGGTAGAGTGAACTATGAGTGATCCACTATACTTCAACATGGGCAACAGAGAGAGTCCCCACCTCTTAAAAAAAAGGGGAGCAAGGTGGCAGAATAGAAGGCTACGCTGAATGTCACTTATGCGAGGACACCAATTATTTAAAAACTCTCTACACCAAAATGCACCTTCATAAGAAGCAAAATCAGGTGAGCACTCACAGTACCTAGATTTAACTTCATATCTCTGAAAGAGGAACTTGAAGAAGTAGGAAAAGCAGTCCTGAATCCCTGATGCCACTCCTCCTCCCTGATTCCTCCGTGAATCCCTGATGCCACCCCCCAGTGGTGGCATGGTGCAGAGAGCATTTATATACATGGGGAGAAGGAGTGTGCAGCAATGGTGGAGCATTGAGCTCAGTGGTACAATATTATAACAGAAAACAAAACAGGACCAAACTTAGCTGATACCCACACACAGAGGGAGCATTTAAACTGCCCTAGTTTAAATTATTATTTAAACTCATCCCAGCAGTCTGAACATGAGCGCCCACAAGCTTCACCACACTGAGATAAAGTGCTCTATAGTCTTAAAAAAACTTGAAAGCCAATATAAGCCACAGGGATGACAACTCCTATATGAGTCCTCGTACTTAACTGGGCCCAGAGACAGCAGAGTGCAGAGGCACACGACCTACTGAGACACCAACTAAGGGCAGCTAAGGGAGTGCTGGCATTGCCTGACCCCTAATCATAGGCTGCACAGTTTGTGGCTCCAAAAGAGACTGTTTGTCTCCACAGAGGAGAGGGAAGGATGGGGAGGACATTGTCTTGCATCCTGGATACCAGCACAGCCCCAGTCATCAGAGCCATGAGGCCCCCTTTCCGGGGCATAGCTCTTGGAAGACAATTCTAGACATGCTCTGGGCCAGAAGGAAACACATTGGCTTCAAGAAAAGGAACCAGTCCTGGCAGGATTAATCACCTGCTAACTGAACAGCCCTTGGGCCCTGAATAACCAGCAGTGATACTCAGGTACTACATCAAGGGTCTTGGGTGAGACTCTAATACTTCCTTGTTTCAGATGAGACTCAGCACATTCCCAGCTGTGATGGCTATAGGGCAAGACTCCTCATGCTTGAAAAAGAAAAGGGAAAAGGAAAGTTACCAGCTCTGCCACAGGCGGGTGGAGTACCAAGTGAGCTCTTGGGGCCCCTGACTCCAGTACTTGCCTTTTGGATGGCATTTCTGAACCTGACCTAGGACAGGGAGGAGTCCATTGCCCTGAAATGTAGCTCTTAGGCCAGACAGCATTCACCACTAGCTGACTTAAGAGCCCTTGGGCCTTAAGGGAACATTGAAAGTAGTCTGGCAGTACTTCAAGTTGGCCTGAGGTGGCGGCGGCCATGGGATGAGGCTTCTCTGCCTTTGGAAAAGGGAAGAAAAGGTGCAAAAGATTGCATCTTGTCAATTGAGTAACAGCTCAGATGCAGTATGATATAACACCAGGAAGACTTCTAAGCTTTTTCACTCTAGTCCTTGACACCCATACAGCAACTCTGAATCTGTCTGGGGCTTGGGAGAACTCACTGTCCTGAGGGGAAGAGCATAGGCCTGGCTGGCTTTGCCACCTGCTGATTGTAGAGGCACAGGACCTTGAGCGAACATAGGCCACAGCCAGAGAATAGTTACAGCAGGGCTTAGGTGAAACCAACTGCACTGCTGGCTTCAGGTCTGACCCATCAGTTATAGCTTTGGTGGCCACAGTGGTGCTTGTGTCACTCCACCCACAGCTCCAAGTGGTTCAGAACAGAAAGAGAGAGAGACTTTATTTGTTTGGGAGAAAGTAAGAGAAGAGAACAAGAATCTCTGCCTGGTAATTCAGAGAATTAACTTGGATCTTGTCCAAGATCATAAAGGCACTACTTCAATGAGTATGCAAGAACCAGTGTTACTGGGTTTGGGGTGCTCCCTAAAACAGATACAGCTTAGAGTGTAATACTCAAGTCATTTCCAATATGTACAAACAAGCCAAGACTGTAGATACTATAATAAATACCTAACTCTTCAGTGCCCAGACTTAGCCAAACATCCACAAGCATCAAGAACATCCAGGAAAACAAGACCTCACCAAAAGAACTAAATGTGGCACCAGGGACCAATCTCAGAGAAATAGAGACTTGTGACCTTCCAGACAGAGAATTCAAAATATCATTGTTGAGGAAACTCAAAGAAATTCAAGATAACACCAAGAAGGAACTCAGACTTCTATCAAAAAAATAGCAAAAATATTGAAATAATTAAAAAGTCAAAGAGAAGTTATGAAGCTGAAGAAATGCAGCTGGCATAATAAAGAATGCATCACAGTCTTTTAATAGCAAAAATGATCAGGCAGAAGATATAATTAGTGAGCTTGAAGACAGGCTACTTGAAAATACACAACCAGAGGACACACACCAAAAAAAAAAAAAAAAAAAAAAGAAAAGAAAAAGAAAAAATAAATAAAGCACTTCTACCAGACATAGAAAATAGCCTCCAATGGGTAAATCTAAAAAGTATTGGCCTTAAACAGGAGGTAGAGGAAAGCAATAAGTGTAGAAAGTTTATTCAAAGGGATAATCACAGAGAACTTCCAAAGCCTAGAGAACATTTTCAATATCCAAGTACAAGAATGCTATCCAAGTACAAGAACAGCAAGCAGATTTAACCCAAAGAAGACTTTCTCAAAGCATTTAATAATCCAACTCCTAAAGGCCAAAGATAAAGAAAAGATCCTAAGAGCTGTAAGATAAAATAAACAAATAATATACAATGGAGAACCAAGACATATGGCAGCAGACTTTACAGTGTCATCCTTACAGACCAGGAGATAGCAGCATAATATATTTAAAGTGTTGATGGGAAAACACTTTGAATAATACCAAGGGAAAATAATACCAAGAATCTTCTCTGACCACAATGAAATACAACTAGAAATCATTGGGAAGGTGGGGATTGGTGGATCACCCGAGGTCAGAAGTTCGAGACCAGCCTGGCCAACGTGGTGAAACCCCGCCTGTACTAAAAATACAAAAATTAGCCGGGCATGGTGATGGGCATCTGTAATCCCAGCTACTTGGGAGGCTGAGACAGGAGAATTGCTTGAACCCAGGAGGCAGAGGTTGCACTGAGCTGAGATTGGGCCATTGCACTCCAGTCTGGGCAACAAGAGCAAAACTCCATCTCAAAAAAAAAACAAGCATAAATAAATAAATAAATAAATAAATAAATAAATACCTGAAAAAGAAATTAAAAAGTATTCCCTTTTAGAATAGCCACTAATAAAATTAAATACCTAGTAATTAACTTAACCAAAGAAGTGAAAGATCTCTGTAAGTAAAAAAGGTGAAGAGGACAACAAAAAATATAAGATATTTCATGTATACGGAATGGAAGACTCAATATTGTTAAAATGTCCATACCTCCCATAGCATTCTACAGATTCAATGCAATCTCCTTCAAAATACCAATGACATTCTTCACAGACATGGAAAAAATAATCCTAAAATTTATATGGAACCGCAAAGGACTCAGAATAGCCAAAGTTATCCTAAGCAAAAGTAATAAAACTGAAGGAATCACATTAATTCACTACAAATTATACTACACACCTATAGTAACCAAAACAGCATGGTACTGACATAAAAACAGACACATAGACAAATGGAACAGAATATGGAGTTCTGAAGCAAATCCACACACCTACAGTGAGCTCATTTTCAACAAAGATACCAAGAACATACACTGGGGAGAAGACAGTCTCTTTAATAAATGTTGCTGGGAAAACTCAATATCCATATGCAAAAAAAGGAAACTAGACCCTTATCTCTTACTGCATACAAAAATCAAGTCAAAATGGATTAAAGACTTAAATCTAAGACTTCAAGCTATAAAATTATTACCAGAAAACATTGGAGAAACACTCTAGGACATTGGTCTGGACAAAATCTCTTGAGTAATACACCAGAAACACAAGCAACTAAAGCAAAAATGGACAAATGGTATCACATCAAGTTAAAATGCTTCTGCACAGTAAATAATACAATCAACAAAGTGAAGAAATAACCCACAGAATGTGAGAAAATACTTGCAAATTATTCATGTGACAAGGCATTAGTAACCAGAATATATAAGGAGCTCAAGCAACTCTATAGGAAAAAAAAATCAAATAATCTGATCAAAAAATGGGCAAAAGATTTGAACAGACAGTTCTGAAAAGAAGACATATAAATGGCAAACAGGTATATGAAAAGGTGCTCAACATCATTGATCATACAAGAAATGTAAATCAAAATTACAATGAGATATAACCTCACCCCAGTCAAAATGGCTTATATCCAAAAGGCAGTCAATAACAAATGCTGGCGAGGATGTGGAGAAAAGTGAACCCTACTACACTGCTGGTGGCAATGTAAATTAATACAACCACTATGGATAACAATTTGGATGTTCCTCATAAAGTAGAAATAGAGCTACCACATGATCCAGCGATCCCACTTTTTGGTATATCCTCCCCAAAAAAGGAAATTAGTATATACAAGAGATATCTGCCCTCCCATGTTTGTTGCTGCACTGTTCACAATAGCCAAAATTTGTAATCAACTTAAGTGTTCATCAACAGATTAATCAATAAAGAAAATGTGTTACTTACACACAATGGAGTACTATTCAACCATTGAAAAGTAATAGGATCTTGTCATCTGCAACAACATGGATGAAACTGGAAGTCATTATGTTAAGTGAATTAAGCTAGGTGCAGAAAGAAAAACATCACATATACTCACTTACTTGTGGGATCTAAAAATCAAAGCAATTGAACTCATGGAAATATAAAGTAGAAGGATGATTACCAAGGGCTGGGAAGTGTAGTTGGGGGATTGGGAGAGGTCAGGATGGTTAATGGGTACAAAAAATAGGAAGAATGAATAAGACTTAATATTTGATAGCACAACAGGGTGAATATGGTCAATAATAATAATTTACCTGTATATTTAAAGATAACTAAAAAAGTGTAATTGGATTGTTTGTAACACAGAGGATAAATTCTTGAAGGGATGAATACCCTGTTTTCCTTGAAGTAATTTTATGCACTGCATGGCTATATCAAAACCTCTCATGTACCTGATAAATATAAACACCTACTATGTACCCACAAAAATTAAAATTAAAGAAAAAGAAAAGAAAATTAGCAGACTTGGAGTTAGGTGAACCTTGGTCTATGTTTGTACTTTAAAGCTATAGGGTCCTGAGGATTTTACTTATTTTTATGAGTTTTGGTTTCCTTACCTATAAAATTGGGTTTATATTTTACTCAATTCTTACAATTGTGCCAAATATTCAATTATTATTATTGATAAAATGTTTAACACAGTTTCTGTCACATAAAAAAGCATTAAAATTCTATTCCTTGAGGAGTTCCACTTCTAGAATGGTAGTGCAAGGAGCTCCATTACCCATTCTTTAAGGAAATAAGCAATACTAGTGAAAACTATGTAATAAACATTCAAAGTTTCTGGAGATTGTTTTAATAGCATATAGCAAATTAATTTGGTCAAAAAATTTACTAAAGCTCAGTAAGAATAGTGAGAATATGTGGTATTTGAGCCATGACCAATTTCATCTACATCTGCCCTTAGGTCAGGTTGGGGGAAGCTACATTCTGGCTGGGTGTAGACAAGCAATTCTCCTTCTCCCTTCACCTTCTCATCAAGGGCTACTGTATATGATGGGTTGAATTGTGTGCCCCAAAAAGTCGTGTCAATTCCTAGTCCAGTATCTGTGAAATTGACTGTGTTTTGAAATAGCTTTTGCAGATATAATCAAGTTAAATTGATGTCTTTCTAGATTAAGGTAGACCCTATATCCAGTTTCTCCTGTCATTATTCAGAGAAAGATTTCTTATATAGACACACAGAAGACACACACAGAGGGAATGTAAATAACAAAGTCAGAGAGCGGAGTGACGTAGCTACAACCCAAGGGATGACAAAGATTTTTAGCAACCATCAGAAGCAAGAAGGAGGCAAAGAAGGATTCTTTCCTAGAGCTTTTCAGAGGAAGTATGGCCCTACTCAGCCTTGATTTTATACTTTTTGCTTCCAGAACTGTGAAAGAAATTTCAGTTGTTTTAAGCCACTGAGTCTGGGGTTCTTTGTCATGCAAGCCCCTGGATATTAATACAACATATCTCACCAGGAGGAGCAATCTGCCAGCATTTCTCAGCCCCTCTAACTCCAAGTTTAAGAGGCAAATTTTTTGGTCAATACAGCCTAGAGGTTGGATAGTCACTTCTTCCATCCAGCCTGGACTCTAAAGATAGAGGTTCAACACCAAGCACAGTAGAATGAGAATACTGGGGCCCTGATCACACCATCCTAACTCAAGTTAAACTCAAGAGTAAAAAGACAAATCACGCATTAAAATGGCCAAAGGATATGAATGACAATTCTTTAAAGAAGTTATACAACTAGCCATTAAGCAGATGAAAAGATGCTCAACATCATTAGCCATCAGGGAAATGCAAATCTAAGCCAGAAAGAAATACCACTTCACACACACTAGGATGGTTGTAATAAAAAAAGATAATAACAAGTGTTACCAAGGATATGGAGAAATCAGAACTCTCATACACTACTGGTAGAAATGTAAAATGTTGCAGCCACTTTGAAAAACAGTCTATCAGTTCCTCAAAAAGTTAAACATAGAGTTACCATACGATCAAGCAATTCCATTCCTAGGTATATAGCCAAGAGAATTGAAAATAGATATTCAAACAAATACTTCTACATGAATGTTCATAACAGTAGTATTCACAAGAACAAAAAGTAGAAACAACCCAGATGTCCATCAACTAATAAATGGGTGAACAAATTGTGCTGTATCAATAAAGAAAATATTATTCTTCCATAAAAAGGAATTAAATAATCATGTATGCTACAATATGGAAAACAGGAAAACATATGCTAAGTGAAAGAAGCCAGACACAGTAAGTCACACGTTATATAATTCTGTATATATAAAATGATCGCAATAGTCAAATCTACTCAGACAGAAAGTAGATTAGTGGTTGTCTAGGGCTGAGGGAAATAAGACGATTGTTAGGAGATGGCACTCCTTCTGGGAAATTGAAAATATTCTAAATATGATTGTGGTGATGATGCTCAACTATCTGAATATACTAAAAGTCATTCAATTGTACAGTTTATATCGGTGAATTGTATGGAATGTGAGTTCTATCTCAATAAATGTGTTAAATGCTATTACTAATAATGACGTTTAGACTTAAGAATTAAAGTAAAATTTTCTAGTGAATTCTAATATTTGGGTGATCAGGATTTATACCCCTTGAACAATGTGAGGGACTAGGTGTGCCAGAAAACTCACACAGTCGAAAATCCACATAAAAGTTTTAACTCCATCAAAACTTAACTATTAATAGCCTACTCTTGACTGGAAGACTTACCCTTAACATAAACAGTCTATTAACACATATATTGTACGTTCCATGTATTCTATATGGTATTCTTACAAGAAAGTAAGATAGAGAAAAGCAAATCTTTAAAAAGAGAAAATGCATTTACAGTAATGTATTTATCAATGCCATAAGTTTACATCATCTGTTTACAAGATGAATCATCTGTCTGATATGGGAGGCAACTGCAGCTGCAGACCTCAATCTACATTATATATCAAGCAATTCAAATTGTCTTGTAATGTGATGGCTTTTCTCTGCTTCTTGGGACCACTTCAAGCATCACTAGTGCACTTCACATGGGACCCACGGTGTTACTAAAGGTTTACGGTATTGCACTACATACGATGAAAAATATGCAAGAATCTCAAGAGATCACTTTTTACTGTGATATGCAATTTACTGGGGAGACAACTAGTCCTGTGGAGATGACTAGTATCACATGGTGTTTTAAGTGTACATTTGCAACACTTGAGTTCACAGTGATAGCAACAGGAGGTAGCTATGAAAGTATTAAAGCAGTACAATATGTACTATAGTTAATTTTATACAATTATGATTTAACACTTCTTCTTTAGGTTTGTTTACACTTCTCTTGACTGTGAATGGTGCCATGTCTAGTCTGTAACTGTGTGCTTAATATTTGATGAAGTATAACTTTTTATAATAGATTCGTATATATTTTATGGTAGTACATAATAAAATAAACTAGTATCTACAAATATTTTATGCCTTCATGATATACCTGACTTTTTTTTCAAAATTTCTAGGCTATGTGGTTCACCTGTGAGATTTTCAAATGGTCACAAATCTCCAAAAATTTTTGTAATATATATTTATTTTTAAAAATCTATGCATAAGTGGACCTGCACATTAAAACCTATGTTGTTTGAGAGTAAACTGTGTATATTTTGGTGCCAGAAGAATTATTTTATATTTAATTATTCTTGTTTATTTTTAATGAGGGATATGCGACATACAATGAAGTTCACACATCTTAATTGTTCAAGTTTAAGGAATTTTGTTGATTGTGTATACTCATATATCTACCACCAAAAACAAAATGTAGTTTCCACCACTGCAAAATTTCCCTCATGCCCTTGTCCAGTCCATCTCTACCATGTCCCTATGATACCCACTTTCTGATTTCTATCATCATAAATTATATTCTGCCTGTTTTTGGCCTTCAAATAAATGGAATTATATAATATGCATGTTTTTGTGTCTGGTTTCTTTTGTATAATATATTATTTTCTAAATTCATTCATGTTGTTGCGTTTTTGACAGTAGTTTATTTTTGATACCAAAATGTGTTTATCCATTCTTGATGGATTGTGGTTGTTTCTAGGTTTTTGCTGTTATAAACATGGCTGCTGTAACTATAAAAATCAGTTTGTGCATTGATATTTTTATTGCTCTGGGATAACGTACCAAAAAAACAGAATAGTCAAGTTTTAGGGTATGTATATATTTAAACTGATAAGAAATGGCCTAACAGTTGTCTTGAGTTTTTGTATAATTTTATATTTCAACCAGCAATGAATAATAGTTTCTGTTTTCTCTCTTTGCCATATCCTCACCAATTGAGCGTTTTCTTTTTTACTCTCTAATTTTAGCCAATCTGCTGCATGTTTGGTGGTATCTCATTATGATTTTAAGTTGGATTGTATGGGTTTTTATTATTGATTTGTAAAAAAGTTTTTCTATATTCTAGATAAGATTGGTTTTTGAATATGGGATGTTAGATATAATCTTATATTAGACTCTTTTTGTGATATGGTAAACTAACTCAAGCTGAGCACATGAAGATACAACAGTAATTAGCTATATCCAAAGACCATACTTGTGAGCCACTGTCTCATAAACACACCAGCTGAAATTTTCATTCTTTCAAGTGTAAATCCAGCTAAAGGTTGTTGTTGTCTTTTCCTCCCATCCAGATTAGTCTTCTTCTTATAGCAATCAATTACAAATTATACTTCACCCCCCAACCCCGAGACGGAGTCTCGCCCTGTTGCTCTGGCTAGAGTGCAGTAACACGATCTCGGCTCACTGAAACCTCTGCCTCCTGGGTTCAAGCAATTCTCCTGCCTCAGCCTCCTGAGTAGGTAGGACTACAGGCATGCGCCATCACGCCTGGCTAATTTTTTGTATGTTTAGTAGAGATGAGGTTTCAGCATGTTGGTCAGGTTGGTCTCGAACTCCTGACCTCAAATGATCCTCCTGCCTCAGCCTCCCAAAGTGCTGGGATTACAGGCGTGAGCCACCACGCCCGGCCAGCAATTATACTTCTATCCTGGAGAGCAGTAAAGCAGTTTTCTCCAAAACTGATTAGTAATCTATATCCTCTCAGTACTTCAATATCTCTTTACTGCCTCTGGCCTTAAAACAGTCTTACCTGTTAAACAAGAGATAATCTCATTCTGAATTTAGGATAATTTCTCTTTATTGATCATGTTATAACTTATTTATTTCTAAAATGTTTCATAAGCAGCTTTATAATGACCATGTGTAATAGGAAATAACACAACCATTTTATGAACTCAGCATAAAATTTCAAGAAAATCAGTTTTAAGAGGATAATTGTTATGTTAGAGATAATCCTCACAAATAAGTGGTTAGGGAAAATTAATTCCCACTGGGTACAGCCAATTTAGGTTAACAATATACCTAGTAGGAGGCCCCATCTTCCCAGGGTGAAATATCAACCTAAATTGCCTGAGGTACTTTTTAAATATCTGGTAAATAGGTTTGAAAACTGTGGTATTTATTCTAGGTAATAGCAATTTAAATTACTGCAGCTTTCTTGTTTTATTTTAAATACATTACCATTTTATAGGTGGAAAATAATATTCTTTTTTAAGGGAAAAAGCTGTTGGCAAAAGGATTGAACTAGTTTAGATGAGGATCAAAAAAATAGAAAAGTACATTATTACAAAATCCATTATAAATCTCCAGAACAGTTTGCTCTGGTAGAAAATAAGTATCTACAAAGATCAAGGATTTCTAATTAAATACAGGAAGTTCTGAACACTTGCATTTGTCTCTTTGATATACAGCAATTGAACAGACAAATAATCAAGAAACTTCGTTTCCATTTCTACCTTTTGCATTAAGGAAAGTAAGGTGAAGACTTTTCGTTCCCCAGAACGCTCCCTTGCATTCCACCATCTTCCCAGTTCTCCTCACCTTTACTTTTTGATAGCTTTCTGCCCACCTATAGTGGAGATGAGAGGAACTGAGGAGCAGCCAGGTAGCTAATGAGGTTTGAAGCACTGGTTTCAGTAAAATCATGTGAAGTGCCAAGTATTGAATAACTTACTGAGGAAATAATTAGGAAAGGTGATGAAGACTACATAGAAAATGACTAGAAGTCCAGTGCTTTTCCATCAACTCTCAGGGTAGGTAGACATCATGAGTTACTGAATCCAGTCTTCTTGGCATAACATGTAGCTCAAGACTGAAAAGGAGAAAATGTTCCCCCGTGGTCTGTAGCAAACTGTAAACTGTAGATCCCGTCACATATGTTAGAAGAAGACCATTTACCAGAACCTAAGTTTAATGAGTCATTGTTGCTAATATCTTATAAATAAACATCTATTCTCTTGGCTATATAATCTCATCATAATTCATATGCCATTTATTTAATATTAGATCTTCATGTTCTAATATATCAGTGCAAAGTAGTGTGGAATATAGGTTCTCTGAGAGGAGTGAAGTTTCTTAGTTGCAAACATTTAATTTCTATTTTGGAAATATTATGACTTTGGGAATATTTAACATTTTTTCATTCAATAAAATTGGTACCCAAGATGGTGGAAAGGTGAATACTTTTGTCATTTACTCCCTTATTCTTCTCTCTGTATATTTAAAACTTCAAAGTAATTCTAAGAACCGTATATATCCAGATATCAAAGATGCTACTGTGTTTTCAAGCCTTCCTTATACATTCTTTATTCCAATTTATATTAATAATTATAAGTAGTATTGAATGTATTTTATCGGCCTCATAAATATTTATATTAAAAGCTCTTGATCATCAAATGTTTCCATTCTAATTGTATACACTGATTGGTAGTTTAACATTTTATATTTGAATGAATAGAGACTAGGCATCATGTGGATATATAAAATCTAGAGAGACCGTGGACAATTTACCTACCATGGGAGAGCTATTGGCCTCCATCTAGTAGATGAAAGAGGTAAGATTTTTACCCTGGTGAAGGAGCTAGAGGCATGTCCAAGTGTAATGTCATTGATACCACATAACAATCCACAAAACTAGCAGTCTAGATGGTCAGAGTGAGTAGGGGCTTACAGCTAAACACAATTATAGTCGGATGTATTAAAGAAATATAAATCATTTCTTATAAGATAAAGCATTCAGGGTCATAAATGGCTCTGGTAGTTATGCTTACTCCTTGATCCAACAATTTATGAAATTAAAAATGATAAACCATGCACACTGTCATTTTTCATTTGAGAGCCTTGTGTAAATAGTTAAATTTTTCGAGAGATAGGAATTAGGAAATTGGAGAAAAGTAATAATAGAAATGTAAGCATTTGAGAATGACCAGAGAAGGTCAATGTAATTTAAAAGGTAAGCAAATATCGGAGAATTTCAAAACTCAACAAAAACTGGTTTTAGGTAATTTTATATTACTTCTATTCTCCATTTTTGTTACTAGAAGAAAACTAGTTCCAACTGCTGTGCTTCATCCTGCTCAAAGAAAAGTTCTAGGTAAGAAGTTGGGCTGAAAGTTTTCATGCAACCTGAATAAATTCATTTACTGGAATGTCAAAGTCAGATAGCAGTCCAACTTTTACTAAGGAAAGACACTGTTTTTGATATTATGAAGACACTAATAGCAAAGTACTCATGAGCTCTAAGAAAAATAGAAATGCTTTTTAGGAAGGATCATGAGTGATTCATCAATCAATGGTCTGGATGTTAAGTCATAAACATGACCAGTTCAAACACTAACTCAGGAATTTTCATGCCAGAATATGTATTAGACTATTAGGGCATATTTGACCAGATAACAGATAGAATAATAAAGCTGAAGGGGAAGAAAGTATAAAGGATGAGGGATTTAGCAATTAATAAGTAGGTATATTTCTTACATATAAAAATGTTAAACCTTTGGTATCTGTAGTTAGTTGTATCAAAATGAAGTAATGCCATCACCCCATGATCTTTCAGACTGATGAAGTGTTCAGGGTCTTGGTTCAACACAGACAGTTGGACCGGAGCATGTATTTTCTCTCTCTCTCTTTCAATTTCTCAAAAAACCTGACAAACTAAAAATGTGTGAGTCAATTTAAGGTTTTCTAGATATCATAAGAACTAAGTACTAATTTACGAAAGATTATTCGCCAAATACTTAATCTCTTTTGACTGTGTTTACATTGATTATTTTATTCTCTTCACTGCACAATCTGTGCAGATCACTAATTATGTTATAGTACATCCTCTTCGGTCTTGTTCAGCTTCTTGTCTCACTATTCATTTGAACTCTGAAGTGCCCTTGATAGTCACAGTTTGGTTACCTTACTTTAATTTAGTTTTGGGGCTGCAGAATTTTTTAAATTTTAATTTTTCTCATGATTTTTGGGGAATCACAAAAATATGACTCTTCTTATGCTTCTAGGGTCAGAGAGATGATAAAACTGATGAAAACAAATATTAGAAATCCAAGAATACCAAAGGAGATGAGATGCATATTTGTTTTTCCAAATAATTTCTTTAGATGATGACCCTGTGGGTCAGTGTTAATTAAGTGGCAAATTTAACAGCACTAATTGTGTTCAGTAATGTTATAGATTTCTTTCTGTATCACTATGATAAGTAGAAACTGTATGGAGATAAATCATTGTTATCCATATACACAATTGACCAGGGCTTGAAATATTCTACTAAAGCAGGCAATTTATGTCTCAAAGAAATAGACATGCAGTATTTCTTTCAGTCTAATTACTCTCCAGTAAAAATAAATGCTAACTAGTGATTTTAACTCAAGCTGCAACTGATCTGACTCACCGATATCCAATATAAAGAAGATATCTGGAAAACATCTCATAAAAGAAGAAAAATTAGATATTATCATTTGATCAGAGGAAGAGTTTAAATGTTGTGTTCTATTAGGAGGTGCGAAACATTTAGACCAATTATATTAACTATTATATTTGCAGTTTTCAATCACATGTATATTATTTGTATGTCATTCCATAGACATTATAAACTGCTAGTTTACTGTTTCTGGATATGTCAGTCACTTTGATTTTTTACCTTCATGTGTACTCACGTGCATCTCATTACCTTAACTACCTATCATATTATGTTGCCTGTCAAAATTCTCCCCATCCTCTAAAAACAATTTCAGATGCTACCTCTTCTCTTAGGGCTTTTCTGATCCCCTTTAGCTAGTAAGGATTGCCATAAATATGTTGGTACTTCTCTCACTGAGAGGTGGGGTCTATGTGTCCTCCCCTTTAATTTCTCTGGGCTCTGTGACTACTTTGACTAATATAAAATGATAGAAGTGACACTAGGACAGGTCCCAGATCTGGGCCTTAAGAAATCAGCAGCTTCCATCCCGAGACTTGGATTGTTGGCCCTGGGGTAAGTCTACTGCCGTGAAAGAAGTTTGACTATCTGGAACTATCATGGTATAAAGAAACCCAAGCTTCCAACATTGAGGGGCTGTGCGGAGAGAGAGAGATGCTTGGCCAGCCCTTGTTATTCTGGCCATCCCATTATACGTAAAAGATACGTGAGTTAAAAAGACATATAGGACATTACAGTCTTGGCAGACAAAACAGAGAGGGAAAAAAATTTCAGCCACTAGCCAGAGTCAATACCCCAGACATATGTAACCCTTTAAGTTATCCCAGCCACAGCTAGCTGTTTGAGAAACCTAAAGCTATTTAATCCACCCTAGCTGAGGCTACAGTCATTGCTCTGTAATAATAAACATAATTGAATGTTAATTGTTTTGTGCCACAAAACTTTGGGATGAGTTGTTATGCAGCAATTTTTAATGGAAACATCCCATTATTGGATATTGGGTATCCCAAACTGGATAGAATCTACCTTGTTTTGAGAATTAATAGTAAGCTCTATACATGTTAATTCATCAAATTTGTCACATTCTGCCTGTTTGACATTTAAGAATTTGTCTTCAGATACCTAATTTGGTTTAAATTCCTTGCTAGTAAACAGTTGTATTTGTCCAAGTACCCAGCTTGATATATCCTACACAAAGAAAATGTTCAGTAAATATCTATTGAAATAGATTTCAACTTTATTTCTATTGAAATTTCAATTTTATTTCTATTGAAATAAAATTCTCAAAATACTTTGTCACACATTTTATAGTTTCAATAGATATAAAAATGCAATATTATAGAACCTAGATTTCCAACCAAATAATTTATATTATTAACTAGAAGCTGAGGCTAAAAGTAAGGATTAATCACAATGCGTCCCTCTAAGATACACTACAATGAAAGGAAAAGATTTAAATCCTAGCAGAGGAATTCACCTTTAACTCGAATTACTATTTCCAGTAAATATTACAGGATGAGCAAAACTAAAATGGGAAGCTCAGACCTGAGTTTCAAGGGATGTGAAAGAAAAAATATAAAAAGGGAGTCCAGCTATCAGCCTGAATGAACAACATGTAAAAGACTGTTTCTTCAGGTCGGCATGTGATCTGTCAACATGCAATTAATCAAAGTGCTGAAATAACAGGCAAAATTGCTTGCTTCAGAGAGCACTGATTATAGTCTGTTGAAACTCATGACATTCAAAGTAGCACATTCAAAAGCAACTAAAATATGCCTCTAATAAATTATAAAAATACATTTTATGAAAATTTAGCCTAGGCAGAAAGTCCATTTATTGGATTATCAAGATCCCAGCAGCCAATTTGCTCACCCTTCAAATATAACATCTTATCAATATCAGAAAAAAAATTCAACACACTTATTATTTTCTTGTCAAAACAGGTTATCTGCTACCTCTAAGCTACTTCTTTTTTTATCATAAGACATAGTAGGAAAACAGCAATTCATTGTAAATGTATGCCCAGTACTAATCTACTTTTTAAAAAATTACATATACTTTAAAAGCATGTTCTGAAAGTATCTTCTTGGTTGACAGTTGTTACTTTCATTGCAGTTGTTTATATTTTTCATCCCTCTTGCAGTTGGTTATACATTTAACCATTGTTTATTCTTTCAGAAATCATTAAGGATTGACTGTGTATCAGGCCCATGAACTAAACCCTGGAAATAAAACGATTAATAATATTACAAGAGAAACATATTTCCTGACCCTGGAGTTTTCATAAGGAAGCATTTTTACTTAAGCACATTCTAGCCCTCTCTCCATGCTGGACCTTTAATCACTGTTTCTGGGAACCATGCATGACTCGTTTGTGAAATTTGGAAGCAATAACTAGGAATGCATAGGCTATATTCTTCTTTTGCTTCTTCTAGGTGAGTCTTTCCCCAGAGTTGCCAGTGCTCTTCTGCCCTTCCTTATTTTTTACCTGAACAATGTTTCCATTTTGAGTAGAAAACTCTGGACCTGGAGTGACAGTGACTGGATGGGTAAGTCTGCCTGATTGTGGGGTTAATTCAGCATATTCTTTTGTTTCTCAAAGTAAGGTTTCCTCTTACAACTTAGCCCCTCACAGTAATAAAAACAATAGATTGGCTACCAATTTTACCATTTGTTTTTGTTCTCAATATTTTCAGAATCGGGTGGAGAATGTGGGTGATTTTTATTGGAAGCTCTCTCAAGGATCACAACAAAGAACTCGTTATTACTTTCACAATCTAATTCGGTAGACAAACACAAACAAAGTTATAAAACTAGTGATAAGTACACTGATAGAAATATGTATAAGGCATTCAAGTATGTTATGCACATGGAGGAGTGGGGTACAGCATGCACAATGTCCTAAAAGTGAATTGTGAAGGTTTATGTGTTGACTACAAGGAAAACAGGTTTGTCACTGCTGGAAATTAAAAGTGTGAAATAGAAAGCGGTGTAAAATAAAGCTAGAAATCTAGGTAGGATCTTGTATGCTAAGAATTTTGTACTTTAATTTGAAAGTCACAATAAAATATTGAAAGTTTTAAGCATGGAAGTAACTTGATCAGATTTTTTATGATAGCTGTTGGTGATGTGTAGAATGGGTTAGAGATGGAGAAAAGTTGAGTCAAGGAGACCATTTAGGAGGCTACTTCCAGTAGTATAGGCAAAAATTAATGAGTATTTGAACTAATAAATAACAAAAGTGAGAAAAGTAGAAAGCTATTTGCAAAATGCTTATAAAATAAAGTCAACATGATTTGATAATAACTTAATAATTTGAGAACAACTGTGATAATAATAGAGAATGAGGAATCTAGCATGATTTTCTTTTTTCTAAGTTCTGTAAATACATGGATTATAGTGCCATCAACCAAGAAATATTAAAGAGAAGGAAATATTTGGGACAAGGATTAGGAGCTTTAGTTTTGGAAATGTTAGAATGTTTTGTGCCTATGAGAAATCTAGCTTTGAAATGTCTCCAAAACCTCAGAAAAATGAATATAAAAGCTTGAGAAGTTAGAGTTGAAAATCTCTATTTGGGGATTAAGATCCTAATGATAGTGAATAGATGATATCAAACATAAGTGTGTAGTATGAGGCCAGGTGCGGTGGCTGACGCCTGTAATCCCAGCACTTTGGGAAGCCAAGGTGGGTGGATCACCTGAGGTTGGGAGTTCGAGGCCAGACTGATCAACATGAAGAAAACCCATCTCTACTAAAAATACAGAATTAGCTGGGTGTGGTGGCCCATGCCTGTGAATCCCAGCTACTCAAGAGGCTGAGGCAGGAGAATCGCTTGAACCTGGGAGGTGGAGGTTGTGGTGAGCAGAGATCGCACCATTGTACTCCAGCCTGGGCAAGAGTGAAACTCCATCTCAAAAAAAAAACAAAAAAACAAAAAAAACCACGTGTGTAGTATGGAGATGAGTAGTGAATCGTGAACCAAGGATGGGATTGTCATCAACACCATCATTTATTTCTTGGATGAAGGAAGATGAACCCATGACTGAGACAGACAAAGTGGTCAAGACAACATAGCATCCCAGAAGCCAAGATAATTGAAAGTTTTAAAAAGGTAGGACCAATCAACAGTAATTAATGTCAAAGAGAAGTTTAGTGAAGGAAATACTAATAGAAAAAAAATCTATTGAGTGTTATAATATGGAGGTCACTGAAAATCTTAATGAAACTAGTTTAGCTGTAATATTTTGGACAAAAAAAAACAGATTAAAGAGAAACAAGGAGAGAATGGGAGGTGAATAAGTAAAGAGTGAATATAAACTATAATTTTGAGATGTTTAGATGAGACTGGGAGAAGTGATTAGTAGGTAGCTAGAGGGAACAAGCATTGAAAATAGTATTTATTATTTTTATAAGATTCCCTTGTACTTTTATAGAATAATAGAGAATACATCAGTAAGAGAGATTAAAACTACAGGAAAGAGTTTAAGGTCTTGGAGGAGATGAGTTCGGGGATTAGGTAAAAGATACAAATGGTAGTGGCCTTGAACAGAAGAAAAGATATCTTTGAGATGGTGATGGAATATTGAAGGTGATTGTGGCAGAAAATTATAAATTTCTCCATAGTCGTGGATGGATGATGACTTATCTGATGAAAGTGAGGGTTGAGGATGCATTAGAGGGCCTGAGAATGGGGGTGAAAGTTTACAGAAGCATTTATAAGAAATAAGTAACTTCCTAACTGTGGTGTACATCTTTCCTGCCCATAATTTACCTCTGATTATTAAGTCCACTCCACCCTCAATTCACACCTTGTGCTTTGGCTGAATTTGTAACCCAGTTGATCTAAGTCAATCAACTCATTGATTAGTTTAGAGATTCTAATAGATCCCAATGAGAATCAATGAGAATAAATCTTCAGACTTTGACTGGGGGAAGGGAGGAGAGAGAGAGATTGAGGTCATTGTTTTCAGGAACACGGCACAAAGTTGCACATGCATTGCCCATCTATTGGGGCACCATTTATATTGACCATAATTTGTCTGGTGCTACCCAGACTTCTGCAGCATGGCCATGTTTGATTATTATTATTATTATTTGGATGTGTTTTTGTAAAGATTAAAGCCTCTATCTTCCAGCAGCCATTTTGCTATTTTTACCTGGAGAGTCTGCCTGAGAATGGAATAACATAGAGGATGCTGAGTTTAGAGAAAGAGACAAACCAGACCCCAATGACATCATTTAAGCTTCTAAATGATGCTTAACCTAAAACTCAGATATATTTTAGAATTTTTCCTCCATTAAACATTAGCATAAAAATCTATCATTTTTTTGTAAGTTAGCTGGGTTCAAGATTCTGTCACTTGCACAACCATACCTTTTATTTAAGAAACCAATGTTTCTGTTTTCAGTTGTCTATACATTAATAGAGAGGGTCATCTTTGTTTGATAATTTGTTCTTAATACAGCTAGCAGAGTTCAATTTTCACAAAGATAGGGGTAATAAATGCCTTAGGACATGAATATTGTAGCTGTATTCGCATATATCCATAAATGTTAATAGGTGCAGAAAAATTAGTACAATGTTAAATTGTGATAGCAAGTTTTGAAATTTTTTGGTTTGAATTTTCTTTCTTTATTCACTTGATACTTCAAGTCAGGTAACTGATAGAACTAATATGTTGTTCCTTCTGTATAAGGATGTTGTTACCAATCTACTGACAGGGTAAGTGCTTGTAATGTTTACATAAAGTTTTTCTCTGGGATACCAGTATAAGAATCAGTGTTAGGAGACAGAGTTGGCCTTACTCTTGTTCCTCAAACAGGTCAAGCTTACTCTTGCATCAGAGCCACTGTGCACTTCATTTCTTATGCTTTTAGTGCCCATGTGCCTATCTCTTTTTCCTTGTTCAGGTCACAGATCAAATGTTGCCTTTTCAGAGCTTTCGCTAATGATTCTAGCTAAAATAGCACCCCTCTGTCTACTCCCTTTCTATCCTTTTATTATTTTCCCTAATTTCTAACACATACATTTATTTGTTAATTAAATTTGTGTATGTCTTTCACACTATAAGATAGGAAAAGAAAAACTTTGTCTTGATTACTACTGGATTCACCCACCTCTCTGAAAGTGTGTTGATATATTGAAATCACTCCATGAATACTAGTTAAATGTGTAACTGAACAATATACATGGTGAGATAAAACACACACACACACACACACACACACAACACCAACAGCAAAAGACCATTATTTTTCAAATATTATATGGTCACAATACACCTATGTATTTGGACTGCAATTTCATAAATGTTCTAACATTGTGAGAGAGAAAGAAAAAATCTTACTTCTTATTGATTAAAACCATCATCTCCTCTGGGAAAAAATATTTCAAAGTCACACAAATAGTTAAATGAGTATATATGTTAAAAAGTGTTTTGTAAAGTATGTTATTTAAATATTAGTTGCTACATTCATGTTAGGTTACTGGTAAAAATAATTGCCAAAAAGTGCACATAGCAAAAAAATAAATGTTAGCGATTTTATCTCTTGGATGTCTTTTATTTTGCATGCCTTTGTTATAGCACGTATCACCTCATATAGTAAATATTCGCTGGATACCAGTCAAAATATGGACGTATACATAGTATTTGATATTCATGACTAGCAGATTTAGTAATTATACATTACTATATGTAATGCTTCTTTGAATCATCAGAGACCCAATAATTCTGAAATAAAGTGTCATTTAACAAAACATTGTCTAACTTTCCCCACCACTCTCAATATACATTTGTGTTCCACTTAGAGCTGTGTCATTTGCTAAAGGGAAGAAAGTCACTGAGTTGCCCAACCTACTCTTGACTTAATAAGAGGCTGTAAAGTTATAAGAATTGTTCATTTGGAAATACAAAAACTATAGAATGTCTTTCACTCTTCATAAATTGACACAGAGACACAGACACCAATATATTTTTCTTAAAATCTTTATTGATTTTGAATCTTATGTGATATGTTTTCTACATTTACCTTTGAATGATAAACATTATCATTTGTAGATCTTATCAGAAAATGAGTGCACAGTTAAATCACTAATATTTATCTATTTTTGTTTTAAAATGGAATTTGATTAGCAAAGCTATACATTGCTTCTCCCAACCTCTTATTAAAATATGTATACCAATGCAGATAAAGGTGCAAACTCATAACATTAGTTAAAGATCGTACTTAAAGTCTCCATAAAGCCATGTCTGGGGAAGATTTTCCAGTACCATTTTAATTTCTGGACCAAGAATAGCCATCAGTGAATGACACATATTTTATGCTTGAAATGCTACAGAACTATACACTTGAAAAACTAAAAGGAATAATTTTTCCTCTCCTTGTAGCCTGTCTATTAAGAATGTAGAATTTCTCCCAACTAGAAATTTGCATTAGCCATCTTTTAAGGGAAATGTGACCGTTTTCTAGTTGATCAGAAAATGGCACTCCCCCTTTCACACCAACACCCAAATTTCTCCCTTATCAGAATAAATAACGGCAGGAACTGAGTTAGCAGGTTGCTTTCTGAAAGGTTTATTCTCAACAAGTTAAATGATGAACACAGTATAAGAAACTGGTAAACTCTGGTAGTAGTGCATGTATGAGATCATAGTTTTTCATACATTATGTTCATTCAGTGTCAGAGAAAATGACATGTATGCAGACAAATGTTAAATTTTAATTCAACACAAATGCACTAGATTGCTGGGAGACACTGGGAAGTGGCTTAGGGCTTTTTAAAATACCTGAGAGAATGTATGTGGAATATATAAAAATTTAGTAAAGTGATTGAATGTAAAATGAATGTACACATAATATTTTTGGTATATATCATCAATCACCACATAGAAAGCAAAATTCATTCATTTAACAAACATTTAGTGAGTATTTTATATTAGGCACTATGAAAACTCAAAAAACATTTTCTGTAAAAAAGAGAAAAGTACAGGCAGCCTAAAACATAAAGTCCCCTTGAGAGGAAAACCACAAAAATATAAAGCAAAACAAAACACTAAAAAACAAAACAAAATACTGAATTAAAGTATATGGTGAAATATTTTGTCTTCTTTTATAGGAAGAGTAATATTATAAAGATGTGCTAGGCAGAATAATGCCCCCCTCCATTATGTCCATATTTTAATCCCTGGAACCTGTGAATATATTACCTTACATGGTAAAAAAGATTGAAGATTGCATATGGAATTAAGGTGTGCAATCAGCTAACCTTAAAAGAGGGGGCTTACATGAGACTATCTTGGTAGGCACAGTGTAATCTCATGTGCTCTTAAAATTGGAGGAGAAAGACAGAAGCATAAGTCATGTAAATGCTATATGAGAAGGACTCAAGCAGCTATTGATGGCTTTGAAGGTGGAGAAAAGGGGCCACAAGCCAAGGAATGCGGCAGGCTCTAGAAGCTGGAAAGTTTTCCCTAGCAAACATCCCATAAGAAAATGGAAACCTCAATCCAAAAACCACAAGGGATGGGATTCTCCCAACAATCCAAATGAGCAAGAATATTAATCCTCTCCTACAGTACCCAGAAAGGAATATAGCCCTCTCAGAATCTGGCTTTTAGCCCAGTGAAATCTGCTTCAGACTTCTGACCTATCGAACTGTAAAATAAAAAATTCTTGCTTTTGTAAACTGTCCAATTGTGGTAATTAACAGCAGCAAAAGAAAACTAATAAAAAAGATATGATTTATTTCCAAAATAATTTACAGCATTGAAGCTGTAAATCCAAAAAGTCAAAAAATAAATCAAATAAGTCAAAATTCCCAGGTGATGTTTGAAATTTTACATCACCCCAAAATTGATCTAAAAGGATACGTAAGAGAAAGAATAGTCAAAACATTTTTGAAAAAAATAATAAAGGCAAGCTCTATTAAAATTTATTAACACTCTACAATAAGTAAGACATTTCAGAAGTTGTGCTGGGACTAGACAGATACACAGAAAATAATTGAGCATGAACAATTTTATCTTTACACACTAATAACTTAACTTTAATGTTTAAAAAGCCTATACAAATCAGTAAAAGAAGGGTGAACACATCAATAGAATATTTGCCATTGGCACAGACATGAACATATGAAAAATACTTAGTTGTAATAAGAATAATGGAAATTAATTTATCTCACCTAGCAAATTTTCAAAATGTTTTATACTTAATTTTTTATTGTAGTAAAACATATAAAACATAAAACTTACTATATTAACTGTTTATAAGAGCACAAATTCAGTGGCATCAGTATGTTCACAATGTTGTGCAATCGTGAACACTATTCATTTCCAAACCATTTCCAACATCTCAAACTAAAACTCTGAACCCACTAATCAATAAGTACCCACTGCCCCATCTGCCAAGCCTCTGGTGACATCTGTTTTACTTTCTGATTCTCTGAATTGCCAATTCTGAGTACCTATTATAAGAATAATTATACAATATTTGTCAATTTGCTTCTGACTTATTTAATGTAGAATGTTTTCAAGGTGCATCCATATTGTACCATGTATCAGAGTTTCATTACCTTCTAGGGCTCAACAGTGTTCTGTTGTATGTATATACTACATTTGTTTATCCATTTATCTGTGACAGTCATTTAGGTTGTTTCCATCTTTTGGCTATTGTAAATAATGCTGCTGTAAAAATTGGTATGTAAGTATTTGTTTGAGTCCCTGCTTTAAGTCTTTTTTGTAGTATGTATCTAGAAGTAGAATTCCTGATTATGTGATAATTCTATATTTATATTTTTGGATATCCACCATACTGCTTTCTGTAGCAGCTACATACCATTTTACATTCATACCAAGAATGAACAAGTGTTTCAGTTTCTCCATATCTTTACCAATAATTTTTATATTCCATGTTTCTTGAGGATAGTCATTGTGATATGTGTCACATGCTAACTCATTGCAAATTTGATTTGCATTTCTCTAATGATATAATGTTGAGCACCATTTCATGTGCTAACTGGTCATTTGCATATCTTCTTTGGATAAATGCCTACTCAAGTACTTTTCATATTTTTGAATTTTTGATTTTTACTGTGGAGTTGTAGGAATTAATTATATATTCTTAATATAAAGCCTTTATCAGATATTTGATTTGCCCATATTAATGCCATTATGTGGGTTGTCTTTTCACTATTTCAATAGCATCCTTTGTTGCACAAAAGCCTTTAGTTTTAATGAAGTCCAATTCATCTATTTTTTAATTTGTTGTTTCTATTTTTGATGTTAACATCAAAACTCATCACCAAATCCAGTGTCATGAAAATTTTCTTCTATGATTTCTTCTAAGAGTTTTATAGTTTTAGCTCTTATGTTTAGGTCTTTGATGCATGTTGAAGTAAATTTCATATTAATATATGATGTAAGGTATGGGTCCACCTTCATTGTTTTGAACGTGGATATCCAGTTTTCCTACTTCCATTTGTTGAAATGATACTTCTTTCTCTATTGAATGTTTTCGGCACCTTTGTCAAAAATCAATTGCCTCATATGTAAGGATTTATTTGGGGAATAAAAAATATTTTATATTCCATTGGTTTATATGTCTGCTCTTATGCCAGTACTGCACTATTTAAACCACTGCAGCTATTTAGTATGTTTCACAATCAGGACATGGACAAGTCCTCCAAATTTGGATGCCTCATTCAAGATTGTTTTGGCTACTTGGGGTCTCTTGGTATTTCAAATGCATTTTCAATATTTTTCTATTTCTGCAAAAATGACACTGGGATTTTGATAGAGATTGCATTAAATCTGCAGGTTGCTTTGGGTAGTATTATCATTTTGTTTTGTTAATTTACTTTTTAAGCCGTTCCTTTTTTGTGTATATAAATGCAACTGATTTTGCATGTTAATTTTTTATCCTGCAACTTTGCTGAATTTATTATCTTTGTACACTTTTACTGTGCAGTATTTATAGTTCTTTACATATAGAATTATGTTATTAGGAAACAGATCATTTTACTTTTTCTTTTCCCATTTGGGTATCTTTATTTCTTTTTTCCTGTCCAATTGTTCTCGCTAGAACTTCCAATACTTATGTTGAATAGAAGTGGCAAGGTATCCTTCTTTTTCCTGAATATATGGGAGAAGATTTCAGTCTTTCACCAATAAGTATGATATTAGCTGTGGGGTTTTCATATATGACTTTATCATGATGCGGTTTCTTTCTATTCCTAGTTTAATTAGTGTTTTCCATAAGAACAGGTGGTAAATTTTGTTAAATATTTTGTCAGAGAGGGTGGAGCAAGACAGCAGAATAGAAATCTCCATTGATCATTCCCCATACAAGAACACCAAGTTAATAACTATATACACAGAAAGAAAAAAAAAAAAAAACACACCTTCATAAAACCCCCAAATCAGGAGAGTACTAATAGTATCTTATTTTAACTTTATATCACCTAAAGAGAGACTGAGGAGATGGAAAAAGCAGCCCTGAGTTGCTGACAGCATCTGTCCCCCACCTCCTGCAGCTGCAGTTTGGTGTGGAGCATATTTCTGGGCACTGGGGGAGGAAGAACACAGCAATTGTGAGACATTGAACTCAGCGCTGTCCTGTTAAAACAGAAAGATAAAATGGATCAAACTCAGCTAACGCCTCCCTACAGAGGGAGCATTTAAACCAGCCCTAGCAAGAGAGAAATTGCAGATCCAAGTGGTTCGAACTTGAGTGCCCACATACCTTGCCACCAAGGTCTACAACACTCTGTGTCTCCAAGTAAACTTGATAGACAGTCTAGGCTATAAGTATTGCAGCTCTTAGGCAAGGCCTAGTGCTGAACTTGGCCCAGAGCCAGTGGACTGGGGATGCAGGCGACATACTGAGATACCAGCTGGGGCAGCCAAAGGAGTGCTGGCGCCATCCCTCCCCTAACCTCAGTCTGCAAAACTCACTAATCTAAAAGAGATTCCATTTTTCTACTTGAGAGGAGAGGAAAGAGTGGAGAGGACTTTATCCTGCATATTAGATACCAGCTCAGCCACAGCAAGATAGGGCACCACTTAGAGTCATGAGGCCCTCCATTCCAGGCCCTAGCTCCCGGACAGATCCAGACATATCCTGTGTCAGAAGAGAACAAACTGCCTTAAAGGGGAGGACACAGTGCTGTCAGTATTTGTCGCCTGCTAACCGAAGAGCCCATGGGCCCTGAATAACCAGCAGCGAGACACAGGTACTACATCGAAGGCCTTGGGTGAGCCTCTGAGACTTACTGGCTTTAGGTGAGACTAAGCACATTACCAGATGTGGTGGCTATGGGGCAAAACTCCAGAGGAAAAAGTAAAAGGGACTCTGTCTTTTACCTTAGATACAAGCAAAGCTACAGGGACATAGAACACCAAGCTGGGTCTTGGGGTCCCCATCTCAAGAACTTGACACTTTGATGGTATTTTTGGACCTATCCTGGACCAGCAGGGAGCCCACTACCCTAAAGAGTGAGTATCAGGTCAAGCAGTATTCATGACAAGCTGACATATGACACTTTGATTCTTAAGGGAACATCCTTGGCAGTCTGGCAGTACTCCTCATGGCCAGGAATGGTGGTGGCTATGGAGTAGGGCTCCTCTGCCATTAAAAAAAGAAGGAAAGTATATTAGTCCGTTCTCTTACTGCTATAAAAAACTACCTGAGACTGGGTAATTTATGAAGAAAAGAGGTTTAATTGACCTCCCAGTTCCACAGGATTTACAGGAAACATGTCTGGGAGGCCTCAGAAAACTTACAATCATGGTGAAAGGTCAAAGGGGAAGCAAGACACGTGTTGCATGGAGGCAGGAGAGATAGAATGCATTTTACAACCACTACTGAGAACAGTTTGAAGGTTTTTCAAGAAACTAAAAATTGAGGTATTATATGATCACACAATCCTGCTGCTGCATATATATCCAAAAGAAAGACAATTAGCATGTTAAAGAGATATCTGCACTCTCATGTTTGTTGCAGCACTGTTCACCATAGCCAAGATTGGGAAGCATCCTAAGTGTCCATCAACAGGGCAATGAATAAAGAAAATGTACATATACACAATGGAGTACTACTCAGACATAAAAAAGAATGTGATCCAGTCATTTGCAGCAACATGGATGGAACTGGTAATTATTATGTGAAATAAGCCAGGCATAGAAAGATAAGCATTGCATATTCTCACTTATTTGTGGGATCTAAAACTCAAAACAATTGAATTCATAAGCACAAAGAGTAGAAGGATGGTTACTAGAGGCTGGGAAGGGTAGGGTGGGGATGAGGTTGAGGTGGGGATGGTTAATGGGTACAAAAAAATAGAAAGAATTAATGAGGCATACTATTCAATAGCACAATAGAGTGATTATAATAAATAATTACTTAATTATAAATTTTAAAATAACCTCAAGTGTAATTGGATTGTTTGTAAATCAATGGATAAATGCTTGAGGGAATGGACACCCCATCCTCCATTATGTGTTTATTTTACATGACATAATTAAAACATCTCATGTTTTCCATAAATATATACACCTACCATGTACTTACAACGATTTTCAAGAAGAGAAAAAATAAATAAAATGTTTCAAACTTCAAAAAATACTTTTTCAGCCTCATTTGAGATAATCATGTAGTTTTTTTCATTTTTATTCCATTAATGTACTGATTGGTTTTCCTTTGTGAAACCATGCCTGTGTTCTAGGAACACATTGGATAACCTAGAGGAAATATAGAAATCTCTTGAAACACAATCTATCAAAACTCAATCATGAAAATACAAAATTTGAATATACAAGCAAGAAGATTATAACAGTAATCAAAAACCTCCCAAGAAAGAAAATCTCAAGATCAGATGGCTTCACTGGTGAGTTCAACAAAACATTTAAAGAACAATTAGCACCAACCTTCTTTAAAATCTTTCAAAAAATTGAAGAGGAAGAAAAAATTCTTTACTAATTATATGAGCACACAATTAGCCTGATACCAAAGCCAAATAAAAAGACTGCGAGAAAAAAAACTACAGAAGAATATATTATTATTAATATCAATGCAAAAGTTTTCAGCAATACACTCACAAATGGAATTCAGTGGCATAATAAAAAAAATTACATATTATGACTGAGTTTACCAGTGGAATATTTTTAAGTCTGTTGAAGTTGTGCCCACAGCCACCCCCTCTTCCAGGTGCTCTGTCCCAGGGAGATGGGGGTTTTACCTATAAGTCCCTGATTGGGGCTGCTGCCTTTTTTTCAGGGATGCCCTGCCCAGAGAGGAGGAGTCTGGAGAGGCAGTCTGGTCACAGTGGCCTTGCTGAGCTGTGGTGGGCTCCACCCATTTCGAACTTCCCAGTGGCTTTGTTAACACTGTGAGGGGAAAACCGCTTACTCAAGCCTCAGCAGTGGCAGACGCCTCTGCCTCTACCAAGCTCAAGCATCCCAGGTCGAGCTCAGACTGCTGTGCTGGCAGTGAGAATTTCAAGCCAATGGATCTTAGCTTGCTGGGCTCCATGGGGGTGGGACCTGACGAGCCAGACCACTTGGCTCCCTGGCTTCAGCCCCCTTTCCGGGAGAGTGAATGGTTCTGTCTTGCTGGCATTCCAGGAGCCACTGGGGTATGAAAAAAAAAAAAAACTCCTGCAACTAGTTCAGTGTCTGCCCAAATGGCCACCCAGTTTTGTGCCTGAAACCCAGGGCCCTGGTGGCATAGGTACCAGAGGGACTCTCCTGGTCTGCCTGTTGTGAAGACCGTGGGAAAAGCACAGTATCTGGGCTGGAGTGCACCATTCCTCCCGGTACAGTCTCTCACAGCTTCCCTTGGCTAGGGGAGGGAGATCTCCTGACACCGTGCACTTCCCTGGTGAGGCAACTCCCCACCCTGCTTCAGCTCACCCTCTGTGGTCTGCACTCACTGTCCAACCAGTCCCAATGAGATGAACCAGGTATCACAGTTGGAAATGCAGAAATCACCTGCCTTCTGTGTTGATCTCACTGGGAGCTGCAGACTGGAGCTGTTCCTATTCGGCCACCTTGCCAGCAAAAAAAACTGAACAACCTGCTCCTTAATGACTACTGGGTGAATAATGAAATTAAGGCAGGAATAAAGATGTTCTTTGAAACCAATGAGAACAAACACACAACGTACCAGAATCTCTGGGACACATTTAAAGCAGTGTGTAGAGTGAAATGTATAGCACTAAATGCCCACAAGAGAAAGCAGGAAAGATCTAAAATCGACACCCTAACATCACAATTAAAAGAACTAGAGAAGCAAGAGCAAACAAACTCAAAAGTGAGCAGAAGACAAGAAATAACTAAGATCAGATCAGAACTGAAGGAGATGGAGACAGGAAAAACTCTTCAAAAAATCAATGAATCAATGAATTCAGGAGCTAGTTTTTTGAAAACAATCAACAAAATAGATAGACCACTAGCAAGACTAATAAAGGAGAAAAGAGAGGAGAATGAAATAGATGCAATAAAGAATGTTAAAGGGGATATCAACATTGATTCTACAGAAATACAAACTACCATCAGAGAATACTATAAATGCTTCTATGTAAATAAACTAGCAAATCTAGAAGAAGAAGCAAATTCATATCCTTAAATCCTTACTTTGGAAGAGAGGAAAAACTCAAAACTAATAAGGTAAAGGTCAGATTTTAAAAATTAGCAAAAGAGCAAGAGCATAAATACACCAATAAAGTACACAGAACAAGGTAATAAAGAAAACTATTAAAAATAATGTGAAATATACATTAAATAGAGAGGGTGAAAGGAGTCAGAAGTTGGTTCTTTGACAAGAATTGTAAGACTAATAAAATAGACATAGTTTGGAAAGATTATTTGAAAAATGTTTTAAAAGCACAAGGAAAATGTTAGAAATAAAGACATATAACTATAAATACTATAGAAATTAAATAGATATAAGAAAATATTATAAACAACCACACCCTACTAAATTTGACATGGAACACATAAATTTCTTTTTCAAAATGCAATTGTTTGATGTTGAAATAGAAAATCTGAATACTCTTAAATCCAGGAAAGTAATAGAATAATTTTTAAGAACATATGCCTTCCACTTTCTCCTTTCCTAGAGCAGCTAGCTGCGGTACAGAATGGACGGAGGGAGATGGGGGAGCCATCTTGAACTACAAGGTTCCAGTGCTGGAAATGGCAGAGAAGAGATAGAAAGAGTCAGGGGCATGGTGATGAAGGAGCCACTATATCAGCCTATTTCTATCTTGTTGAAATTGTTGCTATTTTTGGTCTTTGCTGTGGTGACCAATCCATACCTTAACTAGTGAAAGTGATAAAACAAAAGAAAACAAGAGAATGATTAACACAAAATTTGGACTACAGCTAACTCAACAATGGGGTGGGGGTGATTGTGTAAGGAAAAGAGATAGGCTTGTGTAGATTTTAGAAATCATTATGTTCTAGTTATTAAGCTGGGATGTGGTATACATCATCTTATTTTGTTATTCTTTAAAATGTTTAGTCACGTTTTATAAATGCATGCATGAAATATTTCATAGTCAAAATACAGAAAAATCAATTTGGAGACAAACATATTTCTTTTTTTTTTTTTTAGAAAATACCACTAGAAGATGCATAGGAGAACACTGCTGAGTATTTCAAGAAACAAAATATAGTATTCAAATAAGTTATTTAGTGTGGGAGACTTATTGTACAGTTAAAGTACAGATATTGCCAATATGGCTGAGCTTATGCTATTTGCTAGATAATATTTCAATAACATGAAATGTGAAGAATTAGATTTTTGTATTTCATAAAATAAAGATATATGGGAGAAATGAAAAAAAAAAAGAAAGAAAATCTAGAAGAAATGGATAAATTCCTGGAAACATACACCCTCCCAAGACTAAACCAGGAAGAAGGTGAATCCCTGACTAGAAGAATAACAAGTTCTGAAATTGAGGCAGTAATTAATAGCCTACCAACCAAAAAAAGTCCAGGACCAGATGGATTCACAGCCAAATTCTACCAGAGGTACAAAGAGGAGCTGCTACCATTCCTTCTGAAACTATTCCAAACAATAGTAAAAGAGGGACTCCTCCCTAACTCATTTTATGAGGCCAGCATCATCCCAATAACAAAACCTGGCAGAGACACAACAAACAAAGAAAATTTCAGGCCAATATCCCTGATGAACATTGACGCGAAAATCCTCAATAAAATACTGGCAAACCAAATCCAGCAGCACATCAAAAAGCTTATCTATCCACTACGTACAAGTTGGCTTCATCCCTGAGATGCAAGTCTGGTTCAACATAGTCAAATCAATAAATATAATGCATCACATCAACAGAAACAATGAAAAAAACCACATGATTGTCTCAATAGATGCAGAAAATACCTTTGACAAAATTCAACAGCGCTTCATGCTAAAAACTCTCAATAAACTAGGTATTGATGGAACGTATTTCAAAATGATAAGAGCTATTTATGACAAACGCACAGCCAATATCATACGGAATGGGCAACAACTGGAAGCATTCCCTTTGAAAACCGGCACAAGACAAGGATGCCCTCTCTCACCACTCCTATTCAACATAGTATTGGAAGTTCTGGCCGAGGCAATCAGGCAAGAGAAAGAAATAAAAGGTGTTCAATTCAGAAAAGAGGAAGTCAAATTGTCTCTGTTTGCAGATGACATGATTTTATATTTAGAAAACCCCATCATGTCAGCCCCAAATCTCCTTATGCTGATAAGTAACTTTAGCAAAGTCTCAGGATACAAAATCAATGTGGAAAAATCACAAGCATTCCTATACACCAATAACAGATGAACAGAGAGCCAAATCATGAGTGAACTCCCATTCACAATTGCTACAAAGAGAATAAAATACCTAGGGATACAACTTACAAGGGATGTGAAGGACCTCTTCAAGGAGAACTACAAACCACTGCTCAAGGAAATAAGAGAGGACACAAACAAATGAAAAAATATTCCATGCTCATGGATAGGAAGAATCAATATCGTGAAAATGGCCATACTGCCCAAAGTAATTTATAGATTCAATGCCATCACCATCAAGCTACCATTGACTTTCTTCACAGAATTGGAAAAACCTACTTTAAATTTCATGTGGAACCAAAAATGAGCTTGCATAGCCAAGACAATCCTAAGCAAAAATAACAAAGCTGTAGGCATCACGCTACCTGACTTCAAACTACACTACAAGCCTATAGTAACCAAAACAGCATGGTACTGGTACCAAAACAGATATATAGACGAATGGAAGAGAACAGAGGCCATCAGAAATAACACCACACATCTACAACCATCTGATCTTGACAAACCTGACAAAAACAAGCAATGGGGAAAGGAATCCCTATTTAATAAATGTTGGGAAAACTGGCTGGTCATATGCAGAGAGCTGAAACTGGATCTCTTCCTTACACCTTATACAAAAATTAACTCAAGATGGATTAAGGACTTAAATGTTAAGACCTAAAACCATAAAAACCCTAGAAGAAAACCTAGGCAATACCTTTCAGGACATAGGCATGTGCAAAGACTTCATGACTAAAACACCAAAAGCAATGGCAACAAAAGCCAAAATTGACAAATGGGATCTAATTAAACTAAGGAGGTTCTGCACAGCAAAAGAAGCTATCATCAGAGTGAACAGGCAACCTACAGAATGGGAGAAAATTTTTGCAATCTATCCATCTGACAAAGGGCTAATAACCTGAATCTACAAAGAACTTAAACAAATTTACAGGAAAAAAACAGCCCCATCAAAAAATGGGCAAAGGATATGAACAGACACTTCTCAAAAGAAGACATTTATGCAGCCAACAAACATATGAGAAAAAGCTCATTATCACTGGTCATTAGAGAAATGCAAATCAAAACCATATTGAGATACCATCTCATGCCAGTTAGAATGGCGGTCATTAAAATGTCAGGAAACAACAGATGCTGGAGAGGATGTGCAGAAATAGGAACACTCTTACACTGTTGGTGGGAGTGTAAATTAGTGCAACCATTGTGGAAGACAGTGTGGTGATTCCTCAAGGATCTACAACTAGAAATACCATTTGACCCAGCCATCCCATTACTGGGTATATACCCAAAGGATTATAAATCATTCTACTATAAAGACTCATGCACACATATGTTTATTGTTTCACTGTTCACAATAGCAAAGACTTGGAACCAACCCAAATGCCCATCAATGATAGACTGGATAAAGAAAATGTGGCACATATACACCATGGAATACTATGCAGCCATAAAAAAGGATGAGTTCATGTCCTTTGCAGGGACATGAATGAAGCTGGAAACCATCATTCTCAGCAAACTAACAAAGAACAGAAATCCAAACACCCCATTTTCTCACTCATAAGTGAGAGTTGAACAATGAGAACACATGGACACAGGGAGGGGATCATCACACACCAGGGCCTGTTGGTAGGTGGTGGGCAAGGCGGGGGATAGCATTAGGAGAAATACTTAATATAGATGAGGGGTTGATAGGTGCTGCAAACCACCATGACACATGTATACCTATGTAACAAACCTGCACGTTCTGCACATGTACCCCAGAACTTAAAGTATAATAAAAAAAAGTAAAGAAATATAGAGTAGAATACTGGTTACCAGAGTCTGAGGAAGAGTGATGTACAGGAAAGGGGAGATGTTAATCAAAGAGTATACAGTTTTAGTTAAAAGGAGTGTGTTTTGGAGACCTATTGTACAGCATTTTGAGTTTAGTTAATTTATTATATATTTGAAAATTGCTGAGTAGATTTCATTTTCTCATAAAAAATGATGAGTATGTGAGTTGATGGACATGTTTGTTTAACTTAATCATTTAATGCTGTGCACAACTAGCAAACACATTTTATGTCATAAATATATAATAAAAATTATGTTAGGCTATGCATGTGGACAGATAGATTAGATAGATAGATAAATAAATAGATTGATATTTTAGAGAAGAATTTGAACCAGGTTAATTAATATAAATAAAATCATAAAGAAGAAAATATGGTGTGTGTACTAGGAAGAGAAAGGTTTTTCATTTATCTTAGTGAAAGTGGGTGAAGAGATGTAGAAGATAGGGCTGAACAGCTAGTCTGAGTTTTCATCTAGGAGGACTTTGGATGCTGAATTTAATTTGTTGGTAAAGTCAGGGCAGAAGAAGGGTATTTTAAAGTTAATGGAGAAAAATATAAGGCAACTCTCACAGGTTGCTTGATGGCAGAGAAAGAAGTTACGCCTATAGGCTCCTTAGTAATCTAATTTATTTATTGGCATGCCCCCATTGTTTTTTTTATTTTGAATATTAGCATGCATAATTGTATGTCCTAGCATATTTTTTCCCTAAAGTCTTTGCTTTTCAAAACTAATATGATTTTCTAATATATTAGTAAAAGGAGTCCAGAACCTCTTGTGGCAATTTTAGTGCTGACCAGAATTTAGATGTTCTATATAGCCCGTACCAAGATATTTTCCTTTAAATTGCATTGATTGTCTTTTCAAATGAAATCTTTCCTTTGAGTGACATTTTTATAATAAAATTATATTGTATTTGATTTGAAAAGCAGCCTTTTTAAGGTAGACATCCTGTATATGATTTAAGTCTCACCTCCCAATGGAATCATGAAACAGTTAGAAAAATAATGAACTACGTCTTATATAATCTTTATCGCTACTTTAAAAATGAGTAATATATTCAGATTTAGTAGAAACATCCCTGAGGAACAATTTGTTCTCACAAATTACATTGGTTCCTCACATGCAAGATTATTAAGCATTAAGGAGGAGGATATTGGACATTGTATACCCTGTAGGAATAGTTTTTTATTTTCAGAAATAAGCTCAGCTTACTGATTGATGGCAAAGATAGTTGATGATAAAATAGAAAAAAACAAAGTTACTCTTCTTAATTTTGTACTCTTCTTACCTCCTTTCATTTTTAATTGGTTATAAGTAGGTGAAAGTTAAAACTTGGCAATGTTTGCTTTAGGAGTTATTACAATTACTCAGGTTAGTAGTATAGTTATATGGTCATTTTTAGTAAAACATCATTCGGAGTCATAGTCACACTTATGAATATCACAGAATGGATATGTGACTTTGGGGTTTTTTTGTGGGATATTTTTTGAGATATTTAAGGCAGAAGTGCCACCTTTACTTCATTTATTTTTATCCGCCCCCCCCCCACCCCGCCGTTTCTCAGAAAGGATAAGGTTTTCACAGTACCAGAGACATTTATCTACTAAAACTTTGAACTAATTAAAATATATAGGGCCGGGTGCAGTGGCTCACGCCTGTAATCCCAGCACTTTGGGAGGCCGAGGCGGGCGGATCACGAGGTCCGGAGATGGAGACCATCCTGGCTAACACGGTGAAACCCCGTCTCTACTAAAAACACAAAAAATTAGCCGGGCGAGGTGGCGGGCACCTGGGGTCCCAGCTACTGGGGAGGCTGAGGCAGAAGAATGGCGTGAACCCAGGAGGCGGATCTTGCAGTGAGCCAAGATCGCGCCACTGCACTCCAGCCTGGGCGACAGAACAAGACTCCATCTCAATAAATAAATAAATAAATAAAATATTATTTAATTTAAGAGAGTTGAAATCATTGAATTGATTCATTTAAACAAGGTAATTTGCAATGGGTCTATTTTTAGGCTATTTTCTTTATAGTAGTTAAGACAAATTAATAAAAATCACATAATGTTGGAGCAGAAAGTGTCAAAGGACAGGTGTAATTTCTACAAGCCTCTGCAGAACCAAGAAAATTTAAAAATTTAAGTATTTAATTGACAAAAAATTGTATATATTCAAGGTATAAAACATAATGATTTAATACACATATGCATTGTGTAATGATTACTATAATCAAATTAATTACCACATCCACCACCACCTATCCCGTACATTAGATTCCCAGAACTTACTGATTTTATAACTGAAATTACATATTATTTGACATAAATCTCTCCAGTTCCTCTATCCCCAGGCACTGGCAACCACTATTATATCCTCTGTTTTTATGAATTCAACTTTTAGGGATTTCATATATAAGTAAGATTGTGTAGATTTGTCTTTCTGGGCCTGGCTTATTTTACTTAGCATAATGTCCTAGTTAATCTGTATCATTGCAAATTGCAACAAGATAAAATTTCTAATAAAATGTCTTTCATTGTTAAGGCTAGATATGGTTTCAGGCAAACAGAAATGTCTACTAAAACCTTTTGCCTATTTTTTATTGGATTATTAGATTTTTTATAGATTTGTTTGAGCTCCTTATATATTCTGGTTATAAATCCCTTGTCAGATGGGTAATTTTCTTTTTTTTTTTTTTTTTTTATTATTTTTTTTTTTAATGTTTTTTTTTTTTTAATTATACTTTAAGTTTTAGGGTACATGTGCACATTGTGCAGGTTAGTTACATATGTATACATGTGCCATGCTGGTGCGCTGCACCCACTAACGTGTCATCTAGCATTAGGTATATCTCCCAATGCTATCCCTCCCCCCTCCCCCGACCCCACCACAGTCCCCAGAGTGTGATATTCCCCTTCCTGTGTCCATGTGATCTCATTGTTCAATTCCCACCTATGAGTGAGAATATGCGGTGTTTGGTTTTTTGTTCTTGCGATAGTTTACTGAGAATGATGGTTTCCAATTTCATCCATGTCCCTACAAAGGACATGAACTCATCATTTTTTATGGCTGCATAGTATTCCATGGTGTACATGTGCCACATTTTCTTAATCCAGTCTATCATTGTTGGACATTTGGGTTGGTTCCAAGTCTTTGCTATTGTGAATAATGCCGCAATAAACATACGTGTGCATGTGTCTTTATAGCAGCATGATTTATAGTCATTTGGGTATATACCCAGTATTGGGATGGCTGGGTCAAATGGTATTTCTAGTTCTAGATCCCTGAGGAATCGCCACACTGACTTCCACAATGGTTGAACTAGTTTACAGTCCCACCAACAGTGTAAAAGTGTTCCTATTTCTCCACATCCTCTCCAGCACCTGTTGTTTCCTGACTTTTTAATGATTGCCATTCTAACTGGTGTGAGATGATATCTCATAGTGGTTTTGATTTGCATTTCTCTGATGGCCAGTGATGATGAGCATTTCTTCATGTGTTTTTTGGCTGCATAAATGTCTTCTTTTGAGAAGTGTCTGTTCATGTCCTTCGCCCACTTTTTGATGGGGTTGTTTGTTTTTTTCTTGTAAATTTGTTTGAGTTCATTGTAGATTCTGGATATTAGCCCTTTGTCAGATGAGTAGGTTGCGAAAATTTTCTCCCATGTTGTAGGTTGCCTGTTCACTCTGATGGTAGTTTCTTTGGCTGTGCAGAAGCTCTTTAGTTTAATTAGATCCCATTTGTCAATTTTGGCTTTTGTTGCCATTGCTTTTGGTGTTTTGGACATGAAGTCCTTGCCCACGCCTATGTCCTAAATGGTAATGCCTAGGTTTTCTTCTAGGGTTTTTATGGTTTTAGGTCTAACGTTTAAATCTTTAATCCATCTTGAATTGATTTTTGTATAAGGTGTAAGGAAGGGATCCAGTTTCAGCTTTCTACATATGGCTAGCCAGTTTTCCCAGCACCATTTATTAAATAGGGAATCCTTTCCCCATTGCTTGTTTCAAATATTTTACCCATTCACCCATTCTGTGGATTGTCTCTTCACTCTGTTGATTGTATCCTTTGCTGTGCAGAAGCTTTCTAACTTGATGTGAAGCAATCTGTTCATTTATGCTTTGGTTGTGTATACTTAGGGTATATGGCTTAAGAAATTTTTGCCCGGACCAATATTTGGAAGATTTTCACAGTGTTTTCTTGTATTAGTTTTATATTGTGAGGTGTTAGATTTAAGTGTTTAATCCATATTTTTATATTTTTGTATATGGTGAGAGATAGGGGTCTAGTTTAATTCTTCTGTATATGGATATCCAGTTTTCTGAGCACCAATTATTGAAGAGACTGTCTTTTCACCAGTGTATGTTCTTGGCACCATTATTGTAAATGTGTTCACATTAGGTGTGTATATGCGTTTCTGGGTTCTCTGTTCTGTTCCATTGGTCTATGTGTCTGTTTTTATTCCAGTACCCTGCTGTTTTGGTCACTATAGCTCTGCAGTATAATTTGAAGTCAGTTAATGTGATTCCTCCAGTTTTATTCTTTTTGCTTGGTATAATGTTGGCTATCCTGGGTCTTTTGTGGTTCCATGTAAATTTTAGAATTTGTTTTTCTGTTTCTGTAAAGAATGCTATTGATATTCTAATAGGAATTGCACTAAATCTGTAGATAGTTGTGGGTAGTATGGACATTTTAACAATATTGATTCTTTCAACGCAGGAACATGAAATATTTCTTTATTTTTTAGTGTCCTCTTCAATTTCTCTTATCAGTGATTTATAGCTTTTATTGTAGAGATATTTTATATATTTGATTTAGGTAATTTCTAGATATTAAATTTTATTTGTAGCTATTACTAATTTGATTACTTTTAATTTTTTTTTCTGATTGTTTACTGTTGGCATACAGAAATGCTACA
Organism: Homo sapiens; assembly: GCF_000001405.40. Classification (NCBI taxonomy): domain Eukaryota; kingdom Metazoa; phylum Chordata; class Mammalia; order Primates; family Hominidae; genus Homo; species Homo sapiens. Next base: position 93,309,601 of record NC_000023.11, on the reverse strand, counting down.
ATTTTTTTGTTTTTTTTTTTTTGAGACAGAGTCTAGCTCTGTTGCCCAGGCTGGAGGGCAATGGCACGATCTCGGCTCACTGCAACCTCCACCTCCTGGCTTCAAGTGATTGAAGCCTCCCGAGTAGCTGGGATTACAGGCACATGCCATCATGCCTGGCTAATTTTTTTGTATTTTTAGTAGATACAGGGTTTCACCATGTTAGCCAGGATTGTTTCAATCTCCTGACCTCGTGATCCAACCACCTCAGCCTCCCAAAATGCTGGGATTACAGGCATGAACCATCAGGCCTGGCCATGAAGTTTTGTATGTTGATTTTGTATCTGCAACTTTACTGAATTTGTGTATCAGTTTTAATAGTTTTTTGGTAGCGTCTCTAGGTTTTTCCAAATGTAAGATTCTATAATCTGCAAACAAGGATAATTTTACTTCTTCCATTTCAATTTTGATACTCGCCCTTCCTTCCTTCCTTCCTTCCTTCCTTCCTTTCTTGCTTTCTTTCTTGCTTTCTTTCTTTTCCTCCACTCAGATCTTTAAATACTATGAAAGGTAATTGTGATTAAAGTGGGAATCCTTGTCTTGTTCAATATTTTAGAGGAAAAGCAGTTAGTTTCTCCCCATTCAGCATGATACCAGCTGTGGATCTGTTTTACATAGCTTTTCTTATGCTTTGGTATATCTCTTCTATCCCAAGTTTTTCAGAGTTTTTATCATAAAGGATTCTTGAATTTTGTGAAATTCTTTTCCAGCATCAACTGAAATAATCATATATTTCAATCTTTCATTCTGTTCATATGATGTATCACATTGTTTGATTTGTGTATGTTGAACCATCCGTGCATCCTGGGAATAAATCCCATTTGGTCATGATGAATGATCTTTCTAATTTATTTTTGAATTTGGTTTGCTAGTATTTTGCTGAGGACTTTTGTGTCAATATTCATCAGAAATATTGGCCTGTAGTTTTCTTTTTTTTTTAAATGTGTCTTTGTGTGCTTTTGATATCAGGATAATGCTAGTCTCACAGAATGAGTTCGAGAGTATTCTGTCCTCCTGTATTTTTCAGAACGGTTTGAGGAGGATTGACGTTATCTCTTGTTTAAAAATGTGGTTGAGTTCAGCAGTGAAGCCATTGGGTTCTTGGTTTTTGTATACTGAGAGACTTTTTATTATGGCTTCAATATAGTTACTTGCTTGATTTGTTCAGGTTTTAGATTTCTTCCTTTGTCAATCTGGTAGGTTGTATGTGTCTAGGAATTTGTCCATTTCTTCTAGATTTTCAAATTTATTGGCACATAGTTGTTCCTAGTAGTCACTAATAATCCCTTCCATTTCTGCAATATCTTCTTTTTCATTTCCTACTCTATTTATTGGTACCTTTTCTATTTTTTCTTAGTTTGTCTCAAGTTTTGTCAATTTTGCTGTGAGATAGAGCAACAGCAGTACTAAGAGCGAAGATTATAGCTATAAGTTCCTACGTCAAAAAAGAAAAACTTCAAATAAACAATTTAATGATGTATATTAAAGAACTAGAAAATCAGGTATAAGCCAAACCCAAACTTAGTAGAAGAAAATAAATAATAAAGATTAGGGAAGAAGTAAATAAAATTGACATTGAATAATCAACATCTTTTAAATAAAATTGTTCAGCCAGCTACAAAACTACCTAATAATACTCACAAATAGAACACGTATTTCCATTCTATACTTGAAACTATCTGAGAGACCTTTCCTAGTATATTCCTAATATATAAATAGAATGTCTACAGAATTTCCTTAATCTATCAATCTATAATAGCAATCCGGTAAACAGAGAATAAGATTAGAAATGATTAAAAAAATGAAGTTATTTGAATCTCCTTGGATTAGTACACAAGCCTCAAGAAAAGCAGCTATAAACAAAAGAAAACAAGTTTAGTCAAAATTGGATTGGCAAGACCATAGACTATCAGCAATCAAGGCCTTCTTAAGTAACAGAGCAATAAAGGTATTACTGGAATTAACAAAATATACCCCATTACTGGACTTCTTAGGTTATGATTTATTTCCTAATTCCACTAAGAATGCTTTGGGTGATTAACCTTTTTTTCCTGGTTGCCCTCCATAAACCGAATGAGTTAAGTAAAACAACGCAATTGGGACAGTTCCTTAATATCTAATGAATAAAATTCTCCATTATAAGCCTATTTATTTTCACTATCTAGTTTCTCTGATATCATAGAAAAGCAGAAAAAAACATGCATTTGGAAGAAGCTTAATAAAAATCCATGTTGTGAAAAAGGATCGATGTGCTTTTCATGTGTTTATTTTCTGTTTGTCATCACTTGTTAATAATCTCTTCTCTGGTGACAGAACAATGATTTGGCGATCACCTAGGGTATTCTGTAAAGATGTCATGGTTAATTCAGGTAAATATTAGATTATCCACATATCTGGCAGCAGAGGTTATTGTTCAATACTAATGCTTCTAGCAGTAATAAATATTGTCTATGGGTGCATGTTGGCCAGCAGATAACTTGGGTAAAATATAGCCCATATAGTTAAGGCTAGTGAGAAAGCTATTGCTTTCCCAGCCACTTTTTCAGTCTCCTTTTTTTCTGCCTTTAACCCACTTTATTAAGAGATGTTTCTCTTTTCATTTCAAATGCTATTGGCTGTGGAAGTAGAATTGAGTGTCACTTCTTTGACTCTAGATTCAAAATATGTATAATTTTTTAAAAATATTGTCTTCTCTCTAAATATCTGTATTTATCATTAGATTTCACTTTTCTTGATAAAACTTGTGTCTCTCTAAGATGTAATTTGCAGCTCCTTATATGCATGCTATTTTGCTAAATATTGATCACTTTTCTTTGTGTTACACCATACCTTCCTACGTCTTTTCTAATTTCTCATCTATGCATTGTTTGCTATTTAAAAAATAATGATTAGCTTTTGTTTTAATTTCTGTCTTGACAGATATTTGACTCATTAGCTTCATTTATTTATTCATCATTTCATAAAATTACAATAGAATAAGGGAATTGTTAAATAGAGGTTTATGGCTTTGCTAAAAAAAGGATATTGGTGACATAGAGGATACAGCACCTAGTTTCCTGGTCATCTGAAAAGGTTTCTAAGAGGCAGTAACATCTGTTTCCAGGCTACAGAGATGAATAGGACTTTACAATTATTTTTTTAAAAAGCAAGAAGGACATGGTAGGCAGAAGAAATGCTATATGTAGAGGCATGTAGGCATAGTAAGCATAAAGCAGGATGGTATATATGGAGAAATCTTAGTAATTCAGGATGGCTAGTGTAAAGTGGGAAAGAGAAGGTGGCTGGAAATAAGTATAAATGAATGTACAGAATCTGGATCATGGAAAGCCTTATATCTCAGTGGATGATGCCAAGCACTGAATGAATTTTGAGAAGAGAGTGACCTGATTAAGTTTGTGTGTTAAACGTATCATTCTGTGGATATTTTAAAGCTATATTGGCAAAATGAAAACTGGAGGCAAAAAAAAATTATTAAAATAATTCAAGTGAGAGGCACTGAGGGCTTGACCTAAGGCAGTAACAGTAGAGATGGAGAGAAGGGGATAGGTACAAAAGAAATTCACAACTTGATGATTAATTGTGTGCAAGGGAATATTTGAGAAGAAAGAATAAAAGATTACTTCCTGGTTTCTGGCTTAGGTGACAGGGTGTATAATGATGACATCCAGCAGGATGGGGAGTATGTGGAGTGGGGACAGAGTGGGAAGAGATAAAAAAAATTACAATTTTAGAGATATTTGTAATGAGGGGAATTTGGGAAAACAGTAGGGAGATGTTTAATATGAAATTAAGGCCAGGAGAAAAAAACTGGGAGCTTTTGGCAGATGTGGGAATAAGCATAAACATGGCAGTTGAAGCTGAAGGTGTATTTGAGATTGCTCACACTGAGTACATGGGAAAATATATACAGAGAGAAAGAAAAAATAGTGTCCTGGAGAATTTTTCATCTTATTTAGTAATTATTCATCCTGTGTAAATTTTTGATCATTTTAGTGGATGTAATTCTGTGCCTCTCCATTGTGATAGCAAAATTTTGTTTGAAAGTTGAAAAGAAATAACTAAGATTAAGTTTTAAATAACTAAGATTTAAATAACTAAGTTTTAAATCTCACATTTAGAAACTACTAATCTTCAGGAAACAATGCTGAAATTATTTCAGTGTTAGTGACTGGGTATACATTTTTTCTTCATCTTTATAGGATAACCCTTACTTTATATTTAAATTAAAATGGCTCAGATACTCATTTCAAAAATGATAAAAAAAACTCAGCATCCCTCAGCATCTAATGATTCACATGAAATTTGTTTCCTTTAATCTCTTCTTGTCCTCTCTTTTTGCTTCTGAATTTTCATTATATTCCTGTTTTACTTCTTATTGTTTTTCTTTTCTGTCAGGTGTGTGCACTTAAACATAAAGTATTTTTCTCCCTTGTTCCTCCAAAGTCCTTCACATACACTGCTGATATTTGTTACAAATTCACTCAAGTCTCTGGGAAATGATGGATGGGAGCTTTCATCCCAAAACTGCCCACCAGAAAAGTAAAATTAAATAGTGGAGATCTTTGTTCTCCACTATCTATTTGTGGATAAGATAACCAAATTTTAAAATTATTTGGTTATCTTATCCACAGGAAATACTTTTGTCTGTTTTTTTTTTCCTCAATACATCTGTCTTCTTTCCATATTTTTTGGCTGATTTCCTAACTATGCATATTGGTTAAGACAACAAGTTCTAGAACTCAATTGCTTTAGTGTAAAGTCTGGTCTTCACTATATACTTGTGATGTGATTTGGGGAAAAATATCTAGTCTCTCTGTGGCTTGCTTATCTAATCAAGAAAATAAAGATATTACTTTCCTCATAGGATTGTATTGAGGAATAAATGAGCGACGTATATAAAAGTGTTAGGACAGTGCCTAGCAAATTCTCAATATAATGTTAGCTCTTATTATTTTTGTTTTTATCACTACCTTGCCCTTTCCTCTGATATCTAGCATTGTCTTCCTACAAAACCCTCTTCCCCTCTAAAACTCAAAATTGCTACAAGTTTTTATGAAAAACAACTCAGCTCTGTTTAAAAAGTTCCTTAGAGAAACAATAACTGTGCCAAAATATGTATTAGACATAAAAATAATTCAAAAAGATATTTAGAAAGTTGTTAGCATTCCTCCCAGTAGGGAACCTTATAAGTCTTTTAGAATTTATATGCAGTTATATTTTTACAGATAATATATCTAAAGTGTATTTGGTCCAACAGAAGTCGGTTTTTATCTAGTAACAAAGAATTATTTCTTAAATAAAAGAATGGGAAAACTAGGGAAAAATATTCTCTTTACATTAAATAAGTTCAGTATTGAAAAATGCAGTTTTTTTTTTTACCTGAGGCAACTCACATATTTTCTACTGCAAGGGAGACTATCTCAGTTCTGTCATTTACTGAGGTTTTCTGAAGTGTTTGCATTATATGAAAAATACCTTTTACTCCAACTGATATGTAAACTACACCCCCAAAAGTTTTCTGTTATTAAATTAAAGGAAATTTTTGTAGAGAAGAGGTACAGCAAGATAAGAATAACACTCCGTTCCATAACATATCTTCTTATCATAACCCATTAGAGTTTAGATCTATTTCTTTCCTTTTAGCAAATTGAAGATAGCATTATTCAACAGTAAACTAGTCTTTTTTACCTGATTTTTTTTTGGTGAATTAGTAATTAAAAATTCTGTTAAACAGCTATTAAGATAGAAAATTATATACAGAAAAGTGTCTCATTTTGCAGCCAAACGGACCTGAATTAGCAGTCCAACTCTTCCACTTATTAGTTGTGTTTTCTTAGGCAAGTTATGTGAATATTCTGGGCTTTAGATTTCTCATCTGAGAAATGAGGATAAAAATGTTGCATACTATAAAAGTTGTCGTAAAGATTACCATAATGAATATGAAGTACCTAGCATAATTTCTGGCTCATACCATAGGCTCAAAAAATTGCCAGCTTTGAGTATTATAAAGAATAACTAGTTATTTGAAAACACTTATCTAGTAGCTTTCATAAGGAAGCTACCAATTTTGGTACTCGATATATTGTGATGAACAAATTACACATGGTCCCTACCTTCATAGAAAGTAATTATCATTATTATTGTTACTATTATTTACTCCCATATTTGGATTATCAATTTCCACAGACTAGGAGTACAAAAAGAAGCACAACAATAATATTTATGATGAGTGTAGATTATTCTTTTATTTTAACATCATTTCAGTATTTGGAATATCTTAGGACCATTGTTTCAACTATCAATTCTTCTATTTGGTGATTATAGAGATTCAAACGATGTAGGCGTTTATAATGATTCTGTACCAATTTTAGGGCTTACCCTGTTTTGTGGACTGAATGCATTCCTCCCAAGTTCATATGTTGAAATTCCTGCTCCCAAGGTGTTGGGGGAAAGGAAATGAGGACTTTGAGAGGGGATTAGGTAATGAGAGTAGAGCACTCATAAATGAAGCTAGTGCCTCTAAAATCGAGACCTGAGATAAACTTTTGCTCTTTTCATTATGTGGTAACACGGAAAGAGGTGTCTATGAATGAGAGTGAGTACTCACCAGACAGTCTGCAAGAATTTACCTGAGACTTCTTAGCCTCAAGAACTGTGAAAAATAAATTTCTATTATTTATAAGTTATCCAGTACATAGCGTTTTTCATAGCAGCCCAAATGGACTAAGACATTGTGAAAACATATTTTTAAATGGCCTATTGCTAATGTGTTTTGAAATATAGAATAAAACATTTTCAGGATATGTTAGCTTTCTGACATTTTGAATTCTGGATAAATCGAGGTAGAGTAATATTTTGAAGAATATTGTGTAAACATATAGGAATTAACTATTATTACCTTCCAAAGTAATAGCAATAACATTAACTTAAAAAATAATTTTGTTTTTAAAAAATGATTTATATTTCTCAAAACTTATACCTGAGGGAAAATTAAGTACCTAAGCAATTAATATATGTTTAAGGACCTCTGAGATATAGAAAATTTTTAAGTTTAAGGTATCAAGTGATATTATACTTACTAACTAAAAATATTAATGATAACTAATGATAGCTAAGACTTTTTGAGGTACTACTATTTTCAACTATTGTAGTAAGTGCTTATATTAATTTAGGTGCTTCATTTAAAGTTCACAGCAACCTGTAAAATAGTGTCCCATTTTATACTTGTTTTCTGAACATGTTCTATGCCTACAATGCACTGTTCTGGATACTTGTGCAAAGAGATGTTTGTCAATCACATGAAAAAATATAGTGTATATAAGAAGTTCTAGAAAGTGGTAAAGAGATAGCAATCACGTTCCTGATGGTAGGATTACTAGATATCACATAGTGGGATAAGAATGTGATCTGAGCCTAAAAGGATATGTTTGACTTCACAAGGTAAAGAAAATGAGGGCAGGCTTTTAAGGGAGAAAAATGTCATGAACAAACATATTAAGGTAAGAATTACAAAGTTTTAGTTCAACTGACATAGAGTGCTTGCTTTTTGGAATATGGGAGCTTATGATGGAAATAAAGGCCTGGACCAGAACTTAGAAGACCCTGGATACAAGGCAAAGAAGTTTGAGTCTGGCCTATAGGGTATATTTACTTTTTATTTAAGAAAGGGGACAACATAATAAAAACAAAGTTTAAATAAAAAAAATTCTAGAGATAAGCAGATATCTGTATTCAAAAATCCAAGTTAATTGGCTACTGTAATAGTTAATATTGAAGACATTTAGGCTCAAACTAAGGAGTTGAACATGAGAGTGGATAAAAAAATAAGAAAATAAAGATAAACCTTATCACAAAATCTAGGGAGAGATTCTTAGCTAAGTAAAAGCAAAGAGAAAATCTGAAATGGTTCAAACATTTGGTGTCTTGTTGAGTGAATAAAAACATTAACTGAGATAAGAAATTAAGGTAATGTAATGTAATGTGGGAGAAAAAAGAAGAAAGTTTCCCTTGTTATTGCTTGTCTTTTTAATATATGCAATTTTAAATGAGGTGAAATATTTCATTGTACTTTTAATTTGCATTTCTCTGATGATCAGTGATGTTGAGCACATTTTCATATGACTATTTGCCAGTTTTCTTTTGAGAAATGTCTATTCAAATATTTTGCCCATTTATTGATCAGATTGTTACAGATTTTTCCCTATAGGGTTGTTGAGCTCCTTGTATATTTTGGTTATTAATCCCTTGTCAGATGAGTAATTTGAAAATATTTTCTCGCATTCTGTAGGTTATCACTTCACATTATTTTATTTTGGCTGTGCAGAGGCTTTTTATCTTGATGTGATCCCATTTGTTCACTTATTCTTTGATCACCTAGGCTTATGGTGTGTAGTAGTCTGTTCTTATACTGCTGATAAAGACAACCTAACACTGAGAAATTTATAAAGAAAAAAGGTTTAATGGGCTCACAGTTGCATGTGGCTGGAGAGGCCTCACTATCATGGCAGAAGGTGAAAGGCACGTCTTACATGGTGGCAGGCAAGAGAGAATGAGAGCCAAGTGAAAGGGTAAACCCTTTATGAAACAATCAGATCTTGTGAGACTTATTCACTACCAGGAGAACAGTATGAGGGAAACCACCTCTATGATTGAATTATCTCCTACTGGTCCCTCCCACAACATGTGCGAATTATGGGAGCTACAATTCAAGATGAGATTTTGATGGGGACACAGCCAAAACATATCATTCTGCCCTTGGCTCCTCCCAAATCTCAGGTCCTCACATTTCAAAAACCAATCATGTCTCCCCAACAGTTCCCGAAAGTCTTAACTCATTTCAGCCTTAACTCAAAAGTCCACAGTACAAAGTCTCGTCTGAGACAAGGCAAGTCCCTTCTGCCTATGAGCCTGTAAAATCAAAAGCAAGTTAGTTACTTCCTAGACATGACGAATACAGGCATGATGAAATACATCCATTCCAAATGAGAGACATTGGCCAAAATGAAGGGGATCCAGACCCCATACACGTCCAAAATTCAGCAGAGCAGTCAAATCTTAAAGCTCCAAAATTATCTTCTTTGACTCTGTGTCTCACATCCAGATCATGCTAATGCAAGAAGTGGGTTCCCCTGGTCTTGGACAGCTCCACCTCCATGGCTTTGCTGGGTACAGCTCTTCTCCTGGCTGCTTTCATGGGCTGGCATTGAGTGTCCGTGGCTATTCCAGGTCCATGGTGCAAGCTGTCAGTGGATCTACCATTCTGGGGTTTGGAGGAAAGTGGCCCTCTTCTCACAGCTCCACTAGGCACTGCCCCAGTGGAGACTCTGTGTGGGAGCTCCAACCTTATATTTTTCTTTCACACTGCACTGGCAGAGGTTCTCCATGAGGGCTCCACCCCTGCAGCAAATGTTTGCCTGGACATCCAGGCATTTCCATATATCCTCTGAAATCTAGACAGAAGTTCCCAAACCTCAATTCTTGACTTCTCTACACTCACAGGCTCAACACCATGTGAAAGCTGCCAAGGCTTGGGACTTGCACCCTCTAAAGCCATGGCCCAAGCTATACCTTGTCCCCTTTTAGCCACAGCTGGCATGGCTGGGATGCAGGGCACCAAGCCCCGAGGCTGCATGAAGCAGAGGGTCCCTGGGCCTGGCCCATGAAACCATTCTTTTTCTCCTAGGCCTCCAGGCCTGTAATGGGGAGGGCTGCTGTGAAGACCTCTTACATGCCCTAGAAACATTTTTCCCATTGTCTTGGTGATTAACATTTGACTCCTTGTTACTTATGCAAATTTCTGCAGCAGGCTTGAATTTCTCCCAAGAATATAGGTTTTTCTTTTTTATTGCATCATCAGGCTGTAATTTTCCAAACTTTTATGCTCTGCTTCCCTTTTAAAACTGAATGCTTTTCAAATCAAATCTTGCCAATTAGAAATTTATTCTGCCAGATACCCTAAATCATCTCCCTCAAGTTCAAAGTTTCATAAATATCTAGGGCAGGGGCAAAATGCTGCCAGTCTCTTTACTGAAATGTAGCAAGAGTCACCTTTACTCCAGTTCCCAACAAGTTCCTCATCTCCATCTAAGACCACCTCAGCCTGTATTTCATTGTCCATATCATCAGCAGCATTTTTGTCAAAGCCATTCAACAGGTCTCTAGGAAGTTCCAAACTTTCTCACATTTTTCTGTCTGCTTCTGAGCCCTTCAAACTCTTCTAACCTCTGCCTGTTACCCAGTTCCAAAGTCATTTCCACATTTTTTAGTATCTTTACAGCAGAGCCCCACTCCTGGTACCAATTTACTGTATTATTCTGTTCTTATGCTGCTGATAAAGACATAACCAAAACTGGGTAATTTCAAAAGAAAAAGAGGTTTAATGGACTCACAGTTCCACGTGGATGGGGAAGCCTCACAATCATGGTTGAAGGCAAAAGTCATGTCTTACATGGTGGCAGGCAAGGGAGAATGAGAGCCAAGTGAAAGGGGAAAACCCTTATAAAACCATCAGATCCTGTGAGACTTATTCACTACCAGGAGACAGTATGATGAAAACCACCCCTGTGATTCAATTCTCTCCCACCAGGTCCCTCCCACAACACGTGGGAATTATGGGAGCTACAATTCAAGATGAGATTTGGGTAAAACCATATCATGGTGTATGGCTCAAGAAATTTTTGCCCAGACCAATATTCTGAAGATTATCCACAATATTTTCTTGTATTAGTTTCATAGTTTGAGGCTTTAGATTCAAGTCTTTAATCTGCATTTTTAAATTTCCATATATGGTGAGAGATGCGAGTCTAGTTTAATTCTTCTGTATATGCATATCTGGTTTTCCCAGCACCATTTATTGAAGAGACTGTCTTTTCACCAGTCTATGTTCTTGGCACTATTATTGTAAGTGAGTTCACAGTGGGTGTGTGGATGTGTTTCTGGGTTTTCTATTCTGTTCTATTGGTCTACATGTCTCTTTTTATTCCTGTAGCATGCTGCTTTGGTTAGCATAGCTCTGCAGTATAATTTGAAGTCAGTTAATGTGTTTCTCCAGTTTTGTTCTTTTTGCTTGTTATATTGTTGGCTGTTCTGGGTCTTTTGTGGTTCCATATAAATTTTAGGATTTGTTTTTCTATTTCTGTGAATAATGTTATTGGTATTCTGATAGGGATTACATTAAATCTGTAGATAGCTGTGGTTGGTATGGACATTTTAACAATATTGATTCTTTCAATCCATGAACATGGAATATTTCTCTATTTTTTGGTATCCTCTTCAATTTCTGTTATCAGTGTTTTCTATTTTGTATTATAGAGACCTTTTACATATTTGATTAAGGTAATTTCTAGATATTTAATGTTATTTTTGGTTATTATAAATTTGATTACTTTTAAAATTTCTTTTTTCGATTGTTCACTGTTGGCATATAGAAATGCTATGAATTTTTGTACATTGATCTTGTATCTGCAACTTTACTGAATTTGTGTATCAATTCTAACAGTTTTTTGGTAGAGTCTTTAGGTTTGTCCAAATATAACATCATATCATCTGCAAACAAGGATAATTTTACTTCTTCCATTCAAATTTGGATGCCATTTCTTTCTCTTTTGTCATTATTCTAGCTAGTACTTACAGTACTAGTTGAATAACAGGTGTGAAGGTGGGCATCCTTGTCATGTTCTAAATCTTAGAGAAAGGCTTTCAGGTTTTTCTCATTCAGTATAATACTAGCTGTGGGTCTGTTGTATATGGCTTTTATTTTGTTGAGATGTTCCTTCTATTTCCATTTTAATGAGGATTTTTATAATGAAGTCACATTCAATTTTATTAAATGCATTTTCAGCATTAATTGAAATAATATCGTTTTCATCCTTTATTATGTTAAAATGATGTACCACATTGATTGATTAGCATATGTAGAACTAACCTTGTATCCCAGGAATAAATCCAATTTGGTCACAATGAATGATCTTTCTAATGTATTGTTCAATTTGCTTTGCTTGTATTTTGTTAGGGATTTTTGTCAATATTCATCATAGATATTGGTCTGTAGTTTTCTTTTGCTAAGGTTTGTTTTGGTATCAGGGTAATACTTGCCTCACAGAATAAGTTTGGAAGTATTCCCCCCTCCTCTAAAAGTTGAAGGAAAATTAGATTAGCTCTTCTTTAAATATTTGGCAGAATCCAGCAGTGAAGCCATTGGGACCCATGCTTTCCTTTACTTGGAAAATTTTTGTTATGGCTTTGAACTTGTTACTTCTTGTTGGTCTGTTCATATTTTGGTTTTCTTCCCTGTTCAATCTTGGTAGGTTGTATGTATCTAGTAACTTGTCCATTTCTTCTATCTTTTCAAATTTATTAACATACAGTTATTCAAAGTAGCCACTAATGATACTTTCATTTTTTGCAGTATCAGTTGTAATGTCTCCCTTTTTTTATTTTGGATTTTATTTATATGGATTATCTCTCTTATTTTCTTTGTTTTGTTAAATGTTTGTTCATTTTGTTTAACTTCGCAAGAAACTAACATTTTGTTCCATTGATATTTTGTATTCTTCATTTCAATGTCATTTATATCTGCTCTGATCTTTATTATTTATTTATTCAACTGATTTTTGGTTTGGTTTGTTGTGGCTTCTCTAGTTCTTTGAGGTGCATTGTTATGTTGTTTATTTGAAGTTTTCCATCTTTTTTGATTTAGGCATTTATAGCTATAAAATTCCCTCTTAATACTGTTTTTGCTCTATCCTATAGGTTTTTGTATGATGTGTGTCCATTATTATTTGTTTCAAAAAATTCTTCAATTTCTTTCTTAATTTCTTTATTGACCCACTGGTCATTCAAGAACATATAGTTTAATTTGCATGTATTTGTATAGTTTTCAAAATTATTCTTGTAGGACAGGTCTGGTGTTTATAAAAGCTCTCAGCTTTTGTCTGTGAATGTCTTTATTTCTCCTACACATTTGGAGGATATTTTTGCCAGATATATTATTCTAGGTTAAAAGATTTTTCTTTCAGCACACTGAATATGTCGTGCCACTCTCTCCTGTCCTGTAAGATTTCTACTAAAAAGTCTGCTGCCAGATGTATTGAAGCTCCCTTGTGTGTGTTGTTTATTTTCTCTTACAACTTTTAGGATCCTTTCTTGAACTTTGATCTTTGAAAGTTTTATTTTTAAATGCCTTGAGGTAGTCTTCTTTGTGTTAAATCTGCTTGGTGTTCTATAACCTTCTTGTACTTAGACTTGATATTTTTCTCTAAGTTTGCAAAGTTTTCTGTTATTCTCACTTTGAATAAACTTTCTTTCCCTATCTCTTTCTCTACATCATCTTTAGGGCCAATAACTCCTAGCTTTGCCCTTTTGAGGCTATTTTCTAGATCCTGTATGCATTTTTTTATTGTATTTTTTTCTCCTCTGTCTATATATTTTCAAATACCCTGTCTTCAAGCTGACTAATTCTTTCTTCTGCTTGATCCATTCTGCTATTGAAAGACTCACACATTCTTTAGTATGCCAATTAAATTTTTTAGCTTCAGAATTTCTGCTGTAATTTTAGAATTATGTAAATCTCTTTGCTAAAGGTATCTGATGTAATTCAGAATATCTTTTCTGTGTTATCTTGAGCTGTTTTTAGTATCCTCAACTCAGGCATTTTGAATTTTCTGTCTCAAATGTCATATATCTATCTTTCTCTAGGATTGATTTCTGGAGCCTTATTTAGTTCATTTGGTGAGGTCATGTTTTCCTGAATTATCTTGATACTTCTAGATGTTCTTCTGTATCTGGGCATTGAATAGTTAGATATTTATTGTAGTAATCACTGTCTGGTATAGTCTTTCCCCATTCTTCCTGTGAAGACTTTTCAGACATTTGAAAAGCCTTTGGTGCTGTGGTCCAAGTTGTACCTACTTTAGGGGACAGCCAAAGCCCAGTAATGTTGTGGCTGTTGCAGACTCATAGAGGTACTGCCTGATGATCTAGGACAAGTTCCCTGTGGCCACCACCTCAGTGACTGCACTGGGTCAGATTTGAAGCCAGCACAGTACTGGATCTCACAAAAGCCTTGCTATAACTACTCCCTGGCTACTGTCTGTGTTCACTTAAGGCCCTGGGGCTCTACAATAAGCAGGTGGCAAAACCAACCTGGCGTGTATCTTTCCCTTCAGGTTGGCAAGTTGTTTCAGGCCCCAGGTGGGTCCAGAGGTTTTATCCTAGAGTTAGAAACTAGTCAAAGACCTTAGAAGTCTATCTGGTGTTCTATTGTATTGTGGCTAAGCTGTCACTCAAACCACAAGATGCAGTCTTTTCTACTGTTCCCTTCCCTTTCCAAAGACAGAGGAGACTTACAATGCTGTCAGGACTGGGTTCTTTCCTTTAAGACAATGTGTTGTGTTCTGGCCCAGAGTGTGTCTATGTGATCTGTGATCTGGGAACTAGTCTTAAACAGGTACCTCACAACTCTGACAGGTACTGTAGCCTGGTGTGGCTGAGCTGTTATCCAGGGTGCAAGACATCGTCCACTCCACTTTTCCCTCTCCTCTCTTTAACGGGAGGGAAAGGGTCTCTTTTGGAGATGCGTGCTGTGCAGCCTGGTTGAGAGGTGATGCCAGTACTCCCTTAATTGCCCTAGGTGGTGTCTCAGTAGGTCACATGGCTCCCCAGTCCTCTGTCTCTGGGACTAGTTCAACCCTAGGACTCATTTAAGATTTGCAGTCCTTGTGTCTTAGACTGCTTTTCAAGTATACTAACAGACTCAGAGAACTTCAGCCCACGGTGGTGTGCTTTGCAAGAACTCAAGTTCCAACTGCCGGGATGGGTGATTCGCTTCTGGCTAGAGCTGGTTTAAATGCATTGTCTGTGGGTGGGCATCGGCTGAGTTTGGTCTAGTTTTCCTATCTGCTCTAACAAGACAGCACTGAGTTCAATGCCTCATAATTGCTGTGTTCTCTCTCCCTCAGTGCCCAGAGAAGTTCTCTGTACCATGCAGCTGCTACAGGGGCAAGGGGGAGAGGTGTCTCTAGCAATTAAATACTTTTTTTCTACCTCTTCAGTTCCTGTTTCAATAATACGAAGTTAAAACCAGGTACTGTGAGTGCTCACCTGATTTTTGGTTCTTCTAAAAGTACTTTTTTTGTGTAGGTAGTTGTTAAATCCATGTCTTTGCTGGAAGGGCTGATCAATGGAGCCTTCTATTCTGCCATCTTGCTCTTCCTCTCTCCCCCTCCTCCACACTAACACTGTTTTTTTCACACAATAATAAAAACGATTCTCACAAAATGGTCAAATTACGTCTCTTGAATTATCGAATGGCTATCCACTCACTCTAAGGAAAATCCACACCCCATATCAGGAGCCACAAGGTCCTACATGATCTGTCTCGAGTATGTCATCTTATCTACTATCACTTTCCTCTTACGCTGTTCATGCTGGCCTTCTTATAGTCCCTTAACAACATCAAATTCTTTTCCAACAAAGAAACTTTCTGTTGCTATTACCTTTGCCTGTAATATTTTTCACCATCAAAGCTTCTTCATTTCATTCAAATCTCTGCTTACATGTCACTTTCTCAGAGAGGCCTTTCGTCACCACCCTATATAAAATAGTTCCCACTTTACTAGCCCCTTTCCCCACTTTGTTTTTCCATGTAGCACGTGTCACTGCCTGGTGTTATGTATTATATTGTATTTTATTGTGTTATATAAAATTATATTTTATCTCAACCATATCACTTTATCTTTACCTCTTATCTTTATTATAAATAATAAATATTTATTATTACTAAAATGTGAGCTCCATCATAGTCAAACTATTTTGGTTAATATTAGTTACAAGTTTTAAATGTTTGCTACAAAGACTTGGAACCAACACAAATGCCCATCAATGATAGACTGGATAAAGAAAATGTGGCACATATACAACATGGAATACTATGCAGCCATAGTATTCATGTCCTCTGCAGGGACATGGATGTCTAATATCACTGTGGTTTTTGCAGACCTGTAGAGGTACTGTCTTCATGGTCTTAGATAACATCTGGAAGAATTCTCTAGATTACAATGCAGAGAATCTTGTCTGTTTGTTTGTTTTTCTTCTTGTCTTCCCCAAAACAAATGGAGTTTATTTATAATAGCTCTTCATTTAGTTTGTGAGGAATGCTGCCAGGCCTGGGACTCACCTTTCAGGTTAGTGGTCTCCCCTCTGGCCCAGGGCAGGTCCAGAAATGCTGCCCAAGAGCCTAGGCCTGCACTCAGAGACCCCAAGTGTCTGCCTGTTACTCTGGCCACTGTGGCTGAGCTGGTACCTAAGGTGCAAAACAGAGTTGCCTTTACTTTTTCCTATGCTTTTCTAAAAGAGAAGGAGTCTTTCATTCACCATATCCAACACAGCTGGGGATGTGCTGAGTCAAACCTATAGTCGACACATCTCAGAGCCCAAGGTCCACAGCATACTACCTTGAAATTACTACTGGTTATTCAGGGCCCAAGGGCTCTTTAGTCATCAGGTAATGAATCCTGCCAGGACTATATCCTTCCTTTCAGGGCAGTGAGTTTCCTTTTGGCCCAGCCTTTGTCTGAAAATATTGTCTGGACTATAGGACCTCATGGCTCTGGTGCCCTGTTCTACTGAAGCTGAGCTGCTATCTAAGTTGCAAGACAAAGTCCTCTTTAATCTTTGCTCTTTTCTCCTTAAGCAGAAGAAAGAAGTTATTTTGTTGCTGTGAGCTGCACTGCCTGGGGCTGGAGGACAGGTGGCAAAGCCCTCCCTTAATCGTGCCAGCTGGTGTCTCCCTAGGTCACATGCCACTCTAGTCCTCTGGCTCTGAGCCTAGACCAGCACAAAAAGTTGCTTAGGAATTGTAGCCCTTGTGTCCTAGACTGTCTCTCAAGTTTACCTAGGACCCCAGAGTACTTTGGCCTGCAGTGTTAAGGCTTGTCAACAAATTCAAGTTTTGACCACTGGCATGGGTGATACCCTTCTGGCTAGGTCAGGTCCAGATGCTCCCTCTATGCTCAGGTGCTGGCTGAGCCCAGCACAACTTTTCTCTATGCTATCATAGGGTAGCACTGAGTTCAATGTAAAGTCCCCCAGTCACTGCATTCTCCCTCTTTCAAGTGCACAGTCTCTCTGTGTTGGATGGCTGGATGGCCTCTGCCGGGGATGGAGCAGGGGTAGTGTCAGTGATTCAAGACTTTCTTTCCTACCCTCTTCAGTGCCTTTTCTCTGTGATATGAAGTTACAACCAGATACTGTGATTGCTCACATGAATTTTGGTTCTTGTGACAGTGCTTTTCTGTGTGCAGATAGTTTTTAAAATGTGGTATTCCTGCATGGGGGAAGAATGATGAAAGCTCCTATTCCAACATTATGCTCTACCCTCCTTCATTTACTTCTTGATATTGCTTTTTTTTTAATTGGTGGGAAGCCTAACTCAGTGTTGAGAATAACTATTCTGCTTATTTGCTTTGTTAACAATTATTTCATTACTACGTAGCCCTTAATGCTAAAAGAAGATTAATGATCCCAACAAGAAAAGGAGATTTCTAGTATTGTCTCTCAAGTTCGGACCATTTAGAATAGGCTTCATCTTCACCAATGCACTTCCTATAATGCCAACTCTTTAAACTATATGTTAGTGTATGTCAGGTTACTACATTTATTTTTCTAAATTTCAAAACAGTTTCTTGGTTAACTGTATCACTCTATCAGAAACAATAGTAAATAGTTAAATTGGAAAGTCAGGTAACATATCAAAATAATATGGAACATTTTCAGAATTATTGTGTAGCTTTCTTTTTTTGAGAAAATTTCTTTCTTGGAAAAAATATATTTTGGTTTGAAAAAAGCAATCAAAGCAGGCAGACAGGATGATCAAAACATTAGTCATAAAAGTAAGTAGTACAAGAATTTTTAAATGTCTGTGGATTTCCCAGAATTGTTATTTATGATGGAGATGATATGATATGTGCAATTTTTCATCAAATTTTTTAAAGTCTGGGGAAGATCAAATAAGTTTATTTACTGTACAAGGCATTGGTTTACTTTTGTCTTAGTTCACCTTTAAATTTATAGTGTTAATTTTTAGAAGATTTTTCCAATTAGTTACCTGTTAAAGACATAAACAGCCCCATTTTT
Organism: Homo sapiens; assembly: GCF_000001405.40. Classification (NCBI taxonomy): domain Eukaryota; kingdom Metazoa; phylum Chordata; class Mammalia; order Primates; family Hominidae; genus Homo; species Homo sapiens. The sequence goes on along the minus strand of NC_000023.11, from coordinate 93,291,430 downwards.
CTTTATTAGATCCCTGAGAAGGAATGGAAGAGAAGTGGGTAATGAGAATTGATGTAAATGGGCATATAGTTTCTGGTGTTAAGGATAGCTAGAAAAAAAAAAAAGTGGGAATTCAAAGAGGTTTACCACATAACAAACGTGATGGCTGCCAAATTTTCCAAATTTTTAGTTCCGATTTTCCATAAGAAATCAGACAGCACTACACAGATTTAAGGGAATTTAGTTATAATATTAACTATTTATATGGGGCCTTTGATCAGTGGTTTTCAAACACACTTTTGGTAATAGAACTCTGCTAAAATAAACCAATGAAAGAGATGAGGCTTTGGTTGAAGTGGAGTGAGGCATCTGTAGTCCAAGCACTAGTTCTTTTCCTTTTCTTCAGGCCTCTGAGACACCTCTGATGACTTTAGAGATGCTGCTACAATCTGGTTCCTCCAGAGTATTGATTCTAAATAGGGAAATCACATCAAGTGATCTGATATAAATTGCTGGAGGGATAGTGTATGATATCAGCATAAAAATGTAAGAGAATTCTGGTGATTTTGATTTTTTTGTGTTTAGATTTTTCCTGACTTAATTTACTTTTACTGAATTATAGAAACTTAGTATTGGGAAATTAAAAAGAAATAATCCTTTTTCCAAACTTTGTTCTTATTGCATTGTAATGAAAATAGAAATAGAGTGGACAAGTGAGATAAGCTCAGTCATTTGGAGTCTCTTTCTCTGACATTTGGATCATGAGACGAGTGAAACAAGAATGGAAGAAAATGTTGGGGTTCATTAAACTTAGGAACTGTGTCCTGGCAATTGAATAGTTTATCACTGCACCCCCAACACATGAGTGCAAAAGTAATTGCAATTTTTGCAATGTTGAAATTTGCCGTTTGATATTGGAACACATTCTTAAATAAATGTGGTTATGTTATACACCATTTTAATGCACATTACTCGCTTTATTATTATAATTATTTTTGCTAATGACATTACTTGCTGTTTATTTTATTTTAGACTATGGAAATGATGTTAGACAAAAAGCAAATACGAGCAATTTTCTTATTCAATTTCTTATTCGAGTTCAAAATGGGTTGTAAGGCAGTGGAGACAAATCGCAACATCAACAACGCATTTGGCCCAGGAACTGCTAATGAACGTACAGTGGAGTAGTGGTCCAGGAAGTTTTGCAAAGAAGATGGGAGCCTTGGAGATGAGGAGCATAGTGGCCAGCCATTGGAAGTTGACAACGGCCAACTGAGAGCAATAATCGAAGTTGATCCTCTTACAACTACATGAAAAGTTGCTGGAAAACTCAATGTTAACCATTCTACTATCATTCAGCATTTGAAGCAAATTGGAAAGGTGAAAAGGCTCGATAAGTGTGTGCCTCATGAGCTGAGTGAAATTTAAATGGTTTAATGACTTAATTTAATTTAATTTAATTTAATGATTAAAATGATTTTTTAAAAATTATTATTTTGAAGTGTCGTCTTCTTTTATTCTAGGCAATAACAATGAATCATTTCTCTACCAGATTGTGATGTGCAATGAAAAGTGGATTTTATAAGACAACCGATGATGACCAGCTCAGTGGTTGGACTGAGAAGAAGCTCCAAAGCAGCTCCCAAAGCCAAACTTGCACCAAAAAAAATGGCCATGGTCACTGTTTGGTGGCCTACTGCCAGTCTGATCCACTATAGCTTTCTGAATCCCAGCAAGACCATTACGTCTGAGAAGTATGCTCAGCAAATTGATGAGATACACCAAAAACTGCAATGGTTGCAGCTGTCATTGGTCAACAGAAAGTGTTCAATTCTTCTCCAGGACAATTGCCAACCACACGTCACACAACCACTGCTTCAAAAGTTGAATGAACTGTGCTGCGAAGTTTTGTTTCGTCCACCATATTCATCTGACCTCTTGCCAACTGACTACCACTTCTTCAAGCATCTCAACAACTTTTTGCAGGGAAAACGCTTCCACAACCAGCAGGATGCAGACAATGCTTCCGAAGAGTTTGTCTAATCCCAACGTGCATATTTTTATTCTACAGACGTAAACAAACTTATTCCTCCTTGGCAAAAATCTGTTGATTGTAACTCTTGTCTTAGCTTTTGCTAAGGTTTGAATAATTGTCCTCTCCGAAATTCACTTAATCTTCAACGTGGCGGCAATGAAATATGGGGCCTTTAAGAGGTTATTGGATCATGAGGACTCTGCCCTCATGAATGGGTTAATCCATTTATGGATTAATGGATTAGTGGGTTAATGGCTTAATGGGTTATCATGGGAGGAGAACTGGTGGCTTCATACAAAAAGAAAGACCTCAGTTAGCACGCAAGCATGCTCTGCTCCTCTGCCATGTGTTACACTGCACCGCTTCAAGACACCACAAGACTGTCTCCACCAGCAAAAAGGCTCTCATTAGATGTGGTTCCTCAGCCTTGATAACAGTAAGAAATAAATTCCTTTCATTATAAATACCCACTTTCAGGTGTTTTGTTATAAGTACAGAAAATTAACTAAGACACTTATAAATTTATTCCCTCAGGTTTCCTATGCGCCTTATGAGCTATCTAACATTAAATAAGCCCTTCTGCGTGGTCACACCGAGCCAGCACCTGGGCCTGGAACCAGGCCACAGCCCCCAAGCTTCGCCCACCACCTCACTACCATGGACCCCCGCAAAGTGAATGAGCTTTGGGCCTTTGTGAAAATGTGTAAGCAGGATCCGAGCTAAATCAGAAGAAAATAACAAGGAAGAAAAACCTGATAGTAAGAAGGTGGAGGAAGACTTAAAGGCAGACAAACCGTCAAGTGAGGAAAGTGATCTAGAAATTGATAAAGAAGGTGCGATTGAACCAGACACTCATGCTCCTCAAGAAATGGGAGACGAAAATGCGGAGATAATGGAGGAGATGATGGATAAGGCAAACAATAAAAAACTGGCTGCTATCGAAGCCCTAAATGATGGTGAACTCCAGAAAGCCATTGACTTATTCACAGATGCCATCAAGCTGAATCCTCACTTGGCCCTTTTGTATGCCAAGAGGGCCAGTGTCTTCGTCAAATTACAGAAGCCAAATACTGCCATCCGAGACTGTGACAGAGCCATTGAAATAAATCCTGATTCAGCTCAGCCTTAGAAATGGCGGGGGAAAGCACACAGACTTCTAGGCCACTGGGAAGAAGCAACCCATGATCTTGCCCTTGCCTGTAAATTGGATTATGATGAAGATGCTAGTGCAATGCTGAAAGAAGTTCAACCTAGGGCACAGAAAATTGCAGAACATCGGAGAAAGTATGGGTGAAAAAGTGAAGAGCGAGAGATCAAAGAAAGAATAGAATGAGTTAAGAAGGCTCGAGAAGAGCATGAGAGAGCCCAGAGGGAGGAAGAAGCCAGACGACAGTCAGGAGCTCAGTATGGCTGTTTTCCAGGTGGCTTTCCTGGGGGAATGCCTGGTAATTTTCCTGGAGGAATGCCTGGAATGGGAGGGGGCATGCCTGGAATGGCCGGAATGCCTGGACTCAATGAAATTCTTAGTGATCCAGAGGTTCTTGCAGCCATGCAGGATCCAGAAGTTATGGTGGCCTTCCAGGATGTGGCTCAGAACCCAGCAAATATGTCAAAATACCAGAGCAACCCAAAGGTTATGAATCTCATCAGTAAATTGTCAGCCAAATTTGGAGGTCAAGCGTAATGCCCTTCTGATAAATAATGCCCTTGCTGAAGGAAAAGCAACCTAGATCACCTTATGGATGTCGCAATAATACAAACCAATGTACCGCTGTCCTTCTCATCAAGAGAGCTGGGGTGCTTTGAAGATAATCCCTACCCCTCTCCCCCAAATGCAGCTGAAGCATTTTACAGTGGTTTGCCATTAGGGTATTCATTCAGATAATGTTTTCCTACTAGGAATTACAAACTTTAAACACTTTTTAAATCTTCAAAATATTTAAAACAAATTTAAAGGGTCTGTTAATTCTTATATTTTTTTTACTAATCATTTTGGATTTTTTTTCTTTGAATTATTGGGCAGGGAAGATGCTTATGTATGAAAGATTATTGCTCTAATTTGAGTGAAATAAAAGTTATTATTGCGAGGCAAACATAAAAAATAAAAATAAAAAAATAAACAAAATACCCCAATACATATTCATCCTCAATAGCCATGAATGTGAAAATTTGATATTAAAGGGTGAAGATTTGCATGCCAGCATTCTCAGAGATTGTGGAGAGTCTATAAACATAATATTCGAGATATCTATATCTAAGGCTTTCTTTTAAATTATTCCAATAAAATTATATTCTGAGCACTAGCAAAACTTGTAGTTAGTAATCCTATGCCTCTCTGTTCATGAATAAGTCCTTGGTTTTGTTAATCAATGATGTGGGTAGGATAGTCTTTATTTTGATATCACGTCATTCAGTCACTGATGTGGTTTGGATCTGTGTCTCCACTCTAATGTCAAATTGTAATCCCCAATGTTGGAGGTGGAGCCTGGTGATTTGATCATGGGAGTGGTTTCTCATGAATGGTTTAACACAATCTCCCTTGGTATTGTTGTCAGGATAGTGAGTTCTTGTGAGATCTAGCTGTTTAAAAGTGTGTAGCACCTCCCTGCTCATTGTCTTCCTCCTGCACTGGCTATGTGAAATGTTCACTCCCCCTCTGCTTTCCACCATGATTGTAAGTTACCTGAGGCTTCCCTAGAAGCTGAGGAGATGCCAGCATCATGGTTCCTATACAGCTTGCAGAACCATGAGCCAATTAAATGTCTTTTCATTATAAATTATACAGTATCAGGTATTTTTTATAACACTGTGAGAACAGACCAATACAATCACACATTGAATTATGTAGACCACACTCTCAAAGACCATTGAAATACACACCTTCATTCATTTTAGATCCTACCTACTAATGCTCTAGTTTGGATAAGGATGTCAGACACTATATTTGTTTCTCTTAGAACCCCGAGCATCCCTCCCAGGTGCTGACTTTTCACATTATTCAGAATTTTCTTCCTCAGGCTCATGCCAACATGAATGTAACACAGATCCGTAATAACTCAATGGAAGGCCTCAACCACTCTGTCAATAGAATAGCTTATCACCATTCTCCCTAAAGTATCCCATGGGCTGTTTGAATGTAGCATGATGGGAACCCATACACAGAAGTCTATTTTATAACAGAACAGGAGATAAACAGCCCACAGTGATAAAATGTAACCAAAGGCTGTATTTCTGTAGAACTGAGAGAGAAAGACAACTAGTAGATAAACCTATAATTTCACCTATGTCTGTTTAATGTACAGTTATATGCTATTAAATTAAACAACTCTAGCTTTCTTGATACCACTTATCACATGAATTATAAGTAAGACACATGTATTTTGCAATATAGACCTCATTCTCTGTTACATGAAAATAAGGAAGGTTGTTTCTTTGACCCAATGTCTGTAAAACTTCTCTGTAGCTGGCTCTTTTCCACAATCAGTTTGGATAGTGGGTTTGAAATAGTCGTATGTTACAAAGACAAAAACAAACATTTTGGAATGTTTGCATGAATTGTACTTGTTTGCTAAATTCAATTTCTACAATTTACTTAAGGTTTAATAATAAAATAAAATAAAGGCTATTTCCCTTGGGAAGTTGAAAATCCTGGGGTTTGCACGAGCATTTTATGGCAGGAAAAGTGGGTATGAAAATATTAGACTCATAATTAATCCTTATTAAAATGTAATAATTGCCACATTTGTTCAAATAAGTGGAAAGAACTATAGAAATTCAGAAATCAGACAGATGAAGGAAATTTTACACACACACACACACACACACACACCCCACACACACAGAAGAGGAATTGTATGGAGGAAACATGATAATTCACGTGCATCATTGTCTCTAACAAAAGTGTAATTAATTAAACAAGAAGAAACTGTGACTCAAGATAAAGGAAATTGATTAGGTTGTGAAGTTTTTTGTTTTTTCTATGGGCTATATCTATTCCTTTTTTGTTGCACGTAAATGAAAGACTGCCTCCCTCTCATTCATCAGAAGAGGGTCTCTGTAAGTGAAAAAACACATGTATCAATTATTTTTAAAATCATAAATTGCATAATTATATAATAGCAATTGCTAATGCAAAGTTATGCCATAGCATAATAAATAAATTACACAAATCACAATTTTCACCTTTCATTAGAGAGATATAATTTTTCTATTAAAAATAAGGGTCGATCCTTAAGGTTTCAAAGATTAAATTGGGTCTGAACTGAACTCCCATGAACAATTAAAGTTACTATACTACATGAATTTTATTGTCTTTTGGTTGAATACATTTTTTGACTTGGGGTTTCAATTTATTTTCTCAATTTAAAAAACAAATCTAGGATTAATTAGATTTGTACAGAAATGTACTCTGATATTTACCTACATTGCAATACTGAGAATTGCATCAACATTTCGTGCAGCTGCTCCTCTCAGAAACAGGCAGTATATGCTAGCTTCTTGCTAAATATGCCACATGTTTTCCTTAACCATTTAGGGTTAGTTGTAAACAATAGTAAGCTGTTATCACTAATATGTTTTTTATTTTAAAAGTCATACCATATATCACTTAGTAACTGGGAGAAATAAAATATGCAAAGATTACTTGAATCTTTTATGACACTATTCCTTTAGATGTATAAAATAATCTGAATTCTAGAATCAGTTATTGGAAATAGATAAGAAAATAAGTAGAAAACAAAGTCATCAGTATTAGTGAGCAACTCTATCTAGTTAGAGAAACACAACAAGCATGAAAAGATATTTGCCAGTAATGAGAATGAATTCTGAGGTAGAGCTACTAAACATTCCTTCAGTTCAGCTGTGCATAGTTGCTGAATTCAGAGCCATGCCCTCTTTCTACAGATAGTCTGAAAAATATTCTTATTCAAGGTGGCGTAGATTCGTATTAAAGGGCTACACTCTTAGGTGCTGAAGGGTGAAGTGCTTTGAAGTGAAAGAATAATCTTTTATAATCCAAAGAAAAATCGACACAATCAGAAAATCCAGCTCTATTCCATAATTTCTGGTACCTCCATGCTTTCCTTGTCTATTTTTCACTGAATTATCCTTTGCAGTTAGAACACTTGCAGGTTCATACATAATATAGTCACCCCACATTACATTATTTCAGGTAACAAGGGACCACATATATAAACAGTGGTCCAATAAGATTATAATACTGTATTTTTACTGTAACTTTTCTGTGTTTAGGTATGTTTAGATATATAAATATTTACCATTGTGTTACAATTACCTACAATACTCAATACTGGAACATGCTGCACAGGTTTGTAGCCTAGGTGCAACAGCTATACGTTATAGCCTGTATGTGTAGCAGGCTATATCATAAAGGCTTGTGTAAGTATGCTCTATGGTGTTCACACAGTGACAAAATTGCCTAAAGGCACAATTATCAGAACATATCCCTGACATTAAGCAATGCATGACTGTACTTCCAAAATATGTGTTGAAATGCTTTTATAATTTCTGTTCCTTTCATTTTTCTTTTCAACTTTTCTCCTTGTATTCTTTAAGTTACATGTTCTCTTAAAATACAATATTCTCCTTTACTCTTGTCCAGTTTCTACTGTAATTTTTTTTCAATATTTTTAAAAACTAGGCATAGTTTATATTTAGTGTGCTGGCTAAGGGTATAGACTCTGGAGATGAAATATTTGGATTTGAATCCCAGCTACACCACCATTGGTTGTGTGACTTTGGACAAGTTACTTAATCTTTGTCTACAATTGTTTCTTCATTTTCCAAACAGAAACAATAATAACACCTACCTAATAAAGTTAATATGAGGACTAAATTAGTTAATATATGTATAACACTGCGAATGGTGCCTATATACAGTAAACACTATTTAAGTGATAGAAATAACAATAGTAGTTACTTCTTATTATTTTTATGGTGATGTCTTAATTTGTTAGTCTTCACTGACTTTTTATAGTAACATATCTTTTAATCCTTAAAAAATGAACCTCATATTATTAGGATTTCAACAAAAAAGTTCTTTTTTTCATTGGTCTCAAATTTATTTCGGGTGTTCTTTTGACAGACATGTAGACATTTCATTTAATTGCTCTAGATAATAATACATTCTGTTTAGGTAGCCAAATTGATTTCTAAAACTCTTTGGATAAAAGGTCCACAAGATTTTTGTGCCTCCAAAGGAGTTTTACTTCTATTCCCAAGGTCAGTCTTCCACAACATGGAGAGACATTACCATAGTCCCTCCCCTTACTTCCTTTTATTCCAAAGATTCTGCCTGCGATGTAAGCTAGGCTTTTGATGTCTATGTTAAGGCTTCTCCAGAAAGACAGAACCAATAGGATAGATAGATGATAGATAGATAGATAGATAGATAGATAGATAGATAGATAGATAGATTAGATAGATAGATAGATGAGAGATTTATTTATTTATTTATTTATTTTGAGACGGAATCTCACTCTGCTGCCCAGGCTGGGGTACAGTGGTGCCATCTCTGCTGACTGCAAGCTCCGCCTCCCGGGTTCATGCCATTCTCCTGCCTCAGCCTCCCGAGTAGCTGGGACTACAGGTGCCCACCACCATGCCCAGCTAATTTTTTGTATTTTTTTTTTTTAGTAGAGACGGAGTTTCACCGTGTTAGCCACGATGGTCTCGATCTCCTGACCTCGTGATCCACCCACCTCAGCATCACAAAGTGCTGGGATTACAGGCGTGAGCTACCGCACCCAGCCGATGAGAGATTTATTAGTAGAATTGACTCATGTAATTATGGAGGCTGAGAAGTCCTACAGTAGGCTGTTTGCAAGCTGGAGACCCTGGGATGCTAATAGCGTGACTCTGTCCAAATGTGAAAACCTCAGAACCAGAAAAGCTGTTGGTGTAATTCTCAGTACAAGACCAAAGGCCTGGGAAACTGGGTGGCCCCTGGTTTACGTTCTGGAGTAGAAAGCCCAGAGAGCCTGGAGTTCCGATGTCCAAGGGAAGGAGAAGAAGAGTCCCAGCTATGGCAGTCTCGTCTGGAAACTCTCTCACAAACTCACCCAGCAGTAACATTTTACCACTTCTCTAGGTATTCCTTAATCCAATCGTGTTGACACAGTTCTGTAGACTGCACAAGAAGCATAGTGCTGGTGTCTGCTTCTGGTGGGGGTCTTAAAGAGCTTATAATCATGGCAGAAGGCAAAGGGAGAGCAAGCATGTCATATGGCAAGAAAGGCAAAAAACATTTCTTATACAAAATACCTATTATTTTCTCATCTGAGGTTGTCTGGCAAACTTTGACATAATCAATTTCTTATATGAACAGTTATATATTTTTAAAGTCATTGCCGATATGGCCATAGAACTTTGGTCAAATGATGCCAAAGCATGTCACAAAACAAATTATTGTGCTATGTATTAAAGTATCAAAGATGTGATCTGAGCAGGTTTTATTAGCTGGAGGTGCCAGTTAGAATCAAATTAAGGTACTTTTACAAACTGTATACTCCTGGGCCCATTCTTCAGACATTCTAATGTGGATATTTATTGTATAAGCCTTTGCCATATTTGCTCTGGTGCCATCTCCATTTGAGGTATATATTTTTAAATTTAAATAATTTTTAATTGTTATGAGCACATATTAGGTGTATATATTTATGTGGTACATGAGATATTTTGATGCAGATGTTCAATGCATAATAATTGCATCAGAGTAAGTGGAGAATTTATCATCTCAAGCATTCATCATTTATTTGTGTTACAAACATTCCAATTATACTCTTATAGTTACTTTAAAATATGCAGTAAAGTATTGTTGACTACAGTTACCCTGTTATGGTATCAACTGCTAGATCTTATTGATTCGATCTAAATATATTTTCATACCTATTAACCAACCCCACTTTCCTCCCACTTCTCAGCCTCTGGTAACCATTATTCCACTATCTCCAAGAGTTCAATTGTTTCAAGTTTTATCTCCCACAAATGAATGAGAGCATGAAAAGTTTGTCTTTCTATGCCTCACTTATTTCACTTAACATAATGTCTGGCTTCCACTTTCATAAATGTTGTTGCAAATAACAGAATCTTATTTTTTCTATGGCTGAAGAGTACTCCATTTTGTATATGTGCCACCTTTTTGTCATCCATTCATTTGTTGATAAACAGGTTGATTCAAAATTCTACTAACTGTGAATAGTGCTACAATAAACATGGGAGTACAGAGATCTCTTTGATATGCTGATCTCCTTTTTTGGGGTATATACTTAGCAGTGGGATTGCTAGATCATATGGCAGTTCTATTTTTAGTTTTATAAGGAACCTGAAATGTTCTACATGGTGGCTGTACTAATTCACATTCCCACCAACAGTGTACCAACCACCAGGTTTCCCCTTTCTCCACATCCTCACCAGCATTTGTTATTACCTCTCTATTGAATATAAGCCATTTTGACTGGGGTGAGATGATATTGCAGTTTTGATTTGCATTTCTCCGTTGATCAATGATGTTAATGTTTGCCATTTTATGTCTTATTTTGAAAAACATCTATTCAAATATTTTGCCCATTTTTAATCACGATTAGATTTTTTCCTGTAGAGTTGTTCAAGTTCCTTACATATTCTAGTTATTAATCCCTTGTCAGGTAGGTAGTTTGAAAATATTTTCTTCCATTCTATGAGCTGTTTAAACTTTGTTTATTGTTTCCTTTGCTGTGCAGAAACTTTTTAACTTGATGTGATCCTCTTGTTTTATGTTTTGATTTATTGCTTTTTATCTTTTGTGTATCCCTTGTAGGTTTTTGACTTAAGATTGCCATGAGGCTTGCAAATAACTTCTTATAACCCATTATTTTAAAGTTATGACAACTTAGCATGGCTTGCAAAAACAAATTTATGAACAAGAAAAGAGAAAACTAATACAAATTCTACAATTAACTTAATCCCCCCAGCTTTTTTACTTTTTGTTTATGTTTATATCTGTTTATACTATGTCTTGAACGTCATTGTTATTACTTTTGATAGATTCATCATTTAGTCTTTCTCCTCAAGATAGGAGCAGTTTACACAGTGCAATTACAGAGGTAAATATTCTGTTTTGGTCTGTGTACTTACTATTATCAGTGAGTCTTTTACCTTCAGATTATTTCTTACTTGCTTGTTAATGTCCTTTTGTTTCAGATTGAATAATTTCCTTTAGAATTTCTTGTAGGACAGGTCTTCCATTATTGAAATCACTCAGCATTTTTTGTGGGTCTGGGAAAGTCTGTATTTCCTCATGTTTGAAGTATATTTTTGCTGGATATACTATTCTATGATAAGCATTTGTTTTTCTTCAGTCATTTAAAAATGTCATATCACTCTGCTCTGGCTTATAAGATTTTCAATGAAAGTCAGTTGCTGGAAGTATTGTATCTTTGTTTTATGTATGTTTTTGCTGTTTCTTTTCTGTTTCTGCTTTCTGGATCCGTTCTGTATCCTTGACCTTGATAGTGTGATTATCAGATGTCTCAAGGTAGTCTTATTTAGGTTAAATCCACTTGGTGGCCTATAAGCTTCTTGTATTTGAATATTTGTATCTTTCTCTAAATTTGGAATGTTCTTTGTTATGATCCCTTTGAATAACTTTCTATCACAATCTCTGTCTCTCTATCTCCTCTTTACATCCAAAAACTCTTAGATTTGCCCTTTTGAGGTTATTTTCTAGATCGTGTTGGTGTACATTATTATATTTTTCTTTTGTATCCTCTGACTGTATATTTTCAAGTAGCATGTCTTCAAGATCACTCATTCTTTTTCTGCTCGATCAGTTCTGCTGTTGGGATACTCTGATGCATTCTTCACTATATCAATTGCATTTTCAAGCTCCAGAATTTCTGCTTAAAATAATTTAAAAAAATTATTTCAATCTCTTTGTTAAATTGTATATAATAGTATTCTCAATTCCTTCTCTTTGTTATAATGAATTTCATTAGGCTTCCTCAAAACAGCTATTTTAAATTTTCTGTCTGAAAGGTCACATATCTCTATCACTCCAGGATTCCTCACTGGTGCCTTATTTAGTTTGCTTGGTGAGGTCATGTTTTCCTAGACGGTCTTGATGCTTGCAGATATTTCTTGACATCCGGACACTGAAGAATTAGGTATTTATTATAGTTTTCACAGTCTGGGCTTATTTGTACCTTTCCTTCTTGTGAAGGTGTTCCGGGTACTCAAAGGAAATTGAGTGTTGTGATCTAAGTCTTCAGTGTCTGCAGCCATATCTACATTAGAAGGCACTCACAGCCAGTATCGCTGACTCTTGCAGACTCCTAGAGGTACTGCCTTGATGACCTTGGGTAAGATCTGAGAGAATTCTCTCGATCACTAGGCAGAGACCCTTATTCTCTTCCCTTACTTTCCCCCAAACAAATAGAATGTCTCTCTCTGTGCTGAGCTTCCTGGAGATGGGGAGGGGTGACACAAGCACCCTTGTGCCACCAGCACTAGGACTGCACTGGGTCAGACTTGAAGCCAGCACAGCACTGGGGCTAACCCTAGGCCAATGGTGACCACTGTCTGACTACCACAAATGTTCACTTAAGGCCCAATAGCTCTTCAGCCAGAAGGTAATGAATCTAGCCATGCTTGTGTTCTTCTCTTCAGGGTAGCAAGCTAGCCACAGCCTGCCCTGCCCCGCCCCCACCCCTCAAAGAATAAGTCCAGAAATGCCATCTGGTAGCCAAGGCCCAGAGCCAGGAAACTTAGGAAACTCTTCATGCTCTGTTATTCTGTGGCTGACCTAGCACCCAAACCACAAGACAAAATCTTTTCCACTCTTCTTCCTCTTTTCCTCAAGCAGAAGGAGACTATCCCCATGACCAGTACTGCCCCAGGCCCACAGCAAGTACTGCTTTTCTACCACTGATGTTCACTCATGGTCTACGGACCCTTCAGTTAGCTTGTAGCAAATGCTGCCAGGCCTGGGTCTCTCCCTTCGGGGCAATGGGATCCCTTCTAATCAGGGTGAGTCCAGAAATGCTTTCTAGAAGCCAAGGCCTGAAATCAGGCAGCCCAGAAGCCCACTTTGTGTTCTATTTTACTACGGCTGAGCTAGTACCTAAACTGCAAGATAAAGTCTCCTTTACTCTTCCCTCTCCTTTACTCAAGCAGAAGGAGTCTTGTTCCATAGCCACCACAACTGGGAATATGCTGGGTCATACCAGAAGTCAGCACAGCCCTGGGGCTCACCCAAGGCCCATGGTCCTACCTGACTACCACTGATGTTTATTCAAAGCCCAAGGGCACTTTAGTCAGCAGGTGATGGATCCTGCCAGAAGTGGGTCCCTCCCTCTAAAGCAGTAGGTTCCCTTCTTGTCTAGCAGGTGCCTAGAAATGTCATCTGGGAGATAAGGCCTGAAGTGTGGGTCTCAGGATGCTGCTTAGTGCCTTATTCTATTGTGGATGAGCTGGTATCTAAGTTGCAAGACAAAGTCCCCTTTACTCTCCCTTCTCCTCTCCTCAAGCAAAAGGAAGGAGTCACTCCAGAAATTGCAAGCTGGGGTTGTGGGTATGGTAATGTAAGCACTCCCTTGGCCACTCAGGCTAGTGTCTCACTAGGTCATGTAAACCTCATGTCAATTAGCTCTGAGCCCACCACAGTACCAGGACTTGCCCAGGAATTGCAGTCCTTGTGGCATAGACTACTTTTTAAGTTTATTTAGAACCCCAGAGCACTTTAGTCTGTAGTGGAGGGGCTAGCCAGAACTCAGGTTCTGACCACTGGGATGGATGATTCTTTTCTAGCTAGGGCTGGTCTAAATGCTCACAATCTGTTCATTTTGTTCTCCCTCCCCCAAGCACACAGATTTTCTCTCTGTGCCATGCAGCTCCTGCTAGAGGAAGGGAGAGGAGTGATGTTGTCACTTCAAGACTGTCTTTTCTACCTTCTTCAGCACCTCTTTTCTTGCTATGATGTTAAAGTTAGGTACCGTGAGCACTCACCTCATTTTTGCTTCTTATGAAGGTGATTTCTTGTGTAAATAGTTGTTCAAGTTGATGTTTCTGTGGTGGGGACAATTGCTGGTGGGTTCTATTTGACCACCTCATTCCATCTTTATTCCACCAATTGGAGCAGTTTTTAAAAATACTGTTTATATAGAAAAACCCACTTTACTTTTTCTACATATAGTGAGGCCATTTCACCAATAGAAAACAATTTGCTCTTTTTTCACTGATTTCTTTAATAGACTTTTTTTAAAAAATCAGTTTTGGAGTTACAAAAAAAATTGGACAGAAAGTACAAAGTTAGCCCCCACACCTACGCAGCCTTCCACTATTAACTTCATTTACTGAAGTGGTCCATTTGTTATAATATAAGAACCTATATTGATACATTATTATTACCAAATATTCATAGTTTTCATTAGAGCTTAATCTTGCTATTGTACATTCTATGTGTTTGAATAAAGGTATAATGACATGTATGTATCATTATAATATCATACAGACTATTTTTACTGGCTTACAAATCATCTGTACTCTGCCTGTACATGCCTTCCCTCACTCACTCCTGGCACCCGCTGATGAGTGTGTAGGTGTGTGTATGTGTTGGGGAGACACGTGTGAACCTTCGGGTAAAAATATTAAAATTCAGGCTCAGCACCTTTCCTTGTGAACATCTGCTCCTAAAAAATCACTACTATATCTTAGCATCAGATAGTGTTTTATTCAAGAGCTGCCTTCTTCGTTTTTTACCACCTAACTCAAAGGCCGAGTGTAGGAAATGCTCAGAGGCCTGATTGACCTCAGTTTATTAGTAGTACCTTCACCCCAGCTGTGATCTAGCACTGTCCTGATATTTCACATCTGTTTCTGGTTGCTGCTGGGTTGATGCTGCTGTTTTTCACCCACCACATTGGTGACAGGGAAGGCAATGATCTGCCCAGGTAGATGTGAGTGAGAGAAAGGTACAAAAACAGGAAACTGTGTCTGAGTGAAAGTCTTGCAAGTATGACAATGACAGCTTGACACATAAACATTGATTTAACCTATATTAGTAGTCTACTTTCTGTGTGTCATACACTGGGTAAACTTTGGCAGTAGAAATAAGGAATAAAGAACCCTATGGTCAAATAGCATATATATTATTAGAATCAGACATTTACATAGTCAAATAAATGGAAGGAATACACAAGAGTGAAACTGGACTGTCACAATATGAGTAGCATAATTGTTTCAAACATACTATTAATAGTAGAGATTCTTTCAAAATAAAAGCATGAATTGAATTTTAAATATCCTCTACTTCAGCAACAAACCAAACAAAATGTCATAAAAATTTAAATGTTACCACAAAGTAAAAGCCTATACCAGTATAAAATTATAATAAAAATCAATGATTAAATTATATTGTTTATATCACCTAGGTGTCCTCTAATTTCTCAAATAACAACTAAACCCATAGAATTATAGCCCCATTTTTCTTGATGAAAGTTGTTTCTTGTCATTTACAGTCATACTAAATTGATAAACAAAAATGCTAAGATGAAAAAAAATCAGTCATCCTATCTTTGAGACATTAACTAGAGAAAATAGATCAGTGAACCTGAGTTAAGTAGTAATATACAGTGACTTTATTCATTAGAAAAGCTAAAGCAATTATAATGCTCTGAATGATCATAGAGTTTACTCTATCAAAGAAATGGAAAAAAATATACATTTTCAACAACTACTTGATGAATTTATTAAGTTTCATCCTTTGTAATTTAAAAATGTCAACATAAGCTTCTATGATATTCAAATAAGGATTTAAAGAATGTAATCTGGGATATAATAAAAAATTTAGGCATAATTTTTTATTCAAAAATCCTAAATAAAAATAAATATAAAAAACAAAATAAGTAAAATGAAACCAGTAATACACTTGACAACTTTATACTGAATGAAGTAGCACACATTAACAATTGGAAGTTATTAGTGAAAATGTAGTTATAGAATACAGATAATAGAGATTTGACATATCAACAACTGATATGCAAGAAGATAGGACCAGAACAAATAACCAGGAAAAAATTCTCAATAATTTAATGGAAGTACATTCTCTCAAAACAAAAAAAAAAAAAGTGATTTGGCAGTTCAAATGGGCTTTTCATGAGTAAAGAAATAGTAATAAAAATGGACAAACACCAATACTGAAATTTATTATATATTATAAAATTTCAAGAAAAGATAAAAACTTTAAAATTTCTGGCATATGAAACAGAACATTCTAATGAGACTTTTCCTCAGCAACATTAGTTCCCAGAAGGAAATAGATACCTAAGAGATATCTACTTTTAGGTAAAAGGGTATGATCCCCAAATTTTATATTCATCTAATTTGTCATACATGTGTAAAGGCATCAGAATAAATATTTAATATATTCTTACATGTACAAAAACTAAAGTACCCCAATTCTGTCCCTTTTGTGATAAATTTACTTAAAGACATAATCTATAATCTATGCAACTGAAAAATAGAATAAAAATCAATAAATCAGTCAATAGAAAAGTTGAGTTATGAAAGGAATGATATGCATTCAAATTAGCATAACATTGAATTTTGTCTAATAAACTTAAATTATTATGGCTACCAGTTCCTACCAGATTTAAATTTTAGTTTTGAACAAAAGTACAAAATCTAAAATCCTGGGATAAAAGGTAAAAGGTGGGAAGAAATTTTAAAGTACTAATATTCTTATGTTCCAGATAAACTCAATGTATATAATTTTATTTCTAAAAGTGACAAATAAATGAATACAGCCCTATGCATTCTTTTTAAATTACAAAAATAACCACTAGTGGCACTAAAAAGAGAGGATACATTTTCTAAATTTCTAGAGAGAAAAGGAAAAGAAAGCACAGATTATGCAGAACAAGTTAGAAAATAAATGAAGGACTATATAAATATAGAAAATGGGGCTTAAAAGAGGATGACAAAAGTGAGACCAAACTTAAGACTTTAAATAAAAATTGGCAAACCTATTCAATAATTTTAAAAACTAAAAATCACCAATTGGGTGAAAAACAATTCTAACTATATTTTACCTAAAAATAATATACCTCAAACTGAAAAAGTAGAAAGTAAAAGACTAGGCAAGTTACATCAAATAAATGGAAACAAATCACAAAATGAAAGCAGTATAGCTATATTAATGACAAAGTAAAAGTCAGTTGAAAGCATTAGAGACAAAATGAGCTCTAATGCTCACTTTAGATAGTCACTGTAGACTATTTAAATATCATGTGTATTTATGGACTGTATAACATAACAATACATTTTGAAATATTACATAAAATAATATGTACAGTGACATATTTAAATATGTGTATTTATGGACTGTATAACATAACAATACATTTTATTGCGACTACAGTGACTATTTAAATATCATGTGTATTTATGGACTGTATAACATAACAATACATTTTGAAATATTACACAAGATAATACATGTTGAAATCTTCTGAAATTACAAAATCTTTTTAAAAGAATTTTGAGGCAATCTCACTGTTCCTCAGGCTGGAGTACAGTGACATGATCTTGGCACATTTCAGCCTCACTTGTGAGGCTCAAGCAGTCCTCCAACCTCAGCCTCCCCAGTAGTTGGGATGTGGGAAAGAGAGTTTCTAGGGTGCCAGATGAGTTGGTCTTCCCTGTGCGAGACACCCACAGGGAGCCATGGGCGGCCTCTTAGGAGAAAAGTCTCTTTATTGCCTTCATGTCTTTATGCCCCGAGAGCATAACCGCTCCGTGCATTCCACAGGTTGCTCAGGGAGATAACACTCCCTTGAAGCAGTGGAGTATAATCAAACATCTTAGCTCCTCCTGAAACCCACTCTCACCCATTTCAGTCCTTATAAGTTAAAGATCTCAAGTAATTTAGACACAGGCCTTTGCTCAAGGAAATTCACAGAAACCGCCACTGCTATACATCTTATTGAATGACTCACGAGTTCTCCTTCACTGATTAATCCTTTTCCTCATCCCTTCCTACCCTTCCCATCTGCCCTAAGAACAAAGAGCTTGTAAACCAATAAATAGGCGGAGCCCAAGAGCTCTGGGCCCTGAGCAAGCCTCCAACACTCCGGTCCCCTGGACCCGCCTTTTGAACTCTTATTCTGTTTCTTTCTAACTCCTTTGTCTCCGCTGGACTTGGGGTACCCGCCGGGTGGTGTGGGGTTGGTTTCTCCAACACTGGGACTACAGGTGTATGCCACCATGCCTGGCTAATTTTTGTATTTTTTGTAGAAACAGGGTTTCACCATTTTTCCTAGACTGGTCTCAAACTCCTGGGCTCAGGTAATTTTCACACCTCAGCCTCCCAAAGTGCTGGGATTACAAGTGTGAGCCACCGTGCCCAGTCTCAAATAGAATTTGATAGAAACAATGATTTATGGTACATCTCTGCTTTTCAGAACAATTAAGCAAAACATATGGAAATATATATATATATATGAACTGAATAATATAATTAGTAAGATAGTGATAACATGTGCTTATCAAATACCTGTCCCTGAATTCAGAGAATGTCCCTTGTGATTATGAAGGTTCTCTGGGTAATTGAAACAACTTGAGAATACCTTAGGCCAAAAAGAGAACCTCAATAAATTGAAAGATATAAAAATATTATAGCTTACATTTCTGACTATACTGCAGTATTAGAAATGTATCAAAAACTAGTAAAAGGCAAATAAAAAAATACTCAAACCCATCAGACACCCCCTTGTTTCCATTTGCTTTCTTCCTCCCACATGGATGCCAATATTGCGTATCACTTATGGCTAGTGATGATTCTGTTTCACTTTACTGATGTTGATGGATATGCATATTATTTTAAACATCACTGAAATGTGACAAACATTCTTGTGGATACATTGTTTTGTAAATTTATAAAAGATAAATTAATATAGTTGAAATTTTTGTATATCTTGCCAAATTCTTGTTCAGAAAAGTTTTACCAAACTATATATTAATCAATACTGAATAAGAATACCTGACAGGTATATTTATATAATTTTTAAGAAATTGATACTCACTAGATTATTTATACTGTTCCAGGAAATATTTTTAAAAAAGAAAGTTCCTCAAGGTTTTTAAAACCAGCAAAGTTCTTGACAAAACTAACACTCAAATGGAGCACTATAGCACAAGGCCAGAATTCTGACTAAAATATGAAAAAATTGCACGTAGAGATACATTTAAAGAATACCATCCAATGACTGAGTAAATATGATAATATTAATAAATTTATTCTTATTATTTAATATAATTCAAGGAGAAAGGCCATGTACTTATTTTGGTAACTGCTAGAACAGCATTTGTTGTTTTCAAAATTTATTATGCCCACATATCCTAAATAAGAAGAATAAAATGTTATTCCTTAAAATTAAAATTATTTATTTCAAACAACCAGTATTATATTTACTTAAACATTGAAAGCATTTCAATTATAATCTGGAAAAAATATGCCAATGCTGCACACATTATGACACATTACTCCTGAACACATTGGTATATTTCTCCTAAGAAAAAAGGCATATTCCTACATAACTACACTACAATTATTATTCCCAAGAAATTTAACATTGATACAGTATATACTATTACCTAATATACACGCCTTACTCAAGTGTTCCCAATACCCACATAATGTCTTTTATAACTGTATTTTAAAACCAGGACCCAAATAAGAATTGCACACTGCATTTGGTTATCATGTTGCTTTTATAGCCAGGACAGTTACACTGCCCCTTATTTTTTGGTCTAAGCCATTTATTTTACAGAATGTTCCTCAATATGAAATAGTTTGTCTTTTTGTTGCCTCATGACAAGATTCAGCAATGTGTAATTTTAAAAAATAATGGTTGTTTAGTTATATTCACAATGGAAAATGGATATTCCCTCAAAACACTTACTAATGTCTATTATTATCAAATGTCTATGTGAAACAGGTTTTGCTTTCTTCAATCATCTTTAAATGGTAGTCAGTGCATTTTAATAAGAGGATATAAAATTAGAAAGAGGAAAAATTATGACTTATAAATGATATAATCATATATATGTAAATCTCAATGATTCAAGGAACTAGCTGAAAAACTTTGGGTAATACAATGGTTTGATAAAACACCTAGATCAAAATTTCAATGAAGCAACTCTCTAATTTACTGAGAATAATCAATTAGAAAGTTTATAAGATGGTATTCACTTTAGTAATAACAACAAAAGCATATATACTATCCAGGAACCTATTTACATATAATAATCTAAAGCCTGATTATAGAATACAATAAAGACTTCAATAAATAGTTAGAACTTAGAAAGATTAAATAATGCAATAATATGATTTTTCACAAATTATTCTATAAAATTACTAACTAGGATTTAGGAGGAGAACTTGATTATATTATTTTTAAATTTATATGCAGGAATAATCGTGAGCTTATTAATTAAAATATTCACTGGAATGTAAGCACCATAATGACAGAAATTTTGTTTACAGAGGTATACCAAGTCCCTATAAGAATTCCTTGCACATAGTAGTTACTCAATATATATGTATTGATAGAACCCAGAAAATTAAAAATAATTAGTTGGGGAGCTTGACAAACCAGATGTTAAAATGTAATGCTATGATATGTAAAATTGTGTGGTGCTAGTGCAGAAATGAACTGACATTTCAGTGAAACAGAATTGAGAGTCCATGGAAAGACTGTTACACCTGGGGAGCTGGTATATAATTCATTTTTCAGATCATTAGGAAAATATACATTATTCAATAAAAAATGTTGGCTCAATTTACTATGTATTTGGAAAAAATAAAGCTAAATTCACAATGTCATTTCTTACTTTGAAAGATTTTTCAAATGTTTGAAAGATATAAATGCAATGTGAATTCTAAAAAAATGGTGAATATTTTAAAATTGTATAATGAAGAAGATATTTTTTATTTTACTCTTATGGAGCTCATGGAAATTAGAATCCATAAGAAAAGGATTGATATGGTTGATTATATAAGAAATTTTAAACTTTCAATACAGGAAAACACTAAGATTTGAAAAAACTGTCAAACTTGAAACTTATTAGTAACATATTTGCTAAAGGGTTAACATCCTTAGCATAAAACCATTTAAATTTCAAAAATACATTTTAACTATATTTAAACTTGATTATCATTCCAAAACAGATACATATCAAATAGGTATATGAGGTAACAAAAGACAATCTTTCACCTATTAAGTGACTTAAAATGAAAAAGATGAAAACAATTCAATGTTAAATAGAGTGAGAAGTTACAGACACTTCTATATAATGTTTATTGCATTGTAAAGTGGTATCATTTCTCTGATGGGCAATTTGGCAGGACCTTTATAGAATATTTAATTGGAATTATCAAATATACTTTAAAAATGTAGTCTATATAAGTAAAAAGATGAGAGTATAGTTAGGCATGCACAGAGATTTTCATTATGGCGCTGTTTAAATAAGTAAAAATTTAGAAACAACTTAAATACCTGTCAATATAAGATTTATTAAATCAGTCATGTTATCTATTATTAAAGAGAAACATTATGCAGCTATTTTAAATAAAAATAATGGCAAACACATGATGACTCTAATATTGTTGAGCAATCACAAAACATCATTAATAGTATAATCCCTTTCCAGTTAAAAATGTGTTTGTGCATGCCGGTGTTTGTATGTATTTGTGTGTGTGTATGACAAGGCATCAAAAGAGACTTTCCTATCGCTCTGGAATTGGAAAGTAGGGCCCACAACTGAAGTAAAGATGTAAAAGATATCTCCACATTCTAAAGGGGGTCACCAATAATTGAGGCTGGACACACGCCCCTAGAGCTTACTGACAAGCTGCTAAACTAGCTCATTTGTCATCAGTAATCATCCTAAACCTTTCCTCAATGCACCAGAAAAAAAAAGACAAAGTTTCAATAGAGCCACTCAGAAAGGTGGGAAATACTGTTAGGAAGATTAAGCACATTTGATTCTCAGGTTGACTTTCATTGAAGCATGGAGTTATTGATCTTTCCCTATGCTTAAGCAGAGGACAGGATATTTGGAAAACACGGCAGGGCCAAAAAGAAGGGGTGTGGATCAGCTAGGTTTATTAAGGATACATGTGTTTCCTGTGGGTAAAGAGAATATGTGATAGGTAGCTGGGTTTGATCAGCAAGTCTGTGAGGTGTACAACGTGTGGCAGAAGGTCATGCAGAAGCACTGGGAAAGTTGTCTATCCGGAGAGATATCTCTCACATCAGGCAGGGGGTAAGGTCTCTTAGTTTTTCACTCAACCAGTTATCTCACTGCAGAATTAGTATTTGGATGCTAAACACACAAAGATCATCCAGGACAAGTGGGAATTAACTAGAAAAGCATCAATGATCAGCAAAGAGAACACTATAGCATCAGTTAAACATACATTTCAAGACTTGACCCTTCTCCTCCATTCTACCTCCCATCCCCTATCCTTAGATAAGCTGTACACTAGATGCGTGAAGAAGACCACATTCTTTTCAATCAGATGTAAACAAGATATAAGATTGGTTGTTTAAATTGAGTAAGTCTGAGTTGTAACAAGGGCAAAAAACTTGAATTAATAATTGTATTAGATATCTCTTTTGCACCATTTCAAATGCTTTTGGCCTCACTGCTTATTCCCGCCACCAATATAGCATCCAGTTCCATGCAGGCTTCCACCAGATGCATACAGGTACAGATTGACTGTGTTCAACTGTGAACCTTTCTTCTTTTCTTTCTTATCCAAGGGCTTCTCTGGTATCATAGTATAAGAGCTAGTAGAAAACCACTTAGAATCCATTGTCAATCTTAAATAAAATTATGCAGAGAAGAATATACAAGCAAAAGGGTTTTTATTTGGGAGCAATGTATAAAAGTAAGATTGCAATTTGGGACATGCATACACAGACCATGGGGAGGTGGTTCCAGTGTGTTCAAAGAACAAAGGACAGGGATGGGGTTTTACTGAAATTGGATACAAAACTGAAAGTTGTTTTGAAAGAAAGTTCATTGGTATTGGCAGTGTCTCTGGGAGTCGTTCAGCTCTGATTGATAGGAGGCAGCAGTTACTAAGTAAAACTTGTTTTAAGGTCATAACAAGCCATTTCATTGGATTGAGCTTGTGAGAGTTTCTGGAACTGACATTTGTGACTAACATAGTTTGACTGTGTCCCCACCCAAATCTCACCATGAATTGTAATATATCCCTTGTGTCGAGGGCAGGGCCAGGTGAAGATAATTGAATCGTGGGGGCTGTTTCCCCCATACTGTTCTCATGGTAGTGAATAAGTCTCAGGAGGTCCGATGATTTTATAAATGGGAGTTCCCCTGCACAAGCTCGCTTTTGTCTACCACCATTTAAGATGTGCCCTTGCTTCTCTTTTGCCTTCTGCCATGATTGTGAGGCCTCTCCAGCCATGTAGAACTGTGAGTCCATTAAAACTCTTTAGTTTAATAAATCACCCAGTCTCTAGTATGTGTTTATTAGCAGCATGAGAACAGATTAATACAGTGACCAAGTGTTTTCTTTCCCCAATGACCCCTCAACTATATTTTAATTGGAAATGGCAGGAATGACTCCAAATCAACTTTTACTTTTTCCCATTTTGATTAATATCTTTCCCTGAAAGCATCACTGATCAACTACCCTTGAAATTTTGCTTCATTATCCCTTAGTGCTGGGAGAGATTTATCCTTGTTGGTCAGTTCCCAAGTTAGACAGAAACAAGAGAAGTCAATGTCAGGGACTCAGGCCACATTTGAGTAATAAAGAGGCTAGAAGAAAATACCCTCTCAGGGTAGATCTGCCTGAAGTCCAGTGTTAAGTTCCATATTATTAGTCTCATAGAAATTGGCAATTATTTTGAAGCATTGACCTAACATTCTCCTGTTGGGAGAGTTATCCTTGCAGAGATTTGACAGTCAAAAAGAACAGAGCTTAAATATCACAATGCAATGAATAATCAACAAAAATACAATAAATCCAGTTTGTATAGTAGTTCTAAACCATTAACCCAGTTTTAAGGTAATCAACTGAACAGATTGAAAAGTTTAGATGTGTTGGACGTAACCTGTTGGAGCCAGGTGACTTTCTCTCTTATTTTGTATAATTGTATTTATATTTCCCCAGAGGAATTGATTCATGTGTGGCAAGTAGTGTTAGAAATTGCACAAATGCCACCTTTGTTTAGCTAAGAAGTAACCTAGAGCAATCCTATTATCTAATACCATTTAAACAAGATAATCTAGCAAAGTTTTTCGAGCCACAATGGCATTAGTTGTGGAGTTGGTTATAGATCGAATTGTAAAGTAGAAATTTCTCACCATTGTTTCTAAGTGAGTCCTTTGATCCAAGAGAAAAAAAAAAAAACAAAGCAGGATCTAACATCTGAAGCCTATTCTGCTGAATTTGTGTCACCTGGTAGAGTATCTCTTTAAATATGATGGTGCAAGTTAAGAGGTGTGAATCGGTGTCGCGATGTTGTTAGTTTAACTTGAATCCAGAAACAGAATAAAACATATTGGTGTTTTATTTTTCATTTGTTGAGACATGGTGTTGGCCATAAATAAGGTTGACTGTTAAATCTCTCACAGATTGAAATGTATCCTGATGAGAAACAACAGGTAATTACATGTGGAGTACCTGCTGCATTTACAGTCATTCATAGGAAGGTGCCAGTAATATTTATCCAAGGTTCTATTATTGAACTATGGCATTGTTGAAAGCCGTCTTTAATGAGAAAACTAGGGTTATAAATGTTTTAAAATCTGTGAAATTTATCTTATCTTGAATCTTATCACTATACTTTTCTTTACATAATCTTAATATGCATTTTAAATTTTTTGTAGGCTTTAGATACTCGGCATAAAGCAGGGAATCTGAATATGTAGGCTCGAAAGCTTGACATTGCAAAAGAAAAATGAAGTACAATTTGAACAAACAGATGGAGTGGGAACACTAGACAAATATGTTATCAGGTGAACTAGAGGTTCACTTGCATCATGGACAGATCTGGGTTTTTGGTAACAGATCCAACAGTCAGTTAAATATCTCCCTTTGATAATAGATTGGGAAATATGAGTTAGAGCATTGCCTCTCCAGGAAAATGAAAGCACTTAAGAAGAGACCAATAATAAAAGGACGTACTGGCATGGTTCAGACATCTTGGGATAGCAGTCTACTTCAGATGCAATCCACTTCAATTCTGGATGAGCTTTAGCTTTAAATCACCTGTTGGAATGCTGGTCCAATCAGGGTCAGGGGTAGAAACATTTTTAGGTGAGAGATGTGGAAACAAGAGTCAATACCTTTGAGGTTGATAGCACAGGGATAGGTGAGAAGGCCTTGATATGGGCCCTTCCATTGAGGCTGGAAAGAGTCCTTATGTAGGTGTTTTTTTCAGTAGACAAAGTTACCAGGCAGTAAATCCTATTGCTTTAGGTCTTTGTCTCCAAAGAAAACACTATGGAAAGATTTTCCTACAAAAGTATATTTTTTATTCTTTGTTTTAATAATGTCTTTACAGTATTCTAGTATATCTCCTTTTATCAACTGGGATTCAAAAGTAGAGGAAGCTAAGTGCATAGGATGGCCTGTGGTTATTTTAGTAGGCAAAAGCTTGTGAGTTCCAAAGGGAGTAGCTCTCAATTACCAAAGGAAAACCTTAGGCCAGGGAGGGTGTAAAATTTCCATACATTCTTCCAACTTTGTGTGTGTGTGTGTGTGTGTGTGTGTGTGTGTGTGTGTGTGACAGAGTCTCACTCTGTTGCCCAGGCTGGAGTGCAGTAGAATTCTGTTTGTTTGTTCTACCCAGTCAGAGGATTAGGGATTGTAGATATAATGAAAATGCCACAATATTGGTCAAGCTGAATGTACCTGTTTTATTATATAGTCAGTAAAGTGAGTTCCCCAGTCACTACAAAGTTCAAGGGGAGCTCCCCAAGTGGGGATAATTTTTCTTGAAAAATTTTGTCTATGGTTGAAGCAGCAGCTTGTCTATAAGGAAAGACTTCCATGCAATGGGAAAACATACACATCATAACCATTACATATATATACACACAGAAGGGTGGGGAGTTGGATAATATCCATTTGCCAAAACCCAATACATAATTTAAAATATCCACAAGTGGTGTGTTAATGTGTTCCTGGATTAAATTTAGGACAGGTGGTGCAAGCCAAATAAGCACTTTCGGCAGCTTTCTTTATGTCACATTACCAATGTTGTTTTATAAAGAAATTATTTAGTCAGTTACTCAATGAGCCAGATTCTGTATTGTTGTTGATTGGATTTGAGAGAAATGGTTTGTTATCCAGTCCAAATTAGAGTTCTTTTAGATCATCAAACCAGCAGCCATTACTCAAATTTTGTTTCTTTGGTTCTAGTGCCCAATTTTGTGCATTTTTGGTAATTGTTACTAGATCGCCATTAGTAGCCATAGAAAAAAGCCTCATGACTTCAAAAGAAGTAGTAATTTCACATCCTTCACAGTTTTTGCCATGTCATCTTTACATATGAGTCATTTGTAAACCATGGTATTTCAGCATTGTCTAATGAAGTGTCTTGTAAATCTTTTCTGGGAGTCACAGAGTCATAAGGGATTTTGTTCAAAAAAGGGGTAAAAGGAAAACAGGATTAAGATCGTTATATCAAGAAAGAGTTATATGAGGAACAGCTAGCAAAAGAAGTTCAGAAGACGTAAGATGACTGGGAGACAGGTGCTAAGTATGATGTGAATTTTAAAAAGCTTCATGGTCAAAGGAAATAGTCTTTCAAAAGACTTCTGGCATTTCTACATTATTTACTCTAGGTCATTATATTTGTCCAAGCTATAAGGAGCCATTCCAAAGGAGTTTTACAAAGGGCTTCAGGTACCCTTGCCAGAACACTGGACTCTGAGTCACATGTGGGTGTACTCTGGGCAATATATTTTCCTATATTGTATTAGTCTGTTCTCACACTGCTAATAAAGACATACCTGAGGCACGGTAATTTATAAAGGAAAGAGGTTGAATTGACTCATAGTTCCACATGGCTGGGGATGGGAAACTATACCAACCCCGGACCTTGTAAATTTGGGAAATTGATTGGCTCACATCCTACAGTATATCAATGAAAAGACTACTAAAACCCTTAACTTCTAATTGCAATGAATGAATGCTATCAGAGTAACCAACTATAGCTCTAAATGCACAATTTCCCTAATCCAGGAGACCCACTTATTGGCATCTGTCACTATCGTAAACAAAAAACTATTGAGGAAGAACTTAGAGGCCCAAAGTGGTGGGATTCACTTGTCGGGTGGCCACTGCATCTTTGAGAAGCTCAATGGTGATTATTATCTGTAAGAGAGAGTTAACAGTGGGAGGTGCAGCCACAGAACTGGGTTTCCTAGTTTCTGGGAGGATGATGGGATTATGGAATGTTAGAGGTCAGGTGACAATATTTAACTTTTAAATGCAAGATGGACAGAATGACTCCTCCTATTGATGTTAGGCAGACATTCTCCTTCATAATTCCAAGTAATGGCCATAACAGAGTAGGTGTGATGGCCAGGATAAAGGTTATGCATCAGCACAACAACAGGGGCTCTGCCTCTTTAATGTTCATCTAACTACTGCTACTGCTGAGTGCCTCACTTGCAAGATGTAGCATCCAATGCTGAGTCCTAAATATGATGCCATTTCTTGAAGAGACTAGCCAGCCACTAGAGGCCAGGTTGATTATATTGGAGTCCTTTTATCCTAGATGAGGCAGTGATTTATCTTTATTTAATTGACATCTTCTCTAAATATGAATTTGTCTTACCTTCATCAACATCACTATTGAAGTCCTATAGAACATTTCATCTATCTACATAGTATTATGCACTATATTGCCTCAAACTACAGGATCAATTTTATGAGAAATGACATGTGACAATGAGCACATGACAATGGGATTCACTGGGTTCATCATATGCCTCATCACTCAGAGGAGGCTAGCCTGATACAAAGTTGGGATGGCCTACAAATTTCTGCTAGGTTGCCAGCTCAGGGACAACAGTTTGAATCAGGGTGCTATCATCCAGGATACAGAATATGTGTTGAACCAATAGCTGATATTTGGTGTTGTTCCTAGCAACCAAGAGGTAGAAGTAGGTTTGTCTACTCTCACCATCACTACCAGTGACCTGCTTGCAGACTTTCTGTAAAATTAGAATCTGCTGGATTAGGGGCCCTGATCCTCAAGAGGAAAATTCTTTTACTGGGGGAAAGCATCAGGGGTGGCCAATCTTTTGGCTTCCCAGCGCCACATTGGAAGAATAGTCTTGGGCCACACATAAAATACACTAACACTAACAACAGCTGATGACCTTTAAAAATTACAAAAAAAAAAAATTCTCATAATGTTTTAAGAAAGTTTACAAACGTGTATTGGGGCTGTATTCAAAGCTTTCCTGGGCTGCATGTGTCCTGCAGGCCATGGGTTAGACAAGCTTGCATTACAGTGAACATAAAGCTGTAATTAACACCTGTAATATCAGGCTCCACAAATTCTGTACTGGTGGGGGTAATCAACTCTGATTACTTTGAGGAGCTAAGGTTTTGGATACATTATGGAGGGTAGGCAGGAATATAACTAGCATTCATGACACTTGGGTTTAATGGAGCAAATTTTGTGCTTCTGTGAAGAGACGAGGTCTAATGGCAAGTGGGCAATTGCAGCAACCACAGCTCAATATGATCAAACAATGAAGATCTCGGTCACCCTATCAGGCAAGCAAACTAGACCAGCCAAAGCATACACTAAGAGTAAGAGAGATCTAGAATAAATAATGGAAGTGTGGGATAATTATTTTAAAATATCAATTAAAGACATAAGATCATCTGCAGTAACAGAGAACTGTATTGTGTGTTTGCAGAGATTGCAGTTGACTGTCACCTTGAAAGAGGCCTTATGATGCCTTGGTTTTAATGGAGGACATGAGTGGGTCTGAATGGTACATAGAGTGAAATGTGTTTGACATATCTTGTGCCCTATTTCAAATTTCTTGGCCTCAGTTCTTACTTAGCCACTGCTGTATGAACTAATTCCACTTGGCTTCAACCAGCTTTACGTATGTACAATCTGACTATACTTGCCAACGGATCTCACATTTCCTACTCCAGGATTTCTCTGATACAACGATGAGGACCATAGTGAGGAATCCTCTTAGCGTTTACATATGAGAATAGGAATGAATCTTCTATTTATCTGGCTTCCTCATGTTCCCTGCTTGGCTCCCTCAGTCTCTCAGTCTTGCTTCCTGAATCACGTTCTCAAAATAAACTACTCCTATATAGCCTTTGGTCCCAGGTTCTGCTGTTAAGGGAACCCTGGACTTCACAAAAGATGAAATTTATAAGTCTAATAAATATATAAATAAATACCAAGCCTCAGTGTAATAAAGGAATTGAAAATTAAGACTTCAATAAAGTCCTTCTTTATAATATCCACCATATTGGCAAACATTTAAAAAATCTGATAACACTATAATAAGTATGGAAGAGACTGGCATATTAATAGGAATTCATACATTCCTGGTGGAAATGTAAATTGATGTAGTCATTCAATGAAAACATATTAGCATTATATTATAGACTTGAATAGTGATATACCTTATGGCAGCAATTCCACATTTAACTATATAATCTAGAAAAGGTCTGGCTTACGAGCACAAGGAAGTAGGCACAGGGGATTTATATAGCTGTGTCCCTGGTAATTCCAAACTGGAGGAAAAAAAAAACTAAGCTTTATCAAGAAAAGAATGAGTAAATTGAGTATATTAATATGAATGAGTAAATTGAGTGTATTAATATACTGAAATACTATACAGTAACAACAATGGACAAATTACAACTACACAAGACAATATGTATGAATCTCACAAATATGATATTGAAGGAAAGAAATAAGATGCAGAGGAATACATAATACTCCATTCACATAAAGTTCGCCAAACAGGCAAAACTCAACTCCACAGTGTTCAGGAAAACATATATACATATATAGACAGGAAAGTGATTATCTCTAAAGGGAAGGCTATTAATTGGGAGGGATATATTGGGGTTCCTTGGGGTGCTGGCCATGTTCTATTCCTTGGAATCAGTGGCAATTTTATTATACATATATTATATGTATTCTTCTGTGTGTATATTTCATTAAACAATTTATTAAACTTGTTTAGAATAATGAGAGGCCACACAACTAAGCCTGTGATGGCTTAGCTGAATTTCCTAGATTCAGTCAGCAGAAATTCTGAAATTGAATAATGATTGGCAGATGCTCTCTATAAGGAATCACTGATTTGTTTTCTTATCTAAAGTTTAAGTTTGTTAATATGCTTCCCTGGAGTTGTCATGTTTAGAAAATTGCAAAAAAATACTGACAAAATTATGACTCTTGTGTAAGATTATTCCAGCCCTGTTAAAATTTTGTCTATTTTTATTTATTGTTCTAATATAGCAAAATAAGTTCATCTGCATTTACCTGTTTTAATAACTGTACCTTCAAGTATAAAACTTCAATTATGTTTAAACTTTAAAATGTAGACCGGGTACCATGGCTCACACCTCTAATCCCAGCACTTTGAGAGGCCACGGTGAGTGGATTGCTTGAGTCCAGGAGTTCAACACCAGCCTGGGCAACATGGTAAAACCCCATCTCTACAAAAGTACAAAAAATTAGCTGGGCGTGGTGGTGTGAGCCTGTAGTCCCACCTACTCAGGAGACTGAGGCAGGAGGATCACCTGAGACCAGGAGGCAGAGGCTGCAGTGAACCGAGATGGTGGACTGCACTCCAGCCTGGGCAGCAGAATGAGACTCTGTCTCAAAAATTAATTAATTAATTAATTAAAAAAATGTAAAACTAGCATGTCTGAATAAACCTTTCTTCCTGAGTTTGTCTTAACTTGAAATCAAAGAAAATCAATATCTTTGGCCATGGTTATACCAAAGTATAATTTATTTGTATGTTTCTATAAAAAGAAAACTCTTGACTATTCAGTTTACATGCCAATAATTCCCCTGTAGGTCTAATTGAAAGTGCTCCAAGAATTGCACATGGGAAAAGAAAAAAAAAATCTCTATGGTAATAGTAAATATATTAGTATGTTAGCCACTGGAAATAAACATATGTTTGATTAAAGTTTTGAATGTAAAAATACTATTTGGCAATTTCTTTGCCTTGGCACCTCTCTATTTTCTAAAGTTCTAGAAGAACTGTATACCTCATTGTTACGGGCTAAATTGTGTTCTCCAAAATTCGTATGTTGAAGCCCTAACTCTCATTACTTCAAGATGTAATTGTATTTGGAGAAAGAGGTTTTGAAGAGTTAAGTTAAAATAGGGTCACAAGGGTGGGCCCTAATTTATTATGATTGATATTTTTATAAGAAGAGGAGATTAGGACACAGACAACACACACATGGACAGCCATGTGAGGGCACAGCAAGGAGGCCATCATCTGCAAACCAAAAAGAAAGGCCTCAGTAGAAAGCAAACCTGCTGACAGCTTGATCTTGGGTGTCTAGCCTCCAGAACTGTGAGAAAATAAATTTACGTTGTTTAAGCAACCCCATCTGTGGTATTTTGTTATTGCAGCTCTAGGAAACTAATAGAATCACCAGGCAATGACTTTAGCCTACAGAAAAAAAAAAAAGTTAAAAAAGAAACAATTACCAAATATTTGTATTACATCGTATACATAAATAGAAAACAGACTTCATAGCCTTGACTCCCTGTCAAATTCAAAAAACTTATTGTGGATAAATTTATATCTAAAACAGTTACCTCCAACTTGGTGTTATGACTACTTGGATAATAAGATTGATCAGAATCTCAGACACAGCTTATGTGTGTACAAGCACACAGTAAAGGCTAAAACACATGATTTTCAGATGCTACCTACCAGTATTGGATTTCCAACCCTTATAAAATCTACTCAAGTAATTTCTGGAAGTCCTTAGGATTATGTCTTACCTATATCTAGCTGTAAGTCTATTTGAGTTTTTCTTCCCTGACCTTATTGTCAAGGCCTCTCACTCTGCTGCTATTGCCCTTTCTGAGAATGAGAATAAAAAAAAAAAAAAAAATCTACTTTCTGCTAGTGGCCACCTTGAGTAATTACATTGCTAAAGCGGTGCTGTGTAAAAGTGCAAAGAAGGGATGTGTTGGATAGCCCTACTGACAACTCTGTTTCAGATATGTCAGTTTGGCCTCAAATCAGTCCAAATTTTGCCCAAAGTCTCATAAAATCATTTCATAAGCACAACTACTTCATCTTCTAATTCACATCATTCCACAGAAGGATAAAATGATTCCCTGTGTGATGGGAGACAGTACACAATCCCCTATATCTTAATCATACTGTTGCCCATTTCTTGGAGGTTTCATATCTGAAAAACAACTATACACACACACATAAATACACACTTTCTCCGTTCGTTATTGTAACTTTCTCTCTTTCTGTAAGCCACGAATTTAAAAGCATCCATTCATAGAACCTCATATGAATAAATATTTGCAAAGGTGACCGGCCCAACAGTTGCCTGGAAAGAAATACTGTCTGACCACAGCTAAGGCATTTTGGTATAAAATATGAACAAAGTATGACATTATCAATTTAAAATATTATATACTGTATTTCTATCGTATATTTATGTGTATCTCATAAAGACTTTTTATTGTATATATTTAAGATATGCAATCTGATGTTTAGATATACATATGCATAGTGAAATGACTACCACACACAAGACAATTAACATATCAACCTCCTTACATATTCATCTTTTTTTGTAGTGAGAATATCTGAAATCTACTCTTGGCAAATTTCCAGTTATAATACAGCATTATTAGCTATGATTACTAGGTTGTATATTAGATCTCTAGACTTATTTATTCTATATAACTGCAACTTTGTACCTTTTCCGCAACATCTCTGCATTTCCCCCTTTCCTGCCCCTAGTAACTACCATTCTACTCTCTGTTTCTATGTATTTGCCATTTTGTATATTACATATGTAAGTGTTCACCTATTTATTTATACTTCTCACTTATTTTACTTAGTATATTTACTATTGTCATTTTGTTAATTTTCAGTTTGTCTTACAGTTCTTTTGTTCATCCCTTTTTCTCTTGAGATTTTTTTTATTCTGTTATTTTTTATATTGATAGGTTTTGATTATTGTATCATTATCTTTTGTGTAACTTCTCTAGGTGTTTTCTTGGGGTTACCAAGAAACTGACATATAATATCTTATACTGTACCAGTCTATTTTAAACTGATAACAAATTAATTTCTCTTGTATGTACAAACTCGCCACCTTTATCTCTCTCCCCCCATTTTGCATCCTCTTTGAAATCATAATTTATAAATATTTTATATTGTGCATGTGTGATATTAGATGTCAAGTTGACTAAATTAAAGGACACCCAGATAGCTGGTAAAGTATTATTTCCATCCAAACCATTTGTTATGGTTTGAATGCACCCCACAAAGTTTATGTGTTGGAAACTCGATCGCCAGTGCAACAGTATTACTAAGTGGGACCTTTAAGAGATAATTAGGACTGAAGGCTTTGCCCTCATTAATGGATTAATGACATTATTGTTGGAGTGATTCCTCATAATTGGTGTGAGTTTCTTATAAAAGAATGAGTTCACCCCCTTCTTGGACATTCTCTCTCTCTCTTTCTGTCTCTCTCTCTTTCTCCTTTTCTCTCTCTTGCTCTCTTGTCTTCCACCACAGAAAGATACAGAAAGAAGGTCCTAGCCAAATGCCAGCTCCTTTATCTTGGGCTTCCCAGCCCCCAGAATTATGAGAAATAAATTTATGTTTTTTATAAGTTAGTCTGTGGTATTCTGTTATAGCAGCAAAAATTTATGTATATTATAAATTACTCAGTCTGTGGGATTCTGTCATAGGAGAAAAATTTATGTATATTATAAATTACTCAGTCTGTGGTAGTCTGTTATAGCAGCACAGACTAAGAAAGCCTATGACAGTGTATTTGGAAAGATTGGCATTTGAGACAATGAACTGACTAAGGAATATATGCCCTCGTCCAATGTGAACAGGCACCATGCAATCAGCTGGGGGCCTGGATGGAACAAAAAGGTCGAAAAAAGGAGAATTTATCCTCTAATTTTCTCCTCCCTTTGGACATCAGAACCCCAGATTCTCTGGCCTTAGGACTCTGGAACTTGTACCAGTAGACTCCAAGGTTCTTAGGCCTTCAGATTTGTACTGAGAGTTACACTGTTGGCTTTCTGTTTCTGAGATCTTTGGACATGAACTCAACCATGCCACTAGCTTCTCTAGTTAACCCAGATAGAAGTCGGACTATCACGAGACTTCTCAGTCTCCATAATTGAAATGACCTTGTTGTCTGGAGTAACACCTGAAGTTCGTTGTCTCACAACCATGGAGAACAAGGACACCGACACACAAAGAGTGGGGTTGACACAGGGAGTTTAATAGGCAAAAGAAGGAGAATAGCTCTCAGCAGCAGAGAGGGGTCCCAGAAAAATGGGTTGCCCATCCATAGCAAAATGCAGGGGGTTTTATAGATGAGCTGGTAGAGAGGCAGTGTCTGATTTACATAGGGTGCAAAAAACTGGTTGGACCGGGTGTGCCATTTGCATAGGGTGCGACTCTCTGGTAGGCCCCACCCTAATCTTTTATTATGCAGAGTGGGTTTTCAGCTTGAGTTGCACGGTATTCCCATTTCTTTGTTCCTGTACACGTGATGACAAAAGTGGAAGATGGAGCCTCCATGTTGGATATGCCTGGCCTCCAGGTAGCCCTTTTCTATTGGCCCAGCTGCCAGCATTGCCCCATGCAAGCTTCCAGATTCGTTATATATGTTAGCAGCTTGATTTTTCAGGCTGCTCTTTGTTAGAAAATAAATGATTTTTGGGGCTGCTTTTGGTTAGAAAAGGAATTCTGCTAAGGACTCTGTTGCCCTCACTATCTGCCTAAATAATTTCTTTCTGTCTCCTGTACCATAATCACATGAGTCATTTCCTCTAACAAGTCTCCTTTCACATATCTCTCTTTTCATCTATCTATCTATCTATCTATCTATCTATCTATCTATCAACTATCTATCTAGAGAGAGATATCCTACTGATTCTGACTCTCTGGAAACTCATAACTAATACAGATTTTGATACCAGGAGTAGTTTTAGAGAAACATAATTTTAAGGATGAGTTTCCTGAATTGATTTTGGGGTTTCTGCAATTGGATCTCTAATCTGATTGGATTTAAACATGCTAAGGACTCTACTTCCAGTAGTAGAGTGAGCACTGAGAGTCGATGGTAAGAACTGTTTATAGAGATATTCAAAATATCTGCATCAGATACTCCTAATCATCCACTTATAAGTGACAAGGAACTTAGTGACCCTATATATAGTACTTCCAAATACTTGTAGAAAACTAACATTGGTTGGTTACTTCTAATGTCACTGGACAAAGTGATGAAAGAAAAGGATGAGCTCAGGGATTTGAATTCCCCTTTCAAGGTTCGCATAAATAACCTAAGCACTTCTAGTTATGCCCTGAAGGCTGATCTTGTCTCCTGTAGGCCCAGGGCTTAATTTTTTGAAAATTAAACATAAGTTCTCATCATGTGTTTGGCTGAATTACAATGAATGATGAACTATGAGCATCACAGGGTATCTATTATTAAAATTAGGACATTGATTCAGAAAGAATGACATTCTGTAAGCTGGGATGGGGATGTTTTGGAAGACCCCGAGGAAGCTGAGAACATTAAACTCATAATTCTGATGTCTTTTTTTTCCAGTGGATGTAGCATCCTCACTCCCCACTGGAAATAGCCTCCTCACCCACAGTGGTATCTACCTTTTCACCTCTGTCTGAGGGGATCAACTCTGTATTGCCTGAGGAAATGGTAATGGCCTCCACTGAGGCAGTTGCCAAGCAAGACATTGCTGATTCTCTGCAGAACCCACTCACATCACCTCTCTTTGCTTCTAGACTTATAACTATACTCAAGTCCCAGAAGGCCCTTAAAGATGACGTACAAGGTGTGACCCATGAAGAGGTGTGTTACACTTCAAAAGAACCACTTAAGTTTTTTTTTTTAAATTTATGTAAGCAGAAACCCAGGGAACATGTGTTAAGATGGATATTAAGAGTGTGGGATAATGGTGGAAGAAGTGTAAAGTCGGATCCGGCAGAATTTATTGATATTGGCCCAGTAAGCAGAAATTCTGAATTTAACACCGAAGCTCAGGGAGTTAGAAAGGGCTCAAAAATTTGTTTGGTTGGTTGGGTGAAATATGGATTAAAAGATGGTTCACCATGAGTGAGTAGAGATGGCCAATTCCCCTTGGTTTAAGGTAGAGGACAGAATTCAAACACTTAGGGAGATTGGAATGCTAGAGTGGATTTGTCACTTGAAACCTACTCACCCAAATTGGGAAAGTCCAGAAAACATAACTTTCGCCAGTACTTTGAGAAATAGGTTTGTGAGGGGAGCCTCAGCATCCTTGAAGATCTTCATGACTGTAGGCCACACCTTACAGTGGGAATCACAGTCACTCAATTGGAAAGCTTAAATTTAATGAGAATAACTGAATCCTGTAGTGGCAGGGGCCAAGTGGCAGCACTCAACTGCCAAAGGTAAGGTGGGTGTTACCTTAAAGGACAACAGAATCAAAACAACAATCTGAATAGTCTAGTCTATGGCATTGAGTTGTTAACCATGGTGTTCCTAGAAATGAGATAGATAGGAAGCCTACTAAATTCTTAGCTGATCTGTACAAGCAATAAACTTCCAGGTCAAAAAGTCTAACTCATAAAAACAGAAAATCATGGTCTCTCAAACAATTCCTAGATTTGAACCAGTTTATAGATCTAGATTGTCTTAAATGAAGAAGAAGCTGAGTCCCCTTGAAGAAGGATCCTGGACACTACTAAAATTGTGTACTGTTAATCTTTGTCCCTGCCTTCCCTAAGGAACCTATAGCCTTATACCAGTATAACTGTGCATTGAGGAAAAGGAAATATTCAGATCTTTCAGGGACTACTGGACACTGACTCTGAACTGACATTGATTCCAGGAGATCAGTTTCCGTGTGTATATTGTCTTGGTTGCTCAGTGGGGAGAAGTCTCTTGACTAAATTCTGGATTTTTTTTAGAAGGAATTGAGCTATATGTAGTTGTTTACGTGGTGCATCTGTGAGAGACAGGAAAGACAGAGACCTCCTATTTCACCATCTTGCTGACATGTTCTCCCGCATAAAGACTTTTTTAAATGAAAAAAGAAAGATTCAATCTTACGGCAAGGCAATATCCTAGAAGAATACAATTTAATAAGATTGACTCAAAAAATATGTGAAAAATTTTAATAAACTGTACATTTTAAGTAAACGAAAGCAAGTTAAAATTTAAGTTCAGATAAAATGTTAGATCTTAATTATTGTATAACTAACCTTACCAAACATTCAAAAAATTGTTTATGCTTGTTATATTAACATATTATATAGAAAAACATCCTGAATTAATAATAAAGCCCAACTCCTTTTAGCAGACTAGTATAACTTTTATATCACAATCAGATGAAAACACTATGGGGGAAGAAAAATGATAAGGCATTCTCACACCTGATCACAGAGCAAAAATTGTAAATAAAATATTACCAATCTAGTTTCAGCAAGAGATGAAAATATAATCCATTCTGACCAAGTGACTTATCCTCAGAATGTATGCTTGCTTAATAAATTAGAAAATTGATCAATGTAATATTAAACTTTTACTTTCTTAACCTGATAAAGATAATTTGTAGTAAACATCAAACTTAATGGTGAAATATTAAAAGCAGAAAACTTTAGTCAAACACAAGACAACAACATTGATAATCATAATTGGTATTAATCAATTTATTAGAGTTTCTAGCCATCATGTTAATTTTAACAATTAACAGAATGTCCACTGAATGGGAACAATTATTTTCAAATCATACGTCTTATAAAGGGTTAAGATTCAAACTATATAAGCAACTCAAACAACTCAGTAGTAAGAAAGCAAAAAACCTAATTAAAAAATGGGCAAACGGCCTGAATAGACATTTTTCAAAAGAAGACTTACAAATGACCAATAGATATATTTTTAAAATGTTCAACATCGTGACTCATTAAGCAAATGCAAATTAAAACTGCAGTGAGATATCACTTCACACCTGTTAGAATGACTACTACCAAAAAAATGAATAATAACAAACGTTG
This sequence comes from Homo sapiens, assembly GCF_000001405.40. Classification (NCBI taxonomy): domain Eukaryota; kingdom Metazoa; phylum Chordata; class Mammalia; order Primates; family Hominidae; genus Homo; species Homo sapiens. The sequence goes on along the minus strand of NC_000023.11, from coordinate 93,253,062 downwards.
ATGAGGGTGAGGATGTGGAGAAAAGAGAGCCCTTGTACACTGTTGGTGGAAATGTAAATTAGTGTATATTTTACTAATTTCCATAATTAGCGAATTAGTATATATTTTACTAATTTCCATAATTAGTGAATTCGTATATATACTAATTTCCATAATTAGTAAATTATAAAAAACAGTATGGATGTTCCTCAAAACTCTAAAACTAGAATTACCATGGGGTCCAGCAATCCCACCACTGGGTATATATCCAAAGAAATTGAAATAAGTATATCAAAGATATATTTGCATTCCTATGTTCATTGCAGCATTATTCACAATAGCCAAGGTATGGAATCAAGCTATGTCCATCAACGGACAAATGGATAAAGAAGATGTGCTACAGAAAGACAAATATCACATATTCTTACTTATTTACAGGATCTAAAAATCAAAGCACCTGAACTCTTGAATATATAAAGTAGAAGAATGGTTACCAGGGGCTGGGTGGGGTAGTGGGGGGATGGTTAATGGGTCAAAAAGTTAGGAAGAATAAATAACACCTACTATTTGATAGCACAATAGGATGACTATAGCCAATGGTAACTTAATTGTACATTTTTATATAACTTAAAGAGTATAATTGGATTGTTTGTAACTCAAGAGATAAATGCTTGAGGGGATAGATATCCCATTCTCCATGATGTGCTTACTTCACGTTGCATGCCTATATCAATGCATCTTATTTACCCTATAAATATATACACCTTCTATGTACCTACAAAAATTGTAACAATTTAAAAAAACATGCTACATATACACAACGGAATACTATTCATCAATTAGAAGAATATTCTGTCATTTGCAACATGTATGAATCTGGAGGATGTTATGCTAAGTGAAATAAGCCAGAGACAGAAAGACAAATGCCACATGATCTTACTTTTACGTGGAATCTAAAAAAGTTGAAACCATAGATGTATAGAATAGAATGCTGGTTACCAGAAAGGCTGGTTGGGGAGAATGGACATGGAAAGAGGAACTGTTTGTCTAAGGATACACAGTTTAGTTAGATAAGAGAAATAAATTCTAGTGATATTTTACACATCATAGTGACTATAATTAAAAATAATACATTGTGTATTTCAAATTTCCTAAAATAGTAAATTTTGTATATACTCACCACAAAAAATTATAAGTATATGAGGTGATGGATGGATATATTACTTAACCTGATTTAATCATTCCACAATGTTTATTTGTATCATAACATCACAACATACCCCATAAATATCTAAAATTATTATGTGTCACTTAAAAATAAAATAACAAAAGCTACTAAATGCAAAATAATAAATATGTCCAGTAGTTTAAAATTATTTTAAAAGTTAGGCAAACTTAAATAAATAAAACTCTTTGTTAAACTATTATGTTTAATGATTAAATGATATTTTATTGTATTGTTCTTCTACAATTTGCTCAATTATTCTTATGTTGCAGGACCCATATGTTGTTTATAATTTTTTCTATTATAGATAATACCATAATGAAACTTAATAAAGATGCAATGAAATGAATGAAGATTGAAAAGGAATGCCTCAAATTGTCAATTTTATATTATTGTCCACTTGGAAAATCTAAGAGACTATCCACAGAATCATCAAAACTAATAAGACAGCTCAGTAATATTGCTTGTAAAAGTAAAATACACCTAAATCAGTGTGCTTCATTTTATCAGCTGCAATTTAAAATTTTAATTATTAATTATCAAAAATAAACCAGTTATATTAGTAATAAAACTATGAGGTACTTATAAGAAGTTTGACAAAAGATACAGAAAACTTTAATGGACAAAATTAGTAAACTTTACTGATAGGCCTACATAAAGACTTCAATAAAAGGAGAGAAGTACCATTCTTGTGGATATCAAGACTCACTATGATAACACTGTCCCATTGAACAATATCAATCTATATTTTCCCATTTCTCTCAATATAGAAGAAGGATGGAGTAGAATGGAATCAGGGAGAAGTTCACAGGAATTATCAACTGCATTTGCAATATTTTCTTCATTAAAAGTCAGTATGATCACATATGGCATATATTTAGAACTAAGTGAGGTGGTAGCACTCACGTGTTTATTTCATTATAATATTCTCTATATGTTATATGCTGGAAATATTACATTAAATTTTTTTATAAAAATATATAATCTAGGAAAGTATGTGGAGAAAATTCAGATATAAAAGACCATCAGTCATTTCCAAGTTGTAACAGTGATTTGCATAGGTTCATTGAATCTTTTGAGAAAGTTTTGATTAATTTTAGCATGGCATTAGTTCAGTATACTTATTTAATGAGGTATCTCAAGAATAGGCATGTTCAATAAGCATGTGACTGAGCAGTAGGACTAAAACCAAATGAAAAAACAGGCAAAGTTATGTTAATTAAGTTAAGGTTGCTTTACCTAACATCTTGAGTTGCCTAGGATAGTCATCTTTGATACCTGTTGTGCCAACATAATTCTTAATAGTTTCTCTTTTCACTCTCAGAGTGCTCAGCTTAGAAGATAAATTACATGGTTATAAGCTAGTTATAGATTGGAAAGGAATTAATGTGAAGTTTTACAATATCTTTTACAATGCTATCCAATAGATTTGAGCTAATCTTTCAAAACCAGAATTTAATGGACCATTTTTCATTTTGTTGAATTCCCAAAAGTTTTACAGGACACTGAACACCCTGAAGGAAAATGTCCTGAAGGAAAATGTAAGATAATACTTAATTCAACAAATCCCCATTTAGCAAGAAAAGAAATAAGAATGTAAGAAATGCAAGATAGAATGCTAAATGCAAGAAATAATCACTAATAGAAGTGAGAGTCTATGCCCTCAAGAAGATTAAAATTCACTGGAAGAGGCAAAGCAAGGATGAAAATAACTATGATAGAAGACAAAATAAGGTACCATAAAAATAAGATATCCTAAAATACACTACAAAAAACAGCATAAGCTCTCAAAGAAGGAAAAGATCATATGTAATTGGGAGATAAAGAACTTACATAAAAATAATATTCCAATCAGAACTTGAAGGAGAGGTAGTATTTTGAAAGCTAGAAATTATGAAGCTATAGAAAGAGTACCAGGCAAGATTAGCAAAAATGAACAAAAAAGGCATGATAGTGATAACATACAAAGAAAATAAAGAAAATTAAGAAAGCAGAAGGGGCATTTGGATCATTTGGATATTAATAGAGTTTATGTAAGAAAATAAGACTAAAATCTAAAACTATAGTTTGACTTTGTATTGTAGAGGGATGTGAAAACCAGGGAAAGAAACTTTTACCAAAATTGGTAGGTAATGGGAAGCTAGGAGGCAGTAATGTGAGAGAGAGAGAGAGAGAGAGAGAGTGTGTGTGTGTGTGTGTGTGTGTGTGTGTGTTAAGCAAATGAGTGATGTAATGAGAGTTGTGTTTTAGGAACTTGAATCTAGTAGCAGCATGACCTATGTTTAATGGGAACAAAAGGAAGGAGACAGAAAAACTGTTGGTAACAAGATTAGTTTAAGTCAGAAAAATACAAATTAGAATATTATTAGTGATATTGATAGAGTGTGGAGAATCAAAAGCATACTCCTATGAGGTGAATTTAAAATAATTCCATCTGCAAAAATATCACTGTCTACGAAAAAAGAGAAAGAAAAGAATCTTAAATTCTGGTAAACATTATATTAGTACCAATTTAGCATATTTCTGCTTTTTAAAATTGTTATTAGGGTAGTTTATCTGTCTAAAATTTAACCTAGGTTCTGTTCATATTTTATGTTAACTGCAAGGAAAATATTGCTTTTAAAAGAACATTCTAATTACATTCCATGCAAGAGCCATAAAAAGAAACCCACATGTAGGCATAGCCTAGAAAACCTATTAAATTATAAAAATAAAGAGGATAACCTATCAGCATCGAAACCAGTAATTCAAACTTCATTTTTTTCTATCCTCATCCTCAATTCAGAGTGACATAATAATCTTTAGTCAATAATAGTGATTCAATTCAGATGTTATTTTTAAACTTGGAGATTGGGTGCCCTGTTCAAATGACAATACATATCTAAGAATCTCATTGTTAGCAGATAAAGAGGTGTGTTAATAAAAACAGCAAAACAACTTAAAAGAGCTTCTCCTAAGGAATTATGATGTTAAAATAAAATGAAAATAAATACAGATGATTTATGCAATAATGACTTCAAGGAAGATATGCATTTTACTGATGAAGAAACTGAGACTTGAGAAAGTAAGTAAATTGGCATAGACCTGATATTTTGTAGGGTACATATTAAAACATAAAATTTAGTCTTTCAATCAAGGAAAATCAATAAGAATTTTTGTGACAATAGAGTAAATGCATTATGCATTCAAATCAATAACAGCACAATTAACCTAAGAAAAATATAAAGCATCAACAAATATGGATTAAAAACCAATATGAAGCAAAAAATACCCCAATATACTTGATTAATGCAAAAGCTAAATTTTCAAATATTAATAAAATAGAAAAAACTATGGCAAGTCACATGAAGTAAAAATAGCCATGCTATACTGGATGTAAAGGAAAATATAATCATGGACAGAGGTAACATTATAAATATATAAAATAATACTACTTAAAATATATTATGCTAAGAAATTTGAAAATATCAATAAAATAGATGTCTTTCTAGAAAATATGTAACTTAGAAAATAAATATAGACTCAAAATATAACAATAGAACAAAACTTCAACTTTGGATAATGCATGTGAATGTCTTTTAAATAACTAAAGTAACCAAAAATTCTGTGAATGGGTAAAAAAGCGAAAATGCGACTATTTGAAAAAAGATAACTACAATTTAAAAGTGAAATGATGCAAAAAGTATAACAAGCAAATGCTGATAAGAAGACAGCTAGATGAAAATTTAGAAAAAAAGTAGCTTTTAATGCTAATAAGAAGTCACCTATGGAAATTTAAGAAAAAAGGAGCTTTTAAGGCCAAAAATGTCATATGGAATTAAGAGGGACATTTTATCACAACAATAGATGCTCTAACTCAAGATAATGTAACAGTTATAGATGTCTACACATCAAACAATATTTTATTGAAGAATGGAAACCAAAAACTTTTAGAAATAAGGTTTTTTGACAATGACAAATTTATACCAGGGAACTTCTCAGAATTGAGCTAGAACTAGATGAAAAATGAAAATGCACACAATTGCAATAATATAATTAAGATCCTTAAATATAAAAAAGGTATTTTAATTTGTGTCTGCTTTTTTTTATTATATAGTGTTCTGAGAATATGGTCTGTCAAATTTCTACATTTTAAAATGTATTTTTAGAATATGTGTGTTCCTCAGAAATTTGGAAAAAATGGAATTCTTTAATTAGAACATACTGGGTAGTCTATGTTTTAGGGTACATTAAATACGTATATTTTACAGATTTAAACAAAGATATCTATAAGCAGGGCACTCATTCTTTTATTTTTCTGCCTATCAAATGGTCACAAAAACTTATAGTGTATTGGGTCACACTCTCAAAAAGCATAAATAAATTAAATAATATATATTTATTTGTAATAGCATAGTATTAACATAGTAACATATAAATAATAAATATGTATAGGCCACAGATTTTGACCATTATAAAATTAACAAGACATTAACAATATGAAACAAAAAACTTGAAACTAAAAATTAAGTACATTAAAATAAAAACACAATTATATAACTTTAGGGTCAAAGAAAAATTAAAGCAAACAATTTGAAATTGAAAGCAATTAGAAAACTATGAGATGTGGGTAAAGCTATATTTTTAGGAAATTATTGGTTACAAGTTATTTTAATATTAAATGATAAAGATTGAAATAAATAAGAATTTAATTAAAATGTTACAGAAAGCAACATCAAGCAAAATAAAATTGGAAAAGGAATGAATAAGTATAAAAGCACAAATTTATGTGTTAGAAATAAATTCATAGAATTGGTAAATAAAACTTTAAAAGTAGTTTTCAGGATAGACTAGTACAATTAGAAAAAACAAAAGCTAGCAATTCTGGTCAAGGAAAGAAGTAAACACATGTAAATATAAAACATTAGGATGAGAAAGAGGATGTACCTACATATTCAAAAGAGATTTAAAGTTGTGAGACTGGGGATGCCTTTATATTTTAGATAAAATGGGTGACTTTCCAGAATATATATAAATTACCAAAGATTATTTGTGAGAAATTAGAAAATGCATATATACTGAGAACCATAGAATAAACAGAAAAACTAACCAACCCAAATGTCCAACAACGATAGACTGGATTAAGAAAATGTGGCACATATACACCATGGAATACTATGCAGCCATAAAAAATATGAGTTCATGTCCTTTGTAGGGACATGGATGAAATTGGAAATCATCATTCTCAGTAAACTATCGCAAGGACAAAAAACCAAACACCGCATGTTCTCACTCATAGGTGGGCATTGAACAATGAGAACACATGAACACAGAAAAGGGAACATCACACTCTGGGGACTGTTCTGGGGTGGGGGGGAGGGGAGGGATAGCATTAGGAGATATACCTAATGCTAAATGACGAGTTAATGGGTGCAACACACCAGCATGGCACATGTATACATATGTAACTAACCTGCACATTATGCACATGTACCCTAAAACTTAAAGTATAATATTAATAAAATAAATCATTGCAGAGTACAATATCATAAAAAAAAACTATGTTTCTAAAAGTATTCAGTCCCTCATGCCTTCCATGCCAAGAAGATTTTATATCTCCATCTGTAGTGTTTGCAACCTCCAATGAGAGAGTACTTGTTCCCACCTCATTGCCTCCTTCAAGATTGATAAAATGACATTTTTTTTTTTTTTTTGGCTAATGAAATGTAAGAAGAGATGATACGTGGCACATCTAACAGAAGATTTTAGAGAAATCATGATTTCAACAGCTTCTCCGACTTCTCTGCCAAATAAATGGATATATTCCATGTAGGGTTTCCATCCTTAACTATGACCTGGAATGAGAAGACACATGACATCCTACATAGGGCACAGCCTGAAACCGCAGATAATTCTTGATACAAAGAAGATTCCAGGTTATTTTGTCACCACAAAAAAGCTGATAAAGGCCAGGCGCCGTGGCTCACTCCTGCAATCCCAGCACTTTGGGAGGCCGAGGCGGGCGGATCACGAGGTCAAGAGATTAAGAACATCCTGGCCAACATGGTGAAACCCTATCTCTACTAAAAATACAAAAATTACCCAGGCGTGGTGGTGCATGCCTGTAACCCCAGCTACTCGGGAGGCTGAGGCAGGAGAACTGCTTGAACCTGAGAGGCGGAGGTTGCAGTGAGCCAAGATCACACCACTGAACTCCAGACTGGGAGACAGAGCAAGACTCAGTCTCAAAAAAACAAACAAATAAATAAATAAAGCTGATAAATACCACCTTCAATGATCCCAAGCCCAAATGCTTTCATATGTAAGTTTTCTCATTCAATGCCATACATTTTTCTCTGATACTTTGTAGATTTTTTTGCATTATATTTCTCTTTGCATACAAATGTTTTAAGAAGGGTTTATTTCATATCCAGACGACTGAGGTTTTCTGTCTTCTATTTTATGTAGTTCTAGCTTCATTACATATCGGTTAGACAATGTTGTCTGTGCTACTTGTACTTTTTGCAATTTTTGATATTTTATTTGCGGCGCATTAACCCTATTCTTGCTCATATTCTATGGATGTTAAAAAGTATATCCTCAATTTTCAACGTAGAAAGCTTGTTTTAAACCTATTTAAATGTATTCAATTTATTGTTACTTAGATCTGCACTTCCTTATTTTTTGACTATTTAAATTTGCCAAGAACTGTGAGTTAAAGTCTAATATTATTATGTTTCTGTATATTTCTCCTATTTTGTGTAGTTCTTACTTTATCAATTTTTGATGCTGCTGTTGTCTGCATTAAATTCTTCATAGATCTTCACTGTGGATTTTGTTTTTTCTCATTTATTTTATTGTATTTTTTGTTTCAGTCACTTTCGGGGTACAAGCGGTTTTTAGTTACATGAATGAATTATATAGTGTTGAATTCTGTGATTTTAGCGCACTTGTCATCCGAGCAGTGTACACTGTATGCAATATGTAGTCCTTCATCCTTCATCTCCCACCCCATCCCCCTGCCCAGTCCCAACGACTGTCCATTATACCTCTCTTTCTGTCCTCATAGCTTAGCTCCCACTTATGAGAACATTACTGAGTTACCTTATTTAGAATAATGGCCTCCAGCTCTGTCCAAGTTGCTGCAAAAGACATTATTTCATTCATTTTTTTGTTTTGTTTTCAGACTGAGTCTCACTCTGTCACCCAGGTTGAAGTATAGTGGTGCTCACTGCAACCTCCGCCTCCTGGGTTCAAGCGATTCTCCTGCCTCATCGTCCCCAGTAGCTGGGATTACAGGTACATATCACCACTCTCGGCTAGGTTTTTTGTTTGTTTGTTTGTTTTTGTATTTTTATTAGAGATGGGGTTTCACTGTGTTGGCCAGGCTGGTCTCAAACACCTGACCTCAAGTGATCCACCTGCCTTGGCCTTCTAAAATGCTGGGATTACAGGCATGAGCCACCGTACCCAGCCTATTTCATTTCTTTTTATGGCTGAGTAGTGTTACATGGTGTATATATACCACATTTTATTTATCTATTCATTTCTTTGCAATTGTGAGTTGTGCTGCTATAAACATGTATGCCTGTGTCCTTTTTATAAAATTACTTCTTTTTGTTTGGGTAGACACCCAGTAGTGAGATTGCTGGATCAAATGATAGATCTACTTTTAGGTGTTTAAATAATTTCCATACTATTTTTCATAGAGGTTGTATTAATTTACATCCCTACCAGCAGTGTAAAAGTGTTCCCTTTACACCACATTCATGCCAACATCTATTGTTTTTTGACTTTTTAATTATGGCCATTCTTGCTGGAGTAAGGTAGTACCTCATGGTTTTAATTTGCATTTCCCTGATGTACTGTTAAGCCTTTTTTCAAATTTTTTTGTCTGTTTGCATATTTTCTTTTGAGAAATGTCTATTCATGTCATTTGCTCACTTTTTGATGTAATTATTTGTTTTGGTTTTTTTTTTCTTGCTAATTTGAGTTCCTTGTTGATACTGGATATTAGTCTTTTGTTAGTTGCATAGTTTGCAAATATTGTCTCCTATTCTGTGGGTTGTCTGTATAATATGTTGATTATTCCTTTTGCTGTGCAGAAGCTTTTTAGTTTAATTAGTTTACATTTGTTTGTTTTTTGTTCCTGCATTTGCTTTTGGAGTCTTATTCATGGATTCTTTGATGAAGCCCATGTTCAGAAGAGTTTTCCCAACACCTTCTAGAATTTTTATGGTTTCAGATTTAAATCTTTGACTCATCTTGAGTTGATTTTTGTAAAAGGTGATAGATGGGGGACCCAGTATCATTCTTCCACATGTGGCTTGTCAGTCTTTCCAGTACCATTTATTGAACAGGGTATCTTTTCCCTAATTTATGTTTTTGTATGCTTTGCCAAAGATCAGTTGTCTGTAGGTATTTTGCTTTATTTCTGCGTTCTCCATTCTGTTCCCTTCGTCTAAGTGCCTATTCTTTATACCAGCACTGTTGTAGTCTTGCCAGTGCACCAATGTGTAACAGTCTCTCATTATCTGAGATAATAACCATATTTCTTTGTCTTACATCCAAGAAGATTAAGGAGCACGGACACAAGGGTGAGGTTGGAGTGAAAATTTGAAAAGCAAAAGAAGAAAGCTCTCCACCAGTGGAGAAGGGGGCCCAAATGGGTTGCTCCCTATGAGGCTAGAGTCCAGGGTTTTTATGGACTGGGAAGGGAAAGGAATGTGCTTAGTCTGTGGGCTATCTTGGAGAACACGTGACTCAGCTTGCCCCAGGGCCTTGGCCTGGGACCAATCTGAAAGCTTAGCCCTGGACCTTGGCTTGGGACCAATCATGGGCTGAAGTGATGATTCATAGAGCCTGGGCTCACAATCTAAAAAAGGAAAGAAAAGTGCCCACCGGAATCGACCAGAGCCCACTATGTTCATGCTCACAAAAGGAGAAGAAACTTTTTCCTGGAAGCTCGCTGATTATACAAAGGACAAAAACCTTTCTATGTCAGGCCTTGTTCTTTTATCTGAGTGAGCTGGAGGTTTGTGAAAATTTTTGTCTGAATAGGCTGGAGGTCCTGCTATCTGAGCAGCTGCGGCCATGTCTCCAGGCACAACCCCCTGTGCTAGTTCCCTTATCAGTGCCCGCAGCTTGACTTTTTTCCCAGGCTTCTTTTTATGTTGCATGGGCATAAGGCACTGACCCATGGGCAGGGGGCTCTCTAGGGACCTTTCCTTTGATGTCTACATAAGGCAAGCTAGCCAACTCCTCTCAGTACCATGCTGTATTTGTAACTATAACCTTGTAGTGTAATATTAAGTCTAGTGATGTGATGCCTCCAGCTTTGTTCCTTTTGATGAGTATTGCTTTGGGTAATCGGGCTCTTTTTGGTTCCATATGAATTTTAGGATTGTTTTCTCTAGTTCCACACACAAAAAAAATGCTGCTATTTTGAAAAAAAAAATTGCGTTGAATCTATAGATTGCTTTGGGCAGTATAGTCACTTTCACAATATTGATTCTTCCCATCTATGAGCTTGGGCTGTGTTTCCATTTGTTCGTGTCATCTGTTTTCTTTTAGCAATGTTTTGTAGTTATCTTTGTAGTGAACTTTCACCTCCTTGGTTAAGTATATTCCTAGGTATTTTACTTTTCTTGCAGCTATTATAAAAGAAATTGAGTTCTTAATTTTATTTTCAGCTTGATTGTTAGTGTATAGCAGTGCTACGGATTTGTGTACTTAAATTTTGTAACCCAAGACTTTACTGAATTTGTTTACTGGATCTAGAAGTCTTTTGGATGAGCCTTTAGGGTTTTCTAGGTATACAGTCATATTATTAGCAAACAGCACTAGTTTGACTTTCTCTATTCCAATTCGAATGCCGTTTATTTCTTTCTCTTGCCCAATTGCTGTCTAGGACTTCCAGTACTAGTTGAATAGGGGTGGTGAAAGTGGGCATCCTTGTCTTGTTTCAGTTCTCAAGGGGAATGGTTTCAACTTTTTCCCATTCAGTATGATGTTGTCTGTAGGTTTGTCATATATGGCTTTTATTATTTTGAGGTCTCTTCTGTGCCTAGTTTATTGAGGGTTTTTATTATAAAGGGATGCTGGATTTAATCAAATGCCTTTTCTGTATCTATTGAAATGATCATATGGTTTTTGTTTTTAATTCTGTTTATGTAATATGTCACATTTATCGACTTGTGTATGTTAAACAGTCCTTGCATCCCTGGGATGAAACTCACTTGATTGTTATGTATTATCTTTTTGATGTGCTCCTAGATTTGGTTAGCTAGTGTTTTGCTGAGGATTCTTGCATCTATGTTAATTAGGGGCATTGGTTTGTCCTTTTCATTTTTTTATATTCATTCCTTGTTTGAGTTTTAGGGTGATACTGGATTTATAGAACGATTAAAGGAGGATTTCTTCTTTCTCAATATTTTGGAATAGTTTCAATAAGATTGATAGACATTCTTCTTTAAATTTCTGGTAGAATTCAACTGTGAATCTGTCTGTTCCTGTGCCTTTATTTGTTGGCAATTTTTAAATTAATGATTCAATTTCACAGTTGGTTATTAGTCTTTTCAGTATTTACATTTCTTCCTGATTTCATCTAGGAACGCTATACATTTCTAGGAATTTATTTATTTTCTCCAAATTTTCTAGTTTGTGTATAGATAGAGGTGTTCATAGTGGTCTTGAAATATCTCTTTTATTTCTGTGGTATTGGTAGTATTGTCTCCAGTTTCATTTCTAATTGAGCTTATTTACATCTTCTCTTTTCTTTTCTTGGTTAATCTTGCTAATGGTCTATCAATTGTGTTTATCTTTTCAAAGAGCCAGCTTTTTGTTGCATTTATTTTTGTACTTTTGTTTCATTTTCATTTAGTTATCCTCTGATCTTTGTTATTTCTTCTGCTGGCTTTGTGTTTAGTTTGTTCCTGTTTCTCTAGTTTCTTGAGATGTGATGTTAAGTTGTCAATTTGTGCTGTTTCAGACTTTTTGATGTAGGCAGTAAACACTATGAACTTTCTTCTTAGCACTGCTTCTGCTGTATCCTAGAGGATAACTTCTGTCACTATTATAATTTATATCAAATAATTTTAATTTCTATTTTGATTTCATTGTTAACTGCAAAATCATTCAGGAATAGATTATTTTATTTTCATGTATTTTTATAGTTTTGAGGGTTCCTTTTGGAATTGATTTCTAGTTTTATTCCACTGTGGTCTGAGAAGATAATTGATATAACTGTGATTTTCTTAAATTTATTGACACTTGTCTTGTGACCTACTATGTGGTCTGTCTTGAAGAATGTACTATGTGCTGATGAGAAGAATGTGTATTCTGCACTTATTGGATAGAATGTTCTGTAAATATCTGTTAAGTCTATCTGTTCTAATGTATAATTTAAGTCCACTTTTTCTTTGTTGATTTTCTGTCTCAATAATCTCTCTAATGCTGCCACTGGAGTATTGAAGTCCCTCACTGTTATTGTCTTTCTCTCTATCTCATGTCTTAGGCATAGTAGTAACTGTTTTATTAATCTGAGAGCTTCAGTGTTAGGTGCATATAAACTTAGGATTGTAATTTTTAGTTGGATTGATACTTTTCTCATTAAATACCTCATTATATAATGACTTCCTTTGTCTTTTTCTTTACTGTTGTTGCTTTAAAGTGTGTTTTGTCTGATATAAGAATAGCTATTTCTGCTCTCTTTTGATTTCTATTTGCTTGGAATATCTTTATCCACAACTTTACTTTGAGTTTATATGAATCCTTAAGTGTTCGGTGAGTCTCTTAAAGACAGCAGACATTTGCTTTGTGATGTTTCACCCATTCTGCCATCTGTGTCTTTGAAGTGGAGTATTTAGGCCATTTGAAATCAACATTAATATTGCGATGTGAGGTACTGTTCTATCCATCATGTTAGCTGTTCCCTAGATTTTTTTTAACGGTTTCTGTGCTATTGTTTCATAGGCCCTGTGATTTTTTTATGCTTTCAAGAGGTTCTATTGTGGTGCATATCAAACTTTTGTTTTAAGATTTTGAACTCCTTTTAGCTTTCCTTGTAGTGCTAGCTTGGTAGTGGCAAATTCCCTCAGCATATGCTTGTCTTAAAATGGTTTTATTTCCCCTTCATTTTTAAAACCTAGTTTTGCTGAATACAAAATTCCTGGATGACAATTATTCTGTTTAAGGAGGCCAAAGATAGGGCCCCAATCTCTTCTATCTTGTAATGTAGCAGGACAAGCCACAGACAAAACCCCTCAGACACTGAGTTAAAGAAGGAAGGGCTTTATTCAGCTGGGAGGTTTGGCAAGACTCACATCTCCAACAACCGAGCTCCCCGGGCGAGCAATTCCTGTCCCTTTTAAGGGCTTACAACTCTAAGGCACTTTGTGTGAGAAGGTCATGATCGATTGAGCAAGCAGGGGTTACAGGACTGGGGGCTGCATGCACCGGTAATTAGAATGGAACAGAACAGAACGGGGATTTTCACAGTGCTTTTCTATACAATGTCTGTGATCTATAGATAACATAACCAATTAGGTCAGGGGTCGATCCTTAACTACCAGGCCCAGGGTGTGGCTCTGGGCTGTTTGCTTGTGGTTCATTTCTGCCTTTTAGTTTTTACTTCTTCTTTCTTTGGAGGCAGAAATTGGGCATAAGACAATATGAGGAGTTGTCTCCTCCCTTATTCCCTCCCTTTGAGAATCTCACTGAATAGTGGGAGTTCTCACTTTCATTCTCACTACCCATGTTTTCTTGCAAGACAGATTGATAGTGATTCATATAGTACACTTGTGCTGAAGCATTGTGGTGAACTAAGGTAGCGATGAAGCTTTTTATCATTTGAAGAAGTACAGGTAGCAAACAAGGGAGCAGTAAGCAGCATTACTATTATAACTCCTATTATAAGAGTTTTAAATCCTCCTAGCACTGGGAACCATTTTCCAAACATGGCCCCAGGATCAAATCCATGACACACTTGCACAGACATATGTGCCAGTTTTGTCATATCTCTATGTCTTCAACTATTTGCCCTTGATTATCAATGTGTAGACAGCAATTAGTAAGGTTAACTTTCCCACAGACCCCTCCTTCAGCTGCTAGCGAGTAGTTGAGAGCCAATCTATTTTGATAGACAGCATTTCTCATCTGAGTTTCTTGCCGGGCTAGAATAGTCAAGCTCTGCCGGTTTTATTAGTGATTATTTCTAAGGCAGCTTGTAACCATATGATTCGGTTGATCATGTAAATGGGGGTCCGGTATCCCCACAAGCCATCTTGTGCCCAAGTAGCAGGCCCATAATATTGTATGATTCTCTCAGGGGGCCATTCATCATCTTTCCAATTTCCTATAGCTATGCTTCTCTTTTTGCGGGAAGCATAAACAGGAAAGCCCAGGAGTTCGCCTGTTTTTATGGGCAGTAGGAAGAAACATGGTTTAATAGTGCCAATAACACAACTACCTGCCCACTGGTCAGGTAATTCGGCATAAGCTCTATGCCCACATATCCAGTATAATCCAGTGGGGGCTGTCCAGTCTCTATGGGACTCCGGGTGGGTCCACACGGTTTGCAACTTTGGGAATTTACTAAATGGATTCCTCTCTGTGTGATTTGAACTCCACCAAGTGACTGTTTTTGTGGTACCATTATACAGTTTCTGTCCCAGACAACTAAGTCATCCTATGGGGTGAGTGAATTCTTTTCCTTCTCTAGCTATGCAATATTGTCCAATAATAGAGGCTTTTAGGACCCAGAAATTATCAGGGTGATTCTTTTGAGCTGGAAAGTCATCAGGAACTGGGTCTGTAGGTACTAATTCTCTTGCTTCCCATGGCCATTGATCTCCCATTACAGTTCCTGCATATACATAACATTAAGTGACATTGAGAGACTGGGCTACATGCTCGGCTAACTGCAAAAACAAATTTCTTGTCTTTCCTGGAATTTCTGGTACTGGCACATTCAATTCATCATAGAAAGTTTGAAACACTGGCTCAGGAGAGTGTTTGTAAACTTCTCCTCGAACCAAGATATTTACTCAAGGATCCAGTCTGGCCCCATCGATTCCTAAGGTCACACGCTCCCCTTTTTTCCAGAGAGGATCAAGGGGATTGGTTATTACTAGCTCTAAGGGGTTACATTGGCCCTTATTACAGGAAGGGCCATTTTTGTCCTTTCTGAAGGTGGACTGGATCCTTTTCATTTTTTTTATCCAAGTGGCCCAAATGACACAAGACTAGTATCCACATTTGTTTCCAGACAGTCCTAATTCATGACAAATGTACTTATTTTTGGTCATATAGCATTTTTGCCAACTAAAAGAGCCACATCCCCTTCCTAACTTATTGCTATTAATGACAGCACAGGCATCAAATTTCAAGATTATGCATTTGGGCACCCCTCTTTCTTCTGTTCTGGCTAATACTTTACTAGTATCATTTATGAGTCCCCACCAGTCTTCAGTCCTTAATCTTATTTCAAAAACTGTCGACATGGGAAGCTCAGAGGGGTCATAACACACATCTGGTCAGTCGTTTTCTGGGCTACATTCCTTGTACTGAGTGTCATTATATAAACATGTTCCTTTTAAAGTTCTTAAGCATTCATAGTAACTATAGAACAGAAAGATTGTTTTAACTTCTTGCCCTACCTAGGTAACCTGATGTATACACTGAGAGCAGTCCTCCATGTGGGGAAAATCAGTGGAAGTTTTTACTATACAAGTCGAAATTATAAGGAAAATGAGTCCCGTGATGATTCTCCTCATGCTTTGGCCGTGCGTAGACCAGTCACCTTCCGGGTGTGACTGGAGCAGGGCTTGTTGTCCTCCTCAGAGTCACTTAGCAGGGGTTGTCCAGGCTCGGTTTTCCCTCCCAGGTTTCAGCGGCTGCTGGTTTCACACAGCTGTGGTGGATCCAGGCTGGGATTCCTTCTACCTTTACAGCCGTGGGGGTGGTCAGGATGACGGTCTGAGGTCCTTTCCACCGTGGCTGCTCGCCAGAGCAGCACTGCAATTGTGTCTCTGCTGATAGAAACTTTCCACCAGCAGAAAGATATGGGACTTAAGGTCTGCCATCAGATTTATTTGTTCCATGAGGTGTTCCCTTGATGTGGTGCTCTCCCCATTTCCCTAAAAGTAGGAGTTCCTGAGAGCCAGACTACAGTGATCACTATTGCTCTTCTGGGTCTAGCCATCCAGTGGAGCTGCCACACTCCATGCTGGTGCTGTGGAATGTCTGCTAGGGATCCAGTAATATGACCTCTCCTCAAGTTTTCCTAGTGGTGAGTATCTGCACCAGCTCTGATGGGGGCAGCAAAGGAATGACATAGACTCTGTGAGATTTCTTGGTTATAGATCACCTTAGTGTTCTGGTTTTCTTGAATGCTCTTTGTAATATTAGTGAACTGATTACGTGGACAGACTCAGGACCTCCTGGTTAGCCAGGATGTTGCAGGCAATGTTGATGGCTGAAGTCACTCACTGGTTTTCTCCTTTCTCCCCACTAGATTAGCTAGATACAGAGTGCCAATTGGTGCATCCACAAACCCTGAGCTAGACACAGGTTGCTGATTGGTGTGTTTACAAACCTTGAGCTAGATACAGGGTGCTGATTGGTGTATTTACAATCCCCTAGCTAGACACAAAGGTTCTCCAAGTCCCCACCAGACTCAGGAGCCTAGCTGGCTTCACCCAGTGGATCCCGCACTGGGGCCGCAGTTGGAGCTGCCTGCCAGTCCTGCGCTGTGCTCCCGCACTCCTCAGCCCTTGGGCGGTCGACTGGACCAGGTTCCGTGGAGCAGGGGTGGCACTTGTTGGGGAGGCTCGGGCTGTGCAGAAGCCCACCGCGGGGGGCACAGGGTGGAGGCTCAGGCATGGTGGGCTGCAGGTCCCAAGCCCTGCTCCATGGGGAGGCAGCTAAGGCCCAGCAAGAAGTCAAACGCAGTGCCAGGGGGCCTGCACTGCTGGGGGACCTGGCGCACCCTCTGCAGCTGCTGGCCCAGGTGTTAAGCCCCTCACTGCCCAGGGCCAGCGGGGCTGGCCCGCTGCTCTGAGTGTGGGGCCCGCTAACCCCACGCCCACCCAGAACTCTAACTGGCCCGCAAGCGCCACACCCATCCCCGGTTCCCGCCGGTGCCTCTCCCTCCACACCTCCCCGCAGGCTGAGGGAGCCGGCTCCAGCCTCGGCCATCCCAGGAAGGGGCTCCCACAGTGCAGCAGCGGGCTGAAGGGCTCCTCAAGCGTGGCCAGAGTGGGCACCAAGGCCGAGGAGGCGCCAAGAACGAGCGAGGGCTGCGAGGGCTGCCAGCATGCTGTCACCTCTCATTGGGAACGTTACAATTCTTCTCTTCTAGCTATTTTGAAATATACAATGAATTATTGTTAACTATAATTTTCCTACTGTACTGTTGATACTATAACTTATTAGTTTTATCTAACTGTATGTTCATATCCGCTAACCAACTGGTGTACATATAAGAAGAAGAGACATCAGGGGCATGCATGCACAGAGAAAAGGCCATGTGAGTACAGCAAGAAGGCAGTCATCTGCAAGATCAGGGGAAAGGTATCAGGAGAAACAAAATTAGCCGACACCTTGATCTTGGATTTCTAGCCTCCAGAACGATGAGAAAATAAATTTCTGTTGTGTAAGCCACCTAGTTTGTGTCATTTTATTTTCGTAGCTCTAGCAAACTAATACATACATAATGATTCTTGCCAAGAATTCAAATATTTGTTCATGTGCAAGCTCGACTTTCTACTGTTTTAATTATTTTTTATTTATCCATTGTTTAACTTTCAACCATTCTAAGTCACCATGTTTTACAAATACAGTACTCTTGTCTATGAACTATAGGAGCCTTTTTCTCTTATTAATAATTATTATATATTAATATATTAATAAAATTATTAATAAAATAAAATCATTAATAAAATAAAATTAAATTAATAAAATTTAATTTTATTAAATTTTAAAATAAAATTAATTAAATAAAATTAATAAAATAAAATTAATAAAATTTTATAAATAAAATTTATAAAATAAAATAAAATTATTTATCATTTATTTATTATTTATCATTAATAAAATAAAATCATTATTTTACACATAGCTATTTTAGCTAATAGGCAGAGTTATCCTCACAATACTTATTAAAGTTATAGATGTTTGATCTTTTTACCTTATTTTATAGAACGCTTTCTCTTTTAATGGATTTTACGTTATTTGTTCTCTGTTTCAGTGTTGTAATACTTCTGCTGTTGTAAATCATTATTCTATTATAATACCACAGGTAGTTTATGCTACATTGGGCAATCTTTGAGAGGTCACTTACTTATTTACTGCCCATTACCAAAGATGAGAAAATCAGTGCACATAAACTTTCTTGATCTCTTGATTTTAATGGGCTCATTTAAAAATTTGTACTTCTATTGATTATCATTAAATAATTATGGTTATTATTTGATATATCAGGTTTGAATTTTGTCCCCAGTTAATGGATGGCAAATAATATTTCTTTTTTTTTTTGAGACGGAGTCTCACATAGTTGCCAGGGCTGGAATGCAGTGGCACAATCTCGGCTCACTGCAATCTCCGCCTGCTGAGTTCAAGCGACTCTCCTTTCCCAGCCTCCCAAGTAGCTGGAATTACAGGCACCCGCCACCATGCTTGGCTAATTTTTTGTATTTTTAGTGGAGACGGGGTTTCACTATGTTGGCCAGGCTGGTCTCGAACTCCTGACCTTGTGATCCACCTGCCTTGGCCTCCTAAAGTGCTGGGATTATAGGCATGAGCCACCCCACCTGGCCGACAAATAATATTTAACTTTTACATTAATTTTAAAATTATTTGTTGACTA
This sequence comes from Homo sapiens, assembly GCF_000001405.40. Classification (NCBI taxonomy): domain Eukaryota; kingdom Metazoa; phylum Chordata; class Mammalia; order Primates; family Hominidae; genus Homo; species Homo sapiens. The sequence continues at coordinate 93,234,013 of NC_000023.11, read as the reverse complement.
TTCATGTGATTGAACATTTTTCATGCTCTTTGGCTACTTTTATATAATCTATAAAGTTCCAATAACTTAATAGATTGGTTTTCTATTACTTATTAATTTATAGGAATTTTATATATTGCAGGCATGAGTATTTGTTATATATGTTTCAAATATTATCTCCACATCTTTTTTTTGGCATTTAATTTTTTATATACATTTTATATATTATCTTTTAATTTTGACTGTGTGATAAAGATCTGATAAAGATTACCTCCTCTAAATTATGAAAGTATTACTTTATACTTTGATTTTTATTCATATATACAGACATTCAGTTCAACTTATAATTAACACATATGTATATTGTGAAAGACTACCTATTTTCATTTCTTTTCTCATCTATATATCTGATTATCTCAACTTATTTATTGCATGTCACCACTTTTTTTATTTGAAATGTTTTTCCATAACTTAAATTTACATATATAGAAATGTCTATTCCAAATTTCTCTATCAATTGATCTGCGTTTTTATTATGCACTAATATTATACAGCTTTACTAAAACTTTATACTGTATTTTGATAACTATTAGGGCATATACCTTTCATTTTGTTTCTTTACAATAATTTTCTTGTCTGTTCTCATGCATTCTCTTCTCCATTAATGCATGACTCTAGAATAAGTTTGCTAAATACTATTAAAATACTTTGTATGAATTGTTTAGATTGAAAACAAATTAAATTTATAGATCAATTTTGGTGAAAATTCACATATTTATAACATTGAGTACTGATAAATGTAGGTTTTTCCTCCCTATATTAGGTGTGTTTCATGCCCTTAGTAAAGTTTAAAGTGTCTTTATAAAGGTCATGTACGTGCCTTCTTAGGTTTATACTTAGGTAGTTTCATGGTTTTCATAACAATTATAAATCAATTTTTATTTTCTATTTTGTTTCACAATTGGGCATTGCCAATGTACAGACCTTCTGTAAATTTCTGCATGTTGATCTTAAATTCACATCCTTCTACCAAATTTTATTAAATAAATAGTTTTTCAGTTGAACTCCTTAAATTTTCTAAGTAGATGATCAGATCACATGTAAATATTGACATTGTTTCTTTTTGTCATATTTTTACATGTTAAAAAATATTCGTATTAGATTGTCTTGGGTCTGCAATACAATGCTCAATAGTAAATGTGATAGTGTCCATTCTTGTCTTACTTTCAACTTTAGTAAAATTGCTTCCAATGATTCCTTGTCATATGATATAATTCATGTAGTGTTTAAAACAGTGCCTAGCACGTAATAAGTTTTCAATAAATGTTAGTGACTACATTAAGTTTCAAGAACATTAACACATCCTGATTGATTGTACCTTTAATAGGAATTATTTTTTTGGATCTTATTAACTCAATTATTTTCTCCTACATTATTTGGGGACTTTGTTATCTTTTTTCAGTTTATTGAGGTAGACACTTATTTATTTTTATTCTTTATATTTTTCTAATTAAGTCACACTCTGAAATATACTGTAGCTCTCACTATGGTCAGGCCCCCAAATTTTAACATGAAGCATTTTCACTGACTGTAATTTTCAAGTAGTTTATAATCTCAAATATAAATTTTGAACCCAAGAGTTACTTAGATTAGTATCTAAGATAACATATTCTCCTAGTTGTTCTACCTCACTGGCCATTCCTTCTCTCACCCCATTATTGGTTCCTTCTAATCTCCAAGACCTATAACCATCTATTTTCTATCTATACTTCTATTCAGTCCATAGCTTAAAATGCCATCTATTCATTGACTGATCTCAAAATATATACTGCTAGCCTGGTTCTCACTCTTGAACTCAAGACTTGTATATTCAACTATACCATTATTTTCTTGACATTTCTACCTGGATGTTACTGGGCATATCAAATCTAATACGACCTAAAACAACTTCTGATAGTTTCACCAGATTACACTTGTCCCCAAATCATTCTTACCTGAGTAAATTACAAATTCATCACTGTAAGTTGCTCATGCTTAGAATCATTTTTATTCCTCTCTCTTTCCTCATACTGCTCATCCAATCTATCAACAAATCATACTGCCTCAACCTTAAAAATATATCTACAATCTTATCACTTCCACTGTACACCCTGTTCTATGTCAACATCACCTCTTGCCTGGATCATCATAATAGCCCGTAACAACTTTCCCTACTTCCCACTTGTAGAGTACAGTGATCTCGATACAGCTGTCGAAAGAATTTTTCAGAAATGTAAATCAGATCACGTTACTCCTCTATTCAAACTCTTCCGATGACTTCCTATGTGGTGCAGAACAAAATGCAAAATCCTTACAATCTGAAAGTTTCTGCCCTTCATGATGCCTACTTTCTCCTACCTTTCTAACTTCAACCACTACCCTCTATCAGAATCAATCTGCTCCAACCCCTCTGGCCTTCTCAATTTTCCTTGACTGCAATAAGCACACTCACTCGCATTTGCAGGTATTTACTCTAGCTTTTTCTTATTCTGAGAATGTTCTTTTACCCAGATAGTTACATTACCCGCTCTCTCATTTTCCAGTCATCTTTTCTGGGAGGTCTTCTCCCACCTAATTTAAAATCGTATACTCAGCCGGGCGTGGTGGCTCACGCCTATAACCCCAGCACTTTGGGAGGCCCAGGCGGGTGGATCACGTGAGGTCAGGAGTTCAAGACCAGCCTGGCCAACATGGCAAAACCCCCTCTCTACTAAAAATAGAAATATTAGCCGGGCGTGGTGGTGGGCAACTGTAATCCCAGCTACTTGGGAGGCTAAGGCAGAGAGAATTGCTTAAAACCCAGGAGGCGGAGGTTGCAGTGAGCTGAGATAGTGCCACTGCACTCCAGCCTGGGTGATAGAGCGAGTCTCCGTCTCAAAAAAAAAAAAAAAAAAATTGTATACTCACCTCCTCTCACACACACTCGGCTGAAACTCCCTATCCTTCTCAGCTTTGCCCTTCTCCATAACACTTAATCATTATTTTACACATGATATATTTAACTTGTTGAGACTTGTATTGTCTCTCTCCCTTCAATAGAATAGAAACTCAATAAAGGCTTATCTTTTTACTTTTTTTGTTTACTGCTATTTTCTTAATATCTAGAAGACTTCATGATGTGTTAATACTCATAAATATTCATGCAATGAAGGAAAGAGTATTATTTTTAAAATTTCCAAATAGATAATTGGGAAGGGGTGCTATTTAACTGCTACTAATTTTCACTTTTTTTTTATTGTACTATTGCAGAATTTATTCCATTTTGTTATGGCCCTTTGCATGCAGTTTTGTTGTGACCTTTTACATTTAAAAACTTAATCCTGTGTTTAAATAATTTCATGCAAACATGTACTGCTGTTATGTTCTTTTTATTAATGTTTCTTGGTACATAATAAACATATAATGATCATTTTTATCTGAACAATAAGATGGTTATTCACATCAATATCACACTTTGCTTTTGAAACCTTTTCTCTGTCATCCTATTCTCTCACACAACCACACCAGTCAACTTTATGTTAAAACAGCCTTTTCTGTCTTTCATGTCTGTTAATCTTTCTTCTAATCACCTTTGTGTTTCTTTTCCTCTGGATCCTAGGAATCTTAATATCATGGATTCCATTTTGTACAGTTTTATTTCTGTGCCTTGATTCTTCAAAATATGTTCAAATTTTTATTATGGGATAATTTTTCCCTTTTTTGTATCTTAGCTATGACTACTTCCTTTGTATCTTAATCTATTTTTAATTTTTCCTCTCATTTTTATATATTTGAAGTTTATGTTCCTTGCCTCAAAAGTTTAAAGTGATCTTTGTCTAACTGTGATTCTGTTTTCTCATACAAAACTTTCAGAATGTGTTCTTCATTCAATTTCTCCTGCAATACTTTTCCTTCCAAAAAGTTGCAGGTTTTATTTGTCCTATTTTGTTTTCATTTGTGTTTGAATAGAATAGTTCTATCCATTCTTTGCTTCCCTAAGAATTTTGATGATTTCCAGTTGATCTCCTTCCTGTTTATCTGGAGACCATCAAATACTTAATGCTGGAGGGCAGAGATGATGGCTTCTATTGTCTGTTTAGTCAATCAGTTTTCTGGAGTAGAAGAAGGTAGCTGGCAAGATCTAAGTCTTAGTTATCTGAAATCAGAACATTATCTTGTGCTTTCTTTCTAAGCTTATGAAAATATTCACATCTAGAACCAGCTTCATTTTTTAAGTATATATTTTCCCACTGGAATAATTCTTGGCTTTAATTTTTAATCTTCCTTTTTAGGTAAGCTGCCTAAGTTGTTAAAAAGTTGGGTTGGATATAGTTACATTAATTTGTAAACACTTTGTTTTCTTTGGCTAGGTGTACTTTCCTCATACACTTGCCTTTCATTCACTGACATTTACCTTCACCATGAAAATGTCTCTGATGAAACTCTATTGTTTCTCTCATACCTTTTTTTCCCAGTCCATTATTTTACTTTAGTGATTGCCACCTCATTTTAGTCTATAATCCTTTTACATGCATGTCATAAAACACTAAAAAATGCAATACATGGTTTTACTTTCTTTGGTAGCACTACTTCTGTAGCACTGGAGTGCTATTGCTTTGTTTTTTGAGGAAGGAATTTGTGGGAAGAATCTGCACTTCCAACTCTTCCCTCTAAATAGAACAATAATTAATGTGTCTGTGTTTTTTTCACCAGAATTTCTTCCACTTACTTTCCACAAAACGTTCCCACTATTTTGAAAATAACAGCTGTTTTTAAGTTCCCAGGGACTCATTGCAACTTGATATAAACTATATTACATTTGGCAAATATTGCTTCCAGCTTATGTTATTGAGTTCGGAATGATCCTTAGTCTCACTGCTGACAACATTCCTTATATTTACAACTTATGTAGTTGGTGTGGTGGTTTAAAACGGATGTTTACACATTTTTTGATATAATTTCCTTCAAAAAAGTAATTTCCCTTTCCTTGATTGTGGGCTGCATTTAGTGACCCACTTCTAACAAATAGAATTAAGTAGAAGTGATAACATACAACTTCTGAGACTAGGTCATAAAAGGTATTGTGGCTTCCTCCTTTCCCTCTCTTGAGGGAGAGAATAGCTGACATGTGAGAACACTCAAGCAGCTTCATGGAGAGGCAAGAAATGAAGCCTTATTCCAATGACCAGCACTAATTTGCCAAGGTAGAATAAATCACCTTGGAAAGTATAATCTGTAGCCTTCATCAGCCTTTAGGTGAAAACAGCCTGGTCCGTATCTTGACTGCAACTTCTGGGGAGACATTGAGCCATCACCACTCAGCTAAGCTGTTTGAAACTTCCTTAACCACAGAAACTGTGACATAATCAATATCTGTTGTTTTAAATAACTAATTTATAAGGTAATTTGTTACATAAAAATAAATAACTAATGGAGTCAATGTCTAGATGGATGATTGGTGACCTGCATAAAGCCCCTATTTTATTGAAAGTCATGATAAATATTTTAAGTGAGAAAACATGGTTAACAAATGATATAATATGTTATGATAACACTGCCAACAAATATTAACACTACTATTACTCTTATTATTAAATTTATTGCCACCACCACCTCTACTACTATAGGCATATGTATATTTGTTTGTGTGTATTTATATGTTCATAAGAATGCACCAAAATGGTAACAATGAGTATTTCCAGGTTGTGGGATAATGAATGTCTTCTTTTTTTCCTCTTTGCTCTTCTGCATGTCCCCTATATTTTCTATAATCATGTATTTATTCAACTAATGTATTTTGAGCAACTATTATGTTTTAGGCACTGGAAATATGTTTTTCTGGAACACAGAAAAACATTTTCTAGATTTTGGAAATACAGCTGTGACATAAATAGATAATTTCAAGCCCACATTTACTTAGACATATGAATACCATGCATATTATTTCATAAGATAATAAGTGCTAAGGAAAAAAATAAATGTGGGAAGGAGAATGGAGAGTGGTGTTGCTATTTTAAAAATGTTGGACAGAAAAGACTTACTTGGGAAGGCAGTAATTCAAAAATACAAGAGAAGATGTGCAGAAAAGCCATGAAGATTTCTTGGGCAACAGCATTCCAGGCAACTAAAAGATGTCTGAGTTGGATGTGTACCTAACATGGTCAATGGATAGTTGGGAGGCCTATGTGGCTGTAACAAATTGAGTGAGGATTAGAGTAGTAGAGGATGAGGTCAGAGATGTTAATGTGTGCCAAATCACACTGTACAATCTGAGTCAGTAAATATTTATTACTTTTACTATTAAAAAGAAACGCTATGAAAAATTAAAAAGAAATGATTAATACAAAAATCCTAAAACTCTTGAGAAAAGCATTGTACAGAATATAAATGTTTTCATCCAGTGAAATGAGATCGCCAAAATTATTATAAAGGACTTTTGTCAAGTGCGATATCACAAAGTTGAGGAAATGTAAGAAACATTATCAAATTATATTGGATCAAATTATTTCATTATATTAATATGGTTTTCTCATCTATTTGCTATTTTAATACAAATTAAATCTAAATTAAAAGCTAAGATTAGGCTCCAGCACTCAGACTGGATTTTTCAATACATTAATAATAAACAATGTCTCCATCTATAAAAACCTTATCTCTAACCCCTTCATTAAAAATCCAATTTTCAAAATAAAAGCGATTGTTTCCATTTTTAAAAACCCTTGCTGATCCAAGAGAATATTCCCAATTTTAGCTTGAATTAATTTTACCCACAGAGATAGTAAAGACTGAGAGCTAGAAATTAAAACAAACATTTCTACTCAGAAAAACTATTAATAAATTTTAAATTGTGAGGATAACTCAGAACATTATCCTGAAAAAGTGCAAAAGTTTATCAGTCGCCTAAATGAAATGACCATCATTCAGTAAGGGTTACGATATGTCCTAGATTAGTGAACCAGTGTAGAAGCTTTTCTCTCTTTCGTTTAGCTTTCTTTACATTTGTTTATAGGGAAAAAGGAGAGAGATGGGGCAATGGCAAGAGGCATTTGGAGAATTCTCATAAAAAATACACACTTTGCCTCATAAAACTATAAACAGAACTACCATATGATCAAACAATTCTGCTGCTGAGTACGTATCTTAAAGAAAGAAAATCAGTGTATTAAAAATATATTTGCACTCCCATTTTTATTGCAGCATTATTCATAATCACCAAGACATGGAATCAACCTGTTTCCATAAATGGATAAATAGATAAGCAAATTGTGTTATATACACAATAAAATATTATTCAGCCTTTAGAAAGAAGGAAATCCTGTCATTAGCAACAACATGGATGGAACTGGAGGTCGTTATGGTCAGTAAAATAAGTCAGGCCTAGAAAGCCAAATATTGCACGCTCTCACTATTAAGACCTAAAAAGGGGACCTCATAGAGATAGAGAGTAGAATGATGGTTACCAGAAGCTGGAAAGAGAAAGGGGCAGGAGGAAATGAAGTGAAGTTGGTTAATGGGTACAAAAATACAGTTAGACAGAAAGAATAAGTTCTGATATTCAACAGTACCATAGGAAACTTATAGTTAACAATAATGTATTGTATATTTCAAAATAGCTGGAAGACAAGAATTGTAATGTTTCCAACACAGAGAAAAGATAAATGTTTGAGGTGATGGATATCCCAATTACCCTGACTGATATTACACATTTATACAGGCACCAAATATCACAAACCCCAAGAATATATATATCTTTGATATATCAATATAAAAATATGAAAAAATACACACTGACTTCAGAAATAAACATTGAATAAAGGGCACGCTCTTGACAAGAATTGTGTATATTTAGATAATATGTATATTTACCCTTTGCTCTGTCCTAAGCCTATGAAAAAAGTAGATTAATAAGAAAACATAACCTTTGACTTTTTTCTTTGTGACATCCCTTATTCCTGCATGTACACAGCTTATTACTGTTGAATAAAATCTTACAATCCTGAAGACCGATACGTCTATAAATTCATGGTCTCCAACTTCATCAGTGTCTTCAAAGTCTGCTGACAGTCCTTTTGCTCACCCTTGATCAGCTCCCATTCACATTCTTCTCAGCAAGTATGTGCAACTCAGTGCAAACTCTCTATCCCTTACTCACGGTATTTCAGTTCTGTTGAATTCAATGTGTGCTTAGCACTTACTATATGTCAGTCAATGTGTTAGACCCTGAAGATACAAAGACAAATGTGATGGCCCAACCCTCAGCAATCCTATGATTAGTGGTGATCAAACATTTTGGTCTTAAGAATCCTTTACACTCTTAGAAATTATTGAGAATTCCAAAATTATTTTTGTTTATCTGCATTGTATCTATTAATATTTGCCACATTCAAAGTTAAAACTGAGAAATTTTTACAATGCTAATTTGTTGATTTATTTTACATGTCAATAATAAGCCCACTACATATTGACATTGTTAACATATATTTTCTTAAAAATTGTGATATTTTTATAAAAACAGATGAGAAGAGTAGAACTATTTTACCTCTTTGAAAATTTATTTAATATCTATCTTAATAAAAATAGGAAGTGGATTGTCATAACTACTTCATTCAATCTGTTGTGATATGTTATTTGATTGACATATATGAAAACATTTAAGTCTCACACAGGTACATTGTTGAAAAGGGAGGATCTTGTAAACCTTCTAAAATTATTTTAGGGACTCCTAGGGTCTTTGAATCACATTCAAAAACCTGTGGTTTAGGGAGTGAGATATTTTCATAAATTATTTCAATGTGCTGTGCCCAATGCAATTATCGATATATACACAGATTGCTGTTGGAGCACTTCTGTTCTTACCTCATCAATAAAATCTAGGCAACCACATGCGAACCATTACACCACCACCTGGGCTATGCTCTCCGGCTGCCGCTGCCACCACCCCGCCCCCACCTTCGCCTCCCCCTCCGCCTCCGCCTGCGGTGCACATTAAAGATCCAAAGTCATGACTGACTCCAAGTATTTCACAACCAATAAAAAAGCAGAAATATTTGAACTAAAAGCTGAACTCAGCAATGAAAAGAAAGAAAAGAGAAAGGAGGCTGTGAAGAAAGTGATTGCTGTTATTACCGTGGGGAAGGATGTTAGTTCTGTCTTTCCAGACATAGTGAACTGTATGCAGACTGACAATCTGAAACTAAAGAAGCTTGTGTATCTCTACTTGATGAACTATGCCAACAGTCAGCCAGACATGGCCATCATAGCTGTAAATAGCTTTGTGAAGGACTGTGAAGATCCTAATCTTTTGATTCGAGCCTTGGCAGTCAGAACCATGGGGTGCATCTGGGTAGACAAAATTACAGAATATCTCTCTGAGCCCCTCCTCAAGTGCTTAGAGGATGAGGATCCCTATGTTCGGAAAACAGCAGCAGTATGCGTGGCAAAACTCCATGACATCAACGCCCAAATGGTGGAAGATCAGGGATTTTTGGATTCTCTATGGGGTCTCATAGCAGATTCAAATCCAATGGTGGTGGCTAATGCTGTAGCAGCATTATCTGAAATCAGTGAGTCTCACCCAAACAGCAACTTACTCAATCTGAACACACAGTACATTAATAAGCTGCGGACAGCCCTGAATAAGTGCACTGAAGGGGCCAGATTTTCATGCTGGACTGCCTGTCTAATTACAACCCTAAAAATGATCGGAAGGCTCAGAGCATCTGTGAGCGGGTAACTCCCCAGCTATCCCATGCCAACTCAGCAGTGGTGCTTTCAGCGGTAAAAGTACTAATGAAGTTTCTAGAATTGTTACCTAAGGATTCTGACTACTACAATATGCTGCTGAAGAAGTTAGCCCCTCCACTTGTCACTTTGATGTCTGGGGAGTCAGAAGTGCACTATGTCTCCCTGAGGAACATCAACTTAATTGTCCAGAAAAGGCCTGAAATCTTGAAGCAGGAAATCAAAGTCTTCTTTGTGAAGTACAATGATCCCATCTATGTTAAACTAGAGAAGTTGGACATCAGGATTCATTTGGCATCACAAGCCAACATTGCTCAGGTTCTGGCAGAACTGAAGGAATATGCCACAGAGGTGAATGTTGACTTTGTTCGAAAAGCTGTGTGGGCCACTGGACGGTGTGCCATCAAGGTGGAGCAATCTGCAGAGCACTGTGTAAGCACATTGCTTGATCTAATCAAGACCAAAGTGAATTATGTGGTCCAAGAAGTGATTGTTGTCATCAGGGACATCTTCCGCAAATACTCCAACAAGTATGAAAGTATCATTGCCACTCTATGTGAGAACTTAGACTCGCTGGATGAGCCAGATGCTCGATCGGCTATGATTTGGATTGTGGGAGAATAAGCTGAAAGAATTGACAATGCAGATGAGTTACTAGAAAGCTTCCTGGAGGGTTTTCATGATGAAAACACCCAGGTGCAGCTCACTCTGCTTACTGCCATAATGAAGCTGTTTCTCAAGAAACCACCAAAACACAAGAGCTAGTCCAGCAGATGTTGACTTTGGCAACACAGGATTCTGATAATCCTGACCTTCGAGAACGGGGCTATACTTATTGGGCTCCTCTCTCAGCTGACCCTGTCATGGCTAAAGAAGTAGTCTTGTCTGAGAAGCCACTGATCTCTCAGGAGACGGAACCTATTGAGCCAACTGCGTTGGAGGAGCTAATCTGCCACATTGGTTCTTTGGCCTCTGTGTATCGTAAGCCTTCCAGTGCTTTTGTGGAAGGAAGTCATGGAATCCATCGTAAACACTTGCCAATTCATCATGGGAGCACTGACACAGGTGACAGCCCTGTTGGCACCACCACCGCAACGAACCTGGAACAGCCTCAGGTTATCCCCCGTCAAGGTGATCTTCTGGGGAGTCTTTTAAACCTTGACCTCAGTCTCCCAGTCAATGTGCCACAGGTGTCCTCCATGCAGATGGGAGCAGTGGATCTCCTAGGAGGAGGACTAGATAGTCTGGTGGGACAATCCTTCATCCCATCATCGGTGCCTGCAACCTTTGCTCCTTCACCTACACCTGCTGTGGTCAGAAGTGGACTGAATGACCTGTTTGAACTCTCCACAGGGATAGGCATGGCACCCGGTGGGTACGTGGCTCCTAAGGCTGTCTGGCTACCTGCAGTAAAGGCTAAAGGCTTGGAGATTTCAGGAACATTTACTCACCGTCAAGGGCACATCTATATGGAAATGAACTTCACCAATAAAGCTCTGCAGCATAGGATGGATTTTGGAATCCAGTTTAACTGGTGTCATCCCCAGCACTCCTCTGGCCATCCATACACCACTGATGCCAAACCAGAGCATTGATGTCTCCCTGCCTCTCAACACCTTGGGCCCAGTCATGAAGATGGAACCTCTGAATAACCTGCAGGTGGCTGTGAAAAACAGTATCGATGTCTTCTACTTCAGCTGCCTCAGCCCACTCAATGTGCTTTTTGTAGAAGACAGCAAAATGGAGCACCAGGTCGTCCTTGCAACATGGAAGAATATTCCCAATGAAAATGAACTTCAGTTTCAGATTAAGGAATGTCATTTAAATGCTGACACTGTCTCCAGCGAGTTGCAAAACAATGTTTATACCATTGCCAAGAGGAATGTGGAAGGGCAGGACATTCTGTACCAATCCCTGAAGCTCACTAATGGCATTTGGATTTTGGCCGAGCTACGTATGCAGCCAGGAAACCCCAATTATACACTGTCACGGAAGTGTAGAGCTCCTGAAGTCTCTCAATACATCTATCAGGTCCACAACAGCATTTTGAAAAACTAACAAGACTGGTCCAGTACCCTCCAATCATGCTGTGATCGGTGCAAGCCAAGAACCCTTAACTGGAAGAAATTGTATTGCTGTGTAGAGTCTGAACCCAAACACACTGAGGCCACCCAGCAAGGTAGTAACTAGTCTAACCTGTGCTAACATTAAGGCACAACCTGTTGGATAGTTTTAGCTTCCTTTGAACATTTGTAACCACTGCTTCAGTCACCTCCCACCTCTCACCACCTGCTGCTGCTATCTGTCCTTATTTGTGGGCTTCTCCATGCTGTGCCAATGGCTGGCTTTTTCTACACCCTCTTTTGAGTATAGTTTGGTAGTTTGTAATTGAGAGCTCATTTCAAAAGCAGAAAAAGACAACCAATATTAAAGCAAGAAAAAGTGTCATTGAAAAAAATAATAAAAACTTTCTCAACTTTCAAACAGAAACACCTACAAAGGTATCCCTACTCATACTCCCAAAACATCTTGTTTCTCCAATCTCAGAAGATGAGGTGGATTGACTGCTTTTTATTTATTTTTATTTAGTTTTAATTGACAAATAACAACTGTGTTTATATTTATGTGATACAATGTAATCTTTTGCTATATGTATGCATTGCATAATTACTAGATCAAGCTAATTAACATATCCATCACCTCAAATACTTACAGTTTGTTTGTTTTTTTTTTTTTTTCTGAGAGAGTCTCGCTCTATTTCCTAAGCCAGAGTGCAGTGGTGGGATCATAACTCACTACAACCTCAAACTCCTGGGCTAAAGCAATCCTCCTGCTTTAGCCTCCAGAGTAGCTAGGACTACAGGTGTATGCCACCATGCCTGGCTTATTTTTAATTTTTTTTTTTTGTATAAAAGGGGTGTAGCTATGCTGCACAAATGGATCTCAAACTCCTGGCCTGAAACGATTGAATAATCCTCAAACGATTGCTCATCAGCCCAAAGCATTAGGATTAAAGGCATGAGTCACTGTATCTGAGCCAAATACTTCCAATTTTCTGTGATGATGACAAAAATCCTACTCTGTTAGCAATTTTGAAATATACAATAAACTATTAACTATAGTCACCATTCTGTACAATCGAGTTCTAAAACTTAATCCTGCTCACTAACTGAAACTTTGGACCCTTTGATCAACATCTTGCCATTTTTCACTCTGCAGGCCCAGCCTCTGGTAACCACCATTCTACTCTCTGCTTATATGAGTTCAATTATTTTAGATTCTACATACGAATAGGGTTATGTGCTATTTGTCTTTGTGTGTCTGGCTCATTTCCCTTAGCATAATGTCCCCCAGGTGCATCCATGTTGTGGTAAATGACAGAATTTCCTTCTTTTTAAAAGGCTGATTAGTATTCTATTGTGTATATATATCACAATTTAAAAATCCATTAGTTTATTGATGGGCACCTATGTAGTTTCCCTATCTTGGATATCATAAATAATGCTACAATGAACATGGGAGTGCAGATACCTCTTTGATATAATTTCAATTCCTTTGGATATATATACAGTAGTGGGATTGCTGGATCATATGGTAATTCTACTTTTAGTATTTTGAGAAACCTCCATACTGTTTTTCATAGGAAATTAACTAATTTACGTTCCCGTCAACAGTGTATAAGCCTTCCCTTTTCTCTGCATCCTTGCCAGCACCGTTATGTTTTGACTTTTTAATAATAGCCATTCTAATAGGTTTAAGATGATATCTCGCTATGGTTCTAATTTACATTTTCCTGACAATTAGTGATGTTGAGTGTTTTTTCATATATCTGTTGGCCATTTGTATGTCTTCTTTTGAGAAATGTCTTTTCAGTTTCTTTGCCCATTTTAAAATCAGTTTATTTGTTCTCTTGCTATTGAGTTGTTTGAATTCCTTATATATTTTGGATATTGATCACTTATCAGATGTATGGCTTGCAAACATCTTCTCCTACTCCACGGACTGTCTCTTCACTCTGTTTCCTTTGTTGTGCAGAGACATTTTAGTTTGATGAAATCCCATTTGTCTATTTTTGCTTTTGTTGTCTATACTTTCACGGTCAAATAAAAAAAAAAAATCGCCCACACCAATGTTGTGGTGCTTTTCCCTTGTATTTTTTTTCTGGTCCTTTTACAGTTTCAGGTTCTGCATTTAAGTTTTTAATTCATTCTGAGTTGACTTCTGTATGTGGTGGTATAGTGTCTTTTCCTCTTTAAAACTAACCTTTTAGGCAGGGCACGGTGGCTCATGCCTGTTTTCCAAGCACTTTGGGAGGCCGAGGCAGGTGGATCACTTGAGGTTGGAGTTCGAGACCACTCTGGCCAGCATGGTGAAACCCCATTTCTACTAAAAAATACAAAAATTAGCCGGGCATAGTGATGCACGCCTGTAGTCCCAGCTACTCGGGAGGCTGAGGCACAAGAGTCACTTGAACCGGAGAGGCAGGGTTTGCAGTGAGCTGAGATCAAGCCACTGCATTCCAGCCAAGGCAACCAAGCAGGACTCTGTCTCAAAAAAAAAAAATAAATAAATAAATAAATAAACAAACTAACTAACCTTTCAATCTGTATTTTCCTTCTTACTTTACATGTATTTCTTAAATAATCTTATTCCCCTACAAGATTTTTTTTTTAGTTATTTATTTTTTAAAATAAACAGCTTTCCTGGAGTATAATTTGCATATTATAAAATTCACTCATTTTAAGGGTGCAAGTGAGTTTAGAGTTGAGTAATCATCACTATAATTCATTTTTAGAGCATTTCCATCACCCCCAAAGAGATGAACTCCCTCTGGCTTTTCACTCACACGTATATCTAATGATTTTTGCAAGCTATGTCTCTGTACCTGAAGTGCTAGATATGGTCTGTTTGCTCCTTCCTCTAGATTGTCCATTTTTTCCTCTTTGCTCTCTGCCCACGGAGTCTAACATATGTGGCTTATACCATCAAATAACGCACACAAGCCTTCTGGCTTTTAGTTGGGCTCAACCAATGAGGGAACCCCTTAAGAGACTGGATGAAGGAATGAATGCAAGTCAGTGTTCCTCCTTCTCTGTGAAGTCACGTCTTGCCTGTGTTCCTCCACATAAGATGACAGGTACTCACAAAGTGTATTGCTTTAGCAGTTTCCAGCAGGGATTTTCCACCTTTGTCCCTTCAGACCAAGGGCTGCTGATAAAGCCGTTGCTGCTACCTTTGGTTCCAGCATAATTCTTGGTAATGCTCATATGTCCCATCCATACCTTTGTAATTAGTCCCTTTGTAAATAATCCCTTCTTGAACTATCCTAATTTTAATGTGACATCTGTTTCCAGTTGGAAGCCCAGTGGATATGCCTTACTCTCCCTACCACCCCAGTTCAAACACAGGACCAATATTGTAACTTATTATTGGAAATCTCAATTTCAGCAGGGGAAAGTGGTGATATCAGGCTCTTGCTGAGGTTCTTCCTATGCTTTACGTTCTTTTCTATTGATAGAATCAGCACTACTCATGTTCCTTTCTGACTGGTCTTTGGTGTTGATTCATGAAACTTAAGCCGATTTTATTTTCTCACTTATTCAATATTGGGACTTCATTTGTAGATTTATGTGCAAACTGGGTTTTTCTTTTGGGCATTTTATTTCTGAATTTTTCAAAAGTAAGTCTCTCTTAGTCAAACATACAAAATACAAATGTAGAAATGTTCATCTTTGTTTTAGGGTGGACACTTCTCTCAGTTGGATACTCTCAGTTGACTTTCTGCTCCCTAAACTGTTAAGATGTTTTGACAATTGCTGTGGTTTCCATTTGTTGATATGAAACAGAATTTTCATCTGACTGACATCACAAAATTGTGCATTTCATTTTCAAAGTATAAGCTCATGTTTACTGCATGCTTCACTTACAGTTTTTAAAAATCAGAATAAAATAGTCTCTGCTAACCAGAGAAGTTGGTGTGCAGAACGTGCTTTATTTTCAATTTGACTGTTTAGAGTAGAGAAGAGATGTAGGAGGGAGTTGGTGGAACTGTCACTATTAGAACCATTACCAGTCACTGCTTTGACTGAAGCAGGAGGGCATTTGATTGACTGCAGAGAGAGTTCAATGATTCATGAGGCATCAAAAAGAGCTATTTTGAAAAGTAATTTTTCGAATAATGCTTAATGAGGGACATAGTTGGAAACTGAGAAATCTCAAGTATATTTAAGAGTCTTAATCATATATTAGGTTGTGGTGTTCAAACAAGTTATAAAATGCTAAAAATAAGTGACTTTTAAAATTCATATTTGAATGAAACTAATATAACAATTAGCTATGTAGTTTAAATAATGCAAAATGAGCTACTTTGATTAACGTCAGTAGGAAAGTAGTTTCCATTGAAACCTTTCACGTTATGGCTACTACACTCAATTTTTAAAAACCAACAAAAACTTTTGAGTCCCTGACTTTGAGGCGTGTAAAATATCATGGAAATATCTATTGACGCCAATTAGGTGGATGGCGAGAGGAACAGTTAGTATAGTCATTAGGTGGCATTGGGACTTGTTTTACATTATGACAGTGACACTTTTTTCTCTTGGTTGAAATCCCTATCCAGAAAGCTGGGGAAATCACTCCAGATGTGTCTATCCCTCTAAATTCTAGCTTGCAGGCACTCTAGCTATTTTAAATGAAAATGATTTCTCATTAGAACAGAAGAAAAATCAAGAAAAAGCTCTTTCTTTGTGCCCTAAACACATTACCCCAAAATTCTGGCCAGTAATTGTAGCTCTTCTAGAGCCTGTTGTTCTAGAAATAAAATATTAAAGATTAACTTTATCAATTTACCATTCAGTAGCTTCTATATGCAGAGAGCTTTATCCTAAATCTGAATCTTGTTCTTATAGAATAATAACCTATCTGTGACAGGGAAACTGTTGTGTGCTCAGCAAATTTATGTTCTTTTCCTTTTGGATAAACAGCTGAGCCACATTTCCTGAGCACTCCTGCAATTAGATGAAGACATGTGGTTAGTCTTAGCCAGCAGAATATAGGCAGAAGAAATATTTGCAGGCCTAACCTCTAAAGCCTCTTTTACAATCCTTTAGGTGGGTTCTGTTTCTTTCTTCTCTGTGGAAAAGAAAAGCAGATGATTCACTGGAAGGCTCTTGCGCCCTAGGGGATGGTGAACACACTAGTTGGAAGAAACTTGGGCTCCCAATTAGAAGCATAGAAGATAATTGGACTTGGATGAGTCGTGAAACTTTATTGCACCCAATCACTAAGTTGTTAGGAATTTTTTTACTGCTTTTTGTCTACTCTTTGGAACTCAACATCTATCCATAGAATAAAGGAGACTTAATAGTACTGACAATTCGTGGATTTAGTAACTGGAAAGTCATCCCAACCTGGTGCCTTACTTATTGTTTGGGAGAACTTCTTGTAAGAGATTACCTTCTATGTGTCCAGGCCTAACAAAGCCTTCTATTACCCTACCCCTAGTGCTCTTCAACAGGATACCTCAATCACCCTCAGCTTTCAATGACAATTAAAATTTATCAGCCCCTGTTTTCTTCATTCTGGTTGAAGCTATGCCTGCAGTGCATATACCTGTTTATAGAATGTACATCTTACCTCTCATGCCCTCACCCTGCCTATATAGGGTGCATTTATTTTACTTATTTATTTATTTATTTTGAGACTTAGTTTCACTCTTGTCCCCCAGGCTGGAGTACAATGGCACGATCTCGGCTCACTGCAACCTCCACCTCTTGGGTTCAAGCCATTCTCCTCCCTCAGCCTCCTGAATAGCTGGGATTACAGGTGCCTGCCATCACACCCGGCTGATTTTGTGTTTTTAGTAGAGACAGGGTTTCACCATTTTGGACAGGCTGCTCTCGAATTCCTGACCTCAAGTGATCCACCCACCTAGGCCTCCCAAAGTGCTGGGATTACAGGCGTGAGCCACCGTGCCCAGCCTATGGGGTGCATTTATGCTCTGCTCATGGGTCAAACCCTGCAAAGAAGTCTTCTCTTTTCCCTTCTTTATTAGTTTTGTCTGGCTGCCCCTCTTCTGTACTGACAAGACATACTCTGTACTCACAAGACATG
This sequence comes from Homo sapiens, assembly GCF_000001405.40. NCBI lineage: Eukaryota > Metazoa > Chordata > Mammalia > Primates > Hominidae > Homo > Homo sapiens. The sequence continues at coordinate 93,216,163 of NC_000023.11, read as the reverse complement.
TCACAAAATCTACATATTTCTATTATAGAACATCCTCAAATAGTTCCTGGTAGGGTATGATCTTTTTGCGACAGACATTCTAATACCAGATCTTAGTACAGTATATGTACTGAGTAAACATTCACGTCTTCAATTTTCCCTGGTAATGTTGGTAAAACTTTCGGAATCTTTACTGTAAACTCACTATATATGAATACTTTGTTTACATGCCAACCAACTTCAGGATTTTCAGAGTTTTATATAATTAAATTGTAATATACCTTTTAATTTTGGAACGACATAGACTCCGACTGGTGTATCACTCAGGGTTCTTCCTTTATTTGGCAGTGTCTGCTAAAGAGGCCACTCTCACTGCTGCAGGATGGCACTAATTTTGGAAATCTCTTTGTCTTAGCTCTACGGAGAAAAAGACCCTGGCCAAGTACCTGCCTTAGGTTTGTGGCCTTGCTACCTAATATAGTAGAGAAAGAAACTTGCCCACTTCCATTCCTGTTTGCAGTGAGAAATAAAGCTCTCTGACCTGCCATTACTGTGTATAATGCAGGATTCGTCCTATGTAAAAACGAAGATTTTGATACTGGGCAGTGTCCCTCCATCTCCATGGTAATTAAAAAAAATGTCATTTATACCTGTTTTGATCACCACAGTGCATCTGTGTATTCACTGGGCCTCAATCTTTTGGAGTCTGAATTATTCTGACAGTTGTTGAGGATGATATCTTGACAGAACAGACTTTAAAAAGTATCCCATAAAATTTTGTAAGAAATGAGACCTATTGATGTGAATTTCAGTGCAAAAGAAGACTATTAAACTGTACTCTTACAATACTTCAAAAGGAGAGATGTGCCTAGTATAAATAGAAAACTATATAATTTTTAAAAAGTTTTAATTTTTTATATATTTCTCTAATTTAAAATTGATCATATAAAACTTTATTGAATACTGTATCATTCCTATTCACAGATTACATCATTCAGAGCAAAAATGTGACTAAATATAAGAATATGTATTAAAAAACTCTTCATATAAATTGAGGTAAAACAGATTACATATAACTTTATCATACCTGGTTTATATTATTTAACTTCATGATTTGTTTATATTGTCTTTCTTATTTTTAATAGGTAGTATCATATCAAATCAATTAGAAAAATTTGAAATTTTATGTAATGAAATTTTGTTCATTAATATTTAGGAATTGGGTTCCGTATGCTAATACAATATCATCATTATCATCATCATACCAGCTTACTTTTTTTTTTTTTTTTTTTTTTTTTTGAGACGGAGTCTTGCTCTGTTGCCAGGCTGGAGTGCAGTGGCACAATCTCGGCTGAATGCAGCCTCCACCTCCTGGGTTCAAGTGATTCTCCTGCCTCAGCCTCCTGAGTAGCTGGGACTACAGCCACATGCCACCACATCCAGCTAATTTTTTGTATTTTTAGCAGAGATGGGGTTTCACCATGTTGGCCAGGATGGTCTCTATCTCCTGATCCTGTGATCGGCCTGCCTCAGCCTCCCAACATGCTGGGATTACAGGTGTGAGCCACTGCACCCAGCCTCCCACCTTACTTTTTAAAAGTACATTACTCTTCAAATCAGTTTCATGTTTAGTAACTCTCATGTTCCTCACAATTTCTCAGTAAAATCAATAGGGCCAAGGTGATAATTTCCATTTGTCAGAAGAGGAAACTGAGGCAAGCTTTGGTGACTTATCTATGATCACAAAGTTTGTAACAGAGCATATACTAAAACACCAGCCTTCTGACTTGAAACCAGTGAGCTATGCATTCCAGTACAAGGTATTATCAAGTGTATATATTGTGAATAGGTAGATAAAGTAAAGCCAGATAATTACCTAAAAATGTAGGGTAACTAATATCATCTTGATGGTTTTGGTAGTAAAAAAGGCAAAAGGTCTTTGGACAGAAATTGTTACTTGATTTTTTGTGTGTGTTTTATATACTTGATTATGGAAATAGCAGCTAACACAAAAAGGTGTCAGTGACTGCAGCTATGCAATGAGTCATAGTTGCTCTGGTCTTTCAAGTATTTTAATAATAATATTAGCTAACAGAAATATAGAAGTAATTACATGCTGGTCACTAATCTATGCACTCTAAATTGACATATTTGATTTACATTACAATTCTATGAGGTAGATGCTATTGTTATTCCATTTAAAAATCAGGAAACCGAGGCTCAGGAAGTTAAAATAATTTTTCCAGGGTCACAAAGAAGTTGCAGAGCTGATATTCAAACCTGGGCAGTTTGGCTCTAGTGTCTTCCCTCTTAAGCACTATAATATACTATTACCCACATTTTACATGTATAGAAAATGAAGTGCAGAGTTTACCTTGCTCAAGGTCAGGAGTCAGTATGTAAACTTAATCTGGATCCAGAATACAGAATCTTAACAATTATGCCATACTGAAAAAAATGACTGCTTTAAATTCTTAATTACACAGAGATTTCTTTATTCTAGTGATTGACAACTATGGGTTATTTTGCGCCCTGGAGAGACATTTGACAAAATCTGAAGACGTATTTGGTTGTGAAAATCTGAGAAGGGGTGGGCAGAATGGAGGAGGTGATGCTGACAACTAGTGGGTAGAGGCCAGAAATTCTGGTAAATGTCCTTTCATCTAAAGTGCAGCTCCCTACAACAAAGAATTATCTAGTCTCAAATATCAACAGTGCTGTGGTTGAGAAACTTTGCTTTATTTTTACTATTATTATCTTTATGTAGATATAAACATGGTGAAGCATATTTCCGGGTATCATTTAGTTTATAGGGGGATATGCTAATAATGTCAAATGAAACAGTAGCACAATTTAAAAGTCTAGAATAATGTACGTTTAAAAACTGTCTTTAAAATTTATATTTAACTTTTTAAATAAACTGGAAAAAACATTCAAATCTTATAATACAGCCATCCTACGGGATGAAAACTGTTATTTTTGTAATTTTTTCTTTTCTAGTGAGCTTCCAGTCCCTCATATAATGCCGTTTTTGTTCTGCTATATGAGAAAATTGGTGAAAAGGCAAGCCAGTTAAGCCACCAATTCCTTGAGAATCAATGAGAGCATTAAAGTGAGAATTCTCTTCCCTGCACAAATCCAGAGGGTAAATTACTACCCTCTGGTAGTAATTTCTGAGCTGAAAAAAGAAATTTTGAGTAGATTTGTTTTAGTATCACTTTTTAAAAAAAACTACACTTTAATTATTAAGTTACTTGTATATTGGTCAATATTTCAGAATTAACAGTTTGCCTGGTACAAAGGCAAATACACACAGGAAATCAATAAACATTACTGGATGATAGTGATGATGATGATAATGATGTCAATGAATAAGCTTTGGAAATACATTTGTATATAACAATATTAACTTAAATGTTTCTTATATTTAAAGTCATGAAAAGATAATCCCACTTACAAAGCACAGAAGGTAGCTAATAAACTATGTACATGGTAGTTAATTTATAACACACACCAAAACCTCACTAATTTACAACTATGAACATGCAAATGATACAACAAAATGTTTTTTAGGGTATTTTGAACAAAGGATTTTCTTACTGCAGTACTTGCAGTAACAAAATGCTATATATAAAAATATATAGTACTTGGTCAGCAAAGGCCTCAAGGAGCAAATCCATTGAATAATAATATAGTTAGTTATTCTTAGTTATTATAAAACTACAAAACAATTGCAGATAAATAATTAAGGAACTGATAATGAAAATCAGAATAAATTACAAAGAATTATAGTTTAATTGGTACTGCCTTATAGGTTTGAGTATACTATGTCAAGAAAAAGAAAGAAAATTTTACTGAAACATTTGCTAATCATAATTTTATTTTTCATTGAGTAGAAAACATAGACTTAACTATAAATGCTGTGAAGTTATTTTGTATTAGAGCTCTTTGTTACCTTGCAACTCTAACATAAAGGTTACATTATTTTCCTGTCTTATCCATTCACAGTTAAGGTCATTTTATGATTCTTAATGATGCTATTCTAAAGCAATTAAAGGGTGGAGAATAAATAAATCTTCCCTTCTTTTCTATTTCTTTCCATCTCCCAGTGACCAGCCTATTAACTTTTCTATACCAAATGATAAAAATACTTACAGCACATCAGCAAAAAGACCTTGGAAGCGGTCATGGCAAATAGCTATCACAGAGACTGAGAACGATGCATATCTCTCACTTATGTGTGTGGAGGGGGCAGTGGGGTGGCTGCGTGTGCGTGCTTCAAATGCATAATGGCAAGGAACTGCTCTCACTTAGATCACATTTAAGGAACAGGTACATGATTAACTTTCTACTTGGAACAGGCACCTAGTCCCCTGCTCTCACATGAGCTCAGAAATAAGACCCCTCACTGATCTCTGGTTATTTATCTTGCTTCCCTGGTTCCCCTTCACCTATGGCTACCAAAAAATACTTTGAAGTGCAGAATGTGGATTGATATCTCTGACACACATTTTGCTTGATAGCACACAAAAGACTAAAACCCATTAATAAAAATGCAAGATGTGATTTCACAAAAAGAAGTGGAGAAGACACACAGAAGACGACAGTATGGCTGAAACACAAAATGTAGGTCTAATGAAAAATGGAAGAGGAGCTACTGTCTTTTAGGCAAGATTAAATTCTTTACCACTTACATGGTCTATGAGATTATCACTAATATAGTAAAACATATGTCTTCTCTTCAGTAATTTCCAATCTTCTTACTCTCATTGCCTGTTCATGGCACAAATGTGAAGACAAGGATAGGTCCAGCACACCACACTTTATTTTCATCCAATTTCCTCCTGTTAGATCAGATTATGTTTCATCCAAACCAATTCCCACTATTGATCTCATTAAAACATTTATTTGGAGACAGTAATACTCTCCACAATGTAGCAATAAAAAACACAAAATAAATTGGACAAGGGCAAGGGAGAATTAAAATAATTGTTCAGTACTCGTTTCAGTTTCTGGATCCAGAAGTTCCTTGTAATGCCAATGGAGTCATTCAGAAATTCTTCAAGTAAGGTTAAAATAATTCATGATCCTCCCTTCATTTAACAAGCATAGTACTCCCATGGACATGTCAGTACTTTAAACACATTTTAGGCTATTTATAAATCAGGGGGCAATTGTGATCATTTGTTCTAGATTTGTCTTTCTCCCTTCTTGTTAAAAATGTAAACTTCTTTCTTTTTAAGGCTAAACATTCTGTGTCTTCTAGAACTTCACCTCTTTAATGTATCTCCTTTTTCTACCATTAATCTGTTTCTCTCTGTTAAATTCTTATTACTCCACACTGCGCCCAAGACTTCTCTTCCCTAACAAAGCAATACAAAATCTCTACCTGTAATCCAAACTCTCAATCTGATTTAGGGTTATTTGCCTGCAAAGAACAGGAACCTGTTAAAAGATGTTAAGGTATAAAGGAGACGTTAAAAATGAGTTGTCTTAAAACACCAAAAGAGAGTACCAAAAGGATTTTAGGGGAACTGGAGATCTGTAAGGCAGCTAGATTCTCCCATAAGTGTGTGCACACACACATACATGCATATACAGACACATAAATGAGGTCATACTATATGTATTTTTCAGTGACTTGATTATTGATTAAAAAAACATTTTTTACAATAAACTACATAATAGTCCATAAATTAAATATTCCATAATTTACTTAACAATTTCCCCGATTAGCAGTTATGTATCTTGTTTTTAACTGTTCCCCCCACCCTGAAGGAGTCTCGCTCTGTCACCCAGGCTGGAGTGCAGTGGCACGATCTCGGCTCACTGCAACCTCCGCCTTCCGGATTCAAGTGATTCTCCTGCCTCAGCCTCCCTAGTAGCTGGGATTACAGGCGCCCGCCACTAAGCCCAGCTAATTTTTCTATTTTTAGTAGAGACGGGGTTTCACCAGGTTGGCCAGGCTGGTCTCGAACTCCTGACCTCAGGTGATCCGACCGCCTCAGCCTCCAAAAGTGCTGGGATCACAGGTGTGAGCCATCACACCCAGCATTTTTAGCTTTTTAAATACATTTCAAATATTGCTGCAATAATTTCTACCACATCTTACTGTACGTGTATAAGTTTTTCTGTCAAATACAATACCATAAGTAAAATAGTTTGGTCTAAGGCATGCACAAGAATTTTAATAGATATTGTCAAAGTGATATTCAAACAAGCTTTATCAAATTATACTCCCAGTAATCTGGTATGATGAAACCTATTTCCCAATATTCTCCTCAACAGTGGATATTATCAATGTTTTAAATATTTGCCAAAGTAAAGAATAAAAATCAGTAGCTCACTGATGCTTTATTTTCATTATTCAGTTTTATCTTATTTTCAATTTTTTTATTGATTACTAGTGAGCCCACGTAATTTTTACACATCTATTGGTCCATATTTATTTCTAAGAGTTGTTTATTATTGATCTAAGAGACCACTATATATTTACGTAAATGTTACAAATATCTTTGGCCTCTCTTTTTATCATATAGACATTTTACATTTTTATGTAGTTAAATTGGTTGCTATTTTATCTGTAGCTTCTGGGTTCTGTATCATAATTAATAAATTCTTCTGTATTCTGGGATTAAAATACACAATGAGATTCTTCTGATATGATTATAGTTTTGTCTTTAGCATTTAAAGCTTTACTCTATCTGGAATTTATTTTTGTTTAAGGTGTGAAACAGATTGTCTAAACTTATTTTTATTAGTAGTTTTCCAAACATGTATAAAATATTTCACTCCTTTTTTTATTATATAAAATGCCACTTTTATTGTACATTGATTTTTTAAAATTTTTTCCCCAAAACTCTACCTACTTCCCCACCAACCACTCCAGCCTTCTGGCAACTATCATTTCGCTCTCTAATTCTTTGAGAACAACTTTTTAAAATATCAGTGACATCATGTGGTATTTGTCTTTCTATATCTGGATTCTTTTCACTTGGCATAATGACCTCCAGGCTCATACATATTTAAAATGACAGAATTTTTCCCCTTTTTGTCTTTTAATAGTATTCCATTGTGTACATATACCACATTTTCTTTATCCACCCACCTGTTGATAGAGATAGGTTGAATCCATATCTTGTAAATAATGCTATTATAAATAATGCTGCAATAAACATGGTAGTGCAGATATTTCTTCGACCTACTGACTTGATTTATTTGGACATGTACTCAGCAGTGGAACTGCTGGATCATATGGTAGTTCTATTTTTAATTTTTTGAGAAACCTCCATTCTGTTTTCCATAATAGTGGTACCAATTTATACTCCCACAGAGTGTACAAGAGTTTCTTTCTCTTCATGTCTTCACTAACACTAATCTTTTGTGGTTCTGATAATAGCCATTCTAACACATATGAGGTGATGCCTCATATGTGTTAGATTTAATTGGCATTTGCCTGATTATTAGTGGTTAAACTTTTTGTTTTTTTTTTAAATCAGTTGACCATTCGTATATCTTCTTTTGAAAAATGTCTGTTCAGGTTCTCGGCCCATTTTAAAATTGGATACTTATTTTATTGGTATTGAGTTGAGTTACTCAGGTAATTTGGATATTAACCCCTTATCAGGTGTACAGGATACAACTATTTTCTCCCATTGTGTAAGTTGTTTCTTTATTCTGTTATTGATTTCCTGGCTCTGTGGAAGCTTGTTAGTGTAATGTAATATCATTTTTCTCTTTTTACTTTTTTTGTCTGTGCTTTCAGGGTCATATAAAAAAAATCATTGCTCAGACCAATGTCATGCAGCTTTTCCCCTATGTTTCCTTCCAGGAGTTTCAAAGTTTGAGGTCTTACATTTAAGTTATTTAACTTATTTTGAGTTAATTTTTGTATACAGTATGAGATAAGGGCCTAGTTTTATTGTTCTGCATGTGGATATCCAGTTACCCAGCACCATTTAAAGAGAACATTCATTTCCCATTGTGTGGATTTATTTCTGGGCTCTATTTTCTATTCCAATAGCGTATGCCTCTCTTTTTTTTTTATATCAGTACCATACTGTTTTTATTACTGCAGCTATGCAGCATATTTTGATGTCAGCTAGTTTGATGCTTTCAACTTCATTATTTTTGCTCAAGATTGCTTTGACTACTTCTGGTATTTTTGTGATTCTATACAAATGTAATCACTGATTTTCATACTTCTATGAAGAATATAATAGGTATTTTGATATTATGGTATTCAATCTGTTGGTCACTTCGAGTAGTATGGAAACTTTAACAATATAATTCTTCCAATTAATGAGCCTAGATATCTTTTCATTTATTTGTGTCTTCTTCAATTTCTTTCATCAATGTTCTACAGATTTCAGGATAGAGATCTTTCACTTCCGTGGTTAAATTTATTTCTAACTATTTTGTTTTTATAGCTATTGTAAATGAAATTACTTTCTTTATTTCTTTTTCAGATAGTTTGCTTTTAGTGTATAGAAATACTACTGATTTTTGTATGTTGATTTTGTATCCTGAAACTTTAGTGAATTTGTTTATCAGTTCTAACAGACTTTTGGTGGAGTCTTTAAGATTTTCTATGATCATTTCATCTGCAGAGATGGTTTGACTTTCTTCTTTCCTATTTGGATGCCTTTCATTTCGTTCTCTTGCCTAATTGCCCTGGCTAAGACTTAAGAGTTCTATGTTGAATAGAGGAGGCATAAGTGGCCATCTTTATCCTGTTCCAGGTCTTAGAGGAAAAGTTTTCACTTTTTCTTGTTGAGGATGATTATAGCTGAGGGTTTGTCATGTATGGTCGTTACTGTGTTATAGCATGATTATCCTGTTCCTAATTTGTTGAGAGGTTTTACTGTGTGAGGATGTTTTGTTTAAATGCTCTTTTACATATATTGAAACAATATTATAGGTTTTTTCCCTTCGTTCTATTAATGTGATGTTCCACATTTATTGATTTGCTTATCTGAACCACCTTGCTTGTCTAGAATGAATCCCACTTGATCATAGTGAATAATCATTTTAGTATACTGTTGAATTCAGTTTGCTGGTATTTTCTTAGGCTTTTTGCCTTTCTGTTTATCAGGAATATTTTTCTGTAGTTACCTTTTTTTATAGTGTCTTTGTCCAGCATTGATATCAGGGTAATGCTGGCCTCATAAAATGAGTCTGGAAGTGTTTCCTCTTCTTTAATATTTGTGAAGCATTTGAGAAGAATTGGTGTTAGTTCTTTAAAAGTTTGATAGGATTTAGTAGTGAAGACATCAGGTCCTGGGACTTACTTTGATGGGAGACATTTTATTACTGATTCAATCTCCTTACTCATTATTGGTGTGCTCAGATTTTCTACTTCTTCGTAGTTGAATATTGGTAGATTCTATGTGGCAAGAAATTAACTTATTTCTTTTAGATTATCCAATCTGTTGGCATATGTTAATGCATAATAGTCCTTTATGATCCTTCATATTTCTGGCTTATTGGTTATATTGTCTTCTTTTACGTATTTGATTTTTTTAATTCTCTCTTTTTTTAACTTTTATTAGGTTTGGGGGTACATGTAAAGGTTTGTTATGTAGGTAAATTTGTGTCACAGAGATGTGTTGTACAGATTATTTCAACACCCAGGTATTAAGTCCAGTACACAATAGTTATCTTTTCTGCTTCTCTCCCTCCTCCCACTCTCCACCCCCAAGTAGAACCCAGTGTCTATTGTTTTCTTCTTTGTGTTCATAAGTTCTTATCATTTAGTTCCCACTTACAAGTGAGAACATGCAGTATTTGCTTTTCTGTTCCTGCATTAGTTTGCTAAGGATAATAGCCTCCAGCTCCATCCACGTTCCTACAAAAGACATGGTCTCATTCTTTTTTTTATCACTGCATAGGGTTCCATGGTATATATGTACCACATTCTCTTTATCCAGTTTGCTGTTGATGGCCATTTAGGTTGCTTCCATGTCTTTCCTATTGTGAATAGTGTTGCAATGAACATTCACATGCATGTGTCTTTATGGTAGAATGTTTTATATTTGTCTGAATATATACCCAGTAATGAGATTGCTGGGTCAAATGGTAGTTCTGCTATTAGCCCCTTGAGGAATCACCATACTATTGTTCCACAAACAGTGTATAAGTATTCCCATTTCTGTGCAACCTTACCCACATCTGTTATTTTTTTACTTTTTAATAATAGCCATTCCAACTGGTGTGAACAAAGTGGGCAAAGGACATGAACAGACACTTCCCAGTATTCTCTCAGTAGTAAGGAATAATTAGTCCTAGAATGAGCATTACTATTTTCCTAACAAATCTTAATAGAAACACCAAAAAGATCATGTTATTTCAAAATAACTGCCACCTAGGATGAAACTAAAATAATATTTATAGGACCAAAAAGTTATTCAGCACTCAACAGTGTAACATTCATAATGTCTGTTTTCCAGCAAGAAAATGACCAGTCATGCAAAGAAGGAAAATGTGGACCCATAATGAGAAGATAAATCAGTCAACTGAAAATCACCCATAACTGACACATATGTTAGAATGAGCAAAGGGCAACTATATATCTGTGTGTGTGTATGCACATATGTATTCTGTATGCTTAAAAAGTTAAGACACATGGAAGATGTGAAAAAGATTCAAACTGAATTTCTTGACATGAAGAACACAATATTTGAAATGAAAACTGTAACTTTTAAGATAAAAGATATTCTGGATGGGATAAAAGGCAGATTACACATTGACAAATATATTAGTGAAATTTAAGACATAGCTGCAGAAACTATTCAAAATGAAACAGAAAAAATATTTAAAAATAAGAAGAGCATCTGTGAATGGTGGGATAATTTCAAGAGGACTAACATATTTTTAATTACACTTCCTGCAGGAAAGGAAAGAGAGGCTGAGACCAAAAATGTGAATAAATAATGTCTGGAAATTTTCCTAATTTGATAAAAACTATAAACCTACATATACAAGAAACTCAAATAAACCTGAAGAAAATTAACCAAGACATGTCACAATAAAATTGCTCAAAACCAGAGACCAAGACAAAATATTGAAAGCAGCCAGAGAAAATAGACTATGTGATAGTAGAGTGACATTCTCTGCTGACTCACTTACTCAACCCCAGTCTCAGAGAAAGCTGTAATATAAATAAATGCCTAGATGTGTGTGTCCTTGGAGCATATGCTTAACTGCTAGGTTTGGGGGACCGTGAACGTGGTGCTGGTGGTGAGGATGATTATATCTCGGAATTTTTTTGTAACTGTGTTACTCAGTCCCTAGGCTTAAACCATATACAACTTGCATTTTTTTTTTACTTGCTGCTACTAATATTTTCACACACAAATCTGAATTTTAGAGATTTATATATATATATATGCTGTATTTTTTTCAAATACATAGAAATGCATTTCTACTATTGGAAGGATATGAATCACAATATAATATGTAATTACTTATTGTGTTTATTTTCATGACTGTCAGATACAAATTGTATAGATACTGAAATTCAAAATACATTAAGATATTGATGCTAATAGGAAGAATCTAGAAAAAATCTCCCCCAAATTCTCCCATATAAATAAGTTTATGGGTGAAAAAAAGTATGAAATGTTCATCGACTATAGATTCCCTGGCAAACCTCTCCTGGACTATACTTCAACTGTAGTGAATTATTAAATAGTCAGTGAAGCAGAGTCACTTCTTTGCTACTATTTTCATTTTTATCCTACAATCTTACAAAGTATCTTATACTCTAGGATGGAATTTCAAAGAACGTTTCACTCTGTCTTGTTTTTCTGTCACTACTCATTGGACATATCTCTGCTATTATTCACTGAGTCGGGATTTTAAAATCATGTCTCTATAACATAGACTAAAAAACTAGTGAATGGAAAAGAGCTATCTGCATTATTTTAAAATAATCAGAAAAAGTAACATAATCAAATAGAAATATGAAAGAGCAGTTCATACAAAAGAGCAAATGTCTTAAAAACGTATATAAAGATGTTCAGCCATACTTATAATCTAAGAAATATAATAAAACAGCAATAAGATAGCAACTTTGAATTGCTGAATATAAAAATTTTGATTATACTCAGTTTTTATGAGTATGACAGAAAGAGGCACTTCTATACTTTGTTGCTAGGAGGTGAGTTTGAAGTAATCTTCTTGGAGAACAATTGTACAATTGCAATCAAAATTAAAATGCACATGCCTTTTGACCATAAGGGAGGCTGCTTAAATAAATTGTGAGACATGTATACAATGAAAAAATTCAGCCACTATAAATGAGACAGACTGATATATGATGAATCTGTATATGCTTATAAGGAAAGTAAGTTGCTGAATACTTTGTATTTGGAAAGCAATTCTTCATGGTTGTTACCACTGTGGGAAAAATGGCAGTGAGATAGTGTGCTTATACTTGTATTTTCCTACTATTTTTCCTTTGAAATATTCATCCTGACTACATATAATTTGTTTTAAGAGATAGGATCTCACTATGTCCTTTCGGCTGGTCTGGAAGTCCTGGCCTCAAGTGATCCTCCTGCCTCAGCCTCCCAAGCAGCTGGAATTACAGGTGTGAGCTACTGTGCCTGGCTCCCACATATAACTTGTATGGTGAAAACAAATGTATGTTGAAGAGTCAGGAATGACTTTGATGGTACAATAATCAGTTTTTCATTTTGATGAAAAAAGTGAATTTTGTATTATAGAACAAATAAAACTATGATGGATGTTTAAGCTTTATTGTATTTTGACAATTCTATAATTTTTTAAAGTTAAAATACTTCCCTCTCAATAATGTTGGAAGTGCTTAGCCTTCTCCTTACAATCCCAAGTTTCTGGTATGAAATTAGCGATGAACTATTTCTCCACTCAGTCCAAACTCTGGATTAGGAGAACAAATTCTAGAGTCAAGATTCCTTAGATTCAGGTATCTCTGAGTCTCTCCATCTTTGTATCTGAAAAATAGAGTAATAATAACATCCACTTTATGAGACTCTTGTTAAGCCCCAAATAGATTAATGTATAAAGTTATTAAAACATAGTGTTAACCAAATGCTAACTACAATTGATATCCTTATTGATTGATATATGTTAATTAATTAATATCCAATATAAGAGTTTAACTGGCCAATTCATAAAAAAAAGTTTCAAACATTTGACAAAAGTCTTTCACACTTTAACTCATAATGCAGTTGATATCTTTAACTTATGCCTTTAAAAAAGTGGTGCACACAGGCCGAGCTGAGTGGCTCATGCCTGTAATCCTAACACTTTGGGAGGCCATTAGAGACCAGCCTGGCCAACATGGTGAAACCCTGTCTCTACCCAAAATACAAAAATTAGCCGGGCATGGTGGTGTACGCCGGTAGTCCTAGTTACTCAGAAGGGCGAGGCAGGAAAATTGCTCGAACCCAGGAGGCGAAGCTTGCGGTGAGCCGAGGTCGTGCCACTGCACTCCAGCCTGGGAGACAGAACAAGACTCCATCTCAAAAAATAAGTAAATACATATTTTTTTAAATGGTGCACACAGTAAACTCAAGTGAAATTATATGTCATTTATTTGTAGAAAACGCCAAGAAACGTAATGGATTGTTACATCAGCAACTGGACACACGATGTTGGTGGGTTAAATTCATTAGCCCAGAACTCTAAATTTCACGCTAAGACGATCTTAGAGAGCCAGCACTGAAATAGTTCTCGGTATAGCATAGAAAGCATGCATTTTCACACGTAATGGCGTATAATTATGTCTGCCTGAAATGTCTTTGTCCCTTTCGTGAGCTGGCAAACCTTACTCTTCTTTCAAACCTAGTTAAATAATAACTCTTCTCTTGAAGTCTTGTCCAATTTTCAGTGACACAATTAGTTTTTCTGTCCTTCCAGTTACATCTTGTTAATATCAATGTAATAGTACTTACCATTTTTTTTTTGGCTGTAATTATCTGCTTACATGTCTTTTTCTGCCCACCGATTGTGAGCATCTCAACAGAAGGCATTATTCCTTATTGATTGTTGGTTCCAGAAACCTCATGACGTTAGTACAACTTGAGATTTCAACACCTTCATCAAAAGATAAAGATACTTGGAAATCTTGTGGTTCAAAGAATCAAACTAATGATAGCCACGGCATGGCTGTGACAGCAATTTGTGAACTTTATCAGAGAAGTCTGTTAATAATCGACACCCGAAGTTAGTCCAGGAAAAACGTCAAATTAGAATTCATAGTACTTGCTAGCTTGGTTCCTGGAGTTTGAATCCCAATTCCACGACTTACTGTATTACTTTGGGAAAATTTATTAACCTTTTGAAAGTCTATCTGTAAGATGGAGATCATAACAATACTAACATTTTGGGGAGTACTTTTGGGAAAACTAGTAAACAACTTTGTAGCTACTTTGTAAGTGGCCAATGGTTGCAAAATGAATACCAACAGAACAGTAAACAACAATAAAAGGAAACCAGGGACTGCATCTCACAATATTAGCTAATGTTTTAAACTATAAGCCAGATTATTATTATTATAAAAAAGTAAATGACACACTTGCAAAAAACTGTGCTTGTTAAATATAATTGCCATCAGAAAAATAAATCTTATAAGGAAAAACAGACTTCAATTCAGAGCACAGGCAATATGCACAGCACCAGAAAGCAATACAAGTATGTGGTGTTCCCCTTATTTAATAGTTAGGCCAGACTCAATTCTGGTGTTCTTAATATTACAGAGCAATAAATACATAACTTGTAGCTCAATTATTTCTGGACAATCTATGAAATTTCTCTGCAACCGTTTGCTGAAAATATAATGCCAAAGCATAAAGTGGATACTGGGACACTGTGTGGCAGAAAAACTATGTTATACAGAATAAACAAATAAATTCTGTGACACAGAATAAATAGCAAAATAATAGGTGATTATGCTTGCAGAGAAGATTAGTTTCAAAAGTGAAAACTTAAATGAAACGAGTTTGCTAGCATAGATCCAAGACATAGTAACTAGTTGAAGGCAAAGTGCTCAAGAGGAACATTTGGTAATATATTCCAAGGTGATTAGAAAAAAAGTGGAAGTCCTATGTTAGGATTTATGGAAATGGCACAGATAGCTTGAACAATTCAATTTCAATAATATTTATCTAATGTCTAATTTTTACAAGATCATTTTGGAGACAGTTTAAAGAATACATTGGGGAAGGGGAAGGGCAGGCTGGAGTTGGATAACATGTACTCACATATAAGTGTATGAGTTTGCATGCATAATTTTATAAAAAGTAAGATTACATTATAATTGTTATTCTGTAAATACCTGCTTTTATTCATCTGTATATCATAAAGTAAATATTAAGTCAAGATGGACTTGGGAATTTTTATAAAGTCCCACTCTCTACTACTCTCAACACAGAATAATGATAGATAAAATATTCTCAAATAATTTAAAATTCACTCATAATTAAAAATTAGGTAACCATCTCCATGGACCAGCAATTAAGCAGTAAAATCAGTAATAAATGAGGACTTGAGCAAGGGTCTTTCTAGGCTCCAGGAACAAAACCAAGCAAAGATGGCTCTGATTCTTGTTTCAAAAGGGCAATAGCATACATGATAAAGGCCCTACATCAAGAGCATGATCCCACCCACACACTCACTGAGGGTCCCCACTCACAGGGGTATCCCACACATAAATTAAGATTAAAAAAATTTCACCTGCAACATGGGGCCTCAGCCAATAATGCACTCTTACCTAGGGTGACGGGTGTAAGCAGAAACAGCCAAGCAAGCAGGTTGGGTCAAGCTGCTTATGATATGCTGATAAGATGAGAACTCTTAGCTATGAACAGAAAACCTGGTTCTGAAACAGTAACCCAAGTGGACAATGTAATTATGACTCTCAAATCATCAAAGATGGAGCGTTGGGCTCACAAAAGGAAAACACATTCACACACACACACATATTAAAACTATCACAAAAGACAGTTTTAAAAACTATCGCAAAAACTGAGCTTATTAACTAAAAATCACAACCGATTACTGAAATTGAGCCAGACTACGACTGAAAATGTCAAAACCTGATCTTAACAGATGGGAGTCTTTTACATTTAAAAAACACGGACAAAAACAGAACAATTTTCAAAAAAGTAAAATTGAATAAGCCTATTAAAAATCTTCAAGGAGCAGGGCTTAATACCCAGGTAATAGTTTGACAGGTGCAGCAAACCAACATGGTACATGCTTACCTTTGTAACAAACCTACATGTCCTTCACTTGTAACCTGGAACTTAAAATAAAATTAAATCAAATTTTTAAAAATTTTCAAGGAGATATAAGAAAGAATAAAAATTATTAAGTAAGTAAATAATATAAGCTGGAATTCAAAGTTACCTTTTTGAGCACTACTCATTCTCTGTGTGTCTTCTGTGTATATATAAAATGTATATATTATCAAAATTATTTTTGTTTTTCTCTGGTCAGTTTGTCTTTTGTCACAGGGGCTCATTCCAGCTAAAAGTCTGCGGGGGTTATTTTCCCCCTAGAAATGTTTACGTTACAAATGAAGAACACTTTGATATTAATTAGCTGAGCATAGAGAGAAGTTAATTTGAAAAGGAAGAATATTACCCAAGACAGTAAAAAGAATTAAAAATACAAAGTATCCATGAAAAGGGAAATAATCATTCAAGGGAGAGAATCAACAAAACCAAAAGATGGATTTTAGAAAATATCAATTAAATTTTCAAGTTTTTTGTATGGTTAATTATGATAGACATAAAAGTCACAACCAATAAGTATCATAAATAAAAAGGGAAAAACTATAGATATTTTAGAGATTACTAAAGAAAGAAAAAATTTTTTAAAACCTTATACCAATACACTTGAAAACTACATGATTAGGATGATATCTTACCAAAAGTGACTTAAGATGAAACAGAAATCATCAATGGTTTATATCAAAGAAATAGGATCAATATTTTAAAATCTTTCTACAAAGAATACAGCATGCTCGGTTGGCTTTATAGGAGAACTTAATCAAAATATTTAAACACCATATTAAGCAACCTCTTCTAGATAATCAAAAATAAGGAGCCATTTCTAACTCATTTTATGAGACTAGCATAACTTCGATATCAAAGCTAGATAAGGAGGATAAAAGAAAGAAAATTATGTCAATAACTTCTAGTTGTCCATCAGTATCTTTTCTTCTCTTCTTCTTATGACAACAGAACTCCCCAGCTTTAGCTGGGCACATGACTTCCTAGAAGGCAACTACATTCCTTGGTCCTCCCTTGCAGCTAGGTGTAGCTACATGACTAATTTCTGGTTAATGACATATGAACAGGGTTTTTTTGTGTCACCTCCCGGTAGTGATCTAAAAAAGGGGGCATGGATTCATTTTTCTCCTTTTTTACAGACTGGAATGTGGGTAGGATAGCAAGAACTAGAAGAGAGACAGTTTGGGCCCAAAGAAGGAAGCTGTGTTTTGACATGGTAGAGCAAAGCTATCACCTACATCTATACTACTAAGTTGGAGAAAAATGAATCTCTATTTTATTTCATTTAAACCACTATATTTTCTGGCAATGTTTGTTATAGTACATTATGTTGTACCCTATCTATTACATTTATAGGTGAAAGTAACCAACAACACAGATACAAAGAATCTTAAATTACAGAGGAATGAAATCCAACAAAAGATGTAAAAAAAAATGTACTACATCATGACTAATTTGGGATTAACATAGGAAGATGAACTTCTTTTGTATGTGGTATGTGTATGAGCTAACTGTTAAATATAGCCACTATTAAGAATTAAATTATATAACATTTTTAAGTAATATTTTTTATTTCAAAAGGTTTTGAGGGAACAGGTGGTGTTTGGTTACATGAATAAGATCTTTAGTGATGATTTCTGAGATTTTGGTGCACCCATTATTCAAGCAGCGTATGCTGTACCCAATGTGTAGTCCTTTATTCCTCACCCCCGCCCCACGCTTTCCACCAAGTCCCCAAAGTCTATTTTATCATTCTTATGCCTTTGTGTCCTCATAGCTTAGCTCTCACTTATGAGTGAGAACATATGATGTTGGGATTTACGTTCTGAGTTACTTCACTTAGAATAATAGTCTCCAATTCCATCCAGGTTGCTATAATGCAAATGACATTATTTTCTTCCTTTTTATGACTGAGTAGTATTCCATGGTATACATATATATCACATTTTCTTTATCCA
Organism: Homo sapiens; assembly: GCF_000001405.40. Lineage (NCBI taxonomy): Eukaryota > Metazoa > Chordata > Mammalia > Primates > Hominidae > Homo > Homo sapiens. Next base: position 93,197,943 of record NC_000023.11, on the reverse strand, counting down.
CTCATTAATTGATGGACATATATATCACATTTTCTTTATCCACTCATTAATTGATGGACATTTGGACCGGTTCCATATTTTTGAAATTGCAAATTGTGCTGCTATAAACATGTTTGTGCAAGTATCTTTTTTTGTATAATGATTTATTTTCCTCTGGGTAGATACCTAGTAGTGGGATTGCTGGATCAAATGGTAGATTTACTTTTACTTCTTTAAAGAATCTCCACACTGTTTTCCATAGTGGTTGTACTAGTTTATATTTCCACCAACAGTGTAAAAGTGTTCCCTTTTTCCCACATCTATGCCAACATCTATTATTTTTTGATTTTTTTATTATGGCCTTTCTTGCAGGAGTAAGGGAGTTTTGCATTGTGGTTTTGGTTTGCATTTTTCTGATAATTAGTGATGTGGAACATTTTTCCATGTGCTTGTTTGCCATTTGTATATATTCTTTTGAGAATTGTTTGTTCATATCCTTAGCCCACTTTTTAATGGGCTTGTTTGTTTGTTTTGTTTTTTCATGCTGATTTGAGTTCTTTGTAGATTCTGTATATTAGTACTTTGTCAGATGTATAGAATGTAAAGATTTTCTCCCGCTCTGTGGGTTGTCTGTTAACTCTGCTGCTTATTTCTTTTGCTGTGCAGAAGCTTTTTACTTTAATTAAGTCCCACTATTTGTCTTTGTTTCTGTTGCATTTGCTTTTGGGTCATGAAGTCTTTGCCTAAGCCAATGTCTAGAAGGGTTTTTCTGATGTTATCTTCTAGGATGTTTATGGTTTCAAGTCTTAAATTTAGGTATTTGATCCATTTTGAGTTGATTTTTGTGTAAGGTGAGAGATGAGGATCCAGTTTCATTCTTCTACATGTGGCTGGCTAGGCAAATTTTCCCAGCACCATTTGTTGAATAGGGTGTCTTTTCCCCCACTTTATGCTTTTGTTTGCTTTGTTGAAGATCAGTTGGCTCTAAGTATTTGGCTTTATTTCTGGGTTCTCTATTCTGTTCCATTCTTCTATGTGCCTATTTTTCATACCAGTACCATGCTGTTTTGGTGACTATGGCCTTAAAGTATAGTTTGAAGTTGGGTAATGTGATGCCTCCAGATTTGTTCTTTTTGCTTACTATTGCTTTGCCTATGTGGGCTCTATTTTCGTTCCATATGAATTTTAGAAGTTTTTTTTCTAGTTCTGTGAGGAATGACGGTGGCATTTTGATGAGAATTGCATAGAATTTGTAGGTTGCTTTTGGCAGTATGGTCATTTTCACAATATTGACTCTACCCATACATGAGCATGGGATGTGTTTCCATTTGTTTGTGTCATCTATTATTTTTTCAGCAGTATTTTGTAATTTTTCTTGTAGTGGAATTTCACCTCCTTAGGTATATTCCTAAGGTTATTTTTTGCAGCTATTTTAAAAGGGCTTGAGTTATTAATTTGATTCTCAGCTTGGTCTCTGCTGGTGTTCAGCAGAGCTACTGATTTGTGTACATTAATTTTGTATTCTGAAACTTTGCTGAATTTATTTACCAGTTCTAGGAGCATTTTTGATGAGTCTTTAGGGTTTTCTAGGTATACTGTTATATTATCAACAAACTGTGACAGTTTCACTTTCTCTTTACCAACTTGGATGCCTTTGATTTCTTTATTTTGCCTGTTTGCTCTGACTAGGTCTTCCAGTACTATGTTGAATAGAAGTGGTGAATGTGGGCATCCTTGTCTTGTTCCAGTTCTCAGGGGTAATGCTTTCAACATTTCCCTGTTCAGTATAATGTTGACTGTGGGTTTGTCATAGGTGGTTTTTATTACTTTAAGGTATGTCTTTTTTATGCCAATTTTGCTGAGGGTTTTAATCATAAAAGGATGCTGGATTTTGTCTCATGCTTTTCTGCATCTATTTATATTATGTGATTTTTGTTTTTAATTCCATTTATATGGTGCATCACATTTATTGACTTTTGGGTGTTAAACTATCCCTGCATCCCTGGTATGAAACCTACTTGATTATGGTGAATTATCTTTTTGATATGATGTTGGATTCAGTAAGCCAGTATTTTGTTGAGAATTTTTGCATCTATGTTCTTCAGGGATATTGGTCTGTAGTTTCCTGTTTTTGTTACATCCTTTATTAGGGTGATACTGGCTTCACAGAAGTAGTTGGAGAGGATTCCCTCTTTCTCTGTCTTTTGTAATAGTGTCAATAGGATTGGTACCAATTCTTCTTTGAATGTCTGATAGAATGCACCTGTGAGTCTGTCTGTTCCCAGGCTTTTTTTGTTGTTGGCAATTGTTTTTTTGTTACCATTTCAATGTCACTGCTTGTTATTTGTCTATTCAGAGTTTCTATATATTTCTGGTTTAATCTAAGAGGGTTGCATATTTCCAGAAATTTTTCCATCTCCTGTAGGTTTTCTAGTTTATGCATGTAAAGATGTTCAAAGTAGCCTTGAATAATCTTTTGTATTTCTGTGGTATCAGTAGTAGTATCACCCATTTAATTTCTAATTGAGCTTATTTGGAGCTTCTCTCTTTTTTTGTTGATTATTCTTGCTAAATGTCTATCAATTTTATTTATCTTTTCAAAGAACCAGCTTTTTGTTTCATTTATCTTTTGTATTTTTGTTTGTTTCTCTCAATTTCATTTATATCTGCTCTGATCTTTAATATTTCTTTTTTTTTCTGCTGGTTTAAATTTGAATTGTTTTTGTTTCTCCAGTTCCATGAGGTGTGACCTTAGATTGTCTATGTGTACCCTTTTAGACTTTTTGATGCAGGTATTTAATGCTATGAACTTTCCACTTAGCATAGCTTTTGCTGTATCCCAGACGTTTTGAATAGGTTTTGTCACTATTATCATTTGGTTCAAAGAATTTTTTAATTTCCATCTTAATTTCATTATTGATCCAATGATCATTCAGGAGCAGGTTATTTAATTTCCATGTATTTGCATGGTTTTGAGGGTTCCTTTTGGAGTTGATTTCCAATTTTATTCCACTGACAGAGTACTTGATATAATTTTGATTTTCTTAAATTTACTGAGACTTGTTTTTTAATCTATTACATGGTCTACCTTGGAGAATATGCCATGTACTGATGAATAAAATGTATATTCTACAGTTGTTGGATAGAATGTTCTTTAAGTATCTTTTAAGTAGATTTGTTATAGTTTAAGTCCATTATTTCTTTGTTGATTTTCTGTCTCGATGACCTGTCTATTGCTGTCAGTGGAGTATTAGATTCCCCCACTATTATTGTGTTGCCATCTTTTTCAATTCTTAGGTCTGGTAGTAATTGTTTTGCAAATTTGGAAGCTCCATTGTTAGGTGTATATATATATATATATATGATTGTAATATTTTCCTGTTGGACTAGTCCTTTTCTTTTATCATTATATAATGTCCCTCTTTGTCTTTTTTAACTGCTGTTGCTTTAAAGTTTGTTTTGCTGATACAAAGATAACTACTCCTGCTCAGTTTTGTTGTCTTTTTGCATGGAGTATCTTTTTCCACCCTTTACCTGAAGTTTATATGAGTCCTTATGTGTTAGGTGAGTCTCCTGAAGATAGCAAAAACTTGGTTGGTGAATTCTTATCCATTCTGCTATTCTATATCTTTTAAGGGGAGCATTTAGGCCATTTATATTCAATGTTAGTATTGAGATGTGAGGTACTAATTCCATTCGTTGTATTATTTATTGCCTGAATACCTTGTTGGTTTTTTTTCATTGTGTTATTGTTACATAGGTCCTGTAAGAGTTATGCTTTAAGGAGGTTCTATTTTGGTTTATTCTGAAGATTTGTCTCAAGATTTAGAGCTCCTTTTAGCATTTTTTATAGTGCTGGGTTGGTAGCGGAGAATTATATCAGCATTTGTTTGTCTGGAAAAGACTGTATCTTTCCTTCAGGTATGAAACTTAGTTTCACTGGATACAAACTCTTGGCTGATAATTGTTTTGTTTCAGAAGGCTCAAAATAGGGCCGCAATTCTAGCTTGTAGGGGTTCTGTTGAGAAATCTGCTGTTACTGTGATAGAATTTTTTTTATAGGATGCTTTTGCCTCACAAATCTTAAGATTCTTCCTTCTTCTTGACTTTAGATAACCTGGCAACTATGTGCCTAGGCCACAATTTTTTCAAGATGAATTTCTCAGATGTTCTTTGAGTTTCCTATATTTGGATGTTTAGATCTCTAGCAAGGCTGGGGAAGTTTTCCTTGATTATTCCCTCAAATATGTTTTCCAAACTTTTAGATTTCTCTTTTTCCTCAGGAACACAAATTATTCTTAGGTTTGGATGCCTAACATAGTCCCAAACTTGGAGGCTTTGTTCATTTTTTAAAATTATTTTTTTTGATGGATTGGGTTAATTCAAAAGCCTCATCTTTGAGCCCTGAAGTTTTTTCTTCATCTTGTTTGATTCTATTTTTTAGACTTTCCAGTGCTTTCTGCATTTCTCTAAGTGTGTCCTTGATTTCCAGGAGTTGTGATTGGTTTTTATTTAGGCTATATATTTCACCGAAGATTTTTTCTTTCATATCCTGTATCATGTTTTTGGTTTCTTTAAGTTGGACTTCACCTTTCTCTGGTGCCTCCTTGATTAGCTTGATAATTAACATTCTGAATTCTTTTTCTAGCAATTCAGAGATTTCGTCTACGTTTGGATCCATCACTGGTGTGCTGGTGTGATCTTTGGGCATGTTAAAGAACCCTGTTGTGTCATATTACCAGAATTGTTTTTCTGGTTTCTTCTCACTTGGGTAGGCTATGTCAGAAGGAAGATCTGGGACTCAAGGGCTGCTGTTCAGATTCTTTTGTCCCACGGAGTGTTCCCTTAGTGTGGTGTTCTCCCACTTCCCCTAGGGAAGGGACTTCCTGAGAGCCAAACTGCAGTGATTGTTTTTGCTCTTCTGGATCTATCCACCCAGCAGAGCTACCGGGATCTGGGCTGGTACTGGGGGGTGTCTACAAAGAGTCCTGTGATGTGATCTGTCTTCAGGTCTGTCAGCCATGGATACCAGCACCTGCTCTGGTGGAAATAGCAGAGGAGTGAAGTGAGCTCTGTGAAGGTCCTTGGTTGTATTATTGTTTAGTTTGCCGGTTTTGTGTTGGTTGACCTCCAGCTAGGAGGTGACACTTTCAAGAGTGCATTGTAGATTCTGGATGTTAGCCCTTTGTCAGATGAGTAGACTGCAAAATTTTTTTCCCATTCTGTAGGTTGCCTGTTCACTCTGATGGTAGTTTCTTTTGCTGTGCAGAAGGTCTTTAGTTTAATCAGATCCCATTTGTCAATTTTGGCTTTTGTTGCCATTGCTTTTGGTGTTTTAGACATGAAGTCCTTGCCCATGCCTATGTCCTGAATGGTATTGCCTAGGTTTTCTTCTAGGGTTTTTATGGTTTTAGGTCTAACGTTTAAGTCTTTAATCCATCTTGAATTAATTTTTGTATAAGGTGTAAGGAAGGGATCCAGTTTCAGCTTTCTACATATGGCTAGGCAGTTTTCCCAGCACCATTTATTAAATAGGGAATCCTTTCCCCATTTCTTGTTTTTGTCAAGGTTGTCAAAGATCAGATAGTTGTAGATATGCGACATTATTTCTGAGGGCTCTGTTGTGTTCCATTGGTCTATATCTCTGTTTTGGTACCAGTACCATGCTGTTTTGGTTACTGTAGTCTTGTACTATAGTTTGAAGTCAGGTAGCATGATGCCTCCAGCTTTGTTCTTTTGGCTTAGGATTGACTTGGCAATGTGGGCTCTTTTTTGGTGCCATATGAACTTTAAAGTAGTTTTTTCCAGTTCTGTGAAGAAAGTCATTGGTAGCTTGATGGGGATGGCATTGAATCTATAAATTACCTTGGGCAGTATGGCCATTTTCACGATATTGATTCTTCCTTCCCATGAGCATGGAATGTTCTTCCATTTGTTTGTATCCTCTTTTATTTCATTGAGCAGTGGTTTGTAGTTCTCCTTGAAGAGGTCCTTCACGTCCCTCGTAAGTTGGATTCCTAGGTATTTTATTGTCTTTGAAGCAATTGTGAATGGGAGTTCACTCATGATTTGGCTCTCATTTATGCAGCCAAAAGACACATGAAAAAATGCTCATCATCACTGGCCATCAGAGAAATGCAAATCCAAACCACAATGAGATACCACCTCACACCAGTTAGAATGGTGGTCATTAAAAAGTCAGGAAACAACAGGTGCTGGAGAGGATGTGGAGAAATAGGAACACTTTTACACTGTTGGTGGGACTGTAAAGTAGTTCAACCATTGTGGAAGATAGTGTGGCGATTCCTCAGGGGTCTAGAACTAGAAATACCATTTGACCCAGCCATCCCATTACTGGGTATATAACCAAAGTATCATAAAACATGCTGCTATAAAGACACATGCACGCATATGTTTATTGCGGCACTATTCACAATAGCAAAGACTTGGAACCAACCCAAATGTCCAACAATGATAGACTAGATTAAGAAAATGTGGCACATATACACCATGGAATACTATGCAGCCATAAAAAAGGATGAGTTCATGTTCTTTGTAGGGACGTGGATGAAGCTGGAAACCATCATTCTCAGCAAACTATCGCAAGGACAAAAAACCGAATACCACATGTTCTCACTCATAGGTGGGAATTGAACAATGAGAACACATGGACACAGGAAGGGGAACATCACACACCTGGGCCTGTTGTAGGGTGGGGGGAGGGGGGAGGGATAGCATTAGGAGATATACCTAATGTTAAATGACGAGTTAATGGGTGCAATACACCAACATGTCACATGTATACATATGTAACAAGACTGCATATTGTGCACATGTACCCTAAAACTTAAAGTATAATAGAAAAAAAAAAAAAAGAGTGCATCACCTATGGTATAATACGGAGGATGTAGACTTGCCCTAGGGTCACCTGGTTAAGTATTCTGGTTTCTCAGTGAGTGGGAGGGGTCATACAGTTTCCAAGAGATTATGTCCTTTGTCTTCAGCAACCAGGGCAGGTAGAGAAAGAACACCAGGTGGGGCCAGGGATAAGCATGCCTGAGCTCAGACTCTCCTTAGGCAGAGCTTGCTGTGGCTGCTGTGGGGAATGGGGTATGGTTCCCAGGCCATTGGAGTTATGTTCCTAGGAGGATTATGCCTCCCTCTGCTGAGTCGTATAGGTTGCGAAGGAAGTGGCAGAAAGCCAGCAGTCACAGGCCTCACCCCTTTCCCATGCAGCCCACAGTCTTAAAAGCTAGTCTCACTCACACTGTGCCCCTGCCAACAGCAAGGAGTCTATTTCCAGGCAGCCAGTGGCCAGGACTGAGGACTTGCCCCAGACCACTGGCCTCCATGCTGATAAAGGGTAGGCAGACTCACAGTTTTTCCACATCTCAGGGAGCCTGCCGTGGCTATCCAGTTCCTTCAAAGGGTCTGTGGGTTCTCTTAGCTTTCCTGGTATGTTCCTGTGGTAGTTCTTGGATGTAAAGTTGGTTTAATATAAAAAAGGAATTAATGTAAATTAATTGATAAAATAATAATCTGATATATCTGGTAAAATAATAATCCGAATATATCCAGAAAAGTTATTTGATAAAACTCAACATTCATTCATGCTAAAAACTCTTAGGGAATTATTACCAGAAAATTCTTAATCTTGCAAAGAGTATCTCCTAAAATAAATTAGAGAACATGTCATACTTGATGAAATTTTGAAACTTTATGATAAAGAACAAAGGTTGTCAGCCATTACTGATATGTTTTAACAATGTAGTAGACATAATAACCATAAAGTAAGGTAAGGACAAGGAGTCACATATATATGAATTGTAAAGAAAAGAAAAGAATTGTTTGGCAAATAATGCAATTGGCAATGGAGAAAACTCGAATGCATAAACAAATGATTAAATGCATGACAGAGCTAAGAAAGTTTGTTGGGCACATAATCAACAGCCAAAAGTCAATTGCATTTCTATTTTTAAAAAATAATCAGAAAAACAATTAAATAAATGATAAAATATATAATTGCAACTAAAATGAGAAGTATTTACAAATAAATCTAACAAAAAATGTCTTAGCCTTAATGTGGAAAATTATAACATTTTTTAAAAGACATGTAAAAAGCCCTAAGTAAATGAGTAGGAAGATTCAGTATTTTAAAGATGCCAACTCTCCAAATTTATAATTAAATTCAGCATAGTACTAATTAAAATTCCAAAGCTTTTTATGGAATTTGACTTGCTAATTTTAAAAATGTCATACAGAAAAAGCAAATGCCCAACTAACATTGCTTCTTTTTGAAGAAGCTAGATAAATTGCTCTCCCGTATAATAAGTCTTATTATAAATATTAAGTTATAAGATTGCATGGAATTTGTTCAGGGAAGGGAATTTGTTCAGGGATAAAATAGGAGAATGAAGATATTTAAATATAATCCTCATGTCTATGGAACTTGATTTATGAAAGAGCAAACATTGCAGGCCATTAGGTAAAGGAAACACTCTTCAGTAAATAGTGATGGAACAATTGATTACATATATATGGAAGAAAATAGTATGCTTTCCCTACACTTTGTACAAAAGTCATTTTCAGATAAATTAAAAACTTAAATGGGTAAGTCAAAACAGTTAAATTTAGAAGGAAAAAAAAGACTGAGGAACTAGTCCAAATTAAGGTAACTAAAGGAAGGTGACAACTGAATGCCACACATGACCCAGGATTTCTTTTTTGTAATAAAGGACATCCTTGGGTCAACTGATGAAATCTGTAGTTTTGACAATAGTATGGAAACAATGTTAATTTCCTTTTATTGATAATTGTTTATATAATATAAAATTATATCAAAATAAAATTTAAAAAGCAAAGCAATATAAAAGAATGTGCTTATTATCTCAATAAATAGATTAAGAGATGGATTTTTAAAATAAACACAAAGTGTAAAATGTAAATGAAAACTTTTAGAAATAAGACTATTAACACTAAAAACATTTTTCCATTAAAAAGAAAGCAAAAAGACATTATACAAACTGGAACTAGATATTTATGTCATATCTAATAAGAAGAGCTTAGTCAAAGATCAGACGGTTGTGGATGTGTTGTCTTATTGCTGAGGCCTCTGTTCTGTTCCATTGGTCTATGTATCTGTTTTGGTAACAGTACCATGTTGTTTTGGTTATTGTAGCCTTGTAGTATAGTTTGAAGTTGTGTAGTGTGATGCCTCCAGCTTTGTTCTTTTTGCTTAGGATTGTCTTGGCTATGTGGGCTCTTTTTTGGTTCTATATGAAATTTAAAGTAGTTTTTTCTAATTCTGTGAAGAAAGTCAATGGTAGTTTGATGGGGATAGCAAAATGCCCATCAATGATAGACTGGATAAAGAAAATGTGGCACGTATACACCATGGAATACTATGCAGCCATAAAAAAGGATGGGTTCATGTCCTTTTCAGGGACATGGATGAAGCTGGAAACCATAATTCTCAGCAAACTAACACAGGAACAGAAAACCAAACACTTCATGTTCTCACTCATAAGTGGGAGTTGAACAATGAGAACACATGGACTCAGGGAGGGGAACATCACATACCGGGGCCTGTTGTGGGGTGGGGGGCTGAAACCCCTGGTTTCAGGAGTTTGAAACCAGCCTGGCCAACATGGTGAAACCCTGTCTCTACCAAAAAAAACACAAAAATTAGCCAGGCATGGTGCTATGTGCCTGTAGTCCCAGCTACTTCACAGGCTAAGGTGGGAGAATCGCTTGAACCCAGGAGGCGGATGTTGCGTTGAGCTGAGATCGCACCACTGCACTCCAGCCTGGGCAACAGAGTGAGACCCTATCTCAGAATAAAAAAACCCACCCCCCCAAAATGAAACAAAATGAAATTACAATTAAATGCAATTTTATGTTTATTAAATATGTAAAAAAAAAAAGTAAAGAAAATAAAGTTAGAATGTGGACAAACAGGAAGTAAAAACTTTTTTTGTAAACAGTTTAAAATTGTGTAGTCAAACAGGGCATGTGGAAGCCTTATCATCCAGCAATCACATTCCTAGTTATTTACCACAGAACTTTTATATACATACATTAATATATATACATATACTCATAGAAACACTATTCATAATAGCAAAGAAGTGGAAGCAAGAATAGAGAAAATACATTCTATTAAATCATGCATTAAAGATTTCTATGAATTGCATATATATTATGCCACAGAAGTGCTCTTGATTTCCAAAGAACCAATTTTTGTAAATTATTCTCTTACCATAAAAATGTAATTATAAATAAGAAAACAAATATATAGTCTAATATATATACGTATATATTAAAATATATACGTATATATATTTGAATCTCACACCTAATTAATTCAAGTGTTAAAAAAGGAAATCATTAAGTATTTAGAACTGAGTTACGACTGAAATACAATTTATTAATGTTGTGGGATGATGCAAAATATTTCTTAGAAAAATATATATCATTGAATATATTAATTACGAGCAATATGTTATTAAAAGAAAAGAGATGAGTGTTTAACTTGAGGCTAGTAAAGCATGAGAATAAACCTCCCCAAAATAAAGGGAAGAAATGTTAAGGACAGAAATTAGTGATACAGTAAAAAGCAATAGCATTAATCAATAAAACAAATAACAGTAGAGTATACAAGTGTCTTCCAATACTGACAGCAAGTAAAGGTTTCACAAATGCAAAATATTTTGAGCAAGAAAAAGGTAACATGACTATATGTAGTGCAGAGATCTTTCAAATTCTTGAGAACGTTAAACTAACACCAATAAATTCAAAAATGTAGATGTAATGGGTTTATAGCAAATCATAAAAATTGTGTGAGGCATGGATAGGTATTTCACAGAACTGGAATAAAGAAATATTGATGAAATTAAATTGGTTCTCAAATATCTCCTCGAGCAAATACCATGTCAAGGTGGTTTTATACCAAGTTTCATCAATTTCCATAAAACAGATAATATACAAATTTTTTAGAAACTGAAAAAATGATGTAAAATCAATCCACTTTATAAGGTAAAGGTAAGAATTTGCAAAACAAACAAATGCTTATTCCATTGTAAGCATTTTATTTTATTAAAGTATTGTTTGCAAACAGTAAAATATATAGTTCTCAATTGTACACTTGGTAAGTTTTGACAAATGTATACACCTGGATAATCAACTCTTAAATCAAGTTCTGGAACATTTCCATCACCTCCAAAATGCTCCCTCATGGTTTTTGAACACAATCTATTTTGTTAGTGGCAGTCATGGTTTTGACTATATTATCATAAATATAATCTATATAACTGTTTATTTTTTCATTCCTTATTGCACTGGCTAGGACTCCAGAACAGTGTTTCTAGTAACCAGCCTCCAAAATGGTTCTGCATGCCTCCCTTTCTCCTGGACCCTTGCATACTCCTTTCCCACATGGTATCAGGGTTTGGCTGTGTGACCAATAGAATACAGTATGTTATGACATCCACTTGGAGATTTATAGAAAAGTGCAGCTTTCATCTTGGGCCCTCTTTTTTTTCTTCGATCACATGCTCTGAACGGGGCCACTTGCCAAGTCCTGAGGAGACTCAGGACTAGACAGCCAACAACCACCCAAGTGAATTTGGGAATGAATACTCCAGTCTCAGTTGAAGCTTCAGATGACAGCAGACTTCACTGACAGCTCAATTGCAACCTCATGAGGCGTACTGAGCCAGAACCACCCAACTAAGGTGTTCATAGGTTCCTGACCCACAGAAACAGTGAGATGATAAATGTTTGCTGTTTTAACTGGCTAAGTTTTGTGGTAATTTTTAATACAGAATGAGATCACGAGTGAAATGGTGATAGCAGGCATTCTTGTCTTTTTATCTCGGAAAAGAAAGTCTAAATATTTTACTGCTAATTGTAATAACTTTTGTAGTTTGATTTGTTTGTTTTGTAGACTTTTTTAAGATTAAAGTTTCCTTCTTTTACTAGCTTTCTTAAAGGTGTTTTAAAAAATCATGGAAGGGTGACAAATTTCATCAGATTTTTTGCCATATATTGAGATGTTTATATGATTTATCTCATGAAACCAATTACATTGGATTTACTTTCAAATACAAACCAATCTTGCATTTCTTAAACTGAATATTGTCATAATTTATAATTATTTCATGTTACTGTGTCACATAAACTGTAATGTGGTCCTCATGATACCCACCTCCTAGTGTTCATACCATTATATAGTCAATCCCTTCCTCTTTAGTTTTGGCAGGATAGATTATTTGATTCTAAACAATAGAATATGGCAAAGGTGATTGAATGTTACTCCTGTAATTATAAGTTTCTGTCTTGCTAGTCAACTAACTTTCTGATTTGTCATCTTTGAAGAAGCAAGTTTCAGTGTTGTAAGAGAGACTATGTGGGAGACCAGGTAGCTTCTAAGAGCTGAGAGTGCCTCTGGCCAACAGCCAGCAAAAAGCTAGAACCCTCAATCTTACAACTGCAAGAAAATAAATGCTTCCAATGATCTGAATAAGTTTGGATGTGAATCTGCCACCAGTTGAGTCTCCAGAAGAGACTGCAGCCCTGGCCAACACACTGATTTTGGCTTTGCAGAGGAGCCAGTTTAGCCATGTCTAGATTCCTGGTCCACAGAAACTGATAGAAAATAAATGTATGTAGTTTTAAGTCTCTAAGTGTGATAATTTGTTAGAGCAATAGAAAAGTAACACAATTACGGTATTTAATATACTAATAATTTGTTTGGGGATTTTTGCATCTATATTTATGAGAGAGAGTGGTCTGGTATTTTTGTTTTTTATAATGTCATTTTCTGGTTTTGATATACAGGTTTTGATGGTCTTTCAAATGGAGTTGGAAAGTTTCTTTTTCTATTTCTTGGAAGAGTTTATGTAAAATTGTTGTTAATTATTTCTTAAGTAGTTGGAAAAACTCATTGCTGTTGCCACTTCAGTCTTGATTTTTCTGTAGTAAGGTTTTTATTACAGATTCAATTACTTTAATAAATGTATTACTCCCCAGATTTTCTTTTTCTTCTTATGTTGGTTTTACTGAATACAGTTTTGAAGAGAACATCATATTTCATCTGAATTTTAAAATACATTGGCACAAGAGTGTTAATAATATTCTCACATTACTTTTGAAATATCTGTAGGTTCTATAGTTATGTTCCCGTTTTCATTTTTGACATCTGTGTTTTATCTTTTTTATGGATCAGTCTTACTAGGGATTAATTATAGTATTAGTCTTCTCTAAAAATAGTTGTACATGTTTATTTTCTCTATCATAATGTCATTTTAGGTTTCATTAATGTCTCTTCTGATTTTTATTTTCGTCTTCCTTTCAGGTTTCATTTTCTGTTTATTTTCTAAATTATTGAGCTAGATGCTTAAATCATTAATTTTACAGCATTTCCTTTTATTTAATGAATATAGTTAAGGTTATTAATTTTCCCTCAAGCATGGCTTTTGCTGCATTTCACAGATTTGAATGTTGCTATTTCCATTTCATTCATTCTGAAGCATTTTCTGATTTCCACTGAGATTTCTTCTTTTATCCATAGCTTACTTAGAGATGTGTGGCTTTATTTTAAAGTAATTATATGTTTTCTAGTCATCTTTCTCATTCTATTATGGCCAGACAACATGTTCATTATGATTTCAAGCTTTTAAATTTGTTAAGACATGCTTAATGGTCTAAAGATATGGTCAGTTCTGGTGAAGCATACATGTACACTTGAAATTGAAGTATTTTCTGTTATTGTTATTTGTAGTATATTTTACATACATATATATGTGTATATATGTATATATATATCAAATGTAAACAATGTGATTACCGCTTAGCCTATTGAGATGAAATAGTTCTGTTCCTTTTTGCTTGTAAACCTTGAAACTATTTTATTAGGTATATACAATTTATAATTGCCATATTTTCTTAATGGACTGACTGCAACTGCACTGTCCTTATGTTGATTTGTGTTTGCATAGTACATCCTTTTCATTTAAATCATTAATCTTTACATCTTTCTGTGCTCTTATAATTAAGTCTCTTGTAAGCCACATACTGTTGGGTTTTGTTTTATTTATCTATTCTTCCAATTACTAATATTTCTGTGCAGCAAGATTTTTTAATACAAAAACATAAATTTTGAAATAAATTAATCTTTCCTTTTATGTCTTATTTTTGGATATGACATGATTTACCATAGAATATGTCTATATCATATATTTTTATATATTGATGTATATGTTAAAAAATGTTTTCACTGATAACAGTGAGCACAAAAATGTTTGAAAATCCTCATCTATGCACAATAAGAATTGTGAGTTGGAATATCAAGTAAGGTTTTGTGAAATTATAAAACCTGAATATTTAAAAGATTGTAGGATTCATCTATGCTTATTGAATATATATGGTTATGATAAATTTATGTTAATATATATGTTTATAGTTATCATATAAGTATATCCAGTTACATACTGAATCTTAACTAACAGACATTAACTCTGATGCTGTCTTCTTAGCCTGCAAAAGTATAATGTGACGTACATTCAGTTCTATGGTGTAAAATGTCTCTCGGTTAATGTAGGGTGGTTATTGTTCTAGGTTCTTAAAAATTCCACAGAGTACAATTCTTATTATTCCATCCTTGGATCAGAGGAATGAAGAGAACAATTTTTATTTATTTATCAGTACTGTGTCTGGATGAGCCAAGGAAAATTTAGATGGGAATAAGACATTTTGCTATGGTAGCTTTCTTGTTCCTTGAAATTTGAAGCTGTGCCAAGATCGCACTGCTACACTCCAGCCTGCGCAACACAGCAGGACTCTGTCTCAAACAAACAAAAAACAAAAAAACATTGAGTTACTTCAATACACAAAGTCCCAAATAAACAAAACACTCAAGCAATTTAATTATTTACCCAACTACAATGGAATCAGAATAGTGTAATTGCATAATTGGTTGGTAATCTATTTCACCAATTTTTTTTTTTTTGAGATGGAGTCTCACTCTGTCACCAGACTGGAGTGCAGTGGTGCAATCTCAGCTCACTGCAACCTCCGCCTCCCAGGTTCAAGTGATTCTCCTGCCTCAGCCTCCTGAGTAGCTGGGACTACAAGTGCGTGTCACCATGCCCAGCTAATTTTTGTTGACTGGATTTCGCTATGTTGGCCAGGATAGTCTCGATCTCTTGACCTTGGGATCTGCCCATCTCGGCCTCCCAAAGTGCTGGAATTACAGGCATGAGCCACCACACCCAGCTCACCAAATTTTTTTGATAGAAATAAGCTTACTTTACAAGATTCCCTTTTTCATTAATATTTGAAATTCTGAGAACATTTTATTATCACTAATAACTCACATGATCAAGTGGGCTAAGATCAGTCACAACATGAAGACATAATACTTTACATTGATCTTTTACAAATTAATTTACCATATTTTGCATCTGTTGCTATAACCAGTAGGGTGTTAGCTGAAATAAATCAATAATTACATAATTGTTAGGGCACCATTAGAGTGTCAATTTTCTGATCAGAAACTTCTGTGACTAGGGCGCCTTTGTTCAAGTTCTTGTCCTGCATCAAGGAAGAATGAGGTATGCAGACAGGTAAAGGGTAAACAAGAGGAAGATGAGCTTTATTGAGTGTTACAACAGCTCAGAGGAGACCCTCAGTGGGTAGCTCCTCTCTGTAGGCAGGTTATCCATCATTTGTTCAGTTCTCAGCAGAGAGGAAGCCCTGAAGAGTGCAGCTCCTCACTGCAACTGGCTGTCATGATGTCTGCCATTCTTGGCAAAGAGGAGGCCCTGGAGAGGGTAGCTCCTCCGTGTGGGCAGGTTGTCTCTGCAGCTCTCAACAAACAGGGTAGCTCCTCTCTGCAACTGGATTTTCCATCACCTCCAGCTATCAGCAGAGAGGGTAGTTCCTCTCTGTAGCTGGTGGTCCCATCATCTCTCTGCCCTGTTAATCCTCTGACCATCCTCTGCCCTGCTCTAGCTGAGCCCAGGGCTTTTATGGACCTCAGAGGGAAGGAAGTGCATGTCGACTAGTCCATGGGAAGCCATGGGCAGCCATGGGTGGGCCCAGAATAGGCATCACAAGTCCACATTGCAGTTCATGGGACCAGCAACCCGGTCCCCAGCTTTCAGGCCCTCCCTGGCCTGAAGGTGTGCCTGACTGAGGACTCATCCCCTTCTGCCCAGGACTCTGCCTCCCACTGCCATTCAAGGCCCAAGCCCTGGGGCTCGGCCCAAACCCCACTCTGAAATCAGAGCAGGTACAAGGAGAGGAGAGAAGCCAGGCAGCAGGAGCAGACATCCCCAAGGCAGCAGGGATGAGGGGCCCTTCCCAGGCCCCTAAGGATGCATGCTGCAAAGATGCCCAGGTCCTGTACCTGGGAGGGCAGCCACAGCTGCATCAGGGAAGCTCCCACCCCACCAACTTGGAAAGGATGGAGTTCTTGCTTGTCTCCAGCTTCTGCCCGCTCTGTGGGGCAGGAGGCCGGATTCTTCAGCAGCAGGTCAGGTGGGTGCAGCTTCACCCAGGAGGGCAAATTCTGCCTGCTCCAAGAGCACAGGAAGACTCAAATCCACAGCTGCAGTTTGGGTGGTGGTAGTCCTGCCCAGTAGGGTGGGGCTCCTCCCTGCTGTCCAGTGCAGGAGGCTTGGGTTTGCAGCCACAGTTTGGGTGGCTGCAGTGGCACCCAGGAAGTTCCCACCTCAACTCAGAAGGGGCAGGGCTCCCCCCAGCTTCATGGGGTGTGCAGCCCCACCCATGCCTCCTTGCTATAGCTGGTGTGATGGCAGCAGCTACTGCCATCAATTCCCCCTCTGAAGAGGTACACCTAACCACTGTTAGGATAGGAACAATGACTGCTTTTAACTGCCCCATGCTAACAAGGGGCATTGTTTTGGGAAAACGACAGTCAGGTCTCTCTTAGAGGCTTATCTAAGGGTCCCCAGTAAAAGGGAGCCATCATCTGAGGCTCCATTTGCATGACCACTTTGCATGACTATTTAGAGTTTGACGGCCCATCCCTTTTGTCAGTAGTTTATTCACAAAGGAAACAAAAATCTTTCATTGCATGATGATCTTGTTGAAGTAAAGCCAAATTTCACCCTTGCATTAGTCTATTAATGTCAATTCCAATCTTTTAAAATAAAACCTTACATAAAAATCCATCCAATCTTAATCAGTTTGACCATGATGTGAGATTCTTATAAACCTTTTATAACCCTTTACAAAGTTTTGTTCAAGACATGTCAGTGCCTCAAGAAAACCTTGTTGTGTTTTTATTCCAATGTTCAATTTATGGAAAAAAAAAAAACAATAATACCCTTATGAATTTATTCAATATGTTCACACACAGATTTCTTTTTAAACGTTTAATTTTTACAAACCTTCCATAACTTGTTTGAACATTTAGCTTTATCTAATCTAATTTAAAACAATCTTTCAACCCTCTATACTAGGCAAAAATTTACATTCCCATGCCTACTTATATTTTTTAACTAAAGACACGTTTTTCTTTTCTTACATACCTTGCATGTAAATATTTTCCATAGTCTCCACTACATGTTTTAATGTTAGCTCTTAGCAATTTTTAATTTTGGTGAAATACCCAGTAAGTTATTTTGGTTACATACTTAGGTGCAGATAAGATCTGACTATTTCCAACATAGCTAGGAATGTGATATATGTCCTCAGGCTTTATCAAACTGTAGAGCAGAAAAGTCGAACAATTTTCAAAAGTCAAAAGCAGTTTATGACCTTAAAGCATTTAGCCAACCTGGTTTCTGACTTGCATAATTTAGACCATGTCTACATTTTGAAGACATTTCTATTTTTATTTTACTGATAATTTTAAAGCCAGTCTATTTACCAAAGCCCTACCTAAATCACATGAATCTGAAAATTGCTCGGACTTATTTACTTCATTTGTGAGCACTCTTTTGCTTATAAGCCAATTTGGTAGACATAATATATGACAATAAGTGTACAAATAAACACATATAGACATGTATACACACCCACAAACGAAGATCCAATAGATTGGAACCGTAGCCATGAGATAGCAATACAAGCTCACTGGTTTTATTTTCTTTGCCCCAATAGATAATGCAGTGAAGGCTGTGAATCAAAATTTCTGGTAAAGAAGTTTCCATGGCAGTTTGAGTTTTAAAGGCCAAACCTCCCCAGACTCCTAAGAACACTGGGACCAAACAGCACCAAAGGAGAGCATCACACGTTCACCAGGCCCCCTGCTTAGAACAGCAGCACAAAAGCCTGGACACATGCAATGCCCTCCTGCTTCCCCATTCACCAGTAAACTCAAGATTCCATACAATATTGTGGCCAAACAGTATTGCAACTGTGAGAGAAAATTCTAAGGAGGGTTTAGTACTAGACCTCAGAACCTCTGCCAAGGGCATCCTCTTTGGAGAGGTTGAGGTCCAGAGGATCCCCCAGGGAATCCCCCTTTGGGATCCAATCTTAGAGTCTCAAACAACTCTGACCTTAATTGGGCACCAGGGCCCACTTTATGTTTTCCCTTCGGAGACAATGGCCTACTATGAGCTTTGTAAGGCCATGCTTTCCCATGCTTCCTGTTCCACTAGAGTGATAGCCATGAACTAAAAAACATTACAGCTTTATTTTTCTTTCAAAATATTTGATCCAAGCTTGTATTTTTCTTTAAGCCAATCAGTTAGAGCTATTTTATATAAACATGACAAATATAACACACAGACAGAAGGAGATCCAGTAGTTGTAAGATTTTTCATGTGCCACTCTCTTAATTGAATCACTGGCCCCAGGATGTAGCTGTTCAAGAACCAGGGCCAGGAAAATGTATGCAGTTTCTAAGGCCTAATAAGTAGGTATAGCTGGAAGACAAAAACAGACTTTGAGAGGGATCCATCCACCGCGAATCTCTGAAGATCCAAGAGGAAAACATGTTTATCCCAAAAGGGGTCAGTGGCACCTCCTATTTTTCCCAAGGAGTCCCAGGTCATCAGAAGCCATCCAGGTGCCTCTCATGTGTGCACCAAGAGTGGCAAGATAAAAATGAAGAATAATTCAGTCAGCTGAGAAAACCTTTTTCCAGAAAAACAAGATCCATGAAGAAAAAAGACATAAAGGTCTTTTAAATATACCGACAGCTTGGATACCCACGGACATCTACTTTTAACTCAGTTAACTTTTAACTATAGTGCTCCTTTTTTAAAAGGTCCTTTTAAATCTCTTATTATCCAAACTTAGGTATGCCAAAATGGCCAATTGAACCATGGAGAGGTAGAGAATATAGTTATTTTTATCATTCCTGCAACCAGTTTGCACAGGGAGAGAGAAGCCAGAAGTCTGAATGGTAAAAACTTTTACACCTTTGCTGGCATGTCAGGCTGCTGGGTTCCCTTACCCCAAGACATGGATTCTTAATGACCCTGGAGCCCTGTGATTTAGGATGCACTCAAGAAATGCAGGCTGAACATGATTGGTTTGTTACCCATCTGGAAAGAGGGGATAAAGGCATCTCTTTATTCATCTCTCTTTCCAGTGAATACCTGGCGTATGTGACAGAGAGAATAAAAAATGTCCTTTCTTCTTCCAAACTTATATCCCTGAGTCCTGGCAACCTGTGCAGGTGTTAACTGTGGGTGCAAGTGTAACATTCAGCCATGAAGCAGGAGGCATAGCTGACAGGAATATTTGCACTCATCTGAGCGGAGCCTAAGCCCACCTGCTGTCAGTAACCATTGAATTCTCTAGACCTTATCCACGCCGTAGATGCAAGCATGACCTTTATTCATGAAACAGGAGGGCCTAATCAGCAGGAATTAGTCATGCTCACCTGTACTGTGGCCCTCAAAACCCACGGTAATCTGCCTTATATCTGGTGTTCCATTCCAGGGCTTCAAATGAAAGCTTGGGACACAAAGGTGCCTCAGGAGGGAGTATGAAGCCATTACATTAGTTCCAGATGGCCCTCACCAAATTGCAGCTAGCAACTAGCAGGGGCTCCTCCTCTGTTGCCTCCCATTCACAAGCACATGAAGCTGTGGGGCCAGGTCCTCCTCAAACAAGGGAGAGAAAGGGAGTCCCAGGAATTTGGGGCCTAGTCTAATTAGGTGATAACTAATAAGTTGTGCTGTTTTGAGGACACCCCTCAGAGTCATGCTAAGAAAGGAGGGGGCCTAGACTGGAGAGGAGAACTGAAAGGCCCACTTGAGTCCAGGAGGAGGTCCACCCTCCTTTCCTCAATCCCCCACATCACCTGGGCTCCTGGATGGCAATGGCAGTCTGAATCATCAGAGCCAGGGAAGGAAACCTCAGGACCCACCAGTCCTGCTGCACCATTTGGCAGACTGGCCCTGGATCTGGTGACCCATGTCTTGGGGACAGTCTGCCCTCCAATGGTTCACATTCACAGTAGTCAACAGGTACATCTTGAGAACTCTGGGGTTTGTGAGCCTACAAGGTGGCTATTACAGCCTCTGACTTTTTCTTATGTCTCCTTCTCTCTTTTGGGCCTCCTGATTCTATTGTGGAAGACAAAGGTGGCCACTTTCAGGAGGTCCTCCAAAGTACTATTTGGTCTTATGGCCTGTTTCTGCAGCTTCCTCCTGATATCAGGGTTTGCCTGAGTAGTAAACTCTCCCCTAGGACCAGCTGTCCCACTATTACATAAGGGGATAGAGGGGTGTGTTTTGCCAAGGTTCCTCCCAGCCACCCCCCAGGAAGGCAGTGTGACTCCCATCCAATCCCTTGTCTACCATGGATAGCCTGGTGCAATTGAGAGGCCTAGTCCCAGACCCTTGCAAGGCCTCCAGTATGCACACCTGAAAGAGTTTCCTCCTCTATTCTCCTATTTCATCACTGGAGGCCCATTTAGGGTCCTTCAATGGTACTGCTATTCTTCTAATTGAATAAGGATCCTCCCCTTCCCTGGCCCTATGTAAGATAGAAATCTCATCCCCCAAATTCTCTGTCTCTTCCCAAGTGGCCTGCATTTCAGCATTTGATTCAAAAGTAACATGGCCATCCTTCCAGGAGAGCTCAAATACTTGTGTTAAGTTCTGGAAAGCCTCTATGTACCTATCAGGGCCATCTGAAAACCTGCCAAGATCCCCCCTAATTTCCTTAAGTCCTGAAAAGAAAAGGGGACCTGGACCTTAATGGGGCCATATTCACCAGACATCTGTTGTAGGGGTAGTTGAGACTTGGACCTGTCTAAAATTAGGATTCCTAGGCCGGGACAAGCTTGAAAGAAAGCCAAGATAGAAATGAATGGAGGGGGGTTATTCCTCTGCTGAAAGTACCTCTGGGGTTTGCTTCCCTATTTTCCTGGGATTTCCCCTTGAAGCCTCTCCCCAGATGGCCACTAGGAGAGCTGAATCAATACTACTATGTTGCCAAATGTCTGGGTTACCCTGCAAGGCAAAGAAAGCCTGCACATAAGGGACCTTGGACCATTTGCCCTCGTGTTTAGAGAAAAGCTTCCTTCCTGAGGCAATGCTTTTCTGTGCTTCAAGGTTCTTGGCACCAAGTTGGCAACCAAGTAAACTACAAGAATATTTTCACCACAAACATGTACAGATACTAACGCACATAACAAGGCACACTTTGCTTCATCTGTGCTACTCTTAACCTTCCATTTTATACTCTTGATGACTAAGCCAAATGCTCATTATGTGCAGTAATATCTCTGGTTTCCAATATCCTTCATACATTAACATTGTATATAGGAGATGGGAACCATGAAAGCCACAAAAGAAAGCAAGAAAGAAACAATAGGAAAGACTGGAAGTCCTAGTGCTGATGCCCTAACAGGGAGTCAGGAAATGGAGTTTGTCCTGGGGCCTTTGGATAACACAGTGTTGTAGCCTCGGCCAAATACCCTCAGTTGCCCCAGGACCTTTTCCTGGTCCCAAATGATGGCTAGACCTCTGTGAAGGAAAACTGGGCTGGAACGAAGACATTCCCAACACCCAAAGGTGATGGGAGATTGACAGTGCCCTCCCCGACAAGCCTGTTTTCCGTGTCTTAAGTGTGGCAGCTGTGCTAATCACTTTTAACTGGCTGACACAGGCCTGGTATTTTTCTTTCATTTTGACTATTGTGGAGTTTAGAGACTCCAAAAAAAAAAAAAGGGCAGAAAACAGATTCACTTCTACTCACACTTCTGCAAATCCCAGACGAGACCCCAAAATGTTATGGGATTTTTAGGGTGTCAGTTTTCTGGCCAGAAACCTCTGTGGCCATGGCGCTTTTGTACGAGTTCTTGTCCTTCATCCAATAAGAATGAAGTATACAGACAAGTGAAGGGTGAACAAGACGAAAATGAGATTTATTGAGTGTTACAACAGCTCAGAGGAGACCTGCAGTGGGTAGCTCTTCTCTGTAAGCAGGTCATCCTTCAAGTGTTCAGTTCTCAGTGAGAGGAGGCCCTGGAGAGGAGGATAGCTCCTTGCTGCAACTGGTCATCCCAATGTCTGAAGCTCTCAGCAGAGAGGAGGCCCTGGAGAGGATAGCTCTTCTCTGCTGGCAGGTCATCTCTGCAACTCTCAGCAGAGAGGCTAGCTCCTCTCTGCAGCTGGATTTTCTGTCATCTTCTGCTATCAACAGAAAGGGTAGCTCCTCTCTGTAGCTGGTGGTCCCATCATCTCTCTGCCCTCTTTGTCCTCTGGCCATCCTCTGCCCTGCTCTGGCTAAGCCCAGAGCTTTTATGGACCTCAGAGGAGAGGAAGTACATGCCAGTTGGTCCATAGACAGCCATAGGTGGCCATGGGTGAGCCCAGAAGAAACACCACTAGTCTGAACTCCAGTTCGTGGGACTGGCAGCCTGGCCCCCAGCCTTCAGGCCTCCCTAGCCTGAAGGTGGGGCCAGACTGGAGACCCACCCCTTTCTGCTCAGGACTCTGCCTTCCACTGCCATTCAAGGCCCCAGCCATGGGGCTGGGCCCCAACCAAACCTGCTCTGAGATCAAAGCATGTGCCCGGAGAGGAGAGAAACCAGGCAGCAGTAGCAGATATCCCTGAGCCAGCAGGGATTGGGGGTCTCTTCCAGGGCCCCCAAAGATGCAGGCTGCAAAGATGACCAAGTCCTGTGCCTGAAAGAGTGGCTGCAGCTGCATCCAGGGAGCTCCCACCTCACCAACTCAGGAGCAGGGTGGTTCCAGCTTTTCCCCAGCTCCTGCCAGCTATGTGGAGCAGGAGGCTCAGGTCTGCAGCAGCAGGTCAGGTGGTTGCAGCTGCACCCAGGAGGGCAGATCCTGCCTGCTCTTGGCCCTCCAAAGGCACGGAGAGGCTCAGACCCACAGCCACAGTTTGGGTGGTTGTAGGCCCGCCCGGGAGGGTGGGGCTCTTGCTGCTTTGTAGAACAGAAGGCCTGGGTCTGCAGACATGATTTGGGCAGCTGCAGTGGCACTCAGGGAGCTCCTGCCCCAATTCAGAAGGGGCAGGGCTCCCACCAGCTCCATGGTGCAGCCCCCCTGCACCTCCCTGCTACAGCCAGCATGATGGCAGCAGCTACTGTCATCATAATCATGTAATAAGTATTATAAACCATAATTCCAGGACCCTGGAAATAGTGTTATGTGGATTGGTTAAAAATTTATCTTCAGATGTTTCAGTTTAGGCTCTGATGTTCTGAGAGAGTCAATATAAGGTTGACTCTGTCAAGACCTCCAAAACAGAGTTAAATTATGGTGTGCTAGCATGGAAAATTATGGAACACATGCAGCCACCATGGACATAGCACTCTTTTTCTCTTACTTCCATGTTAGTTGTCTGCATCTATCTCATTTTCAACACTGATCCACTATTACTTTCTCTGACCTATCACTTTTGAGTTCTCTCTCCTTCCACTCAAACTATTACTACATTTTAATATCTCTCTCATTCATCTCACAGTATGCTGCATATTTCACATGTGTGGTGATTTAAATTTTACTGATACCTTACCTTCTTATTATTTACACTCTGATCTCTCTTTTATAAAAAAAAATTCTCTACTCACAGTATACTTCATTATTTTCTGACATTTATGTCTTTTTTCTGGACTCAAGGCTTAGTTTATCCATCAATTAATTTACACTTCATTGTTCCTTTGAGTTTAATTATTTTTTATAATGCAGAAAAAGGTTTTCCTCATTTATTAGTCATCTGTGTTTCCAATTCTGTGAATTGCCAGTTGACAACATGAACTCAATAACTCTCTCTTTAGTTTGAATCATGGCTTCATTATTTAATTTATCAGTAGTTTGTAGGTTCCATGGGATAGCTTCTCATATATTATACTTACAGTTTTATTTTAACCAATATGCTCTGTGATGTTATGGAGATGTATTTGTATTCCTAGATTACTAACTGCTTTTTTTTTTAAAGAAAGTTTTTAATTTTTGTTGGAATGTAGTGTGTATATATGTTTATAAGGTACAAAATATATTTTAATACAGGCATGCAATGTAATGTAATCACATAATAGAGAATGGGGTATCCAACCGCTCAAGTATTTATCCTTTGAGTTACAAACAATCTAATTGTATTATTTTAGTTATTTTTAACTGTACAAATAAGTTATTATTGAGTATAGTCACCCTGTTGTGCTATAAAATAGTATGTCTTATTCATTCTATTTTTCTTGAACCCATTAAGCTTCTCCACATCTCCCCAACTCTTTCACTACCCTTCTCAGCCACTGGTTACCATCCTTCTACTCTCAATGTCTATGAGTTCAATTGCATTGATTTTTAAATCCCACAAATAAGTTAGAACATGTGACGTTTGTCTTCTGTGCCTGGCTTATTTTGCTTAACTTAATGATCTCCAGTTCCATCCATGTTTTTGCAAATCACATGATCTCATTCTCTTTTATGGCTGAATAGTACTTTACTGTGTATATGTACTACATTTTCTTTATTCATTTATATGTTGATTGACACTTAGGTTGCTTCTAAATCTTGGCTATTGTGAACAGTTTTGCAACAAAGATGGAAGAGCAGATATCGCTTCAACACACCGATTTCCTTTCTTTTTAGAATACACCAAGCAGTGAGATTGCTGGATCATATGTTAGTTCTAGTTTCAGTTTTTTGAGGAACCTCCAAACTGTTCTCCATTGTTGTTGTACTAATTTACATACCTAGCAACAGTTTATGAGGGTTCACTTTTCTCCACATCCTTGCCAGTATTTGTTATTGCATGGCTTTTGGATATAAGCCATTTTAACCTGGGTGTGAATATATCTCATTGTAATTTTGATTTGCATTTCTCTAATGATCAATAGTGTTGAGCAACTTTTCATATGCCTGTAGGGCATTTTATATCTTCTTTTGAAAAATGTCTATTCAAATCTTTTGTCCAATTTTTGATCAGCTTATTAGATTTTTTTCTATAGATTTGTTTGAGTTGCTTATATATTCTAGTTATTAGTCCCGTGTCAGGTGAGTAGTTTGCAAATATTATCTGTTATTTTTGGAGATGTGTCTTCAATTTCTTGATCATCTCTTTTGCTACACAGAAGCTTTTTAACTTGTTGTGATTGCATTCATCCATGTTTGCTTTGGTTGCCTGTACTTGTGGGGGATTGCTCAAGAAATGCTTGCCCAATCAAATGTCCTGGTGATTTTCTCCAAACTTTTCTTGTAGTAGTTTCATAGTCAGAGATCTTGAGTTGAAGGTTTTCATTCATTTGTATTTGATTTTTGTATATGGTGAGAGATATGGGTCTAGTTTCATTCCTCTGCAAAAGGATACCCAGTTTGCCCAGTACCCTTTAGTGAATAGGCTGTCTGTTCCCCAGTGTAGGTTCTTGACAACTTTGTGAACTATGAGTTCACTGTAGGTATGTGGAAATTTTTCTTTTGGATTTCTATTTTATTGGTCTTTGTGTCTGTTTTTATGCCAGAACTATGCTGGTTTGGTTACTATAACTCTGAGGTATAATATAAAATCAGGTGACATGATTTCTCTAGTTTTGTTCCTTTGGCTTAGGATAGCTTTGAATATTCTGGGTTTTTGTTGTTCCACATAAGTTTTAGGATTGTTTGTTCTATTTCTGTGAAAAATGTCATTGGTATTTTGATAGGGATTGCACTGAATCTGTAGATTGATTCGGGTTGTATGGACATTTTAACAATACTGATTGTTCCAATCCCTGAACATGTAATATCTTTTCATTATTTGGTGTCTTCAATTTTTTTCATTGATGTTTTATAGTTTTCATTATACAGATCTTTCACTTTTTTGGTTAATTCCTAGGTAAGTAATTGTATTTGTGACTATTTTGAGTAATGTTATGTATTTTATTTCTTTTTCAATTGTTCAGTTGCCATAGAGCAATGCTACTTTTTTTGTTAAATTTGTATCCTCCAACTTTCCTGATTTTGTTTATCATTTCTAATAGTCTTTTCTAAATGTAATATCATATCATCCACAAACAAGGATAATTTGACTTCTTTTATTCCAATATAGATGCCATTTATTTATTTCTCTGGTTTGATTTCTCTGTGTAGGAATTTCAGTATTATGTAGAATAATAGTGGTGACAGTGGACATCTTTGTTGTGTTCTAGATGTTAGAGAAAAAACTTTAATATTTTTCCCCACTAGTGTGATACCAGTAGACAACTGTGAGTCAGTCATAAATGCCTTTTTACATGTTGAAGTATGTTTCTTCTATACCCAGTTTTTTTATTGATTTTATTATCAAAGAATGTTGATTTTTTATCAACTGCTTTTTGAGCATCAATTGAGATTATTGCATGAAGTTTATTCTTTATTCTGTTGACATGATGTATTACATTGATTGACTTGCATATGTGGAACCATCCTTGCATGACAAGGATAAGTTCCAGTCAGTCATGATGAATGATCTTTCTAATGTATTGTTGAATTCAGTTAGCTAGTATGTTATTGAGAATTTTTGAATCAATATTCATCAGGGATATTAGCCTGTAGTTTTTGGGGGTTTTTTTTGATGTGACATAAATGAGTTTGGAATTATTCATTTTTCTCTATTTTTTGAAATTGGATGAGTAAGATTGGTATTATTCTTTAAAAGTTTGATATAATTCAGCAGTGAAGCCATCAACTCTTGGGCTTTACTTTAGTGGAAGACTTTTTATTACAGCTTCGATCTCATTACTTGTTATTGGTCTTTTCAGATTGTGGATTTCATCCTGGTTCAATCTTGGTAGGTCATCTGTGTTTAGGAATTGTTTCATTTCCTCTAGATTTTCCAATTTATTGGCATGTAGATACTCTTAGTAGCCAATAAATTTATATGGATCTTCTCTCTTTTTTAGTTAGACATCTGACTAATAATAATTTGTCAATTATTGTTAACTTTTCAGAAAACAAACTTGTTTTCACTGATCATCTTTATTGTTTTGTTTAAATTTCATTTATTTCACCTCTGATCTTTACTCTGATCTTTCTTTTACTAATTTTGAGTTTTGTTTTCTCTTGCTTCTCTAGTTCTTAAATATGC
The DNA here is from genome assembly GCF_000001405.40 of Homo sapiens. NCBI lineage: Eukaryota > Metazoa > Chordata > Mammalia > Primates > Hominidae > Homo > Homo sapiens. The sequence continues at coordinate 93,170,460 of NC_000023.11, read as the reverse complement.
ATCATTAGATTGTTTATTTGAAGGGCTTTTTAAAAATAAGCACTTATAACTATAAACTTCCCACTTAAGTACTCCTTTTGCTGTATCTCATAGGTTTTGGTGTGCTATGTTTCCATTATGATTTATTTCAATAATTTTTTCAATTTTTTTTCTTAATTTCTTCATTGACCCACTGATCAATCAGGAGCATATTGTTTAACTTGCATGTATTTTTATAGTTACAAAAATTTCTTTTGTTATTAATTTGTAGTTTTAGTCCCTTGTGGTCACAGAAGATGCTTGATATAATTTCAACTTTTTTGAATATTTTAAGACTTTTTTGTGACTTGGCATATGGTCTATACTTGAGAATGAGCCATGTGCTGAGGAAAATAATGTGTTTTCTTCAGCCATTGGATGAAATGTTCTGCAAATATTTATTAGATCCATCTGGTCTGTAGTGCAGATTAAGTCTGATGTTTCTTTGTTGACTTTCTGACTGGAAGATCTGTCCAGTGCTGAAAGTGGGGTATTGAAGTCACCATTTTTTATTGTTTTGAGGCCAATCTCTCTCTTTAGTTCTAGTGATATTTGTTTTATATATTTGGGTACTCAAGTACTGGGTGCATATATATTTTCAATTGTTATATCCTTTTGCTCAATTTACTCCTTTATTATTATGTAGTGACTTTATCTGTTCGTGTAGTTTTTGTCTTAAAACCTATTTTGTTTGACATTTGTTGGTTTTCTTTGGCATGGGATACCTTTTTTCATCATTTTGTTTTCAGTGTACGTGTGTCTATATAGATGAAGTGTGTTTCTTCTAGGCAACAGATCTGAGGATCTTGTTTTTTTCTTCTATTCAGCCAGTCTATGTCTTTTGATTGGAGAGTTTTGTCTATTTATATTCAATGTTATTACTGTTAAACAAGGACACTTACTTATTTCATTTTGTTATTTTTCTCTCTGGTTGTTTTGTATCTTTTCTTCCTTCTTTCTTTCCTTCCTGCCTTCCTGTAGTGAGAGTGATTTTCTCTGGTAATATGATTTAGTTTCTTGACTTATATTTTTTGTGTATCCGTTGTATAAGTTTTTGAGGTTACCATGAGATTTGCAAATAATATAATCCATCTTGGGAACCAGCTCCCAGTATTTCAATGTAGGTTCTTTTCTATTTTCCCTAAGTGTCGGCCAGTCTGAGAAATAAAGGGAAAGAGTACAAAAGACAGAAATTTTAAAGCTAGGTGTCCAGGGGTGACATCACATATCGGCAGGTTCCTTGATGCCCACTGAGCTGCGAAACCAGCAAGTTTTTATTATGGATTTCAAAAGGGGAGGAGTGTATGAATAGGGTGTGGGTCACAGAGATCACATGCTTCAAGGGCAACAAAATATCACAAGGCAAATGGGGGCAGAGTGAGATAACAGGACCAGGGTGAAATTAGAATTGTCGATGAAGTTTCATGTCCCACTGGGCACGTATTGTCATTGATAACATCTTATCAGGAGACAGGTTTTGAGAGCAGACAACCGGTCTGACTAAAATTTACTAGGCAGGAATTTCCTAATCCTAATAAGCCTGGGGGCACTACAGGAGACAGGGGCTTATTTCATCCCTTATCTGCAACCATATAAGACAGATATTCCCAGAGCAGCCATTTTAGAGACCTCCCCCTAGGAATGCATTCTCTTTCTCAGGGCTGTTCCTTACTGAGAAAAAGAATTCAGCACTATTTCTCCTATTCGCTTTTGTAAGAAGAGAAATATGACTCTGCTCTGTCCTGCCCCTCAGGCAGTCAGGCCCAATGGTTATCTCCCTTGTTCCCTGAAAATCGCGCCATCCTGTTCCTTTTGGATGCCCAGATTTCATATTGTTCAAACACACATTCTCTACAAACAATTTGTGCAGATAACACAATCATCACAGGATCCTGAGGTGACATACATCCTCAACTCACGAAGATGACAGGATTAAGAGATTAAAGTAAAGACAGGCATAGGAAATTATAAGAGTATTGATTGGGGAAGTGATAAATGTCCATGAAATCTTCATAATTTATGTTCAGAGATTGCAGTAAAGACAGGCATAAGAAATTATAAAAGTATTAATTTGGGGAACTAATAAATGTCCATGAAATCGTCACAATTTATGTTCTTCTGCCATGGCTTCAGCTGGTCCCTCCATTCGGGGTCCCTGAATTCCTGCAACAATAATCCATTATTTTAAGCTGATAACCACTAAATGCTGTTTTCATAAACAAACAGACCAACAAGCAAATAGAAATCTAATAAAAAGTATATGCCTTCACTTTATTCTCCCATTTTTTAATTTTTGGTTATTTCTATTGATATCTTTGTGTACTGTGTATGTCTTGAAAAGTTGTTATTATTTCTGTTTGGTTCATTATTTAGTCTTTCTATTTAGAATAAGAATAATTCAAATACTACATTTATGGTGTTACAATATTCTGTGTTTTTCCATATACTTGCTATTACCAGTGAGTTTTGTACCCACAGGTGATTATTTATTGCTCGTTAACATCCCTTTCTTTCTAAGTACCACCTTTAGCATTTCTTGTAGGACAGGTCTGATGATGAAATCCCTCAGCTTTTGTTTGTCTGGGAATGTCTTTATTTCTCCTCCAAGTTTGTAGGATATTTTCACTGAATATACTATTCCAAGGTAAAAGCTTTTTCCTTCAGCACTTTAAATATGTCATGCCACACTCTCCTGGCATGTAAGATTTACACTGAAAAGTCTGCTGGCAGACATACTGGAGCTTCATTCTATCTTACTTGTTTTTTTTTTTTTTCCTCCTCTTGCTGCTTTTAATAGTCTTTATTTTTCTTTGATCATTGGAAGTTTGCATATTAAATGCCTGGAGGTAGTCTTCTTTGGGCTAAATCTGCTTGCTGTTCTATAACCTTCTTGTATTTTGAGAATTGATAACATTCATAGGTTTAGAAGTTCTCTGTTATTATCCCTTTAAGTAAGCTTTCTACTCCTAACTCTTCAGTATGCCAATTGCATTTTTTAACTGCAGAATTTTTATTTGATTAGTTTTAATTATTTCAATATCTTTGTTAAATACATTTGATAGACTGCTGAATTCTTTCTTTGTGTTATCTTGAATTTCTTTGAGTTTCTTCAACAGAGCGGTTTTGAATTATCTGACTGAAAAGTCACGTATCTCTGTTTTTTCAGGACTGGTCCCTGGTGGCTTTTTTAGCTCATTTGGTAGGATCATTTTTTTCCCAGATAGTGTTGACACTGGTAGATGTTCTTCAGTTCTGGGCATTGAGACATTAGTTATTTATTATAGTCTTCACTGTCTGGGCTTGTGTGTACCCATCCTTCTTGGGAAGGCTTTCCAGATATTTGAAAGACTTGGGTGTTGTGATCTAATCTTTATCTGCTTTAAAGGGGGGCACCCAAAGCCTAGTAATGCTGTTGTTCTTGCAGACATGTATAGGTACCAACTTGCTAGTCTTTGATAAGATCTGGGGGAATTCCCTGGATTACCAGACAGAGACTCTTGTTCTCTTCTCTTACTTTCTCCCAAACAAAAGGAGTATATTTCTCTGTTCTGAGTCATCTAAATCTGGGGGAGGAATAACACATGCACCCCTATGGACACCACCACTATGACTGTATTGGGTTAGGCCTGAAGCCAGAATAGCAGTGGTTCTCTCTCAAGTCCTGCTCTATTCAGTCCCTGACTCCTGCCTATGTTCATTCAAGGCCCTGGGGCTCTATAATCAGCATTTGGGAAAGCCAGCCAGGCCTGTGGCCTTTCCTTCAGAGTAGCAAAGGTCTCCCGGGTCCTGGGTAGGTCCATAGGTACTGTCCAGGAGTCAGGAACTGGAGTTAAAAACCCTCAAAATCTACCTGGTGTTCTACTGTATTGTAGCTGAGCTGGCATTCATACAAAACGATACAGACCTTCCCACTATTCTCTCCTTTTTCCAAAGGCAAAAGAGCGTCACACAGTAGCCACTGCCACTACAGGCCACAGAGAGTACTGCAAGGCTACTGCTGATGTTCCATTAAGGTTGAAGGGATCTTAAGTCAGTTTGTGGTGAATGCGGCCTTTCCTGGGACTTACCCTTCGGGACAGTGGGCTCTGCTCTGGCCCGAGGCAGGTCTAGAAATTCTGTTTAAGAGTCAAGTCCTGGAGTTGGGAACTCCAAGAACCTACTTGGTGTTCTACTTCCCTGTGCCTCTGCTAGGACCTAAGATGTAAGACAAAGTTTTCTTTACTTTTTCACTTGCTTTTCTCAAGCAAAGGAATTTTGTCCCATAGCCATCACAGGTAGTAATGTGCTGTGTCTTACATAAAGCCAGGAAGCCTCAGAGTCTTACCTTTGACTCTCAACATGGTACCTGGGTATCGCTATTGGTTATTCAGGGCCCAAGGGCTCTTCAATTAGCAGGTGATAAATACTGCCAGGACTGAGCCATTCCCTTCAAGGCAGCATATTCTCTTCTGGCCCACCCAAGACATGCCTAGAAATTTCATCTGTGAGCTAGCATCTGGAACAATGCTCTCATGACTCTGACAATTGCCCCATACTGCTATGGCTGAGCTGGTATCCAAGAATAACACAAAGTCCTTTCCACTGTTCCCTCTCCTCTCCTTAAGTGGAAGGAAGGAGTCCCTTTCAAAGCTGTTAGCTGTACAGCCTGGGATTATGGGAGGAGTAATACCCATGCTCCCTTAGATGCCCTAGCTTTTGTCCCAGTAGATAATGTGCCCCCTCAGTCCACTGTCTCTGGGCCCAGATTAGCACTAACACTTGCCCAAGACTTGTAATCCTTATGGCCTAGACTGCCTTTTAAGTTTACTTAGAGACCCAGAGTACTTTAGACTTCAGTTGACAGGTTTGCAGCAACTCAAATTTGGATAGCTGGAATCGGCAATTCCCCTCTGGCTAGGACTTATTTAAATTCTCCTTCCATGGGCCAGTGTCAGCTGGGTTTTGTCCAGTTTTCCTGTCTGCTCTAACAGGACAGCACTGAGTTTAATGCCTCACAATTTCTGTGTTCTCCCTCCTCAATACCCAGAGATGCCCTCTGTGCCATGCCTCTGCTGCCAGGGGGTGAGGGAGGGGTGGAGTGGCAATTCAAGACTGTTTTTTAAAAATATCTTCAGTATCTCTTTCAGTGATATGAAGACAAAAACAGATACTATGAGAACTCAGCTGATATTTGGTTCTTATGAAGGTATTTTCTCTGTGTAGGTAGTTGTTAAATTGGTGTTTTAGCAGGAGAAATGATCAGTGAAGCCTTCCATTCCACCATCTTGCTATACCTCTCTCTCCTAAATGCTTTTATAAAAAAGAAGTTTTGAATTTGATCAAATTCTTTTTGATTGTCTATTGAAATTATAATTATTCTAATTAGTATGAAATTATAAAACTATATTCACATTTGTATGCAATTATTAAAATTATAATTATTCCCATATATGTATGTATATATCTGTGTGTGTATATATATATACAGATATTATTGTATTTGAGTAATTTGAAGTACATTGAAAACATAATTTTTCACTCCTATTTTCTTAGATCAAACATATCCTGCTGCATAGCCACACCACTATTATCAAACCTAATAATTTTGACAGAATAAATGCTTGAGGGTATGGATACCCCATTCTCCATGATGTGCATTGTGATAATATTATTATCTAATATATTGTGCAAGTAAAAATACCTCAATTTTCTCTGTAATGTTCTTTATGAATGTGCTTTTATGTGTTAAATCTAGGAGGCATTCAAGAATCATGAATTACTTGTAGTTGCCAAATCTTCTTAAATTCCTTTATCTAGAATGGTTGGCTTGTTTTGTTTTGTTTGTTTGGGATTTTTTTTTTTTTTTGTCCTTTTAAAGATTCTAGGCCATTATATTAAGAATGTCCTAGAATCTATAATTTTCTGGTTGCTTCCTAATGACTGGATTCATGTTCAGGGCTTCCCTTCATGTGTCATGGACTATGTTATAGCTTAAGCTGCTGTAATAATGAGGTGCCAGACTTCAGAGGTTTATGCAAGTTTAAATTTTATCTTTCTCTTATAAAAATCCAGACGTGAGCTAGAAGAAATGGTTTTGCCATGCTTCCACATGGAGCTTCCATATTTGTGTCCAAAAGGGCTGCTCCAATTGCTGCCATTTTCCAGCAATAAAAGTGGAAAGATGAAAAGATGGAGAAGAGAGCAATAAGTAACCTTATTAAAGATGTTACCCAGCAGCTGCACACATCACATTTTTCAGCCACACCTGATTGCAAGGGAGACTAGGACATGTGGTATCTAGTTTGATGGTAATATGCACAACTAAAACTTGGGGATTCTACCATTAAAGAAGAATAACAGGCCGGGTGCGGTGGCTCACGCCTGTAATCCCAGCACTTTGGGAGGCCGAGGCGGGTGGATCACCAGGTCAGGAGATCGAGACCATCCTGGCTAACACGGTGAAACCCCATCTCTACTAAAAATACAAAAAAGTAGCTGGGCGTGGTGGTGGGCGCCTGTAGTCCCAGCTGCTCGGGAGGCTGAGGCAGGAGAATGGCATGAACCTGGGAGGCGGAGGTTGCAGTGAGCCGAGATCGCGCCACTGCACTCCAGCCTGGGGGACAGAGCAAGACTCCGTCTCAAAAAAAAAAAAAAAAGAATAATAGGAAAATGGACATCAATGGAAGAGCAGTCTCTCACCCAAGTTAGGAATACACCTATCGGTTAGGGCTTCCCTTGCACTGAGTTATGTGATGGCAGATGTAAGTAAGTGTGTGGCCAAACACAACTTTCCTTAGATTGTTCTTAATTGGCAAATAATTCAGAAACTAATGGTTCATTTAGTGTTCTCAGGCTCTGCTAGAGACTTGTCTTCTGGGAGCCTAGATTTGGGTTTGTTTGGTTTTAAAGTGGTAGTTATTATTGAAGAAGAGAAGTACTATAGTGGCAGAGATCTGTTAGGGAGTTTGCTGTTTTCTGAGCCTTTAAAAAAGTTACTTTTCTGTCATGGCGGTTCAGTCAACTGAGTTTTGGAATCCAACCTCACATTAGCAGTCTATAATACATTTATTTTATTGTACTTTATTCAACAAGCAATCTATGGAAGTGAGTCCTTTGGATAGCTTCCCTTACTACATATGAGGGAAGACAATTTTATGAGGTTGGAGATTGATACAAATCAATAATTTCTTGTCACTCTGCTGGTTGCTCTAGCACTGATCCTTGCAATTCTGAGTTTTGGGGTTTTCTATGGGCTTTCTATGGTATTGTGACTTCTTTTTTTTTTTTTTTTTAAAGGAAACCAGCCTAATCATATCTTAGGTGGGGAAGTATATTTTTTCTTTTTTGTTACAGATTTATCGGTTGTGATTGGATTTTCTCTTAATATTTTACCAAACATTTTGTTTAATTTTTATTTGTGAAATATTTCAAACATGATGAAAAGTATTTAATGTTTTATATTTTTTCAAAGTGCTCTCAAATATTCTGGATTTTTTGAGAGAATCCTTTCTTGTTTTTCAATTCTATGGATATTTTCCTTTATTTTGTCATTGTAATTGGATTTTTAGAGGCTGGTTTGTCAGTTAAGGATAGGTTTGGCTATGGATGGCAGAAAATCCCAAACAAGAGTGGCTCAAACAATGTATACATTTATTTTTTTCACCAACATAATCTAGAGGTAAGCAGTCCAGCACTGAAATTGTAGTTCCCTGATAATTGGAGGTCTCAGTTCCTTCTAGCTCCTTTTTCCAACCTTCTCAATGTATGGCTTCTAGGTCATGGCCCAAGAAGGCTGGTTCATCTCAGCCATAATATACAGATTTCAGCCAGAAGGAAAGCAGAAGTGGCAAAGAAGGGCACCCTCATTATATTACATTTCACTAACTAGATCTTAGTCATTTGGCCACACAGCATTACAATAGCCATTGAAAAATGTACCCAGCTAAAAATTAGGGATTGTATTACCAGGTAAAAAGGGAAAATTGATATGAGAGGCAAATTTCCATATTTGCCACAGAAAAGGAAATAAACATCTAGGTGGAATTTGCTATCTTAACCCAAGAACTAAGTCCTCCCTTGAAACTCCTCCAAAATAATTGCATTTATTTTACTAATAGGGAAAAGACCCACGTTAGTACACCCTAAGTAACACTGTTTATGACAAAATTTGGTGTGAACATAATGTTCCATCCATGAGTTTCCTTTTCATTTTATTGTTAATTATATCAGGCAGTAAGCCTAGGTAATACATGTGGATATAGTCTGTGAGGAGATTGTATTATGTTATTTAAAGTATGAAACCCCGTTTATCTAAATATGTTATATCATATACATACTTTCCTTCACAAAGACACTAGTAAATTTAAACATTTTTTAAAAGAGAGTTAATTTAGCCAAAAAGAGCCAAAAAGTTTCTTATTACAGAAAGCAGCATTCTCATTATTGCTTAGAAAATAGTCATAAAGTCACCTTTCCCTTCTGGGAGGTCTTAGTATGCTAAGAGTTACAAAATGATCCAGGGAGAAAGTTGTGCTAAAGCAACAGTGGCACATACTCTTTCCAGTGTAAAGCTTGGGCGACAGAAGTCTAACTTGTTTTATGCTGATGAACATTGAAAGATCTTGGCACAAACACCACGGTTTTCAAATAATAAGCTTTTGAACTGGTACAAGGCCATTATGGCAGAGTAGCAGCCTAGCCCTCTTGTCATTTGTGATAAGGACATCAATATTAGTCATTGTCACCCTTCATTAAGTTCAGATCTTACATTCTTCCATCCCTAAGGGTGTATTTCATTGATGTTTTTCTTAGCAAACGACACAAGGACACAGGGACACAAGCTCACTTTAAACTACTAGTTAGAGCTGAATTTATTTTCCTCCATGGGGCATTAACTACAAAGGGATAAAAATAGTTTTCATCATTTTTTTCAATTTTATTAAAGCTATTATGTATGCCTAGTCTTCTTCAAGTAAATGAACTAATTTAAGTACCTTTAAGTGGTAATAAATATTATAAGTTATAATATATGTTTTGGCCAGGCACAGTGGCTCACTCCTGCAATCCCAACACTTTGGGAGAAGAGGAGGGAGAATCAATTGAGCTCAGCAGTTTGAGGCTATCCTGGGAAACATAAAACAACTTTCCTTAGACTGTTTGTATGTTCTGTATGTTCATGAGATCAAGTTTTTTAGGTAAAAAGCTGAAGTGAGAACATGTGGTAGTTGTTTTTCTGTGCCTGGCTTATTTCACTTAATATAATGACCTTCAGTTCCATCCATATTTCTACATCACATAATTTTATTATTTTATGGTTGGATAGTATTCCATTGTGTATTTAAAACATATTTCCTTTATTTTCCATTAAAGGTCACATAGGTTGGTTTCATACCTTCGGTATTGTGAATAGCGCTGTGATAAACTTGGGAGTTCATGTATCCCTTTCGTGTACTGATTTTTATTCCTGTGGATAGATACCCAGTAGTGGGATTCCTGGATGGTATAGGAATTTTACTTTTTTTGAGATATCTCCATACTGTTTCCACACTGGTTGTACTAATTTACATTTTCACCAGCAGTGCTGATTGTTTCTTTTGCAATGCAGACGGTTTTTAGTATAAATAAGTCCCATTTGTCTATTTTTGTTTTTGTTTTCTGTGCTTTTTAAGTCTTAGCTGTAAAATATTTGCTTAGATCAACATCCCGAAGAGTTTCTCGTTTTCTTTTAGTAGTTTTATAGTTTGGGGTCTTATATTTAAGTTTTTAATCCATCTTGAATTGACTTTTCTACAGGCTGAGAAATAGGGGTCCAGTTTCATTTCCTGCATATGGTTATCCAGATTTCCCAGAATAAATTATTGAAGAGGATGTTTTTTCTCCAATATATGCCCTTGGTGGCTTTGTTGAAGATCAATGGGCTATAAATGTGTGGATTTATTTCTGGATTATCTGTTTGTTCCATTGATCTATGTGTGTGTTTTTATATCAATACCAAGCTGTTTTGGTTACTATAATCTTGTAAATTTTTTTTTTTTTTTGAGACAGAGTCTCACTCTGTCGCCCAGGCTGGAGTGCGGTGGCATGATCTTGGCTCACTGCAACCTCTGCCCCATAGGTTCAAGTGATTCTCCTGCCTCAGCCTCCCAAGTAGCTGGGATTACAGGCACCTGCCACTGCGCCCGGCTAATTTTTGTATTTTTAGTAGAGATGTGGTTTCACCATCTTGGCCAGTCTGGTCCTAAACTCCTGACCTTGTGATTCACCTACCTCGGCCTCCCGAAGTGCTAGGGTGATGGGTGTGAGCCATCACGCCCAGCCTGTAATATATTTTGAAGTCAAGTAATGTGATGCCTCCAACTTTTTTTTTTAATTTCAACTTTTATTTTAGATTCAGGGGGTACATGTGCAGATTTGTTACATAGGTATATTGTGTGATGATGCTGAGCTTTTGAATACAAATGGTCCTATCACACAGGTAGTGAGCATAATACTCAATAGTTAGTTTTTCAGCCCATTTACCCCTCCTTCCTTCCCCTTTCAGGTAGTCTTCAGTGTCTATTGTTGCTATCTTTATGTCAATGAGTACCCAATGTTTAACTCCCACTTGTAAGTGATAAAATGTTGTATTTATTGTTGTTGTTGTTGTTATTGTTAATTTGCTTAGGATAATGGCACATAGCAGCATCCATGTTGCTGCAAAGAACATTATTTTATTCTTCTTTATAATTGTGTAATATTCCACAGTGTATTTATGCCACATTTTCATGATCCAATCCACCATTGATGGGCACCTATATTGATTCCATGTCTTTGGTATTGTGAATAGTATTGCAATGAACATATGAGTCTATGTGTCTTTTTGGCAGAACAATTTGCTTTCTTTTGGATATATATTCAGTAATGGGACTGTGAGGTCAAATGTTAGTTCTGTTTTAAGTTCTTTGACAAATCTCCTAACTTTTTTCATAGTGGCTGGACTAATTTACATTCCCACCAACAGTAGTATAAGCATTCTTTTTTCTCCACAGCTTCATCAGCTAAGACTCATGTGGAACCAAAAAGAAGTCCAAATAGCCAGAGCAATCTTAAGCAAAAAGTACAAAGCTGGAGGCATCACATCACCCATCTTCAAACTGTACAATAACTCTGTAGTATCTAAAACCGCACAGTACTGGTACAAAAATAGGTACATAAACCAATAGAACAGAATAAAAAACTCAAAGATAAAGATGCACAACTACAACCATCTTATCTTTGAAAAAGTTGACAAAAATAAGCAATAGGAAAAGGACTCCCTATTTGATAAATGGTGCTGGGATAGCTGGCTAGCCATGGGCAGAAGAATGAAACTAGACCCCTGCCTTTCGCTGTATAAAAAAAGCTAATATGGATAAAGATTTAATACAATACATCAAACTCTAAGAATCCCAGAAGAAAACCTAGGAAACACCATTCCGGACATTGACCTTGGGAAAGAATTTATGATTATGTCTCAAAAGCAATTGCAACAGAAACAAAAATTGACAAGTAGGAGCTGATTAAAGAGCTTCTACCAAGCAAAATAAACTGTGACTAGAGTAAATAATCTACAGAATGGGAGAAAGTATTTGCAAACTATGCACTCAGCAAAGGCCTAATACCTACAGTCTATAAGGAACTTAAACAAGCAAAAAACAAATAACCTTATTGAAAAATGGAAAAAGGACAATCCCAAACACTTGTCAAAAGAAGATATTAGAGTGATCAACGAACATATAAAAATGCTCATCATAATGAATAATCAGATAAATTAAAATCAAAGCCACAATGAGATACTATCTTACACTAATCATAATGGCTATCATTAAAAGTCAGATTTCTTATTTTTTCTCAGGATTGCTTTGGTTACTTGGGCTCTTTTTTGGTTCCATACAAATTTTAGGATTGTTACTTCTATTTCTATGAAAAATGACATTGGTATTTTGATAGAGGTTGCATTGATTCTGTATGATGCTTGGACAGTATGGTCACTTTAATAATATTAATTCTTCAGATCCATTAGCCTGGGATGTTTTTCCATTTTTATGTATCATCAATGATTCTTTCATTAATGTTTTGTAATTCTTCTTAACGAGATCTTTCACCTCCTTTGATAAACTTACTCCTAGATATTTTTTGTTTTTGTAGCTATTATAAATGGGATTGCCCTCTTGATTTCTTTTTCAGCTATTTCATTATTCATGTATAGAAAATCTACTGATTTTTCTATGTTAATTTTGTATCTTGCAACTTTACAGAACTTATCATTTCTAAGAGATTTTTTTGGTGGAGTTCTGTTTTTTTCTAGATATATGATCATGCTGTCTGCAAAGAGAAACAAGATGATTTTCTCTGTTCCAATTTGGATGCCATTTTTTTTCCTTGACCTATTGCTCTTTCTAGGATTCCCAATACTATGTTCAATAGTAGTGGTGAAAGTGGACTTCCTTGTCTTGTTCCAGTCCTTGGAGGAAAGCCTTTCAATTTTTCCCCACTCAGTATAATGTTAGCTGTGGGTTTGTTGCATACGGCCTTTATTATTTTTAGGTAGGTTCCTTCTACACTTAGTTTGAGAAATTTTATCATGAAGCGATGTTGTATTTTGTTAAATGGTTTTTCTGCCTCTATTGAAATAATCATATCTTTTGTCCTTCATTCTATTGGTGACATGTATCCCATTTATTGATTTACATACATTTAACCACCCTTGCATCCCTGGAATAAATCCCACTTTATCATGGTATATTATCTTTTTGACGTGCTGTTGGGTTTGATTTGCTAGTATTTTGTTGAAGACTTTTGCGTCTATGTTCACCAAACATATTGGCCTTTGGTTTTTTGATGATGTTGTGGCTGTCGTTGTTCTGTCCTTGTCTGGTTTTGGTATCAGGATAATGCTGGCCTCAGAATGAATTAGGTAGAAATTCACTCCTCTTGAAATTTTTTGAATAGTTGAAGGAAGATTGATAATAGCTTTTCTTTATATGTTTGGTAGAATTTGGCTATGAATCCATCTGTATCTGGGCTCTTCTTTGTTGGTAGACATGTTATTACCAATTCAATCATGCTACCTGGTATTGGTCTGTTGAGGTTTTCTATTTCTTCCTGATTCAATCATGGTAGATTGTATGTTTCCAGAAATATATTCATTTCCTCTAGGTTGTCCAGTTTATTAGCATATACTTGTCCATAACAGTCGCTGATGATCTTTTGTATTTCTGTGGTATCAGTCATAATGACTCCATTTTCATTTCTGATTTTGTTTATTTGGGTCTTCTTTCTTTTTTTTTTGCTGAGTCTACTTAGTGGTGATATTATGCTTAGCTTTTTTAAAGAACCAACTTTTTATTTAATTGATCTTTTATATTTTTAAGTTTTACTCTGGTCGTTATTATTTATTTTCTTCTGCTAATTTTGGGTTTGGTTTTTTCTTGTTTCTAGTTCCTTGAGGTGCATCATTAGATTGTTTATTTGAAACTCTTTTTTATGTAAGTATTTATTGCTATAAACTTGTCCCTCTTAATAATGCTTTTGCAGTGTCTCACAGATTTTGTATGTTGTGTTTCTATTTTCATTTGTTTCGTAGATTTATTTTTTATTTTCATCTTAGTTTCCTCATTGACCCAAATGATCGTTTGGGAGCATATTGTTTAATTTCATGTATTTGTATAGTTTCCAAAGTCCCCTTTTGTATGATTTCTAGTTTTATTTCATAGTGATATGAGAAGATACTTTAAATTATTTTTATTTAGTTTTAAAAATTTGTTGGGACTCGTTTTGTTGCCTGACATGGTCTATCACGGAGAATGTCCATGTGCTGTTGGAAAGAATGTATACTCTGTAGCTGTTGACTAGAATGTTTTGTAAATGTCTGTTAGGTCCATTTGGTCTAAAAATCAGTTTAAGTCCAATGATTCTTTGTTAATTTTCTGTCTAGATGATCTATCTAATGTTGAGAGTGGGATGTTGAAATCCCCAAATAATATTTCAGTCTATTTCCTTATTTAGACCTGATATTTATTTTGTGAATCTGGGTGCTCAGGTGTTGGGTACATATATATTTAGAATTGTTATATATTTTTGCTAGATTGATCATTTTATCTTTATTTAATAACCATTCTATAGACTTTTACTGGTTTTAACATAAAATCTATTTATCTAATATTAATAGAGCTACTCCTGCTCACTTCTGGCTTCCACTTGTGTGGAATATCTTTTTTCTTCCCTTTACTTTCAGTCAATATGTGTCTTTACAAGTGAGATTAGATTTCTGTAGGCAGTGTGAAGTTGGATTGTGGTTTTTGGGTTTTTTAAAATCCATTCAGCCAATCAACATATTTTAACTGAAGTATTTAATCCATTTACTCTTAAGGTTATTATTAATATGTGAGGTTTTTCTTATCATATTGTTAATTGCTTTCCGATTGTTTTGTGTGTTTATTATCTCTTTTTCTTTTGTTTATTCTCCTTTTGGTTTTCTGAATTTTGTATTAGTACCATTTGGATCTTCTGTCATCCTCATTTGTATGTTTGCTTTACCAGTGAGTTTTATATTTTCATTTGTTTTCCTAATGGCAAATGCCCTCCTTTCTCTTGCAGGTTTAGAATTCCCTTGAGCATTTCTTTTAGGACAAGTTCAGTGGTAATAAAATTCCTCAGTATTTGGTTATGTTGTAAAGACTATTTCTCCTTTATTAATGTAGAATAAGTTTGCTGAAAATAGTATTCTTGAGGGACATTTTATTTCTTTCAGCACTTTAAATATATCTTACCATTCTCTCCTGGCCTGTAAGTTTTCTACTGAGTTGTCTGCTGTTAGTCTGATGGGGGCTTCTTTATTGATGACTAGATGATTTTTGCTTGCTGTTTTTAGAATTTCCCTTGTCATTGACTTTAGATAATTTGTAAAGTGCCATGGAGCAGACCTTTTTGCTTTATATATGTTTGGGGATCACTAGGCCTCCTGAATCTGGGAGTCTAAATATCTTGCTAGACTTGAAAAGTTTTCATCTATTATCTCATTAAATAGGGTTTTCAACTCTTCTTTTGTTCTCTCATTGTCTTCTAGGGTTTCAATAACTCATGTATTTGTTCACTTTATGGTTTCCCATGTATCACAAAGGTTTTGACCGTTCTTTTTTATTTATTTCTATCTGACTTGGTGATTTCAAATTACTGGTCTTCCACTTCTGAAATTTTTTCTTCTGTTTGATTTAGTCTATTGTTGAAAGTTAGGAGTATATTATCTATTTCATTCAAAGAGGTCTTCATTTCCAGAATTTCTGTTTAGTTCTTTTTTATGATATTTGATTTTTTTTCCTGGATTTTGTGATTTTATTTTTTATTGGAATCTGTTTCTGAATAATTATTGTGCTTATTTGGAAGTGTTGTATATCCTTGCTTTACTATGTTTTCTCTGTTGTTACATTGTTATCTGTGCATCTGGTGTAATAGTCAATGCTTCCGTTTTTTTTTAATTTGCTTTCATAGACAAGGACTTTTACGTGAAGATATAGCAGTGGTGTTTATTGTGTAGGGCCCTTTGTATTTGATTTTGAGTGTGTGCAATAGTGTATTCTCTGTATTGTTTCTTCAGCTGTGAACAGTATCAGTGGTATCTATTTTTCCCCAGTCATTAATGTGTGTTTATTAGTGCAGGCTATGGTGAAATTTTGCTGGGGACAGATATACCTATGTGGACTATTTTTTTTTTTTTTTTTTTTTTTTGCCCCCGTAGTTGCAGTGGTGAACTAAGCATGCCTGTTCTTGGGCTTCAGGGTGGCATATGCTGGAACCAGTGTTGTCATGACCAAGCAGGCCAACTCCTGGGCCTCCACGTAGCTTGCTCAGGTTCTAGTAGTGGTAGCAGTAAGCTGAGTGGTTAAGCAATTTCTCAGGTCTCTCAGCAGGTAGCGTGGTGTGGGTGATGGCAGCAGCAGTGGGAGGACAACCGTCTGGGTTCTGAGTTATGCACACTAATGTTGACAGTGACTGCTATTTGTGGTCACCACTCACAACCCCAGACATGCAGCTATTGAGCTCACCCACTCTCAGTGGCAGTAGCACTGTAGTATTGCATGGAGGAGAGGGACTATTCCCTTTGTGCATGAACCCAAGCATGGAGGCCACACTGCCAGTGGTAGCCATTAACAACCCCAAACAGACAGCCCTTCAGCCTAACCACCCTAGCTGCTGGTGGCAGCAACAGCAGCAGCACCTGCAGTGGTGTTTGGAGGGAAAGTAGAGTAGGGGTCTTGCTCACTATTCATGAGTCCAAGAACAGTGGCCTCTTTGCCTGTGGGAGGGGATCTTACTCCCCATTTGCAAGGCCAAGAACAGTGTATGTGCCACCGCTGGGAGCAGAGTAATTTTTCACAATTCCGGACAGGAGGCTCTTGGGATCTGGTAAGCTTGTGCTTTGGTTTTCTTTATCCCAGAGCCACATTTTTGGTGTGCTGTATCAACCTTTTCCCAAGAAATAGTACTCCTTGTGGTCTGGAGTACTGGGTACCCCACAGCACTTTTCAGTCCAGCCAGTGCTGTGCCACTATAGTCCTCTGGATGGACACTTTGGCATACCAATTGTGCTTCCCAGTATGTGTGGATATGGGGGCTGTGGTTCCCAGGACAGGATGCAGCAGTGTTGGCTGTGCTCTCACAATGGCGCTCTGTTGCAGACACTTAGGTCTTAGGGGTCTGAGTGATCCAGTGCTAATTCCCTGTCTGGTGCACTTTGCTCTTTGGGTCTCCAGATCACTGCCCATTCCAGTGCCAAAGTACAGGTAGAGGAGGTCTCCCCTTGTTCAGACTGCAGTAGTTGGTGGTGCAGCAGATATGGGCCACAGAAATTCTCTCATCTGCCCTTTCTCCATAATCTCAGCCAAACTCAGAGAAGCTGGACACTTGCTCTCTTCTTCTGTGCCTCTGGGTGTTTCCTGTGACTTCTCTGTTGGACTCTATTGTTCTCTCCTGGATGTACTATTTAATGTGTATAATTTGATTTCTCTTTTCTGGAGGGGGCAAGTATCTGATGTCTGTAGTCAGTCATCTTGAGCTGGAATTCTACACCCCAGAATTTCATATGTGAATATCTTTTGTATAGTCAGACACCAGCACTCTTCACAAGCTGTGAAGGAGATGCAGATAACCTACATAGCACATTTAAACAAAACAAAAGAAAATATTACATTTCCTTAGTACATGAGGCTGCCATGTGAGAAGAACAAAATGGAGAGAAAAAGAGTTTAAAAAGCTGCCAAGTAGAAAATTTTACATATATAATGGGGTGTCAAGGTGAAAACACTCACCAAGAGGGCTTTCCATGCCTGGGATCACAAGGGGATAAACATCTATCTAACTATTCATATGGTGTGGCTGGGTCCCCACCCAAATCTCAACTTGAATTGTATCTCCCAGAATTCCCACGTGTTATGGGAAGGACCCAAAGGGAGGTAATTAAATCATGGGGGCCAGTCTTTTCCATGCTATTTTCGTGATAGTGAATAAGTCTCATGAGCTCTGATGGGTTTATCAGGGTTTTCCACTTTTGCTTCTTCCTCACTTTTTCTCTTGCTGTCACCATGTAAGAAGTGCCTTTTGCCTCCCACCATAATTCTGAGGCCTCCCCAGCCATGTGGAACAATAAGTCCAATTAAACCACTTTTTCTTCCCTGTCTTGAGGTACTCATGTCTTTATCAGCAGCATAAAAATGGACTAAATAGAGTAAACTGGTACCAGTAGAGAGGGGCATTGCTGAAAAGATACCTGAAAATGTGGAAGTGACTTTGGAACTGCATAACAGGCAGAGGTTGGAACAGTTTGGAGGGCTCAGAAGCAGACAGGAAAATGTGGGAAAGTTTGGAACCTCCTAGACATATGTCGAATGGCTTTGACAAAAATACTGATAATTATATGGACAATGTAGTCTAGGCTGAGGTGATCTCAGATGGAGATGAGGAACTTATTGGGAATTGGAGCAAAGGCGACTCTTGTTATGTTTTAGAAAAGAGACTGGTGGCATTTTGCCCCTGCCCTAGAGATTCATGGAACTTTTAACTTGAGAGAGATGATTTAGGGTATCTGGCAGAAGAAATTTCTAAGCAGCAAAGCATTCAAGAGGTAGCTTGGATGCTGTTAAAGGCATTCAGTTTTATAAGGAAAGTAGAGCAAAAAAGTTTGGAAAATTTGCAGCCTGACTATGCGATAGAAAAGAAAAACCCATTTTCTGTGAAGAAATTCAAGCCAGCTACAGAGATGTGCATATGTAGCAAGGAGCCTAATGTTAATACCCCAAACCATGGGGAAAATATCTCCAGAGCATGTCAAAGGTCTTCATGGCAACCCCTCCCATCACAAGCCCAGAGGCCCAGAAGGAAAAAGTGATTTCGTGTGCCAGGCCCATGGTTCCCATGCTGTGTGCAGCCTTGGGACTTGGTGCCCTATGTCTCAGCCTGTCCATCTATGGCTGAAAGGGGCCAATGCAGAGCTCGTGCTGTGGCTCCAGAAGGTGGAGGCCCCAAGCCTTGGAAGCTTCCACATGGCATTGAGCCTGTGGGTGCACATAGTCAAGAATTAAGACTTGTGAACCTTCACCTAGATTTCAGACGATGTAT
This sequence comes from Homo sapiens, assembly GCF_000001405.40. NCBI lineage: Eukaryota > Metazoa > Chordata > Mammalia > Primates > Hominidae > Homo > Homo sapiens. Next base: position 93,151,833 of record NC_000023.11, on the reverse strand, counting down.
GGAAATGCCTGGATGCAAAAGTTTGCTGCAAGGGCGGGGCCCTCATGGAGAAACTCTGCTAGGGTAGTGCAGAAGGGAAATGTGGGGTCAGAGCCTCCACAGAGAGTCCCTACTGGGGTACTGCCTAGTGGAGCTGTGAGAAGAGGGCCACTGTCCTCCAGACCCCAGAAGTGTAGATCCACTGACAAAAGCTGGAGGCACTCAATGCCAGCCCATGAAAGCAGCTGGGAGGGAGGCTGTACCCTGCAAAGCCACAGAGGCAGAGCTGCCCAAAACCATCTTGCATCAGCATGATCTGGATGTGAGACCTGGAGTCAAAGGAGATCATCGTGGAGCTTTAAAATTCGACTTCCCCACTGTATTTCACACTTGCATAGGCCCTGTAACCCCTTTATTTTGGCCAATTTCTCCCATTTGGAACAGCTGCATTTATGCAATACCTGTACTCCCATTGTATTTAGGAAGTAATTAGCTTGCTTTTGATTTTACAAGTTCATAGGCAGGAGGGACTTGCATCATCTCGGGTGAGACTTTGGACTGTGGACTTTTGGGTTAAAGCTGAAATTAGTTAAGACTTTGGGGGACTGTTGGGAAGGCATGATTGGTTTTGAAATGTGAGGACATGAGATTTGGAGGGGCCAGGGGCAGAATGATATGGCTGGGCTGTGTCCCCACCCAAATCTCTACTTGAATTGTATCTCCCAGAATTCCCATATGTTGTGGAAAGGACCCAATGGGAGGTAATTGAATCATGGGGGCTGGTCTTACCTGTGCTATTTTCATGATGGTGAATAAGCCTCAAGAGATCTGATGGGTTTATCGGGGGTTTCCGCTTTTGCTTCTTCCTCATTTTTCTCCTGCTGCCACCATGTAGGAAGTGCATTTTGCCTCCTGCCATGAGTCTGAGGCCTCCCCAGCCATGTGGAACTGTAAGTCCAATTAAACCTCTTTTTCTTCCCAGTCTCAGGTATGTCTTTGTCAGCAGCATGAAAACGAACTATTTACTAACATTTGGGAAACGTAGTTAAATAACAGGCAGGAATTAAAAACTAAGAGTAGGGGATTGGCAGGGACATACAGCTAATGACAAAGCTATGTTTTAAACTCAACTACATCTCTCTCCAAACTCATGCTCTTAGACACTGTACTAATGGTTCTCAAACTTAGAGTGTGTAAGGATCATATAGAAATGAAGATTTCTTAAATTCATTGATGAAGAATCTTATTCAATAAAGTTGAAATAAAGCACAGGTGATCCTGATAAAAGTGAATATCACATTAGATATGATCTGTACCCAAAGCTGAACTGTTATAATGAAGAACCCCCAATATAAAACAGAGTTTATTTTTCTCTCATCTCTCTCTTCATAGCTAAGTCATGTTCCAGGGTAGGTAAGTGTTTCTGAGCCACAACATTACGTAGACAGCTAGATTCCTTCTGTATTGTTGTTCTGCCATATACCAAGTATTATCATTGTCTGTAGCATTTGAGGTCTTGCTCAACAGCTAACCATAGAAAGGAGGCATGAGAGGCATGAGAGGAAGTTAAGGGACAAAGAATTTTCCTTTAGGAATGTGACATGGCAGTAAGCATATCATTTTGGCTCATATAACATTGATGAAAATCTAGTCATATAGCTGTATTAAGCTGCAAAGGGAGCTTAGAATTGTAGTCTCTAGATAAATAAACATGTGTTGCTAAAACTTGATGGGGTGTTTATTACTAAAACTGAGAAGGGGAGAATAAATATTAGGAGTGTGCTAGTAGCTGCTGACATAATAGACTTCACTTATAAAAAACACTTAATATTTCTAAAATAGCTTATAGGAAGTTAGTCCTGTTACAATGCTATAACAGATACTACTGCAAATGCTAATTGTTAGCAAACATACTAAGTAGGATAAGCTTGCTTTTAATTCTAGAATATTTAGATCAGCTCTAAAAATTAAGCCTGTTGTTTAAGTAAAACAAACAAATGAACAAACAAAAACAATCCAAGGACTACATACAAAGGACACATTAGTTTGTGTAACAGTTTTAAAAACCCACCCCATGAATTTTCACACCTGATATTGTGTCCAGAATGGGTTCCTTCTGGTGGGTTCTTGGTCTCGCTGACTTGAAGAATAAAGCCGCAGACCCTCACGGTGAGTGTTACAGTTCTTAAAGATGGTGTGTCCAGAGTTTTTTCCTTCAGATGTTCAGATGTGTCTGGAGTTTCTTCCTTCTGGTGGGTTCATGGTCTTGCTGACTTCAGGAGTGAAGCCGCAGACCTTTGCAGTGAGTGTTACAGCTCTTAAAGGTGGTGCGTCCAGATTTGTTCATTCCTCCCAGTGGGTTCGTGGTCTCGCTGGCTTCAGGAGTGAAGCTGCAGACCTTCCCAGTGAGTGTTACAGCTCTTAAAGGTGGTGCATCCGGAGTTGTTCGTTCCTCCCATCCGGAGGTGTTCGTTCTTCCCAGTGGGTTCGTGGTCTCGCTGGCTTCAGGAGTGAAGCTGCAGACCTTCGCGGTGAGTGTTACAGCTTGTAAAGGTAGTGTGGACCCAAAGAGTGAGTAGCAGCAAGATTTATTGTGAAGAGCAAAAGAACAAAGCTTCCACAATGTGGAAGGGAACCCTGCTGATTGGTCCATTTTACAGAGCGCTGATTGGTGCATTTACAATCCTTTAGCTAGACAGAAAATTTCTCCAAGTCCCCACCTGACCCAGACGCCCAGCCAGCTTCACCTCTCAATGTGGTCTCATTCTCAAAGTTCTTGACACTAGAATAGGAATTAAGAGCTATAGAAATACAAAGGAAAAAGAAAATCAAATCCTATTGGGAAATTCAAAAGAAGCTTCTTAAAAGAAGTGACATTTGAAACACATCATGAAGAGTGACTAGAATTTTGTGAGTTGAGTTGAAGAGGACTGTGTTCTAGTTCCAGTTCAAGGAAGTAATATGATAACATAAATGGAAAAAAAAGGAAAAAAGAAAGAAAAGTGAAACATTCTCAATGAATTTCTAATTGAACTAAAAGGATATTTAGAATAACCCCAACTGAAAACTGGAGGTGATAAAAGATGAGGGAAACAAACACTAAAAAAAAAAAAACCTAGCTTGCTGCATTACTTCTACTCCTTTATCTATTTGCATATTAATTTAATTTTTATGGGGTAGGAACAATATCACAGAATTGCAACTAAATTCAGTGTTCTAGTGACTTGACAGCCAAAATACATATATACTCTAGTAAATTAAAGGGGAAAAAGGTTAAACACTACAGATTCTGCTTTACTAAGTTTCTCCTAAATAATCATTAAATTATCTCCCATATGTCTCTGAGCTTTTTTTTTTTTTTCTGGAGACAGAGCCTTGCCCTGTCTCCCAGGCTGGAGTGCAATGGCAAGTTCTCGGCTCATTGCAACCTCTGCCTCCCAGGTTTAAACTATTCTCCTACCTCAGCCTCCAGAGTAGCTGGGATTACAGGCACCCGCCACCACGTCCAGCTATTCTTTGTATTTTTAGGAGAGGCAGAGTTTCACCATGTTGGCGAGGCTGGTCTTGAACTCCTGACCTCGTGATCCACCTGCCTCAGCCTCCCAAAGTGCTGGGATTACAGGCCTGAGCCACCGCACCCAGCCTCAATTTTCTTTTTTTCAGCTTGTGATGCTTTCTAATCTAAGTGGTAACATTTTAAGATATTATTTTTGCTATACAAATATGCAATTAATATTTTTTAATATTTTAGTCACTCAATGAAGAAGCTGCATGATAGAAATAACTGAATTTCGTCTGACTGTATTAAGAGCTAGTTTGACAGTAGCTAGTGGCAAAGCTGTAAAGTGTAGCAGAAATTGTCAAGTGTCCTAGTCTTCATATTGATATAAGATTCACACACCACCTTTCAGATGTTATTATCTTTCTTTCTAATGTATAGATTCTTCCTCCTTTTTATAAAGCACTTTCTCCATAAGTACTTGCATGTTTTTTAAAATATATATTTTGAAACATTATCATTCATCTATGTAAGCAAGAGTGGAAAACATTGGAGTGGTTCATGTAAAATTTCTGAATTAATGATGTCAGAAAAATCCATACTTTCTAAGTTGACTTTTTAAAATACAAATATGACATTGACAATCAACTGCCATACATTATATTTGTTTATATAGCAGAATATGCATTTTGGAGTCTCACAAACTGCAATTCAAAGCCTATGTTTGTCACCTACTAAATATGTATCCCTGGGCAAGTTATTTAAACTTAGTAAAGGTAATGTCTGTAAAACAATTTGCACATTGCCTAGCAAATAGTGAATGCTCAATAAGCAGTAGTTTTTAAAATTATGTAAAGATCATATGTGAAAAATGATTAACAATTATTTTATCAATAACATTATTTGTAAATATGTGTGTGACTTTAATATTTTTTGCATCAACTTTTTGAAAATTCTGAAGGGAGTAAAATTCTTTATATTATTTTCAGAATAGCTAGTCATGAATTCAGACATTATTGCCCCAAGGGCTGAATCTCATTTGAAACAGATATTTTAACTGATTAAAATTAAGTCATTTCTGTTATAGTTAGAAATAAATAAATCATGTGAGGCACTGACTTCTCTTTTAAAAAGCACTCACATCAAATGAGCCTCATTGTTTCCTTTCTCAAGTGGACTATTCCATTTTTTTCCTTTGAAATGCATTTTCTCACTTTGTTCTAGATGAGAAAATATAGAACATTAAAATTCAAGAAAATATTAAAGATCTGAGATAGAACATGTTATAAAGTTGAACGTCACACAGAAAACTTTCAAAATAATCATAGTATCAATTTGTTTAATAGATTTTTTTAACTCCAAAATATTTTCAATGTAGCATGTAACTTGAATACTGCTTAGATGTGCCTTTGGCAGTTATATGTATGGTGAAAAATATTTTTCCTAATAAGAATCTGGTTCATATCCAATTCACCTGTCTTATCTATATATACATCATCATTCAATTGGTGTGACTATATTAATATAAATCCTCATTCAAAACCCATCACCCAAAGGGAATATTGTTATGAACACTTCTCTATGTTTCATTTTTAAACATTATTCTTAAGTCAAACCTATTTGACAATACAATATGTAGAAAACAATATACTAAATGTTACATGGGGTAAGACTGATTAAGTTATTATGGTGTGGTAAAAAATAATTATGTACAAAATCTGATATTCTTGGTTCAAATTTTGGCTCTTACCATTTATGTGACTGTATAACTTTGAACAGGTTAATTAGCCTCTCAATTTTTATATAATGTCTACTGTAAGTAATGATTAGTAAAAAATAATTTGATCTTAGACAGTGAAACAATGAATGGCAAATGTGGAATACATAGATATACAATTAAGCTTCAGACAAAGCTGGGACAAGATATCCCAAAGCTTTGCAACTGCTTTTCATTGGTTAGAAAGCTCAGATGTTGGTAAGGAGTCTGATGGAATGAAATCAGAATATCCTTCTATAATCTGTTGGATTGCAGAATGGGATTGTCATGGACAAAGAAAATTTCATAATTTCCCATTTTAACATACAACCTCAAATACTCAGAATTAATTGTAATAAAGGATAATTAATCCCGTTTCCATCTGATACGAGATTTTCTGCAGCTTCAGAAACATGGGTTCCTCAAATAAACAAGCAATGTTCTATCAAAGACATGGGCAATTTGTGCACAATTGGAAGAAATGATTAAGTAAGGAAACTATATAAATCTCTTAAAATTAAAAAACAAATACTTCATAGTTATTATTTCCTTAGATTAGGTCAAAAATTAATTTAGATCACAGAAGCAAGATATACTATATGCCCTAACAAAGAATTATGTAATTTGTTCCTAAAGTAACACTAAAGTATACATAGAAATTTTTTAGAAACATAGGGAATAATTTTATGAGTGTTTATTTCTGTGCTATATTATTGGAAGTTTGGAAAAAGTCTAAAAAAGAATTTTGCTTCAGTATTTTTTATGTTTTGGTCTTCCTTTTTCCTTCCTTCTTTCTTTTTGAGCTTATATTACTCTCTTTACTTAAAAAGTAGTTGATAGAAGTGGCATGAAAACTTAGTGGAAAAGAAAGGATAATTCATTACTAAGTTTGGGAATAATTATTCTTTCTTTATAGGAATGTATAATATTAGATCTCTAGATTGCACCAAATGGGAAAAAAAATGAAATTCTATATAGATTAAAAAACCTGACCATGTAAAACAAAATCTTCAACACACTTGATATTTATGTAGAAAAATACTTTCTGGTCTCTGGATAGGGGATACTTCCTTTAAGAAGAGTGATAAAGCACAAATTATAAAGGAAAATGTAGCCATTTAACTACATAAACATTCAAAATGTTATGAAAGCAAAAATATAACAAAAATATGGTTAAAATAGTTCCACTTCTAGCTGCGATAGAATAATGAGGACTAAACTTACTAGTTCACCATAAAAAAATAGGAAAATGAACAAAATACTGTATTTAAAATTGTTTTCCATTTGGACAGAGGCAGCACAGGACTGTCATGCCTCAGTAAAGGGCAACTAATGAGTATACTATTATCACTGCCTACCTTTCTGCTTAGAGCCAGCACATTCCAGACCACAGCTCAAGGAGTAAGAACACAAGCAAAGCCTTGTGGTTATGTTGAGTTGAGGAGATAGAGGTTAGAATTAATGGTGTTTGCAGTGGGTTCAATCTGTGATGACCGGAAGAAAGGTATACAGAGTAGAAGACTCAGAAATATTTTACAACATTTCATTTGTTTTACATTTATTGGGGGTTGCTTTATGACCCAGTATATTATATATCCTGGAAAACGTTCTATGTGCATTTGAGAAAATAAATATTCTACTACTGTTGAGTGAAATATTCTATACATGTCTGTTAGGTCTGTTTGGTGTATAATGTTGTTCAGGTCTATTTTCTGTTTTTATACTAGGCCTATGTTATCTATCCATTATTTAAAGTTAAGGATTGCAATCCCTAAAAATCATTGTTTAATTATCTATTTCTTCTTTTGATTCAGTCAGCTTTTTCTTCACAGAATTTGAGATTCTATCATTAGGTGAACTGATATTTGTAATCGTTATATTATGCAGAACACTGATTATTTCATTATTATTCATTATCCCTAATAACATTTTTTCTTATGAAGTCTAATTTTTTTGATATAAGCCACTCAAGTTTTCCCTTAACTGTTGTTTCCTTAATATATGTTTTTCCAACCTTTTCCTTTTAATCTCTTTGCCACTTTGCATTTTGTTTCCTGTAGAAATCACATAATAGCATTGTTTTACTTTTTAAATCCAGTCTGAGAATCTTTACCTTATGATTAGATTGCTTAATCCATTCACATATAACATCATTGTTGATATAGTTAGATTTATGTCTGTCATTTTACTTTTTGTTTCTCTATGCCTCATATCTTTCTCTTCTTTTACACATCCATTATTCCTTTATTTTCTATGAAGTGAATATTTTCTAGTGTAACAATTAAATTGTTTTAATGGTTTGTTTTACTATATTTTTAGTTGTTTTCATACTAGTGGCTCTAGGGCTTACCATGTAAAACTTATTGGAGACAATTTAACTTCACACTGATTTAATTCCACTGAGGTATAGAATTACTACTCTTAAATAGGTCTATAACTTCTTCCCACTTTTTGTTATTATTATATGTAGAATACTTAAATATAACAGCAATATATTGTCACAGGTAATTCTTTATTTAACTTTATGTCTATTAAGTAATCTGAAAAAGAAAAGAAATAATTAAATACTTATAGTTTGTCATACTTACCTTATTATTAACCCTTTGTGGTTTTCTTCATTTTTCCTCTGATACTGAATTACCATGTGTTGCCATTTTATTACTTCAGTACAAAATTGTGCTCACACACCTGCTTTGTATGATTATTGTACTTTGTACTATTATTGTCAAATATATCACCTTTCTATATGTCATAGACCCTTAATACACTTATATAAATACTGTATTATACAAGTGCTTCTTAAATCAGTTAAAAGCAGAAAGATAATAAGTTGCATTTATACAGTCTTTTATAATGACATAATAACTTTTATTTGTGTTCTTTCTTACTGTGGATTCAAATTTCCATCTGTAGTCACTTTCTCTCAACCTGAAAATCTTCTAATATTACTTGTAAGGTAGGTCTACTAACCATGAAATCTGTCAGGGTTTGTTTATCTTGGAATATATTTATTTTGTGTTTATTTTTGAAGATATATTTTTGTTATACATGAGATTCTTGTTTGAGAATTTTTTACTGTCAGCACTTTGAATATGTTATCTCTGCTAGAATAGACTGCTTTCTAGTCTCCAAGGTTTCCAATGAGAAAATGGCTATTAATATTACTATTGTTCCCTTGTATATCATGAATTATTTTTTCTCTTGTTGCTCTTACATTTTTTCTTCTCCGTCATTAGGTATTTTTGCTGTAGTGCATCTGGGTGTGGATCTCTGAGTTTAACCTACTTGAAGTTTGGTAATTTTCATAGATATATAGATTAACATTTTTAAAATCAAATTAGGAAAGTTTTCAGCCATTTCTTGAAATATTTTTTTTCTGCTAATTTATCTTTATCCTGTTCTTCTGGTACCCCCATAAAGTGTATGTTGGTGTGTTTAAGGTCATCTCACATTTGTCTGAAACTGTTAAATTATCTTCATTTTTGTCTTTCTCTGTACTTCAGATTATATAATCTCTATAGACTTATTTTTGAGTTTGTATATCAGTCCTTTCTCACACTGCTATAAAGAAATTCCCAAGACTGCATAATTTGTAAAGAAAAGAGGATTTGTTGGCTCATAGTTCTGCAGACAGTACAGAAATCATGGCAGCATCTGCTTGGCTTCTAGGGAGGCCTCAGGAAACTTAACAATCATGGCAGAAAGTGGAGGGGAAGCCAGCACTTCACATGGCCAGAGCAGAAGAAAGAGAGGGTGAGGGGGAAGGTTCCACACACTTTTAAATAATCAGATCTCATGAGAACTCACTCACTATTGGCAGAACAGCACTAAGGGAATGGTGCTAAACCATTCATGAGAAACTGCCTTCATGATCCAATCACCTCTAACATTTGGGGTTAGAATTAGACATGAGATTTGGGTGGAGACACAAATCCAAATCATATCAGTTTGTTAATTATTTCTTCTGCCAAGCTCATTGTTGAGACTCTCCAGTGAATTTTTTATTTCAGTAATCATACATTTTAACTCTAGAATTTTTACTTGATTCTTTTGTTATAATTCTAATTATTTATTGATATTCTGTATTTGGTGAGACATTGTCATTATAGCTTCTATTACTTATTTAAGCATAATTTTCTTTCACTTTTCTTGAAAATTCTAAATTGTAGGTATGTAATATAGCAACTGTGTTTACTTACTCTCTTCCTCACTGTGTCTCCTCCACCCCCAGGCTCTTTTGGTCCTTGCTCTTTGCCTTTTTATTAGTTTTGTGGTTTGCCTGGGCTATTTTGGTGAAGTATGTTACCATGTAGTCTGCAGCCTTTCTTTTCTCTCCTGAGAGGTCACAACATTGGGCATGTGCACAGTCACTCTGAGATGGTGGTAGTCGTAGCAGGGTTCTGCTCAATTGCCTCTTTTTCTGGTCTCTATATTAAGCTGTCTGCCTCAATTAATATACCACCCACTTGTTAGGCTCCTCTCATTACAGACTGATCGTTCTATTGATTTTGACAATTGTCTTGGTCATAAAATACTCCATCAACTGAACTAGTTAAAAAGAGTCTAAGGTAATTTTTTAGAGAATATAAATAAAAAACATGCACACAAAAACTAATGGATATTATGGAGTTGACATTACAATAAGTACATTAAAACATTAAAGAAAAATAACAGCAGATTTGAGCTGGCAGAAAAATACTTTGTCCCCTTGAAGACAGACACTTTTAGCTTATCCCATCTAAGAAACAGAAAGAAAAATGAATAAAGAGAAACTAAGCAGAGCCTCAGAGTCCTGTGGAACACCATCAAGCAAAACAACATAAACATAATGGGAATTAAAAGAAGAGACAGAGAAAAGGACAGAGAGAATATTTGAAGAAATCATGGTCAAAACTTCTGGAGTTTGACAAAATAAATTATTCTACATAGCTGAGAAGTGCAAAGATCTCCAAATAGAAGAAAAAAATCCCGAAGGACATTTAAATTTAGACACAAAACCAAACTGTTGAAACACAAAGAAAGAATATAGAATGAAGCAAGAGAAAAACAACTCATCACATAAAAAGGTATCCTCAATAAGATTAACAGCAGATTTCTTATCAGGACTTTGGAGACCAGAAAAGAGTGAGATGACATAGTCAAAGTACTGAAAGCAAACAGCAGACCAATAGATCTATATCCAGCAAATTATATTTTAGAAATAACAAAGACATTTATATATTCCAAAAAAGATAAAAACTGAGATAATTCATAAATAGCCAATTATCTTTAAGAAATATCAAAGGGAGACCTTCAGTCTGAAATGATAAGACATTAAATAGTAACTCAAATTCACATGGAGAAATAAAGAACACTGGTAAGATGACCAAATAGGTTAATATGATAAAAAAGTATAAATATACTTTTTTCATAACATTATTTCCCTTATCTTATTTAAACACAACTGTATAAAGCAATAATTATGTATCAATTTTAACAAACACACAGTGTATTAATATGCAGTTGTATGAGAACAACAGTACCAAAGAGAGGGGAGATAATAGAGTTATAGAGAAGAAATTGAGTTAGTATTAATCAAAACTAGATTGTTATGAGTTACTATATTCACCCCTATAATTCCCAGAGAAACTACTAAGAAAATAACTCAAAAATAGAGTTGAAAAAATGGCAAAGAAATTAAAACATTATAAATGAAAATACCTATTTAGTACAAAAGAAGGCAGTAATGAAGGGGGAGAGGAACAAAAAGATTTAACATAAAGAAAATAACAGCAAATGGTAGACTTAAGTCTGAAATGTTTGTAACGACAGTAAATGTGAATTGAACACTCTAATTAAAAGGGAGAGATCGGCAGAATGGATGAAAACAAAAATAATGGTATATTTCTATGCTGTCTACACAGACACACTTTAAATTCAAGCAAAACTAGGTTGAAAGTAAAAGGATAGGAAAAGAAATGGCATGCAAACAGTACCAAAATGATAGCTGCAGTAATTTCATTAATATCAGACAAAATAAAGTTTAAGATAAAATGTTACCAGAGATACAAAAAGTCATTTTATAGTTGTAGAAAGGTTAATCCATCAAACAATTATAAACACATGTTCACCTAACACCACAGCTGCAAAATGCATAAAGTAAAACCTGACATAATTGAAGGTAGAAATAGACAATTCAAGAAGAATTGTTGGAGATTCCAATATTCCACTTCTAATAAAGGACAGAACTAGAAAGAAGTTCAACGATGAAATAGAAGATGGGGACAACATTCTAAAACACCTAAAACTAACATATCTATAGAATCCCTCAGGCAACAAGTGGAGCATACACTTTCTACTTAAGTGCATGTCGTGTATTGTACAGAATAGGCCACATATAAAGCCACAAAACAAGTCTCAATAAATTTAAAAGCGCTGACATAGTATAAAGGATGTTCTCCAATCACAAAAGATTAAAATTAAAAATAAATAACAGAAGAAAATTTGAGAAATTCACAAACACCTAAAAATTAAATGACACACTACTAAATAACCAATGGGTCTAGGAATAAATTCCAAGATGAAGAATGAAAATGAAAATGTAACATACCAATATGTATGAGATGAAACAAAATAGTGCTTTAGAGGGTGTATTAGTTTCCTAGGGCTGCTGTAACAAAATGTCATAAATTGGGTGGCTTAAAGCAACAGAATTTATTATCTCCCAGTTATCAAGGCTAGAAGTCAGAAATGAAGGTGTTGGAAGAGATGTTTTCCCTCTGAAACCTGTAACAGAATCCTTTCCCGCCTCTTCCTAGCTTCTGGTGGTTAGCTGGAAGTCTTTGGCATTTCTTGGCTTGCAGACACAAAATTCTCATCTATCTTCACATGGCATTTTTTCTATATGCCTTCATATCATTTTCATTCTGTATATGTCCATCATTATTTTATAAGTAAACTAGTCATATTGAATTAAGGCATCCCTAGTAAATTAATCTTGACTTGATGAAATCTGAAAATTACTTATTTCCAAATTAAGATGGAATTTTAAGGCATTAAGGTTTATGAGTTCAAAATATCTTTTTGAAGGGAAAAAATTGAACACATAGCTGAGGAAATTTATAGTTGTAATGCCTACATCAAGAAATAATTATTTCAAATTAATAATGTAAACTTCTACCTTAACAAAATAGAAAAAAACAAACTAAACCCAAAGGAAGCTGGAGAAAGTACATAATAAAGGTTTAAAAAGAAATAAATAAAATAGAGAATAGGAAGGTAGTAGAAAGTAGCAATAAAACTAAAAGTTGTTTTTTGTTTTAACATGTAAACAATCTTGACAAACATTTAACTAGACTGGCCAAGAAAAAAGACAGAATAGTCAAATTAATAAAATCAGGAAAAAAAGAAGTGACATTACCACCAATCTTACAGAAAGAAGAGTAATTAAAGAAAATATTATGAACAACTCTATTGCAAAAAAAAATAAGTAACTTGATATAGTGGAAAATTTTATGTAAAGACAAGAACTATAGAGAATTATTCAAGAAGAAATGGAAAATCTGACTGTATTCTTTAATAAGTAAAGAGACTGAGTTATTAATAAACATATTTTCCACAAAGAACAACCCAGGCCTGGATGGCTTTACTGGTGAATTGTAACAAATGATTAAAGAAGAACTAATTCAAATTAAAAAAAAAAAAAAAAACTTTTGGTAAAATAAAAGAGGATGCAACACAACCCAACTCATTCTTTTAGGCTAGTATTACCCTGATGCCAAAATCAAGCCTGTCTTATTCAGTTTGGTCTGCTATAAAAAATATAATACAGACTCGGCAGATTAAACCATGGACATTTTTTTCTCACAATTCTGTAGGCTGAGAAGTTTAAGATCAAAGTGCCTGTAGATCTTATGTCTAAGAAGAAACCATTTTCTTATTTGCAGATGGCAATCTTCTCATTGTATCTACATAGTGAAGAACGGAGAAACTAGGAGCGGGTGCTCCTGTTTCTTCTTGTAAGGGCACAAATCTCATTCATGAGGGCTACACCCTCATGAACTAATTACCTTTTAAGTTCATTTAGGCTGCTATTACAAAATAACTTACATTTGATAATTTACTTAAGAATGCAGGCATGTATTGCTCACAGTTCTGAAGGCTGGGAAGTTCAAGATCCAGGCACTGGCTGATTCAATGCCTTGTCAGATCTCACTGTCTGCTGTGAAGATGGCACCTTATAGCTTTGTCCTTACATGAAAAAGAAGTGAAGAAGCTCCATCAGGCCTTGATTATAAGGGTCTAATCCCATTCATGAGTGCGGATCTAATAACCTCCCAAAGACCCAACCTGTGAATACTATTGCAAATTAGGTTTCAAAATATAAACTTTGTGGGTGGACACATTTAGACTATAACATTCTGCACCTGACCCCCCAAATTTATTTTCTTCTCATATAAAATACATTTATTACATTTCAATAACTCTATAAGTCTTAACTTATTTTAGCATCAACTGAAAATCTAAAGTCCAGAGTATCATCTCAATATCATCTAAATTGGATATGAGTGAGACTTAAGGTACCAAATGAGGCAAATGGCTTTCTAACTGTAAACTTGTGAAATCAAGCAAGTTATGTGCCTCTGAAACACAAAGGGACAGGCATAGGACAGATGTTCCAATTCCAAAAAAGAGAAATAGGAAAAAAGAAAGGAGTGACAAGTTCTGATCAAGGTCAAAACCCAACAGGGCAAACAACATTACATTTCAAAGCTTGAAAATAATCTTCTTTGACTTAATGTCTCACCTTCCAGACAGGCTTAGGCTGAGATAAGGTCCTCAAGTGTCCAATAGGCACCGCCATCATGTATTTGCTGGGCTCAGCCCATACGGAAGCTCTAATATGTTGGGGTTGTATGCCTGCTGCTCTCCCAGGCTATAGTTACATGCTGGTGGCTCTACAAGTGTCAGGTTTCAAGTGTAGCCCTACCTCCATGGCTCCACCAGGTCTTACCATAGTTGGGACTCTCTTTGATGTCCCTGACTCCATGGTTCTGCTGGGCATGGCTCTAGTAGGGGTACTGTTGTGACTGTGACCCTGTGGTAGTCCTCTGTCCATTCCCCAAGGATCTCCAGGATATCCTTTGAAATCTAAGTGAAGGTAGCCATGCCTCTACAGCTTGTGCACTTTGCCTGCCTGTGGAAATGATGCTGTATGGACACCACGATGGTTTGCCACCTATGCCTTGCAGAGGGGTGGCCCAAGTCACCCCTGAAGCCCATTTGAACCACAAGTGGGCTTGCCAAGGAGTACCACACCAGAATGTTGAGAGCAGAGCGTTGAAATTATTTTGTCCCCAAGGCCCTGGATTTCTGGGCCTGTGATGAGCAGGGTAGCGACAAAGCTCTCAAAAATGCCTTCAGGGTTAGTCTTGCACTGTTTAAATAGCATTTTCTTCCTCATTTTCATCTGCAGTCTCATTAGAATGGCTTTTACTCTCCATATTTCAACCAACATTCTGATCATGATCATTTAAGTAATTGCTAAAAAACAAAAACTGAGGCTTCCTCTACAGCTCTCCTCTTCTTCTGAAACCTCACTAGATTACCCTTAATGCTCAATTAATGTAGGCTTTTTCTAGCATACTCCTACAGATTCTTCCAGCCACTACCTGTTACACAGTTTCAAAGCTGCTTCCACATTTTAGGTATTTGTTACAGCAGCACCTCCACTTCTTTGTACACATTTCTGTCTAGTCTCTTCAGGTTTCTGTAACAAAATACCCTCCTACACTGGGTAACTTATAAACAAAAGAAATGTATTACTCACAATTCTGGAGGCTCAAAAGTTCAATATCAAGGGGCTAGCAAATTTAGTGTCTGTTAAGGACTAGCTATCTGCTTCAAATGTGGCACCTTCTACCTGTGTCCTCACATGGAAGAAAGAAGGAGAAAGCTCCCATGGCCTCTTTTATTTTATTTTACTTTAAGTGCAGGGATACATGTGCAGAATATGCAGGTTTGTTACATAGGTATACACGTGCCATGGTGGTTTGCTGCACCTATTGACCCATCTTCTAAGTTCCCTCCCCTTGCCCCCAACCCCCGACAGGCCCTGGTGTGTGTTGTTCCCCTCCCTGTGTCCATATGTTCTCATTGTTCAACTTCCACTTAGGAGTGAGAACATGAGGTGTTTGGTTTTCTGTTCCTGTATTAGTTTGCTGAGGATGATGGCTTCCAGCTTCATCCATGTCCCTGCAAAGGACATGATCTCATTCTTCTTATGGCTGAGCAGTATTCCATGGTGTATATGTACCATATTCTCTTTATCCAGTTTATCAATGATGGGCATTTGGGTTGGTTTCATGACCTTGCTATTATAAATAGTGCTGCAATAAACAGACATGTGCATGTGTCTTTGTAGTAGAATAATTTATATTCCTTTGGGTATATACCCAGTAATGGGGTTGCTGGGTCAAATGGTATTTCTGCTTCTAAATCCTTGAGGAATCGCCATACTGTCTTCCATAATGGTTGAACTAATTTACATTCCCACCAACAGTGTAAAAGCATTCCTATTTCTCCACAGCCTGCCCAGCATCTATTGTTTCTTGACTTTTTAATAATCACCACTCTATCTGGCATGAGACAATATCTCATTGTGGTTTTGATTTGCATTTCTCTGATGATCAGTGATGTTGAGCTTTTTTTCACGTTTGTTGGCTGCATAAATGTCTTCTTTTGAGAAGTGTCTATTCATATCTTTTGCCCACTTTTTGATGGGGCTGTTTGGTTTTTTCTTGTAAATGTGTTTAAGGTCCTTGTAAATAATGAATATTAGACCTTTGTTGATGGGTAGATTGCCAAAATTTTCTCCCATTCTGTAGGTTGCTGTTCACTCTGGTGATAGTTTCTTTTGCTGTGCAGAAGCTCTTAATTTAATTAAATCCCATTTGTCAATTTTGGCTTTTGTTGCAATTGCTTTTGGTGTTTTCATCATAAAGCCTTTGCCCATAACTATGTCTTGAATGATATTGCCTAGGTTTTCTTCAAGGGTTTTTATGGTTTTTGTTTTTACATTTAAGTCTTTAATCCATCTCGAGTGAATCTTTGTATAAGGTATTAGGAAAGGGTCCAGTTTCAGTTTTCTGCATGTGGCTAGACAGTTTTCCCAGCATCATTTATTGAATAGGAGATCCTTTCTCCATTGCTTGTTTTCATCAGGTTTGTTGAAGATCAGATGGTTGTAGATGTGTGGTGTTATTTCTGAGGCCTCTGTTTTGTTCCATGGGTCTATATATCTGTTTTGGTACCAGTACCATGCTGTTTTGGTTACTGTAGCCTTGTAGTATAGTTTGAAGTCAGGTAGCATGATGCCTCCAGCTTTGTTCTTTTTGCTTAGGAGTGTCTTGGCTATGCAGGCTCTTTTTTGGTTCCATATGAAATTTAAAGTAGATTTTTCCAATTCTGTGAAGAAAGTCAGTGGTAGCTTGATGGGGATAGCATTTAATCTATAAATTACTTTGGGCAGTATGGCCATTTTCACGATATTGATTCTTTCTATCCATGAGCATGGAATGTTCTTCCATGTTTTTGTGTCCTCTTTTATTTTGTTGACCAGTGGTTTGTAGTTCTCCTTAAAAGGTCCTTCACATCCCTTGTAAGTTGGATTCCTAGATATTTTATTCTCTTTGTAGCAATTGTGAATAGGAGTTCACTCATGATTTCACTCTGTGTTTGTCTGTTATTGGTGTATAGGAATGCTTGTGATTTTTGCACATTGATTTTGTATCCTGAGACTTTGCTGAAGTTGCTTATCAGCTTAAGGAGATTTTGGGCTGAGACAATGGGGTTTTCTGAATATATAATCATGTCATCTGCAAACAGGGACAATTTGACTTCCTTTTTTCCTAATTGAATACCGTTTATTTCTTTCTCTTGCCTGATTGCCCTGGCTAGAACTTCCAATACCATGCTGAATAGGAGCAGTTAGAGAGGGCCTCTTTGTCTTGTACCAGTTTTCAAAGGGAATGCTCTCATCTTTTGCCCATTTAATATGATATTGGCTGTGGGTTTGTCATAAATAGTTCTTAATATTTTTAGATATGTTCTATTAATACCTATTTTATTGTGAGTTTTTAACATAAAGGGATGTTGAATTTTATCAAAGGCCTTATCTGCATCTATTGAGATAATCATGCGGTTTTTTTCTTTGGTTCTGTTTATATGCTGGATTATGTTTATTGATTTGCATATGTCGAACTAGCCTTGCATCCCAGGGGTGAAGCTGACTTGATCGTGGTGGATAAGCTTTCTGATGTGCTGCTGGATTCTGTTTGCCAGTATTTTATTGAGCATTTTTGCATCAATGTTCATCGTGGATATTGGCCTGGAGTTTCCATTTTTTGTTGTGCCTCTGCCAGGTTTTAGTATCAGGATAATGCTGGCTTCATAAAATGAGTTACGGAGGAGTTCCTCCTTTTTAATTGTTTGGAATAGTTTCAGAAGGAAAGGTACCAGCTCCTCTTTGTACCTCTGGTAGAATTCGGCTGGGAATCCATCTGGTCCTGAGCTTTTTTTGGTTGGTAGCTTATTAATTACTGCCTCAATTTCAGAACTTGTTATTGGTGTATTCACGGATTCGACTTCTTCCTGGTTTAGTCTTGGGAGGGTGTATGTGTCCATGAATTTATCCATTTCTTCTAGATTTTCTAGTTTATTTGCATAGAGGTGTTTATAATATTCTCTGGTGGTAGTTTGTGTTTTTGTGGAGCCAGTGTTGATCTCCCCTTTACCATTTTTTATTGTGTCTATTTGATTCTTCTCTATATTCTTTTTTATTAGTCTATCCAGTTGTCTTTCTATTTTGTTAATCTTTTCAAAAAACCAGCTCCTGGGTTCATTGATTTTTTGGAGGGTTTTTCATCTCTCTATCTCCTTCAGTTCTGCTCTGATCTTAGTTATTTCTTGTCTTCTACTAGCTTTTGGATTTGTTTGTTCTTGCTTCTCTAGCTCTTTTAATTGTGATGTTACAGTGTCAATTTGAGATCTTTCTAGCTTTCTGATGTGGGCATTTAGTGCTATAAATTTCCCTGTTAACACTTCTTTAGCTGTGTCCCAGAGATTCTGGTGTGTTGTCTCCTTTTTCTCATTGGTCTCAAAGAACGTCTTGATTTCTGCCTTAATTTCATTATTTACCCAGGAGTCATTCAGGAACAGGTTGTTCAATGTCCATGTAATTGTGTGGTTTTGAGTGAGTTTCTTAATCCTGAGTTCTAATTTGATTGGACTGTGGTCTGAGAGACTGTTATGATTTCAGTTTTTTGCATTTGCTGAGGAATGTTTCACTTTAAATTATGTGGTTGATTTTAGAGTAAGTGTCATGTGGCACTGAAGAGAATGTACATTCTGTTAATTTGGGGTTGAGAGTTCTATAGATGTCTATTAGGTCCACTTGATCCATAGCTGAGTTGCAGTCCTGAATATCCTTGTTAATTTTCTGTCTCGATCTGTCTAATATTGACAGTGGGATGTTAAAGTCTCCCACTATACTGTATAGGTGTCTAAGTCTCTTTGTACCTCTGTAAGAACTTGTTTTATGAATCTGGGTGCTCCTGTATTGGGTGCATATATATTTAGGATAGTTAGTTCTTCTTGTTAAATTTTTCCCTTTACCAATATGTCCTTTGTATTTTTAAATTTTGTTGTTTTAAAGTCTGTTTTGTCAGAGACTAGGATTGCAACCCCTGATTTTTTTGCTTTTCATTTGCTTGGTGAATTTTCCTCCATCCCTTTATTTTGAGCCTATGTCAGTCTTTGCCCATGAGATGGGTCTCCTGAATACAGCACACCAATGGGTCTTCACTCTTTACCCAATGCCCTCAGATTCTTTTTTTTTTTTTCCAGATGGAGTCTTGCTCTATTGCCAGGCTGGAGCACAGTGGCGCCATCTCGGCTCACTGCAACCTCCGCCTCCTGGGTTCAGGAGGTTCTCCTGCCTCAGCCTCCTGAATAGCTGGGACTACAGGAGCATGCTACAATGCTCAGCTAATTTTTGTATTTTTAGTAGAGTTGGGGTTTCACCATGTTGGCCAGGATGGTCTCGATCTTTTAACCTCCTGATCTGCCCACCTCAGCCTCCCAAAGTGCTGGAATTACAGCCATGAGCCACTGCGCCCGGCCCTCGGACTCTTTTTAATGGAACTAAGCCCATTGATGGAGGTAGGACCCTCACGATCTAATCACCTCTCAAAAGCCCTACCTTTCAATACCAACAACCACATTGAAAATTATGATTCCATATATGGATTTTTGGGAGAACACACTCAGACAATAGCACCTCCCAAAGACCTGAACTCCTAACACCATCACATTGGGGATTTAGATTTCGAGATACGAATTTAGGGGGTGGGGAAACACAAGTATTCAGTATATAACAAAGGCATCAAAAACCCCACAAAACCACAGACTGGCATTCCGTATGAATATAAATGCAAAAATTCTTAAGACAATACTAAAACAAAATTTGGCCACACATAAAAAGGTTTACGTACCATAACCAAGTAGAATTTATCCCAGCAATGCAAAGTTAATTCAGTACATGAAAATCAATAAAATAATATACCATATGAATAGAATAAAGGACAAGAAATACAGAAACATCTCAATAGATACAGAAAAAATTTGACAAAATTCAATGTCCTTTCATGATGAAAAACACTAAATTAATTTTTAAAACTAGGAATAGAAATTTTCTCAACCTGAAAGTGGGCATGTATGGAAACTCATAGTTATTATCAAAAAGGAAACCAAGAAAATAATTATAATTATAATAGTACTAGAAAGAATTAAATATTTAGGAATAAAAGTAAAAAAAGAAGTATGAGAAAACTATACTGTGCATGAAAACTATAAAATATCATTAAAAATTAAAGATAATTTAAATATAAAGACATTCCATGTTTATGAATTGAAAGT
This sequence comes from Homo sapiens, assembly GCF_000001405.40. Lineage (NCBI taxonomy): Eukaryota > Metazoa > Chordata > Mammalia > Primates > Hominidae > Homo > Homo sapiens. The sequence continues at coordinate 93,131,644 of NC_000023.11, read as the reverse complement.
CTTATTACTACTATGATGGTAATACCTTGAAAATACATTTACAAATTCAACACATTTCTTGTCAAAAATCCCTGCTGGCTCCCTCTGCAGAAATTGGCAAGCTGAGTCACTCATAGATGTAAGGCAGCCTAAATATCTAAAACAATCTTGATAATAATGAACAATGTTGAAAGACTGTCAGTTTCTTGTTTCAATACTTACTATAAACTAGACTGATCAAGACAATGTGGGAAAGGCATAAGCATAATCATATAAATCAACTGAAATTCTAAAAATATATCCTCATGTTTCTGTTCAGTTGATTTTCAACAAGGGTGCCAAGACAATTAAATGGGGGGAGATTAATAGTCTTCAACAGATGGTGCTGCACCAGCTGAATTTCAACATAACAAAAGATTGAAATTGAAACCATCCCTGACTTTATATACAAAAATCAATAATGAATGGATCAAAAACCTACTTGGAAAAAATAAAATTTTAAAAATCTTGGGCAAAAACATAATAGTAAATCTTTGCAGCCTTAGGTAAGTCAAAGCCTTCTTAGTCTGCCATCAAAAGCACAAGAAAAAAAAGAGAGAAAAAAATAGATAAATTGGACTATAAAAAAATTTAAAATTTTATGCTGCAAATGATAATATCAGTGAAAAGATAACCAACAGAATGGGAGAAAAATATGTATAAATCATATATCTTATAATGAAATAGTATCCAGAATACATAAAAATAGAAATAAATTTAACAAAACAAATGGAAGTCTTGTAGAATAAAAACTACATATATCATTGAAAGAAATTTAAAAAGACCAGAAAAATTTGAAAGATATTCCTGTGTTTAATGGTTAAAATAACTAATACTGCTAAAATGACAATACTCTGAAAATTATCTGCAAATTATATAAAAGCTCTAGTAACACCTTAGCTATTTTATACACAAAAATTGAAAAGCTCATTCTAACATTTACATAAAGACACAAGGGTCTGAGAGTAGCCCCCAACATTTTTTTTTAAAGAACATATTTGGAGGACTTACACTTCAATTTTAAGATATACTGCAATGCTGCAATAATCAAGCCATAATGGTATTGGCATAGTGATAAACATAGAGATCATTCAAGCAGAATGGACAGTCCGTAAGTAAAACATCATATCAATTGTCAATTGATTTTTCACAAGTGTTCAAGATAGTCTAATGGCAAAAAGTGCTATTTTCAAAAAATGGCATTGGGATAACTAGCTACTCACTTGCAAAAGAATGATATTGGACCTACCTCACACCATACATGAAAATAAACTCACAATGGATCATAGATCTAATTCTAAGAGCTAAACTTATCAAACTTTTAGAAGAAAACATAGGAGTAAATCTTCATTAATTTGATTAGGCTATGCTTTCTTACATAGAAACCTAACATGTAAGTGACGAAACAAACATCACTTTTATATCATCAAAATTAAAACACTCATGCTTTAATGGTCATCATAAGAAAGTGAAAAATAACCAAGAGACTGTAAGATAATGTTGACAAATTTTATATTTGACAAGTAACTTGTACTGAGGATATATAAAATCTCTTATAACCCAATAACAAAGAGATAAATAACCCAATTGAAACATGGGGAAAGGATTTGCATAGACCCCTAACCAAAGAAGTCGAACAAATGGCAAATAAGCACATGAAAAGATGTGCAACACCATATGTTAGTTATTTGGGAAATGTAAATCGACACCACAATGAGATACCACTTCACACACAATAGAATGGTTATAATAAAAAAGACAGATTAAAGCAAGCATTAGTAAGGAAGTGGAGAAATTAGAACCCTTATGTATTTATTTTTGGTGGGAATACAAAATACTGCAGCTGCTTTGGAAAACAGCTTGGAAGCTCTTCAAATATTAAACATATAGTTACCATACAACCCAGCAATTCTACTAAGTATATACTAAAGATAATGGAAAACCTATGTCCACACAATTATACATTTGCAGCATCATTATTTATAATAGGAAAAACTGAAATACTTCAACTATTCATCAAGTGATAACTGAAAAAATAAAATGTGATCCATTCATGTAACGGAATAATATTCAGCCACAAAAAGGAATGAAGTACTGATACGTGCTGCCATATGGATGAACCTTGAAAACTTTTTGTCAAGTCAAAGAAGCCAGACACAAAATAAGACATGTTGTATGATTACGTGTATATAAAATATGCAGATTAGACAAATTCATAAAGACAGAATGTAATTAGTGTTTTCCAGAAGCTTGTTACATGGGATGTGAGGGTGGCATGTGTTGAGTGACTGCTAATTTGTATCAGTTTCTTTCTGGAGGTGTTGAGAATGAGATAGTGGTAGTGGCTGCACAACTCTGTGAATATACTAATATCCACTAATTATATATGTTAAAAGCATGATTTTATCATTTATAAATTAAATCTCAATAAAGCTTTTGTATTTAATTGAGTCTGAAGAGAGAGTGCATTCTAAGAAAGCATAACTCAACGGGTAATACCTCCTTCCTTTGGTACACCAAAAGCTATATTCTCTTGTACTTGGACCCCACAGGCATCCATAGCATTGATTTTTACATAGCCTTGCTGAGGGTAGAAGAATCTTGAGCTCCTAGAAATGAAATGTGCTTCCAAGAGAAATGACAGGGTTTTTCAAGGACACTAAACCAACTTCTTCAGCTCTCTGCATCTTGAGTAGATCTGGCTCTGATTACAACACTGGATTCCAAGAATGTTTCCATGCATATTAAAAAGTATAAAAACAACGTAATGTTTTGAGCAAGAAGATAGATACTATGTAAATTTTTGGCCAGAGGCAGGAAAAACATATGCTATAAATGAGGAAGAATACATGAAAGCATTTGGAAATAAAGGAGTGAAGGGAAGGAGAGGGGGAGAAATAAATGAGAGAACAAATAAATAAAATAAGAATTTCAAAATGATGAGTGTTACCCAAAAAATAAAAGAAGAAAATATCGTAGTTAGTGACTCGGATTTGGCATGCTTATTGGGTTTGTGTGGTTAAGGAAGGCCTGTCTTAGCAAATAACATTTCAACTAATATTAGAAAAAAAAACAGTCATTTGAAACTTTGGAACAAGAACATTCCAGGTGGATAAGCAGCAGTTTAAAAAGTCATTGAACAATGTATTAATTTGTTTTCTGTTGCTTAAAACAAAATATCTGAAACTGAGTAATTTATAAAAACAAAAGGAATTTATTTCTTACAGTATGGAAGCTGGGAAGTACAAGGTCAGGGAGTACATCTGGTAAGAACCTCCCTGCTGGTGGGGACTCTGCAGTATCCCAAGGCAGCACAAGGCAGCACATAGCAAGGGATCTGAACACGTTAACATGCTGGCTTGAGTCTCTTTTTCTCTTCTTCTAAAGCCTCCACTTCCCATCCCATTATAATTTATTAATCCATTAATTATATCAATCCATTCATGAGGGAAGAGCCCTCACAATCCAATCACCTCTTAAAGGCCCTGTCTCTCAATACTGCAACATTGGAAATTAAATTTCAAAATACGTTTTGGAGGGGACAAATATTCAAACTATAGCAAGGAAGTAGAAGTGATCACGATCATGGCAGTAAAGCTACTGTATAGCTTGCAAGTGAAAAGTGCTATAAGAAGTGGTATAAAACTGGATAGTGATAGGTGATGCAGGGTATTGCAAGCCATGTAGGGAATTTATGTTTCTAAAAGCAAACAGAAGCATATTGAGTCATTGACAATATTTCCTAAACTGAATATTTTATGTGGCAGTGGAATAGTTGAATTTCATGAAGAAAGTAGTTATAAACTCAAATTCGCATTAATGATACATTAATGACAAAATATAAAACTTTATTGTGTCCCAACAGAGAAACTTTGTTTTGAGAAAATTTAGTGGTTCTCACACAAGATTTGGAAGCCAAAAAGCAATATTTTATAAGCAATATTTCATAAATAATATTTAATTTGGAAGATAGATACACATTTTAATTTTATCATAGGTTTTAAATGATGCTTCATGTATCCTTTAGTGTCTATTTTACTATAACTTGGAATAGGTTGCTGTTGCTCTTTGGACACATTCAAAATATGATAAGTACAGTGTCAGTGGATATCTACTTTATATTATTTTGGAAAAGGATGGAAAGACAATTTGGGGAGACTGAATACAGGCAGGCCTGAAACAGACTTAACTGAGATGGTCAATGCCAGAGACTCCTGACCTCAACCTTTGATTCAACTCAGCCTACTATCGTTGCCAGAAATGTGACAGCACTGGCTTATACTGCGTTCTAAGAAGATAAGTGGTGTAGAAGTAATTATTCCCAGGCCAAATTGCATTTGTACCTTAATGCAGTTGACTTGGAGCTTCTGTCAGATTGCATCACATTAGCAGATTTTAATAAGTAAATTATGACAGTGTGACTCTCAGAAGAGTTTAGGGTGACTACATGAGTACAAACAAATCCCTCCCTGCTCCAAGAAATGTCTAGATTGAGTTTCTCAAAGGACTTGGTGAATCTGTATTAGTCACGTGTTATTATAAGCAGTAGGGTAACTTCATGGGGACTTGAATACAAAGGGAGATTGCCCCTACAATGAAAAGTGCTTCTGAGTCTCCCGCTTTAGCCATTTTCATGCAGCTGTGTTTGAGTGTCTTTTACTTGCATTAGAGACTTGTGTCTTTTATCAGTGTCTCTGGGTACCATCAACATTGCTCCAATCACACACCATCTGTCAGTAACAGCTATTACCTTGTTTAATATTGAATCTCCATCATTAACTGGAAACAAAAGGCCCAGTTTAACTTAGGTTTATTTTAATAGACATGAAGTGTCATTTAAAATATATTCTCAGTACATTCCTGAATATCTGTAGTTAAGGAAAATATCGTATTCTCATTCCCCTTTGACAGAACGTTAGATGTTTGGACCGATCTAAAGATACAGTAAAATTTTATAATAAAATGTATAGAATCTGAGAAAAGCAGATGCTTAGTATCTGTACTTATTACTTACTTACTTGAAGGCCATTGAGATTTGAGGTTAAAGACAAGTATTTTGGATTTTAAAATTCCCTAAGCAATTATCAGTCAGTTAAAAATACCCTACAGTAGAAGGCAATGTATATATTCATTTTACTCATTTCCAGTTTTTGATCACTTAGTGAAAGCAGCTATCTTTGGGAAATGACTAGGTCAATCTGAAAGTGGCAAGGAAAGAAATTAGGTAACAGGTATAGGTCTGACATCTATCCCATGTGCTCTTCTTACACAGTAACTAACATTCTGTGTTCTTGAATCTTGGTGGGATTTATGGTGGCTCCAACCAATAGAGTATGGTTAAAAGTGATTCTATTTGACTTCCAAGATGAGTTCATAAAAAGACACATCTTCCTCCCCCCTCCCCTCTCTTTGTCTCTCTCTCTCTCTCAGGATGCTTCCTTTGGGGATCATTCTTCCATATTGTGAGGAAGCTTGGGCCATGGGGAGAGGCCATACTTGGGTGTTCTAACCAACAGCCTTAGCTAAGGTTTCAGCCAACAGCCAGCATCTACCACCAGTCACGTGACGGAATGACCCTTCAGAAGATTCCATCCCCCTAGCCATCAAGTCACTTCAGCTGATGCCAATTGGAGCACAGATAAGTCAGCCTCACCAATCGTAGACGTAATTGTAGATTCATGAATAAAATAAATGCTCATTGTTTTAAGACAGTAAATTCAGGGGTAATTATTTTTACAGAGCCATAGTAACTAAAATAACTCCAAGCTTATATATCCAACTACTTGATTGCCAAGTGCAATTCTAAAATGATAAAAGTCAAATTCCTTATTATTCCCTCACACCTTGTTCCTAAGCAGTCTTTTTCTTTAATCTCAGTAAATTACAACTTTATTTTTCCAGTTTCTTAAACCATAAACCATAGACTCATGTTTGATTTGTCTCTCTCTTATACTTGATACAAAATACGTCACTGTTAGCTTTACCTTCACACTGTATCCTAAATATGACAACTTTTCCCACATTCAGCACTTATACCTGGTTTAAGCCACCAACAATTTTTATTTTGATCATTTCAGTAGCCTTCTGAATGGTCTTTCTGTTTAATCCCTATCTTTGCTTTCTGTTGCTATAACAGGATACCTGAGACTTGGTGATTTATAAAGGAAAGATGTGTATTTAGCTCATGATTCTGGAGGTTAGGAGGTCCAAGATTGGACAGCTCATCTGGCTGGCTTCTGGTGAGAGCCACATGCTGCATCACAACAGTGCAGAAGCAGAAGGGGGAGCAGGGATGTGCAGAGATCAAAGATGAGAGGCAGTTTTGTTTCATAACAATCCACTCTCTTAGTAACTAATCTGCTATTTTGAAAGCAAGAACTCACTCCCTTGAGAAAGGCATTAATTCCTCATAATGATCTAATAATTTCTTAGAGACACTGCCTCTCATCATAGCCACATTGGGAAACAAGTCTCAACGTGAGTTTTAGTGGGAGTAAATCATATTTAAACAATAGCAATTCCTCAACTTCCTATACCTTAATCTCCATACGACATCCAGAGGAATCCTTCTGGAAGGTATTACTTCACTGCTCCTTATCAGTAAAGAACAAGGTCTTTAAAATAGGCCGCCAGTTTTCTCTCTATTCTCATGGCCTCATATTCTTCTCCTTGCTCACTCAGCAGCAGTTACACTTGCCTCAGTGTTACTCCATGATCACACCCAGAACAATGCTTGGTATAAAATAGCTGCTCAATAAATATTTGTTGATTATAAAACCAGGAGGCTTCTAAAATCTCCTTATGCAGTAGTCTTGAAAAATAACAATAAGCTGTTATAGAATCTTTCATACAGAAAGTAGAAAATGGAAGCTGAATATTTCCAAAGACCATTAATCTTATCTTTTATTGTGTTACTGCTATGTGCTAAGCACTTATGTCTCAACATGGGAGGCACTTAGAATACAATTTATTATGTATTTTAAAATTGTTGCCTTCAATGAACTTAAAAACAGGTATAATGAAAGGTTCCAGGTCCTATGATAGGATTTCTTAAAGAAAAGAAACAAGAGAACACAAAGGAAGGATTTTTTTATTCTATCTGGAGAAGACAGCTTAGAGAAACTTCATATGGAGTCTTGAAAGCCACTTTGCCAAGTTAATGGGAGAGGTGTTATTGGAGGTGCATGAGGGCATTCCAAGATTTAGGAGCAACATGAACAAAGACATGCCTAGGTGAAAGAGTTTGGCATATTTGAGGCCTGAAAACCTCCTATGGATGGAGTTTGTATAAAATGTAGTATTATGTGAAAGAGGAGATTGAAGAGGTAAGGGAGACAGGGGAAAATGTGTAACAGGACTTCAACGTCATATTTGTTTGGCATTAATCTGTAGTGAATGGAGATCCTACAAAGGTTTTAAGCATGGCTCTTTCATATTTTCAGGTTCTTAATGACTAAAGATGTGGCTAAATAATTTGGTCAGTCCATTTCCTTGTGTCGTATCCACACAGCACAATGAGCTTTCAGGCACACAAAAATACTTCTCATAAATATTTCTTTAAGGAAGGAATTGGACCAGCTGCATCAATCAAGTCTAAACAAGCTACAGTCATAGGAACACTATGTGTTTGTCAAAACAAAATGTGCAGTTCTTTTTATGGGCCTAATTTTATGAAAAAATGCTAGGTACTTCAATAAAAAATAAATTTCAGAACTAGACTAATTGTCAAAAATAGTGAAATTGCTAATTAAATTCTGATGGTGTAGTATGAAGAAGTCATTAAAAAGCATGATTATGATGATGTAATAACAAATAGAAATACCTTTATGTATAATGTTAACTTAAAAAGTAAAATTCAAAATTGTATTTACCATGGGATTTCCAATAAATAGAAAAGAAGAATCATTGTGGTAGCTAGACTCCAAAATGGCCTCTAGTGGCATATTAGTCAGGGGTCTCTAGAGGGCCAGAACTAATAGGATAGATATATATATCTCCTATTTTATATATAGATATATCTTATTTTATATATATATCCTATTATATATATAATATATATATCCTATTATATATATAATATATATATCCTATTATATATTATATATCCTATTATATATATAATATATATATCCTATTATATATATAATATATATATCCTATTATATATTATATATATCCTATTATATATAATATATATATCCTATTATATATTATATATATCCTATTATATATAATATATATATCCTATTATATATAATATATATATCCTATTATATATTATATATATCCTATTATATATATTGAGATATATATTATATATATATTATATATATATATAATATATATATATAAAATATATGTATATATCTGAAAGGGAGCTTTTGAAGTATTAACTTACACAATCACAAGGTCCCACAATAGGCTGTCTTCAAGCTGCCAGGCAAGGAGAGCCTGGTCCAAGGTCCCAAACTGAAGAACTTGGAGTCTGATGTTCGAAGGCAGGAAGCATCCAGCACGGGAGAAAGATGTAGGCTGGGAGGCTAGGCCAGTCTCCCCTTTTCACGTTTTTCTGCCTGCTTTGTATTTCCTGGCAGCGGATTAGATTGTGTCCACTAGATTAAAGGTGGATCTGCCCAGCCCACTGACTCAAATGTTAATCTGTTTTGGCAACACCCTCACAGACACACCCAGGATTAATACTTTGTATCCTTCAATCCAATCAAGTTGACAGTATTAACCATCACAAGCGGTTATTGCCTCCTGTTGTATATTCCATATATAGTCCCTTTTCACATGGAATAGGGCTTACTTGTGCAACTAACAGTGTTCTGCAGAAATAACAGTTTGTGAGTTCTAAGGTTAGGTTATAAAAAATACTGTATGTTCTCTTTTGTTACTTACTGATCACTCACTCTAGGAGAAGCCAGTCATCATATCCATAAAGATACTCATGTAGCCCTATAAAGCTCTACATGATGAGAAAAATTGAGGTCTTCTGCCAGTATTCAAAACAGACCTGCCAGCCATGTTCATGAGCCTTGGACTCAGATCCTTGAATCCTAGTCAAGTTTTCAGATGACTCTCTTACCACTTGACATTTTGACTGTGTTGGGAGAATTTTTTTTTCAAGCAACATAGGTCCTAGTGGTTAAGGGAGAGTAGAGTGAGTAGGGAGTGGGGAAGCTGCAAATTAATTGACAAGAGACAGATTAACAAGAGAAAGCTTATTTCACATGCAGGTGTGAACACTTTAAAAGGACTGGTTCCCCAGAGAGTCAGAGGTAGGGATTTATACAGAAGCTTAACAAAAGTGTGTGTGTGTTGGCGGGGGAGCAGTGGGGAAGTGGTTAGGGCTTCAAAAGGAAAGTATGGGAGGGTCTATTGGGCTGCTTTATCAAATTTCTTATCCCAGTGCTAATGGGCAGTCTCCTTCCTTCTTGAACCTCCCTTTGAGGAGGATTTATGGCAGTTGAATTCTTGGAAAACACCACTTTAATCATCAATCAAAAGGACATTCAGATGAGGCCATTTTTGCAGCTGCTATTGGTCCAAAAGTTTTCAGTTAAAAGTAGTCTTTATGGTATTCTGGGAGGGAAATAGTTTTTCCCTTCAACTGCAACTTCATAAGACGTCCTGAGCCATTATTACCCAGTTAAACCATTCCTAAATACCTAACTCATGAAACCATGTGAAATAAAATATTTAGTATTGTTTTAAACTCTTAAATTGTGGTGCAATATTTTAATGCAGCAATTAATAAGTGATTTAGCTATACATTTTATTTCCAAAAGTTTTCAAAATGTGGCACTAATTTTATAATAAAAATAAATAACGTTACCTACTTGATTTTGTATAACAAAATAAAGGCTGGGCATGGTACCTCACACCTATAAGCCCAGCACTTCGTGTAGGCCAAGGCAGGAGGATTGCTTAAGGCCAGGCTTTCGAGACTACCCTGGCCAACATAGCAAGACCCTGTCTGTAAAAATATATATAGTGTTAAGATTGCTAATGTCATTATTACTTTTCAGAAGATTTAAAATGCTAAGATAAAGAAGAAAGAAAGAGCTTAAAGCACTGGATTTTATTAGATCTTCAATTATGTAACACAAAAATAAAATTTTAGGACCTTGCAAATTTACTATGCCACAGGGAAAAGTTAAGCCCTAAAAGTGAACCCAGGTAACTCGCTATTTTTCCTATTTGGTGCATACCTATTGCTTTCTGACATTTGTGTTGAGATGTTATACATTATCCAGACTCCCTATTCTTTATTCAAACTTAGACTAAATAACGTTAAAAATAGGAGTGTTTATGATTGTTCATTCTTTACAACAGAATGTTAAACAGCCTCTTAGACTATTATCAATATTAGCCAATCAAATTTTATGTCTGTTTGCCTTTGTATGAAAAGTTGTTGTAATTCTGTTTAACACTTCCATTTTGCATTTTCCCACACCTGGAGCACTGTTCACCATTTTTTGATGCAGTTCTGCTCCCTGAATAGCTGACCTCATACTTTGCACTTGAATAAACTCTTTTAACTAGATCCTAAGCCTTTTAATTATTTTAGGTTTACATTTCGCAATCCAGGTAGGACCCAAAGCAAAATTCCTAAGATCCACACTGCTTCATTAACATTTGGATCTTTGGTACTAGCACAATTGGCTTTCATTTATCTGACCTCACTGGAACTGGCAAGTGTCCCTTCAAGGCTTTTCTCGGGTTTCGAATCTTTTCTGGCTTTGGCTGAGATTCAGACTCTACTCAAGTGCCCTGATTCCATACTTGATGGAGCTAGAAGAATTGAAGCTTTACTTTTATAGGTAGGAGTTTTGTGTGTTAATTCTCTAGAGATTCTGCCATTTCCAGGTTTGTGGTTTCCCTTTTCTTTGAGGTTAAGGGTGGTTTTTTTGTTTGTTTGTTTTTGTGTGTGTGTTTTGTTGTGTTTGTTTGTTTTGTCTTACTTGCTAAAGTTTGCAGCCTTTCTTTTCATTGATATTTGGTCAGAGAAAATAGTTTCTCTTTGAAAAGAGAAAAAGTGAAAGAACTGAATCTGTGTGGCTCAAGTAAAAGTTGTGATCTTTAAACTGCCCAGTTTCTTGAGCTTTGTTTGATTGACTGTCTAAACTTCATTTTTGTGTGGCCAAAATTTCCCTTACAGTCTTGAATCACTTAAGAATAGAACCCAAGTTATAATCAATAGTCTATCCAAAACCAAGTCTTTCCTCTTAAGGAGAGATTCAAATATAGAAACTACAGCTGGAATCATGTGAAACATTTATGGGGCCACCTCCTGTTGCTATTTTAAAAAATGGTATCACATAACTTGTGGAAAAAACAAAAGTGTGGTGGCCAAACTGGGATACCTTTGAAATGCCTAAACTAATTTACTTGCATTCTCAATCCAAAAAAGGCTGGCTCCATATTAAACAGAATAATTGGGAGAGTTGTTTTCAGTGATATTTGGAAGTTTCCAAAAAGCGTTCTAATAAAGTTATTTCTTTACAAAAGGAGGAACAAAAACTTGTCTAGAACAATTTGTGAGTTTAAGAAGGCTTTGAAAATTTCTCCTTATCCGCTCTCAGCCTCTCCTTTTCTTAATCTGATAATATCTGAACTACCTGCCCAGATCTACTTCCTTTGCCTCCTCCTGCTCCTAATGTTTTAGCTCCATTTCTTCAACAGCCTGTATCAGGTAGGGTAGAACCTGACCTAGAAGATCAATCATAGTCAACGGTAGAACTTAAAGAAATAATTAATAAACTACCCGATTCTCACCAGGACCCTGTTGGTTTTGCCAAGAAATTTAAATTATATACTTAAGTTTATGTCTCTATTTCCACTTTGAGAAAAATAAAAATTATTTTAAATAGATATCTAACGCAAGCTCTTGTTGTGAGCACAAGCTCTTGCTGATGTGGATCCACACTATATGTAAGAAATTCCACCTTATGACAAGATTCCATTGCTCAGAGTAAACAAAAAATTTAAACGGTATGTGTCACAAATACTCCTGTATCAGCATACAAGTCTCAGCCGCTAACTTTTCAACTAGGTGTCAAAGGACTCACATTTGCCTTCTAGTTATATTAGCCCCCCTCCATCTTACAGAAAGAGACTTCTAGGAATTATATAATACCCACATGCTTTTCTCCCAAAAAGGGAAAATTGAATTTAGAAAAAGATGATAAAACTGTGTTACTAGACATAAAGAAGAGTTCAAAATAAAATTCAATTGCATTCCATGTTGCCATAGAAGACACTCAATTATTGAGCAATGAAAGATTATAAAACCTTCTAAAGGTAATGCCTGATCAGTTATGATCAAAGTCTTCCAATGATATTGGAAGAATCATCTTTGCCACCCCAATCAGTGTTCAAATAGATCCATCAAAAACTCATTCAAATGTTAAACAACATCATTTGAGAACTTAAACACTAAAAGGGATCAAGCCTATAATTTCCTTATTTTTGTATTATTATTATTTTAATTTCAACTTTTCTTTTAGATTCAGGGGATACATGTACAGGTTTGTTACCTGAATATATTGCATGAGGCTGAGGTTTGGGGTAATAATGATCCTGTCACCAGATAGTAAGAATAGTATCCAATAGTTAGTTTTTGAACCTATGCCCCTCTCTTTTTCTCCCTTCCCGCTCTAGTGGTCTCCAGTGTCTATTGTTTCCATCTTTATGTCCATGAGTACCCAATGTTGAGCTCCCATTTATTAGTGAGAACTTGATATATTTGGTTTTTGTTCCTGCATTAATTCACTTCCAGCTGCATCCATGTTGCTGCAAAGGATATTATTTCATTCTGTCTTATGGTTGCATAGTATTCTATGGCATATTCCGTGGTATATGTACCACATTTTCTTCAGCGAATCTACCACTGATGGAAACATAAGTTGATTCCGTGTATTTGCTATTGTAAATAGTGCTGCAATAAGCATATGAGTGAATGTGTCTTTTTTACAGAATGATTTATTTTCCTTTAGGTATATACCCAGGAATGCAGTTGTGGGTTGAATGGTAGTTTTGTTTTTTTAAGTTCTTTGAAAAATCTCCACACTGCTTTCTACAGAGGCCAAACTAATTTACATTACCACCAACAGTGTATAAGCATTCTCTTTTCTCCATAGCTTCTCCAGCACCTGCTATTTTTTTTTTTTTTTACTTTTTACTAATAGCAATTCTGACTGGTGTGAGATGATATTGCATTGTGGTTTTGACTTGCATTTTTCTGATGATTAGTGATAAAGAGCATTTTTCGTATGTTTATCGGACACTCACATGTCTTCTTTTGAGAAATGTCTGTTCATGTTTTTTTGCCATTTTTTTCCTTCCAACTTTTAGGTTTAGGGGGTACGTGGGCAGGTTTGTGACATGGGTAAATTGTGTGTTGCTGGGGTTTGATGTAAAAATGATTTTGACACCCAGGTAGTGAGCATAGTACCCAGTAGGTAATTTTTTAGTCTTCACCCTCCTCCCACCCTCCACCTCCAAGAAAGCTGTGGAGTCTATTGTTCTCTTCTTAGTGCCCATGTGTACTCAGTGTTTAGCTCCCTCTTATAAGTGAGAACATGTAGTATTTGGTTTTCTGTTTCTACATTAATTCACTTAGAATAATAGCCTCCAGCTGCACTCAGGCATCCATGCTGCTGCAAGGACACAGTTTCATTCTTATTTATGCTTTGCCCATTTTAAATGGAATTATTAGTTATTTGCTTTTTAAATTGTTTAAGTTCCTTATAGATTCTGAATATTAGACCTTTGTTAAATGCAATAGTTTGTTTACTCTGTTGGTATGGTGTTTTGCTGTGCAGAAGTTCTTTAGTTTAATTAGATCCCATTGGTTAATTTTTTTTTTCCATTTGTTGCAATTGCTTTTGGCCTCTTTGTCATGAAATCTTTGCCCACTCCTATGTGTAGAATGGTATTGACTAGGTTGTATTCCAGGGTTTTTATAGTTTTGGGTTTTATATTTAAGTATTTAATCCACCTTGAGCTGATTTTTGTATAATGTGTAAGGAAGAGGTCCAGTTTTGGTCTTCTGCATATGGCTAGCCAGCTATCTTAGCACCATCTATTGAATTTGGAGTCCTTTATCCATTGCTTATTTTGTCAACTTTGTCAAAGATCAAATGGCTGTAGGCATACAGCTTTATTTCTGGGTTGTTTATTATGATCCACTGGCCTATGTGTCTGTTTTTGTACCAGTACCATGCTCTTTTGGTTACTGTAGACTTATAGTACAGTTTGAAGTTAAGTAATGTGAGGCCTCCAGCTTTGTCCTTTTTGCTTAGGATTGCTTTAGCTATCCAGGTTCTTTTTTTTTGATTCCACATGAAATTTAGAGACGTTTTTTTTTCAATTCTGTCAAGAAATGACATTGGTAGTTTGATAGGAATAGCCTTCAAATTATATAAAAAGAAGACAGACTATTCTCTGTAAAGACCATGTAACACTCCAATCCTTCTTTGAGAAATCTCAAAACTGCTTTCTTCAGTGACAGAACTAATACACATTCCCAGCAACAGTGTATAAGCATTCTCTTTTCTCTAAGGATACCAGATGGTAGAGGATGGATGATTGTACAGAATCTGAGAGCAATTAAAAACATTGTTATTTCTCAACATCTAGAAATGCCAAATTCATATACATTGTCAGCTGCCATTCCAACTGAAGGTGAGTTCTTTACTATAATAGACTTATGTTATATATTCCTTAGTATTTCTATGAATGAAAATAGTTCATTTCTCTTTGTTTTCACTTTGGAAAACAGACAATACACATGGACAGTCAAGCCTCAGTACTATACTAAGAGCCAAACTTTTTACAGATATTAAAAGATCTCTCTCAGATATTGACTTTAAAAATGTATGTTAATACAATAGATAGATAATTTACTCCTCTGCTAAGAGGATAAGCAAGTCTCTATTGAAAATGAGATTCACTTGTTACAACAATTAGCCTTAAAGAGACACAAGGCTTCTAAAGGTAAACTTCAATTTTGTCAAAAAAACAAGTAAACTACTTAGGTTATCTAATATCCAAGGAAGGAATTTTTATTAATCCAGACAGACTAAAAGAGATCTTAGCTTTTCTACCACCGAGAACCAAGAAAGTGTTGAGAGGGTTTGGGGGAATGACAGGATATTTTAAAAAGTGAATCCCAAGCTATGTCTTAAAATGCCAGCCCTTATATGCTGTCTTAAAACAAGACATACTAGACCCTCTAGATTGGACAAAAGATCAACTAACATTAGAAATGATAAAATATTACCTTGCTAATACCTCAGCTTTGGGGCATCCAAATTATAATTTTTCATTTTCATTATATATACGTGAAAGTAGTGCTAACACTTTTGAGGGTCCTAACTCAAAAACATTGAGACCAAAATGAACCTGTTAGGGTATTATAGCCATCAGTTATACCCGGTGGCTATAGAACTACCACCTTGTGGCACTGCCATAATAGTCACTGCTTTGTTGGTTAAGGCAACTGAAGAAATTGTAAAGAGGATATCCCATAGTGTTTTCATCCCTCATTTTGTGAAATCATTGCTAACCTTCACCACACTCAACGTTATTCAGTTAGCAGATTAGCTTTATATGAAGTTTTACCTTTTTCAGCTTCTCATATCACCATCTCTAGGCATAAAAATCTAAGTCCTACAGTTCTTCTGCCTTTACTTTCAGATGAAACACTGCACAATTGAATAACCTTAACTTTTCAACTTCTCTGTCCTACGAGAAGAGAGTCTCCTTAATCATGCTGATGTAGTTTGGTTTAAAGATGGACCTTAAAGGATGTATCTGGGACTTACCGTGCAAGCTACTCAATATTATCTTTAACTGAAAAAACAGAACGTGCTTAACTTCCAGAAGCCACCTCAGCTCCAAAAGCAGAATTAATTTTATTGATTAGGGCTTGTTGATTGTCAAAAAGAGCAACTGCTAATATCTATACAAACAGTAGATATGCTTTCAAAGTAGCTCATAATTATGGAATACAATGGGAACAGAGAGAATTTTTAACCTCTTCTAGTCAATTCATAGAAAATGAGCAGACAATTTTACAATTGTTGGAAGACATATTATTCCCAAAATCGCTGGCCATAATTAAAATCTCAGGCCATTTGAAATCAGATACACCAGAAAGCAAAGGAAATTAGCTAGCTGATAAAGTAGCACAAAGCTGTTCTAAATGCATCTAAACAAACAAACAAACGAACCAACAGAAAATAAAAAGAGATCTATATTAACTTTAAAAAAACTCTGAATTTAACATAAAATTAGCTCAATCCAGAGCTCCAATATTAGAACAGAAAAGTTGGAAAACAAAAAGGAAATATGTTCCCGCAAAGAAAAGGTATAGTATGGGCCAAACAATTTGCCTATACTTGCTGCTGAATTACGGTTACCATTTTTAACCTATATACAAGACCTAACTCACTGGAGCCCTGACAAAACAATTGCTTGGGAAAAACAATATTTTTGGAAACTTCTTATAGCTCATAAGGTATGAAATTGCTATTACGTTTGTTAAAAATATAATCTAAGGAAATTACTACATAGCTCTCAAGGACATTTTCCCTCACCCAAGGCCCCTTTTCAGGCACAGCAATTAGATTTCACCCAGTTACCATCTTCAAGAAACATGCAAATATGCTCTGGTAATGATTTGCACATTTTCAGAATGGGTAGAGGCATTTTCACACAAAATAGCAACAGGCTTGTTGGTGAGTAAAATTCACTTACAAAAAAATATTCCAACCTTGGGAGTTCTGGAAACTCATAGCAACAGTGGCACTCACTTCACTAGACAAATAATTCAATTGGTGTGTAAAATTTGGCCCATTCTCCAACATTTCCATTGTGTTTACCATCCCCTGTCATCTGGGTTAGTGGAATTGATGAACGGAATAATCAAAACTCAGTTCAAAAAATCAAATGAGGCTTTTAAATTCCTTGGCCAAAAGCTCTTCCATGGATTCTTCTTAGTCTGGGGTTGAACATTTTTGGCAAGTACCAGTTATCCCCATTCAAAATGATAAAAGGCAGACCTGTGAAATTGTCTCCAGGAAACTGTGCCTTTAATAGCAAATGGAGACATGTTTAGCTGTTGTAATGGCCTTATGACACAATTACATACAAATTATAAATTAGTAAAAGAACGTTTTCACTGTTAACTCCCAGAAAACAAAACTTCCAAGGACCATGGACTTCAACTAGGAGATTTTGTCTATTGGAAACAATATTTATTTAAAAAAAAAAACAAAAAAAAAAAAACACCTCTCTTTTACCAAAGTGGTATGGACCTTATCAGGTACTCCTTACCAACCCTTGCACTGCTACGTTAGAAGGCATAAATTCATGGATTCATATGTATTATCTAAAGAAGGCCGAGACTTCTGATTTGACTGTTTCTCCAGAAGGTGACCTCCAACTTTGAATTAACTTGACACCAGGCTGAGAAAAAGATGGCATGTGATACAGACAGCTAAAACTCAAAACTGTGGACCAGGCTTGTAGCTAAATAAATGTTTAATACTAAAAATTGTTAAGAGATGCAGAAGATTTTCTTTTATAAGCGCTCACTAAAATTATTTTTATCCTTAGTCCTTATGTCCTGGTACTACTACCACAAGCTGTTGCCCATGAAGAAAACCTCTGTTTGCAATGATTCCCAAACTATGCTGATAGATTACACAAAAATTCTTGCTGTATATGTGGCCTCATGCTCCAGTCCAGTGGTTCTGGCCTACCATGGTGGGTATCACTCCTCCAAGGGCAAGACTGAATACAGCATAAAAATTTTATTCGTTCATCACAAAAATAGTCTGGCAACCTTAACTCTAGTATGACTAAGGATAATGTATATTACTGCCCTATGAGTGATACTTTACTAAATAAGGGACATAAGAAGAGCTTCTTGGTAGAAGAAAACTGGCTCACTATCTTTTGCTGTGGCACTACCCCAGCTAAAAGAGAAGAAAATAATGATACCCCAATCAAAAACTCAATTTCAGGATGGTATAATACACATTTCATATGGGTTTATTTGGCTCACCTCCTGTTTTGGCTAGCCTTGTCAAAATGTACCTTAATTTGGGGAACAGAAAAATCACACCAAAGATAAATAGCCCAACTGAACATAGAGATATAGGATGCATACCCAAAGAATGGTATATCTGCATCATTTTATTACAAAGTACTGATTGGTATGCCACTAATTAGACATAATAACTGATTATTTATTGGTTAGCAGATATAGGATGGATACCCAAAGAATGGTTTATCCACATCATTGTGTTACAAAATACTGATTGGCATGCCACTGTATTACAAGTACTGATTACAAAGTTCAGATTGGCAAATAACTGATTATTTATTGATTAGCTCCAAATAAAACATCTTGGCTATGTGGCACTAATCTATAACTATGGTTACCCACAGGATGGTTAGGATGATATTCACTAGGTTATGCTTGGGCACAAGGTTGAGTAGTTCACACCTCGTTACTTGTCTTTCAGCTACAGCCTCTGCCCAAGGGAGCCCCACAGACTGGAACACCTAATACCCCAGTGAGCTTGGTGCAGAAGGCTTAGGACAAAAGTAGATGACTGGGCCAGTTACTGGGGAAGCCACTGGAAGGAGACCCAGTCAAAGGAGAATGATCTAGGCGGTCCCTATAGCTGTCTTATGGGCAAAAATCCTTGGGATGTTTGTGCCATACCAGTGGCACACCCACAGCAACACTGCCCTGCCTGAAGATCCCCTGCTCTTGATCTACTGCATGAACAGACCACACGCAGGCATGCCCCACAACCCACTCTGATTCTGCCAAGCGCAGAGGATCAGTGGGCCTCCAGCATTCTGTAGATCTCCTGGTGAACTAACCTTCAGCTTGAGCCAACCCTAAAGGAGAGGAAAGTGCAGCCTGGCAGGGCCCCCTTTGGGGCTAAGGAATTACAGACAGGGTGACAGTGATTGGAGAGGGGTCCCCTAAGTCCTGGGAATGGACCTGGCAGGGGAGTCATCTCTCCTCCCATCCCCCATATCTCTCCCCACATAGAACAGCTGTGAATGCGCTAAAATACAAAAGAGGCATGTCATTAAGAGCCTATCTGCTGGACATTACTCTTAGGTGTCATCTACCGGATTGCAGATCTACTAGATTGCAGCCTGCACTACATCATCAACAACAACAACAACAACAACAACAAAGATTTCTTCCAGTATACCTTGCCTGTGAAACCCAACGCAGGAATTTAGCCACAAATAAAGATCCCATGCAGAGTCTTGGCCCTCTGAAAGCACCCAGAAGTGAAGCCAATAGACCATTCTCAACTTACACCAAAGTCAAACTCAGGGAAATAAAGTAGATAAAAACAAAAAGCCCCATCCAAAAGACAGCAATTCAAAATGATAAAGGAATGCCAGCACTTTCAGATGAGAAAGAATCAGCCTGAGAACAATGCCAATTTAAAAAGTCAGGGTCCTCTTACCTCCAAATGATGGTACTAACTCCCTAGAAATAGTTCTTAACCTAATTGAAATGACATCCATAGAATTTAGAATCTAGATGGCAAGGAAGACATTCAGGAGAAAGTTGAAACCTGATATGGTTTGGATATTTTGTCCTCTCCAAATCTCATGTTGACATGTGACCTCCAATATTGGAGGTGAATCTAGTTAAAGGTTTTGGGTCATGGGGGCAGATCCCTCATGAATGGCTTGGTACTTTTCTCACAGTAATGAGTATGTTCTCACTCTGAGTTCACACAAGATCTAGTTGGTTAAAAGATTATAGCACAGAAAGGCAAAAATAACATGTTCTCACTTATTTATGGTATCTTAAAATCAAAACAATTGAACTTATAGACAGAGAGAGTAGAAGGATAGGTACCAGAGGCTGGGAAGTGTGGTGGGGTTTTGATGGGAAGGTGGGGATTGTTAATGGGTACAAAAAATAGTTGAAAGAATGAATAAGATCCGCTATTCTATTTGATAGCCTAATAGGATGACTATAGTCAATAACTTAATTGTATATTTTAAAATAACTTAAAGAATGTAATTGGATTATTTGTTACTCATAGGATAAATGCTTGAGGGGATGGCTACCTCATTCTCCATGACATGCTTATTTCACATTGCATGCCTTTATCAAAATATCTCATGTACCCCACAAGTATATATACCTACTATGTACTCACAATTTAAAAAAATAATAATTTTTAAAAAATAGTTTAGCACTTACTCCCACCCACCCCCCCCTACACACACACCATGTTATACAGCAGCTCCTCCTTTGCCTTCTACTATGATAGAAAGCTTCCTGAGGCCCTCACCATTAGCAGATGCTGGTGCCATGCATTCCTGTACAGCCTTCAGAATCATGAGCCAAAATAAATCTCTTTTCTCTATAAATTACCCAGTCTTAGGTACTTCTTTATAACAATGCAAATGAGTTCATACAAAAACAAATGGTAATGGGAAGTGGGGCATTGCTACAAAGATAATACAATATATGGAATCAGCTTTGGAACTTGGCAGCTGGCAGAGGTTGGAAGCATTTGGAGAACTCAGAAGAAGATAAGAAGATGTAGGGAATGGTTTGAAACTTCTTAGAGGATTGTTAAGTGGTTGTAACCAAAATGCTGGTAGAAATATGGACAGTGAAGCCAGGCTGACAAGGACTGTGACGGAAATGAGAAAGTTTTTGAGACTAGAGTAAAGATCACTCATATTATGCCCAAGCAAAAAAAAAAAAAAAAAAAAAGCCTGCATTAAGCTCATGTCCTAGGGTTCTCTGGAAGTTTAAACTTAAGAGTAATGACTTAAAGTATCTGGAAGAATACATTTCTAAGCAGTAAAGTATTCAAGACATGACCTGGCTGCCTCTAACAGCCAATGATCAGATAAGGGAGTAAAGGAATGACTTAAAGTGGGAACTTATATTTGAAAGGAAAGAAGAGCATAAAAGTTTTAAAAAGTCAAAACCTGGCAGTGTGGTAGAGAAGGAAAGAATACTTTCAGGGGAAGAATACAAGTGGGGTTGAGGAGCAACTACATGCTGGAGAGATTTACATGACTAAAGGGGATCCAAGTGCTAATATCTGAATCAATGAAAAAAAAGGCCTAAAGGCATTTCAGAAATATCTGAGGCAGTCTGTCCCATCACAGATCCAGATGCCTAGGAGAAAAGAATGGTCCATGAGGCCAGGAAAAGGACCCTGCTGCCCTGTGTAGTCTTGGTACACTGTTCCAAACATCTAGATTGCTCCAGTTCCAGCCTCAGCACAAAGTGTCCCAGGTACAGCTTTGGCCACTGCTTCAGAAAGTATAAGTTGTAATTCTTGACTGCCTCCATGTATTGTTAAGTCTGCAGGCTTGCAAAATGCAAGAGGTAAGGAAAATTAGTAGCTTACCCCTGGATTTCAGAAAATGTATGGAAAAGCCTGGGTTCCCACAAAGAGGCCTGCTCCACAGGCAGACGCCCTTCAGAATACATCTAATAGGGCAGTGTGGAAGGGAAGTATGGGGTTGGACACCCCACAGAGA
Organism: Homo sapiens; assembly: GCF_000001405.40. NCBI lineage: Eukaryota > Metazoa > Chordata > Mammalia > Primates > Hominidae > Homo > Homo sapiens. The sequence goes on along the minus strand of NC_000023.11, from coordinate 93,110,053 downwards.
GTCCCCATTATGGCACTGCCTAGTGGAGCTGTGGAAACAGAGCTGCAGCCTTCTAGACCCCAAAGAGGTAGATCCATTGACAGCTTGCACCCTGAGCTTGGAAAAGCCACAGACACTCAACTTCAACCCATGAGAGTAGCAACAGGGGCTACATCATGCAAAGCCATATGGGTAGAGCTGCCCAAGGCCTTTCGACCCCACCCCCTGCATCAGTGTACCCTAGATGTGGGACATGGATTCAAGGATTATTTTGGAGCTTTAAGAATTAAAGTCTGCCCTGCTGGGTTTCAGACTTCTGGGGGGCCTATTGCCCCTTTCTATTGGCTATTTTCTCTATTTTGGAATGGGAATGCCTACTCAATGCCTGTACCACCATTGCATCTTGCAAGTAAATAGCATGTTTTTTATTCTACAGGCAAAAAAAAAAAAAAAAAAATGTGGAAGAAATGTACCTAGAGTCTTGGGTGAGATTTTGGACATTTAAGTTAATGCTTGGAACTAGTTAAGACTTTGGGAGATTATTGGTAAGGGATAATTTTATATTGCAATCTAAGAAGAACATAAAATTTGGGGGGCCAGGGATGGAATGATATGGTTTGGGTGTTTTATCCTCTCCAAATCTGATGTTAAAATATGACCTCCAATATTGGAGGTAGGCACAGTAGTAGGTGTTTGTATCACTGGGGCAGATCCCTCATGAATGGCTTGGTGTTGTCCTCATGATATGAGTGATATCTTGCTCTGAATGCACATAAGATATAATTCTTTTAAAAAGTGTGGTACCCCTCCCACTCCCTCTCTCACCGTCTGATGTGTCAGCATGCCCTTTGTCTTCTGCCATGATTGAAAGCTTCCTACGGTCCTCACAAGGAGAAATGTTGGTGTCATACATCATGTACAACACTCAGAATCCTGAGCTAAAATAAATATCTTTTTTTCATAAACTACCCAGTCACAGGTATTCCTTTATAGCAACATACATGAACTAATACAAAACCCAATTCAAGGAAACCAGTAAAATGATCCAAGAGAAGAAACATGACATAGCAATTTTACAAAAGAACCAAACTCAACTTACAGAACTGAAAAAAATTACTACAATAATTGTACAATATAATTGAAAGTATTAACAAAAGAATACAGCAAGCTAATAAAAAATTTCAGTTTGAAGACCAGTCTTGAATCAACTCAAGTAGACATTTTTTTAAAAGAATTTTTAAAAGTGGCCAAAATGTCTGAGAAATATGGAATTATATAGGGAGACCAAACCTGCAACACACTGGCATTCCTGAGAGAATAAGAAACTTAGAGAACATATTTGATGATATAGTTAATGAAAATCTTCCCTACCTTGTTAGAGAAATTGACATGCAAATTCAAGAAAAAAAAAACTGCAATATACTATGGAAGATGACCATTCCAAAGACACATACTCATGAGATCGTCTGAGATCAACATTAAAGAAAAAAATCTTAAAGGAAGCTACAGACCCGTGTCAGGTGACATAAAAAAGGAACCCCATCAGGCTAACAGCAGACTTTCTAATGGAAAAGTCACAAGCCAGAAGAAATTGAAGGCATATTTTAGGATCAATAAAGAAAATAAATTCCAACCAAGAATTTCATATTATGCCAAACTAAGCTTCTTAAGTGAAGGAGAAATATTTTTTTTCAGAAAAGCAACAGCTAAGGGAATTTATTACCACTAGGTTGGCCTTACAAGAGGATGTTATGAAAGTGTTAAACATGGAAATGAAAGAACAATTACTGTTACCACAAAAACAGTATTTAATGTACCTAAGTACATTGCCCACATACACTAAAAAACAACTACACAACCAAGTCTATTTTATTATTATTATTATTTTTTGAGATGGAGTTTTACTCTTGTTGCCCAGGCTGGAGTGCAGTGGTGCGATCTTGGCTCACTGCAACCTCTGCCTACTGGATTCAAGCAATTCCCCTGCCTCAGCCTCCCAAGTAGCTGGGATTACAAGCATGTGCCACCACACCTGGCTAAGTTTGTATTTTTAGTAGAGACGGGGTTTCACCATATTGGTCAGGCTGGTTTCGAACTCCTGACCTCAGGTAATCCACCCACCTCACCCTCCCAAAGTGCACAATGAAGTCTATAAAATAACCAGCTAACAACACAATGACCAGGACCAAAACCTCAAATATCTTTATTAAGCTTGAATGTAAAGGGTCTAAATACTCTACTAAAAAGAGAGAGTGGCAAATTGGATTTAAAAAAAAAAATACAAGCCCCAACCTTCTACTGTCTTCAAGAAAGCCATGTCACATATAATGACAACCACAAGCTAAAAGTAAGGGGATGGAGAAAAAGCTATCATGCAAATTGAAAAAAAAAAAAAAAAAACAGAGCAAAGGTCGCTATTCTTACAACAGATAAAACAGACATTAAATGAACAACAGTCAAAATGGACAAAGAAGGGCATTACATAATAATAAATGGCTCAATTCAACAAGAAAATTTATCCTAAATTTATATGCACCCAACATAGGAACACTCAGATTCATAAAACAAGTTTTCCTCAACCTACAAAAAGTCTTACACAGTCACACAATAATAGCGAGGGACTTCAACACCCCACTGACAGTGTTAGTTCTTCAAGGGCAGAAAGTTAACAAGGACATTCTGGACTTAAACTTGACACTTGACCAATTGGACAGCTAAAAGACATCTAGAGAATACTCCATCCAACAATTCCAGAAAAAACATTCTTCTCATATGCACACAGAACATATTCTAAGATTGACTACATGCTCACCCATAAAGCAAGTATCACAAAATTAAAATATATATATATATCAAAATCATACCAGCCACACTCTTGGACTACAGGGCAATAAAAATAGAAATCAATATCAAAAAGATCTCTTAATACCAAAAAATTATATGCAAATAGACAACTTCCTCCTGAATGACTTTTGGTAAACAATGAAATAAGGCATGAATCAAAAAATTCTTTGAAATTGTTAAAAGTAAACACAACATACCAAATTGTTAGAGATACAGCTAAAGCAGTGTTAAGAAGTTTATAGCAATAAAAGACTATAACTTGGGTTCAGTGTATACTGCTTGGGTGATGGGTGCACCAAAATCTCACAAATCACCGCTAAAGAACGTACTCATGTAACCAAATACCACCTGTTCCCCAAAAGCCTATGGAAATATATATTTTTTAAAGCTTACATCAAGAAGTTAGTTAAATTAACAATCTAAAATTGAACCTACAGGAACTAGAACAACAAGAACAAACTAACCCCAAAACTTGTAGAAGAAAATAAATAACCAAAATCAGAGCAAACTGAGCAAAGTTGAAAGCCAAAATTCCATAGAAAAGATTAACAAAACCAAAAATAAATTTTTGAAAGAATAAACAGAATGGATAGACTGCTAGATTAACAAAGAAAAAAAAAAGAGGGGAGATCCAAATAAACATAGTCAGAAATTACAAGGTGACATTACAACCAATTTCACAGAAATATAAAAGATCCTTGGAGACTATTATAAATACATCTATGCTCACAAACTAGGAAATCTAGAGGGAATGAATAAATTGCTAGATTCACCTCTCCAGATTGAACTAGGAAAAAATTGAAACCCTGAACAGACCAATAATGAGTTCTGAAATTAAATCAGTAATAAAAACTTACCAATAAAAATTTCTGGACCAGATGGATTGACAGCTAAATTCTATTAGATATAGAAGAAGTGGTACCAATCCTACTGAAACTATTCCAAAAAATTGAGTAGGGAAGAATCCTTCCTAACTCATTCCATGAATCCAGAGTCATCCTAATACCAAAATCAGGTAGAGATGCAATGAAAAAAAAAGAACATTTCAGGCCAAAATCCCTAATGAACACAAAAGCAAAAATTCTCAACAAAGTACAAGCACACCAATTCCAGTAGCACGTCAAAAATTAATTCACTATAATGAAGTAGGCTTTATTCCTTGGATGCAAGTTGGTTAAACATACACATATCATTCAATATCATTCACTACATAACAGAATTAAAAACCTTATGATCATTTTAATAGAGAGAAAATGCTTTCAATGAAATCCAACATTCCTTCATGATAAAAATCCTCAGTAAACTAGACATTGAAGAAACATACATCAAAATAAGAAAGCCATCTATGACAAAGCCACAGACAGCATCATACTGAATAGGCAACAGCTGGAACTATTCCTTTTGAGAACTGGATCAAGAGAAAGATGCCCACTTTCACTACTCCTATTTAACATAGTACTGAAAATCCTCTTCATAGCAATTAGACAAGAGAAAAAAATAAGTCAAATTGTCTTTCTCCACTATGTAATTCTATACCTGAAAAAATACCTAAAAACTCTACCAAAAGGCTACTAGAACTAATAAACAACTTCAGAAAAGTTTCAGTATATACAATTAATGTACTCAAATCAGGAACATTTCTATACACTTAGAAATGTTCTAAGGTCAAGCTGAGAGTAAAATCAAGAATGCAATCCCATTTACAATAGCTACAAAAGAATAAAATACCTAGAAATATGACTAGCCAAGGAGGTGAAATATCTCAACAAAAACTGCAAAAACTGCTGAAAGAAGTCAGAGGTGACACAAACAAACTGAAAAACTTTTCATGTTGATGGATTAGAAGAATCAATATCATTAAAATGGCCATACACCCCAAAGCAATGTACAGATTCAGTACTATTCTTACCATATTACCAAAGATATTTTACACAGAATTAGCCAAAAAAAAAAACATTTCTAAAACTTATATAAAACCAAAAGAGCACAAATAACCAAAGAAATCCAAACAAAAAGGACAAAGCTAGAGGCCTCACATTACCCAACTTCAAATTATACTACAAGGCTATAATAACCAAAACAGCATGGTACCAATACAAAAACAGACACATAGACCAATGGAACAGAATAGACAACTTGAAAATAAAACTAAACACCTACAGCCATCTGCTCCAAGACAAAGTCTAAACAAATAAACAATGGTGAAAAAACTCTCTATTCAGTAAATAGTGTGGGAGTAACTGGTTATCCATATGCAGAAGAATGAAACTGGACCACTACCTTTCACCATATATAAAAATTAAATCAAGATGGAGTAAAGATTGACATGTAAGACCTCAAAGTGTAAAAATTCTACAAGAAACTCTAAATAATACCATTCTCAATATCGACCTTGGCAAAGAATTTATGGCTATGCCCTCAAAAACAATTGCAACAAAAACAAAATTGAATGTGTGACCTAATTAAACTAAAGAGATTCTGAAGAGCAAGAGAAACTATCAAGGTCATAAATAGACAACCTACAAAATGGGAGAAAATATTCAAAAAGTATCCATCTCAAAAAGGTCTAATATCCCAAATCTATTAGAAACTTAATCCAAGAAGCAAAAAGCAAATGACCCACTAGAAAGTGGGCAAAGGACAGGAAAAAACCCTTCTCAAAAGAAGACATACAAGCAGCCAACAAACATGGAAAAATTCTCATTGTCACTAATCATCAGAGACATAAAAATCAAAATGACAATGAAGTATCAACTCACACCAGTTGGAAGTTTTGTTTGTTTGTTTGTTTTAAGTAAAAAACTAACATATGTTGATGAGGTTCTGGAGAAAAGACAACACTTATATACTGTTCGTTGGAATAAAAATTAATTCAGCCAGTATGGAGAGCAGTTTGAAGATTTCTCAAAGAACTAAAAGTTGTGCTACCAATTGACCCAGCAATCCAATCCTGTTACTCAGTACATACTCCCCCCAAATAAATTATTTTATCAAAAAGACACAGGCACTTATATGCTCATCAAAACACTACTCACAATAACAAAGACATGCAATCAACCCCAGTGCCCATCAACAGTGAACTGGATAAAGAAAGTGTGGTACATATACACCATGGTATTCTGCACAGCCATTAAAAACAAAAGAAATTATGTTCTTTGCAGCAAGATGGATGCAGTTGGAAGCCATTATCCTAAGCTAAGTTTGCAGAACAGAAAAGTAAATACCACGTGTTCTCAGTTATAAGTGGGACCTGAACACTGGGTATACATGCACATAAAGATGAGATCAATATGACACTGTGCAATACAAGAAGGAGAAGGGAGGGAAGGACGCAAGGTTTTAAAACTACCTGTTGGATACTATGCTCTCTACCGGCAGGACAGATTCATTCATACTCCCAAACTCAACATAACACAGTATAACTTGTAATAAACCTGCACATGTGCCTCCTGATTCTAAAATAAAAGATAAAAATTTGTAAAAGGGAAAAATATATACAAAAAACAATCCTGTGTTTATATCCCAGATGAATTACATAACATCACCAAATTAATGACAGATATGCAAACCCGAATAAGCAATGTTTGAGATTCAAAACGCTTAGAGAGGTTTTGCCATAAAAGTTAAGCCATAAAAGCTGACTCACCTATTACAACTGTTTTTCTACTCTGGTGCATAACCATTGTTTTCTGACCTTTGTGTTGAGATGTTATACATTATCCAGACTTCCTATTCTTTATTCAAACCTAGATTAAATGATGTTAGAGATAGAGACCCTTGTGACTGTTACCTCTTTATAAAAGAATTTCAAACCACTCCATTCTTGTGTAATCAATAGTAGCTAATTAGGTCTTATGTCTGTATTTTAGCCTTTGTATGAAAAATGTAATTCTGTTCAGCAGCTTTGTTTGGCCTATATAAACAATCCTCATTTTTCTCATGTCAGGAGCCCTGATTACCATTCTTCTTACCATTCTTCCTTGATGAAGTTCTGCTTCCCAGACAGCTTCCCTCACACTCTGCACTTGAATAAACTCTTTTAACTACATCCTGAGCCGTTTGATTGTTTAAGGTTGACAACAAGACTTACATAAAATCACAGAGAAAACTACAGCCATAAGACAAATAAATCAACCAACAGGATGAGCTTCACCAGAGAGACATGTTGAAACATTTTGATGCCAAGATTCATTTAATATGAAATCCAAAAATGTTAATATAAAAATGGAAAGAACAATACCATGAAACATATTTACCAAATACAAAATACCAAATCACAGAACATACCTGTAGGACCTTTTAAAAGTAAAAAAAAATTCTGTTTTTCTCCTCTTCAGTTTAGTAGATTATGCCTAATCTTCCTCTAACTATACAAATAATAAAAGGAAGATTTAAGAATGTACTCAAAGAGACCAATGATATCTAGAGTCAATAACAATACTTTTGGAAACTGTTAAACTGTTTTACAGTCACAATCTAAAGCATAAATAACCTTTTTTAGTATGTTGCTAAACTGGACATTTCTAGCTCCAGAACCACTCATAACAATCATACAAAAGCAGCCAGAAAATGTTAAAATATTGAAGGAAACTTTCAGAATAGCATCATTAAAGAAGATAAGTAAAGTGGCATAGAAAATGTACTCAATAATTTAAAATAAGAAAATCAGGTGATTTATATGACTTACTTTATCTTGCCCTTTTTTAAAAAAGAGCTAAACCCTTGTTAACATGTTCTTTTCTTCTCTTAAAAAACACAATATGTAAAAAAGGTGCAACTTTTTACAGTCACCTTGAATCTCATCAGCTATTCTTGGCAAATTTGTAGACGTGAACTGCATCAGAAACTCATTAAGGTTCCAGAGGAAAGTTAGAACAAGGAGCACAGAAAACTTTTTTTTTTTAAAGTCTCTCTTTCCTGGGATCTATTACCATAATTTAAAAATATTTAAGATTTATTGAGTATTTGCTATATTCCAGATAATGCAATAAGAGCTTTATTTATTTTTTTATGTATTTAACCCTGGAAGCAACCCTTTGAAGTAGATGGCAGTAATAACCCCATTTTATAGATGATGAAATAGAAAGCTTAAATATCTTGCCCAAATTGTTGCCCAAATGTTACCCATGTGATATAAGAGGTTAAGCCTTTCTTAAGGTGATGCATATTTAAAAGCATAGTACTTCAAAGGCATCTCCAGCTATTCTAGAGGGGAAGACTATTTCAAATGTATGATTAACACTACTTATCTTGATGGGTGTTGTGGTGTAGGACTAAGGAAAATTTATTTTCTGCTTTGGGATAAACACTTTATCGACTTTCCGTTTATGTTGATAAAAAGCCAAAATCCTTTCCTAGAATGAGGAATTTAAGGAGCTTGTTAACGGAGTATAGTCATGTAAAAATCTTCTCCAGTGTGGTCCTGAGTTGCAGCTTTACAAAGTGATCAATTTTTAATTGCTGAAGAGAAAGAACTTTCTTTTCTGATGTATTGCAGGCAGGTAGGGGGATTGATGGTGGGGACCCTGGAGAGAGGACAAGGGCAAGGCAGTTCCAGTAAGTGACGTATAAACTATACTTTTCACAGAGAATCCTGTAGAAGAGGGCAGACTGAAATACCAGTTAGGAAGTTCCCTTGATAGGCACTAGTCAATGAACATCAGGTAAAATATTATACCTTGTTTTTGTTATTTTTCCCTTCATTGAAATTCTCAATAGTTTGTTCCCAAGCTTCCATATGGATAATACTTAGCTAGCATGTACTATGTGCCAAGCACTGCTCCTAATGCTCACTTGGAAGTAGTCCATTTAATCTTTAATGAAGGTCTATGGTATCAGTACTAGTATTATCTTTGTTTTACAAAAAAAAATACAATTCAGGCATCAAGTTAGTAACTTCCCTAGGGTCTTACTGCTAGTAAGTGGCCAAATGGATTAGAACCTAAGACATAGTATCAGTGTCCACACATTTAACCAGAATGCTATATTACTTCACAGAAGAGATCTGATAGCTTCTACAGATTAGAGTTAGAAAATATTTAGGACATTAAGAAAGAAATGTTAGTTCACACTGGAGTGAAGTGGCACTGGAAAAGACAAAACAACATCAAAAAGAGAAGACCAGAGCTTGTGTCTGTAGGAAAGGTGATAAGTGAAGCCAGCATGAATTTGTGGAATATGTAAGAATTTTCCAGGGATAATCAGAAATACTAGGGAAAGAGAAGGCCATAGAAGACAGAACTTGCAATCAGCTAGAATGAACACTCATTAACTTAGATAGTACTAAAGAGAATTCCTAGGGGCTTGAGAACTTTCAACTTGGAAGCATTCTAGAAATGAAAGGCTAATTTATTATTTAAGAGTTCTTGCCTCCTGATATGTGCTTGTGTGGGCAATGTCAAGGTTTACTTCACTACCCCTCTATTTTTATTCTACATTTTCTGCTTTTCCCTCTTCTCCCCCCATACTATACCACCATCCACACAAGCAGCAAGCACACCTACATCTATATATTTTATCTTTAGATATGTTAATAACTTTCAGCTGGTTATCATTACGTCTTGCCTGGGAGCCATTCTTTCCATTTTGGGAGTTGGCATACAAATTCTTTGCCCTATGAGGAGTTGATATTAACTAAATTTATTGAACAGTGTTTACAGCTGAGATCCTAATATTGTGCCATTGTACATCTTGCTTTTACAATTTTTATCGGAGGTGTTTCCAACTTGTGTCAATTTGACTTATTAGAATACAAAATATATGTATTTGAAACAGAATTTTAAAGAATTATTTAAATACTGTCTTTTAATTCTATTTAACATCCAATAAATTTATTGATTCTCTACGCAGGGCTCACAATATTTGTTTTGTCACTCAGATTTCCCTACTCTTTATCTTCTCTAGCCATCCTATTGTTTCAGTGGCAATTCAGATGACTATATGACTCTTCTATTCCCAAATCCCCTCAGCCATCCTGAGTAGATCATAAAGTCAGCCACAAAAGTGTTCTTATTCCAGTTCTAGACAACTCAAGTGATCATTAGATTCCATCATTGTCTCAGAAACAACAGTTTGTAGTTGGACCAGGGTCTGACCTCTATGTTCTTTTTGTCAAATGATGAGTTATTGGACCATCTGATATGACATTAATGGAACAGCAGCATATAAGACTCATGTACACATTGGTCATGGACAATTTGCAAAAAGACTAATAGCAAAATAAGGGTTAGGTTGTGTAAAGCATAATGAATGTTATGATTCAAATTAAATCTAAGCCAAGAAAACAAGTTTCCAAGTGGTCAGTTCTTTCAATTTAGAGATTTGTCATTTTACATGGCAGTAGTATTAGTCTGAGTGTAACATCAAACACCATTTTGGCTAATAGGGAATCTATAGCTACTTATTTGTCTATTAGCACTTGGACAAAAGACAATTAAACTTCTCCATTGAAACTTAAAAGCTGTGAAAGTATTGTTTATCACTTAAGCTAAGGTATTGACAGATGTCTGACCATTATAGAAATCATCGTGTGAATGGTAGGTATAAAAGTGAGTGATTTTTCTGGGTAATTTTTCATAAACCCCTTTAATTTTTATGATAGTGGGCTCACACCTCAATGATAAATTAACCACAGGTTGTGGATTACTCTTGAATAAATACATCTCTAACATCTCATATACACAAATCAAGTTTATGTGTGGTAAACAAAAACAAACTTGATCTTCACATAAAACCAGTACCGTGATTAGGTACAGATTGTACTGGAGATATAGAGATGGTTTAACATGACAGGTATATTACTCCATTCTCCCACTACTATAAAGAACTACCTGAGACTGGGTAATTTATAAGGAAAAGAGGTTTAATTGACTCACAGTTCCACAGGCTATACAGAAGGTATGGATGGGGAGGCCTCAGGAAATGTACAATCATGGTGAAAGGGCAAACAGGAAGCAAGCAGGTCTTCACATGGCAGCAAAAGAGAGAGAGAAGGGGGAAGTGCCACAGACTTTTAAATAATTAGATCTCACAGGAACTCACTCACTATCACAATAATAGCAAGGGGGAAATTTGCCCCCATGATCCAATCACCTCCCCACAAGTTCTTCCCCCAACATTGGTCAATACAATTCAACATAAGATTTGGGTAGGGACACAGAACCAAACCATATTATTGTGACCCTGACTCCTCCCAAATCTCATGTCCTTCTCACATTTCAAAACACAGGTATGACTTCCCAACAGTCCACCCAAAGTCTTAACTCATTCCAGCATTAACTCAAAAGTACAAGTCTAAAGTCTCATCTGAGACAAGACAAGTCCCTTCTGCCTATGAGCATGTAAAATAAAAAACAAGTTAGTTACTTCCAAGATACAATGAGGGTACAGGCATTGTGTAAATGCTCCTATTCCAAATGGGACAAATTGGCCAAAACAAAGGGGCAGTACCCCACTCTCAGTACCAGTTTTCTGTATTAGTCCATTCTCATACAGCTATAAAAAACTGTCTGAGATTGGGTAATTTATAAATAAAAGAGGTTTAGTTGACTCACAATTCCGCAGGATTTACAAAAGGCATGGCTGGGGAAGCCTCAGGAAACCTACAATCATGGCAGAAGTGTGAAGGGGTAGCAAACACATCTTCACGTGGCAGAAGGAGAGAGACAGAGGGAAAGAAAGGGCAAGTGCCAGAGACTTTAAACCATCAAATATCATGAGAACTCAGTCACTGTCACAAGAACAGCAATGGAAAAATCCACCTCCATGATCAAATCACCTACCACCAGGTCCCTTCCCCAGCATTGGGAATTACAATTCAACATGAGATTTGGGTGGGGACACAGAGTCAAACCATTTCAACGGAGGTGCCCCAATTAACTTTCTGAGTGAAGCTGAAAAATTTCTGAAAATTAGGATGGATTATCTCCAAGAAAAACAGATTACTGTTAAAAAAAAAAAAGTGCCAAGGTTTAATCCTACCCCTGTTGTGTTTCTGGACCCCATGGACAGTGTTATGATTATTTTTGCATAAGTGCTTTTTTGTTCCATGATCAGGGTCCAATTTTTAAATTATTGTATATTGAAATTAAAAATGTGAGAATATTTCTCATTAGAAGAACCTAATGGAAGAAGCATTACTCTCTGAAGTGTTTAATGGAATGCCAATGACATTTTTAATTTCTTTATGAAATATAGTTTACATATAGAAAAGTGCATGTAAGTAAACAGGTCAATGAATTATAAGAAATGGAAAACACTCATGTAATTGGCATTTAGATCAAGAAGCAGAATACAGGCCAGCATCCCAGAATTCCTACTTATGCTTTCTACTAATCACTATTTTCCCCAGGGATAACATGATCTTAGATAATTACTACAAAGTGAATACCATTATACCCACCACACAGGTCAAGAAAAGGAACTTTTCACGTTATGCTAGAAGTCTTTCCATTGGTCCCATCTCAATCACAATTTTTTCTTCCTTCCAAAAGTAACCATCATTCTGACATTTTAGTAATCACTTTCCTGCATGTCTTTTGGTTTTATTACCCACGTGTGCAACCCTAGACACTATAGCTTTAAGCTTCCCCATTTAAAAAATGATATAAGTTTTACATCACATTTATCAATAGATTTCCTCTCTTCATTCTTTTCTTTCTTACAATTTATTTGTTTAAAAACTTATGTTTGACTTGTAAATGTTTTTACAGTGTGGGCTTTCTGCTTGGTAATCATAGTACAGTTCAGTAAGTTCCTCTGCATTTTCTGCAAAATGGCAGCTGGATTAGAAAATGTGATCAGAGTCAGATGCAATCCCTGTGACAAGGCTATTGGTGGTGTCTTGTCCTTTCATCAGGAGGCATATGACTGTTTTTCACCTTTTTTTAAATGTGAGCAGCTTTTGATCTTCAATGCATAGATCCATTGGGGGCATTCAAAATGGCAATATTTTAATTTTATTATTGTTTGCTTTTAAACCTAGAATAATTTTATATAGAGATACTTTTAATCTAATAATTTGTTAACTAGTGGTACAGTTTATGTAGGAAAGGTAGGTTAAATGTATGATTATTTAATCTTATTTACAGTTTTTAGATAATTAGTCTTCTGTCACTTTTTAAAAGTGAACACTTGTTTTTCGTGCCATTATAAAATCATGGATTTACATGTATTTGATGTTCTCAATATGTTTCAATTTTTATCTTTATTGAGGCTCGAACTGTATATTGTTTGGCTACAAGAACCTATTTAAGTTGGAACTAGAGTCCTTTTGACATGATCTTCATAGTCTTTGTTAGCTTCATTGCTCTCTGGCATATCAATGGGCTCCAGATTTATCTTGTATATTTTCTATTCTATACCTTGAATCAACCATTTATCCAGGAAGTTTGGTTTAAGTAAATGAGAAATAGTATTAAAATGTCACAGTCCTGGGATTCAGAATGCTCATTGCTATTGGATTGGCCATTGTGTCTAGGCATTTTTTATATAAAGGGATTCTAGTAAGAGCAATAAATTCTTATATATAGAATGATTTAGTCCATGCTAAGAAATTATCTTCTAAAGATGAACTGGGATCTACCATAAAATAGCTAGTCTGATATTTTCCTTCTTCAGTTTTTTTTTTTCATTACCCCACAACTAAAACAGTCAATTCTTAATTTTTCGTAGGAGCTTTTAGTAAGTACACATAAGCAATGAATGATTCTCAAGCAGACTCTAAAGATCATATGTTTATTCTGATAACTGTGGGTAGCAATGTTCAAGGGTGTAGTAAAATCTAACATAGGGGTTGATATGGTTTGGATCTGTGCCCCCGCCCAAATCTCATGTTGAGTTGTAATTTCCAATGTTAGGCGTGGGGGGCCTGGTGTGAGGTGATTAGATCATGGGGGGCAGTTTTTCAGGAATGATTTAACACCACCCCTGTTGGTATTTTCTTGGCAGTAGTAAGTGAGTTTTCATGAGATCTGTTTTTTTTAAAGTGTGTAGCACCTCCCTCCTCTCTCTCTATCTCTTGCTCCAGCCATGTAAGAGAGCTCACTCCTGCTTTACCTTTTGCCATGTGATTGGGAGCTTTCTGAGGCTTCCTGAGAATCAGAAGCTGTTATGCTTTCTGTACAGCCTGCAGAACCATGAGCCAATTAAAATTCTTCTCTTAGAAATTACTGAGTCTCAGGTATTTCTTTATAGCAGTTTGACAATGGACAAAAGTCAAAGAAAAAGTTCTCCTTTGCCTTCCGAGGATCCACGAAAAAAATCAACTTGCAAAAGTCTGATTAATTAGAGAAAGGGCATAAAAATTATTAATATGCATGTGGGAGAGAAACACAGGGTGATTACCTCCTAATCCCCTCCTGGAGTTCAGAAGCTTAAATACCATCTTGATGTTACGGAAAGAATTGGGATTGGAATTTGAAAAAACAGGTTATGGTGGCAAAACAGGTTATGGGAGGTAGAGAAGAGGAGGCTTAGCTAGCAAAAGTGGTCTTGTTATGCAGATGAAACTTCACAGGTAGCAGACCTCAGAAAGAATACATGATAACTGTTTTTTTCAGACCTATAAAAGTGTCAGACTTTCAGTAAATCTTTCCTAGATCTGGATAAAAGGAGGCCTCAGAGAAAATCTGGCTGCAACAATGCAGATTCTCTACAGATGCAAATCTGCCCCCACAAAAGACAACTTTGTAGGGTTACTTCTCTACTTCTCTTTGCTGGATTTCTAAACAGGTGTCTCAAAATACATCAAAGAAATATGTTTTGGGGTAAAATATTTTGATTTTCTTTCAGCTTCCACTTTAAAACTTTAAGAAGTTTTATATGTTAAAGTAAGGCTTATAGCATTGAAGATATTTTGGTTAGAGTTTATTAGATTAAAAAAGGCAAAGGAATAGAAAGTAACCAAATTAGGATACGCAGAAAACAGCACATTTATATATATATGTATATCATTCTTAATCAGTCTCTTAGTCCTGAGAATAGATCAGTTTATTTCAGCAGCTGTGTCCCACTCCAGGAGATGCTATTGCAGATGGACTAGGCCTGTATATATCATGCAAGAAAACAGATCTTTAATAAGAAGCATTTCTATAGAAACAAGAAAAACAAAGGTTAATGTCCGGAGTACTCTATAGACTTGTTTTTCTAGAGTCTCTGAAGCGTGTTCAGATTGCAGTGGCAAGCTGACAGATTTTTCTGGATAATAACTCAAAGCAAATATTCAATTGAACTTTCTGAGTAGTTGATATATCAGCCAGCATGACGGCTGTTTATATATCAGTTGTCGTGGTGATTTCTTGTGATGTTTATATCAAGTTGTCTAGCTTCACTTTGCAGGGCTTTAAGAAATGTAGTTTGATTTTCTAGTGATCACATGTCAAAAAAATTGAAGGAAAATTTGAAAACATTAGTTGGAGACTTGTAGCCAGAGAAGAATGCATGATTCAGTCTAAATTGTAGAAAAATAATAAAAACTGAAAAACAATGGAAAAGTCTACAAACAGGTGTACTATAGAGTTTTCCTGAAATATAATTTTTCTCTCGCTAGTTCCCCAATTCTACCAAGAATAAAACATAAGAGGACCAATTTATTTGAAAAATAAATTTCAGTTCTAATATACTTGGCCTAATTTTTAGCATAAAATTGTGACTGGCCATATAAGCTCTTTAAAGTTGGTTTTCCTGGAACTTTAAAGCAAAGCTTTACAGGTTAAATTTTTAAAACCCTCCAAGGTAGGAAGTAAAGTCAAAGAGTCACAATCACATCACATTGTGCCTATATTCTCTGTATAAATTGAATGGATTCCTTTTCTCTTAAGGTCCCAAAATATCTTGAATGAATATCCTGGACATATCAGAGAGTGGCATACTTTACTTACTGTGAGATCACAAACTTTGTAAGGGAACTGTGT
This sequence comes from Homo sapiens, assembly GCF_000001405.40. Taxonomy (NCBI): domain Eukaryota; kingdom Metazoa; phylum Chordata; class Mammalia; order Primates; family Hominidae; genus Homo; species Homo sapiens. Next base: position 93,094,319 of record NC_000023.11, on the reverse strand, counting down.
AGGCAAGATATGAAGCCAGTCTTTCTAAGGAGTTTTTCATTGGCTATATGAATTCAGTCACATTTCCTCAAAAATGTTTGGTCATATCTGAAAATGTGTCATTCTAACCAAAGACTTGGTAACCAGTGTCTACAATTTTATACTCTTACAAAAGAAAAAATACTCTTACTAAACTTCTTCAAATAACTATATTGCCATAAATTTAAAAATCCAAATAGCTTCCAAATTTTGGAGAAATCAAATAAAAAGAAAGATAAATGTATCAATTTTTCTCAAAAAGTATACTTTATCCAATTGTTAGCTATACACAGTTCAAAAGAAAAAAGGTTTCTTGGCTCTGAAAAACAAAATATAAAAATAAGCAGCATGTTTCAATCAAAAAACTCATAACAATGTTATTCCAGTCCTCTATTAATTTAGTCTCATGTAATTAACTCTTGTTCTGCTAGATGTTGGGTTAGCAATCTTCATAAAAGCATCAACTTTTTAGAGTTCTGGAAGTTTTTACCCTATCCAGTGGTATGATCTCAAAAGTTATCAGAACCTAACTTGAAGAGTATTTTTCAGGGTTCTTTCCATGAATTTCCTTGAAGAAGCCGCAAATTACAGACTTTAGTCAATTATAAACTGCTTTTTAAAAACAATGAAATAAAACAATAATTGCTTGTGTATGAGAAAAGACTCAGAATATCCATGATTAAAGACACAGTTGGCAAGGAAATTTGGTTATTTCTGTGGCATACAATTATTTAACATAATAATCATAATTATTTCTGATAAAATGTACTAAGAAATAATAGAATTGTATGACTCTCATACAATTTTGAAATGCATATTAATAACCCACTTATATAAGTTAAGCACTATTTTTTTATTTGTTAATGCTTCCCATATGACTTTAACATACAATATAAACCTAATACATCTCTTTTGGACATCCAGGAGCCCTAAAATCTACAATGTTAATTTTAGGTAAAAAAGACCTAATTAAGACTTTCAAATTTGATTTTGGAGCTTATCAAATATCAAAAGTTTAAAACACTTGCTCAAAATCAGATCACAGGTCACTGTAAATTAATAATTTCCCAAACAATCAAAATCTATCTCACTCTCTCCCCTTTTCTTTTGCAGTTTATTTAATAGATAAAAATATTTTACCATCTTTTATTAAGATTACACCAAAATCTTATTCAAAAGAGAAAACCAAGTTCTATCTTTTCATTAGTGTATTATTAATGCTAAAGCTAATTTTAATAGAACTTTATAAATAGATTCATCCAATTTCAATCAGCTTCGAGCATGCACAATCAAATTTCCATACACCCTTTTATAACCTATTACACTTTTTCCCATTTTCTTTCTTTCCCCAGCTTTCTATATGCATTGTTTGTTTACTTTTATTACTTCAATGTAAACAACTTTTAAAAATCTGTAAACAAGGAAAAGTTACTTTCCTTTTAACAAAAAAGTACATTTTCATGCCTTTTTGTAAACTTTCTTACCAAAAACACACCCAACTTTTCTTATATACTTTGAATGCAGACTGTTATATCTGGCATTTTACATTTTATATATCTCTATATATATTTTTTCAATATATTTATTGAAGTATATATATATAATATACTTCACCGCTATACAATTCATCCATATAACCAAAAACCACACAGAAACACACACACACACACACACACACACACACACACACACACATATATATATATATACTCTCAGTGATCATTTTTAGTGAAAACCCTAGAAAATGAGAAATTTAAATCATGTACCAGATAGATGCAGAGCCCAGGACAAAGTACAGTGGAGTCAATGCCTGGAAGATCCAACCCCTCACAGCATGGCTAGGAAGAACAGCAGGGTCAGGGAGAATGGGGCATGGATGCTGTCCCTAGGCCTCACCATGACCACTTGTCTAAACCTCAGAATCAAAGGGCTCAAATTCAAAGACATAAGCTCACTGAGAAAAAATATTGTGGAATCCAAAAGGAGGTAGAGCAAGATATCAGAATAGAAGTCCCCACTGACTGTTCCCACCACAAGGACACAAAGTTAACAGCTGTCTACACAGAAAAAATATCATCATAAGAACCAAAACTTAGGTGAGCACCCATAGAACCTGGTTTTAACTTCATATTGTTGAAAGAGGGTCTGGAGACATAGAAAAAACAGTCTTGAATCAATGACACCACACCTTCCCCACCCCTGGAAGGAGTGGTGTGGAGTGGAGAGGCTCTCTGGACACTGGTGGAGAGAGAACACAGCAATTTTGAGGCATTAAACTCGGTGCTTTCCTGTTACAGCAGAAAGGAAAACCAGACTAAACTCAGTGGACAGGTGCCCATGAAGGCAGCATTTAAACTGGCCCTATTCAGAAAGGATTACTGATCCCAGTGGCCCCAACTCAAGTTCCCACAAACCTTACCACCAAGGGCTACAGTGTCCTTTGCCTCCAAGTAAACTTGAAAGGCAGCACAGACCACAAGGACTGCAACTCTTAGACCTCTTAGATGAGTCCTAGTGCTGAACTGGACCCAAAGATAGTGGTCTAGGGGGACACATGACCTACTGAATAAAAAGCTGGAATGATTAAGGGAGTGCTGGCATCACTCCTCCCGTAACCCCAGGCTACACAGCTCACAGCTCTGAAAGAGGCCCTTTCCTTCTGCTTGAGGATGCAAGAGGGAAGAGTAAGAATAACTTTGTTTTGCATCTTGGATACCAGCTCAGCCACAACAGGATAGGGCACCAGTCAGTGTTGTGAGGCCCCTGTTCCAAACGCTAGATCCTAGATGATGTTTCTATAAAACCCTGGGCCAGAGGAGAACACACTGCATTTGAAAAAAATTATCCACTTCAGGCAGCATTCATAACTGAGGAGACCTTGGGTTCTAAACAACCAACAGCTATACCCAGGTACTACATCGAGGGCATTGGGTGTGCCTCTGAGACCTGTTGGCTTCAGGTGAGACTCAGCACATTACTAGCTGTAGTGGCTATAAGGCAAAACTCCTTCAGCTTGAGAAAAGCAAGGGGAAAAGTAAAGGGGACTTTGTCTTGCACCTTAGATACCAACACCACCACAGGAGGATAGAGCACCAAGCGAGCTCTTGAAGTCCCTGACTCCAGGACTTGACTCTTGGCTGGCATTTCTGGACTTGCATATAAGGCCAGAGGGGAGACCACTGCCCTGAAAGGTGAGTCCCAGGCCAGGCAGCATTCACTCCAAGCTGACTTTAGAGCCCTTGGGCTTTTAAGGGACATCAGTGTAAGTCTAGCAGTACTCCTTGTAGCCTGGGGTGGTGGCAACTATGGGGTGTAGCGCCTCTGCCTTTGGATAGGGGAGGGAAGAGTGGAAAGAACTGCATCCTGTGGTTTGAGTACCAGCTCACACATAGTACAGTAAAATACCAGGTAAACAGCTAATGTTTCTGACTCTAGTTCCTGACTTACAGAAGCACATTTGAACCCACCCAGAGCCTAGGGAAACTCACTGCCCTGAAGAAAAAAACACAGGCCTGGGTGGCTTTTGCCACCAGCTAAATGTAAAGCCCCAGAACCTTGAATAAACATAGGCAATAACCAAGGAGTGGTTATAGAAATCCTTGGGCAAGACCCAGTGCTGTGTGGGGCTTTGGGTCTGACCCAGTGCATTCATAGTGGTGATGGACACAGAGGAGCTTCTGTCATCCCAGATTTAGGTAGCTCAGAACATAGAGAGAGACTCTATGGTTCAGGAGAAAGTCTGGAAAGAGAATAAGAGTCTCTGCCTGGTAATCCAGAGCATTATCCTGGATCTTTGCCAAGACCGTCAAAGTGTTAAGTCTATGAGCCTGTAAAAACCACAGCATTACTGGACTTAGGGTGCTCCCTAATGCAGATACAGCTTAGATCATACCACCGAAATTCTTTCAAAAACCTGGAAGGCCTTCCCAAGAAGAACGAGTACAAATAAACACAGAAAGGGAAGATAATAATAAACACCTAACTACCCAATGCTCAGACACTGAAGAACATCTACTAGCATCAATGCCATTCAGGAAAAGATGACCTTACTAAATGAACCAAATAAGGCACCACGAACTAATCCTGGAGAGATAGAGACATGTAAACCTTCAGACAGAGAATTCAAAATAGCTGTTTTGAAGAAACTAAAATACATACAAGATTAGACAAAGAAAGATTTCATAATTTTGTTGGATAAACTGAACAAAGAGATTGAAATAATTTTTTAAAAAATCAAGCAGAAATTCTGTAGTTGAAAAGTGCAATTGGCATACTGAACAATGCATCAGAGTTCTTTAATAGTAAAATTAATCAACAGGAGAAATAAATAATGAATTTTAAGAGAGGCTATTTAAAAATATGCAATCATTAGAGAAAAAAACAATAAAGCCTGCCAACAGGAACTAGAAAATAGCCTCAAAAGGTCAAATCTAAGAGTTATTGGTCTTCAAAAGGAGTTAGAGAAAGAGATAGGGGAAGAAAGTTTGCTCAAAGGGATAACGGGGAACTTCCCAAACCTAGAGAAAGATATCAATATCCATGAACAGAAGATTATAGAAGACCAAGCAGATTTACCTGAAGGCATTTAATAATCAAGCTCCATCTGGTGGCAGACTTATCGGTAGAAACTTTACAGGCCAGACAAGAGTGGCATGACATGTATAAAGTGCTGAAGAAAAAGAACCCTATTACCCTAGAATAGTATATCTGGCAAAAAATATCTTTCACATGTGAAAGAGAAACAGACTTTCCAAGACAAAAGATGATGAGGAATTTCTTCAACACCAGACCTGTCCTACAAGGGATGCTAAAGGGAGGACTTCAATCAGAAAACAAAGGATGAAATGAGCAATAAGCAATCATCTAAAAGTATAAAACTCACTGGTAATAGCAAGTACACAGGAAATGCAGAATAGTACAACACTGTAACTGTGGTTTATAAACTACTCTTACCCTAAGTAGAAAGACTAAATGAGGAACCAATCAAAAACAGTAATTACAAAAACTTTTAAAGATGTAGTTGGTACGTTAAGATATAAAGAGAAACAACAAAATGTTAAAAAGCAAGGGAACAAAATTAAGGCATAGAACTTTTATTCAATTCCCTTTTCATTTTTGTTTGTTTGTTTATGCAAAAAATTAAAAGTTATTATCAGGTTAAAATGATGGGTTATAAGAGAGTATTTGCAAGCCCTGTGGTAATCTCAAACCAAAAAACATACAACAGATACACAAAAAATAAAAGGCAAGAAACTAAATTATATCACCATAGAAAATCACCTTCAATAAAGAAGTTCAGAAATAAATTTTGAAAAGGAAGAGAAGAGTACAATAAAACTAGAAAACAAATAGCAAAATAGCAGGAGTAAGTCTTTCCAATAATAATATTGAATGTAAATGGACTGAACTCCCCTCTCAGAAGACATATAGTAGCTGTATTATTTTGTTCTTGCAATGATATAAAGAAGTACCTGAGACTCGGAAATTTATAATTTATGACTGTAATTTGTAATTTTGGCACCTCCAAAATCTGATGTCTTTCTCTTATTAAAAAATATAATTGTCTATTCTCAACAGTTCCCCAGTCTTACCTCATTTCAACATTAACTCAAAAGTTTCTGAAATCTAGACAGAGGCTCCCAAGCCTCAACTCTTGCCCTCTGTGCACCTGCAGAATTAATACCCCCTGGAAGCTGCCAAATCTTGGGGCTTGCACCCTCTGAAGCAATAGTCCAAACTGTATCTTGGCCCCTGTCAGCCACAGCTGGAGCTGGAGCAGCTGTGGTTCAGGGCACCATGTCCCAAGGCTGCAGAAAGCAGTGGGGTTCTGGGCCTGGCCCACAAAACCATTCTTCCCTCCTAGGCCTCCATGCCTGAGTCTCTTTGCTAAAGTCTAAGAGTGACTTTTACTCTAGTTCCCAATAAGTTCCTCATCTCAATCTGAGACAACCACCTTAGCCTGGACTTCATTGTCCATATCACTGTCAGCATTTTGGTCACAACAATTTAACAAGTTTCTAGGAAGTTTCAAACTTTGCCTCATATTTTTGTCTTCTTCTGAACCCTACAAACTGTTCCAACCTCTGCCCATTAACCAGTTGCAAAGCTGATCCCACAGTTTCAGTTATCTTTATATCAATACCATACTCCTGGTACCAATTGTTTATATTAGTCCATACTTGCACTACTATAAATTATTACCCAAGACTGGGTAATTTATAAAGAATAAAGGTTTGACTGGCTCACTGTTCTGCAGGCTGTACAGAAAGCATGACTGAGAGGCCTCAGGAAACTTACAATCATGGTGGAAGGCGAAGAGAAAGGAGGCCTGTCTTCATGTGGCCAGAGCAGGAGGAAAAGAGAGAAGGGGCAGGTGATACACACTTTTAAACAATCAGATTTCATGAGAAATCACTATCATAGGAACACCAAGGGGAAAGTCCACCCCCATGATTCAATCACCTCTTACAAGGCCCCTCCTCCAACACTGGGGTTACAACTCGACATGAGATTTCAGCAGGGACAGAAACCCAAACAATATTAGTAGCTGAACAGATTTTTTTAAAAAAGACCTATTTATCTGTTGCCTACAAAAACACACTTCACCTATAAAGATACACATGGACTAAAAATAAAGACACAGAGAAAAGATATTCCATGTAAATGGAAACCAAAAAAGACCAAGATTCACTATACTTATATTAATCAAAATAGATTTCAAGATGAAAAATTATAGAAAGAGGCAAAGAAGGTCACTGT